>NC_000004.12:145796381-146421381 GCF_000001405.40 Homo sapiens
GATTAGGTTAGCGGAGCAAGGAGCAGTGAATTGTTGGTGGGGAAGGGTGGAAGGGAGACCTTATCTGGTCACTTGCAAATCAAATTTCTAACCAATTTTGAAAATTTGGTGTCACTCCTCTCTTATCTACCTTAACCCCTGTGCAGGAAACACGGTGACAGCAATAATACAATTTACTGAGAGCTAATGATGAGTCAAGCACTCTGCTAAGAACCTTACATAAATTATATCATTTGTTCCTCTTTTTTTTTTTTTTTTTTTTTTGAGACAGGGGTTTTGCTCTTGTTGCCCAGGCTGGAGTGCAGTGGCACGATCTCAGCTCACTGCAACCTCTGCCTCCCGGGTGCAAGCAATTCTCCTGCCTCAGCCTCCCAAGTAGCTGGGATTACAGATGCCCGCTACCACGCCTGGCTAATTTTTTGTATTTTTAGTAGAGATGGGGTTTCGCCATGTTGGCCAGGCTGGTCTTGAAATCCTGATCTCAGGTGATCCACCAGCCTCGGCCTCCCAAAATGCTGGGATTACTGGCATGAGCCAGCGTGCCCGGCCTCATTTGTTCCTCCTAACAACCCATGTGGTAGGTACTACCTTCATTTCATAGATACCAAAGGGAACCACATACACTGACTATGTATGTACTGGATGCGTGTACTGGATGCATGTAATGTGGGCGGTCGGGGGGCTTCCTGGGGTCATGCCAAACCAGAGGCAAGGTGTTAAGGTTTTACAAAGAATTTTGGTCTCTTAGAGCCAGTGGCTCTGACTTACACAATTCTGGAACTACATCTGCCATAATTATGATCAATGATGTTCTAGCATAATTTAATATCCTAAAAGAAAAATTAGAGGTCAGATCCTATCAGGCTCGAATCCGAACTTGGGTTCCTCTGTGTAGGACAGAAGAGACTAGAGAGCAAAGTAAGTTCAGATCTTGCTCTTAAAGGTAAACTCTTTGCCTTTAGGAAAAATTATTTTAGGAAGCTTCACACTGACCTTTACAGACACTCCCTCTACTGCTCTTCTATAATAACAGCCAGAGGATTAATCTTTCTATCAAGTTACAGCTGTTCACCTGGTCACTCACATGAGTCTTATGCCAAGGACAGGTTTGTGAAATCTCCCCTACTCACAAAAGCTGCCTGACAGGAAAAGGACTTGACCTTCTCTGGAGCTTGTTCACCAAGAGAGGCTATCAGTTCTCATTCCCATCTGCTCCTTCTCTCCCTTTCTAGTTCCTGCATTCATTTATTTTAAAAAGAAAATGATGATATGAGTAGAATCCTTGTTTTTCTTGTTGGAGGAATTAACACTCTAAGGCTTGTTTCGTCAAGTCGTTGAATAATTTTTAAGCATTATACTATAATATGTTGAGTTTTAAAAGACTAAAGCTTCTGTGGTATAAATGGAAATGATTTATTCTGGAAATTCTCATTGTATTGTTGCTAAACCCTTACTCCCTCTGAGTGCTTACATTTTTAGCCAGCCTAGAAAATATTTTGGCCCAAGTTAGTCTGAATAATGTTCATTTCCATATGATTATATGGAATTGTTTTATCATTTTCTGTTGATAAAAATAATATGAATTGCCAAATGAGTCACCATCATTCTCCCTCACCGAATTTAAGATTAAATGGATACAGAATCATCCTACTAAGTTTCATGTTGTGAGGACCAAAGGGACTTTGAGAAACTTTTTGAGAAGAAAAGCAAGACAGAGGTTTGCATACTGGAGTGTGGCTTCCTCCACGGACTTCATGTTCACATGACAGTGGGTTATAACCTATAGAAAAGACAGCCTGCTCCTTTCAAGCAATATATATGGTTTGCATTTCTGTCACTTTACATGCAAGTAAGATATTGCCCTGCTTTCAAAATTTACACTAGTAAAAAGTATGAAATGACCTAAGAATGAATATGTGTGGTTTAGGGGCCAAGCTACCCTGACATCAATAGAGGATTTTCTCTACATGTATATGTATGCTTGGAAATTTAAAGATGTTCTGGCTGGGCACAGTGGCTCACGCCTATAATCCCAGCACTTTGGAAGGCTGAGGTGGGCAGATCGCCTGAGATCAGGAGTTCAAGACCAGCCTGGCCAATGTGGTGAAACCTCGTCTCCACTAAAAATACAAAAATTAGCTAGGTGTGGTGGCGTGTACCTGTATTCCTGGCTACTTGGGAGGCTGAGACAGGAGAATCACTTGAAACCCGGGAGATGGAGGTTGCAGTGAGCCGAGATCATGCCATTGCACTCCAGCCGGGGTGACAAGAATAAGATTTGTCTCAATAATAATAATAACAACAATAATAATAATTTTTAAAAAGATGTTCTAACCTTATCTTTAGCCATGTTAAATATTAGAACAGATGAGGCAGAATTTCAGGGAAGGTTATCCGCTACATGATGTTGAAATCTGAAATAATGTAAAAGGTAAGAGAGCTACTGCCATTTGTAAATCTGAGTTGCACTTTTTCCACTGTGAGTTTGTAAATGTCTTTATTGAGAAGTAAAGAAAGAATGTTCACAAATTTAATGATCTCTATGGGACCAAACCAGAAATCTCTGACATTGTTGAAAAACAGATGAATGCAAGGCAATGTTATCTAAAGTTGACAACTACACTGAATTTCTAGCTTGGCCACCAATGTTCTGATGTAAGAAGCTGGCAGTCTACTGGTTCGTGCCCACATCAATTCCAATTTAGCATTATCTTCATATTCAAAGCAGATCTCCCGTTTTGATACTTTATTGGGGTTGTGGGGTTGTGGCTACAAATCCAAATTAGATCAGAGCAACAAATATTGAGATTTACAAACCAAATGAAATTAACAGACATTTGTGTGCTGAATAAGTTAAGGCTCAAATCAGCTAGTCGGGCACAGCAATCACCCATAACAATAATATTTATAGCTCTTAGTGGAGCTCACTATGTGCTAGGGACTGTTCTGAGTGTGTAACATATATATGACATCATTAATCCTCACCATAAGCCTATGAGTTAGGTATTACTGGCAATTTACAAATAAGGAAGTCTGGCACGGAAGGCTGACTATTCAGGATGAATGTAATAGAGTAAAATAACAGGCCATCACAGACACTGTCACAGTCTGTGAACTCTATCCTGACCAAAGGCCATTTGGAATTATTAACCAGTCTTTGGTTTAACCTAAAAGAATTAACCTAAAACCAGACATCTGAGCAGAGACTGCTAGCTGCCCTCCAACATCCATACTTTTCTCCTTCCTTTAATAAAGGAACCCCCCGAGTTTTAGCTGGGCACATGGCTGCCCAACAAAACACTGTCAATCTCCTTACCAGCTAAGTACGGCCACGTGATCAAGTTCTAGACAACAGTGTGACCAGAAGTGATGTGTTACATGCCCTTAAAAAGAGGGTCATGCCCTCGACTTCCTTCCTGCTCTTTAGGATGTGGATGTGATGGTGGGAGTAGGAGCAGCCATAGTAGACCATAAGATGGAAGATGTAAGCCAAGAATGGCAGGATAACAAGAGAGAAGGAGCCTTAGAGCCGCCACATCAGCTCTGGACTGCTTATACTCTGGCTGTTACATAAAAAGAGAAATCACCTTCTACCTTATTTAAGCCATTGCTATTTTGGCCTTTTTTTTACAGCCATCAAAATTTTATCACAACTAATACATACAATAATTTTTTCATGTAAAGTATGCTTAGTTAGTTTATAGAGAGTAGGACCCCTGCTCTATAATGCATATGTTCTCTTTCTTGAGATTTCAATAATTCATGAGCAAGATTCCATCATGTTTGATGCTTATTTTCCAGGCCACTGTTACAATGAAATTGCATGTCACAGTTGTCCAGTTGTCTTTTATAAAACAAGTACCAGTATTAATAGAACTATTAAGTAACCAAACTGTAAGTTAGAAACTTGAGAAGTTTCCAGAAATACATATATAAACATAGTGAAGCAATATCATTTCATCTGGATAGCTGGTCCTTTTTTTTTTTTTGGAAACAGAATCTCGCTCTGTCGCCAAGGCTGGAATGCAGTGGCATGATCTCGGCTCACTGCAACCTCTACCTCCCTGGATCAAGCAAGCCTCCCACCTTAGCCTCCCGAGTAGCTAAGACTACAGACTCCTGAGCTCAAGCGATCCACCTGCCTCGGTCTCCCAAAGTGCTGGGATTACAGGTGTGAGCCACTGCACCCAGCCTGTACAGCTGGTCCCTGAGTCTTAGTTTTAACATGCCCTTTATGTACACATCTGCCAACACAATTTGGTGTTTCTCAACGTCAGCACTACTGACATTTTTGACTGACAATTCCCTACTGTGGGGCCTGTGCTGTGCATTGCAGATTGTAGGATGTTTAAGAGCATCCCCAGCTTCCACCTACAAGATGCCAGCAGTACTTCCCCCAGTTAAGACAATGAAAAGTAACACCAGACACTGCCAAATGTCCCCTTGGGGGCAAAATACCTCCCAGTTGAGAACCATACATCTAATGTATCCTGGGTTGCAGATTTTGAGAAAGCAGAGACTGTGACTATTTAAATTCTAGTAGGGATACAGGCAGGTAGGTCCTTAATGTACTTTGGATGATAGTGGTGCCCTGGTGATTACCAAGGGCAAAGAGCATGAGCTAATTCTTATTTTTTAAATTAAGAAGTTCACTGAGCTTTCAATAAGAAAATTCACAAGGTAGTAAAAAAGTCATAGGCATAATTCCAAGCACATTTAACTATTAGTCCAACTTCCTCTATCCAAGGTTAAGATGGAAATAATTGCCTATGTGAAGGAAAAAAAAAATCCTCTATGTATGAATAGGATTCTTTTATAGAATCTCTAATGGTAGTAGGGAATTTGACCCTTTCAGAATCAAGACCATTGCCCTGTTAAACTTCCAATTCCGTTAGCAGTTGTATGTTGCTAGCACTGTACTTGCAGATATTCAGATATTATATATGTATAATAAAAGAAAATCATCTGCAGACATTTTCAAACATGTAAGCTTTTAAAGCCCCATTATCATGTTCTTCTACCTTGATATCCCCATCAGACAGCACTGAATCTGTTTTGACGGAAACCTTTCTACATTCCATGGGATCAGCTAATTCAAAGCAAATAAAATCCTCAAAATCTCTTTCTTTTTAGAGAGAGTGGGGAAGAAGTGTACTCTAAAAAGATACATCAGGCCCGTCACCTGTCCTGAGATGGGACTCTAGAGTCAGGAAGAAGCTGTCAACTTGTGTTTCTTTCAAATCACTACACTCATCCCCAGCACCTTTGGCATAATTAATGATTGTCAGGGCGTGGGAAGCCAATCAATTTGATGTTCATTTTCATCAACATTAGCAGAAGTAATGCCCCAAGGGTGGGATGGAAATTACATTATGTTTTAATTGAGAGAATTTTCTTTTTGCTGACTTCTGGAGTGGGTGGAATCCAAGACATAACTTCTTTTCCCTTTCAATACGTATGCTTTTAAAAGCTTAGCTGATTGCTGCCAGCAACCAAAAGCTCCATTATTTCAACGTGAGCATTCTACCACTCATGGCAGGGAGGGTGGGGAGGGCAGGAAGGTGGGTCTGCTATTCATAGGAAAAGATCATTTTAGAAAATGGAAATAAAGGCAACACACTGGGGAGAGAGGGTCATTTGTCCCTTATCTAATACACCGAATAAGAATGAAGGCTGGGCATTGTCATAGTTACCTGTATCTGTGAAAGTACATAACTAAAGACTTGTTTCAGATACTAAGAGCTCTAAGAGTTCAATTAAATGGCTAAATGCAGAATTTAAAAAATTTCTTCTCTTTCCTCCCACTTAAATTCACTTTATCATTACTTTAAGACTCTGAAAAGCATTTCAGAGACACTGTTCTTCAATGAGATTCACTCAAATGTAAAACACCATTACTTTCTCTTTCCACTCAGATACAAAGCAGAGTATCACCAGACTACACTGGGAAAAGGCTTGATTCCTTTGTTTTATTTGTTTTCACTCCTGTTGGGCACAACTTCAAAGGTCTAGTTCAGGAACAATCCAATCATCTCAATAAGGATGGGAGTTTGGATCCACAAGGTGTTTGGCACAAACCAGCCTGTTCAGTCAAAACCAAAGCAGCTGGCACAAAGGTGGGAGCAGGGGTGCATGAGGGAGTTCTCAGGTCTTCCTGAGGGAACTCAAAGCTGGGGACTCCAGGCTTTCTTACTAGCTAGCCCAGTGATGTTCAAATTTCTGGTTGTGACCCGCCAGCCGATTATAAAATTGATTTAGTGGATCTCAACCAACATTTTTTAAAAGGGTGAAATAAGTTGGGCGCAGTGGCTCACGCCTGTAATCCCAGCACCCTGGGACATGAAGGCGGGAGAATAGCTTGAGCCCAGGAGTTCATGGAGAAACTGCATCTCTACCAAAAAAAATTAAAAAGTTAGCTAGACAAGGTGGTATGCATCTGTAGCCCCAGCTACTCGGGAGGCTGAGGCAGGATCACTTGAGCCTTGGAGATTGAGGCTGCAGTGAGTCGAGATCACGCCACTGCCCTCCAGCCCAGGTGACAGGTTGAGACTCTGTCTCACAAAAATAAAAGAGTGAAATAAAATAGGATAGATTAAAAAATTGCAGACATGGTACATGTGTGAGGATTGTTTCAGTTACCTGTAACTATCTATCCTCTCTTCTTCCTTCCTTCCTCTCTCCCTCTCTCCTTCCTTCCCTCCTATCTGTCATCACTTATCTACTTTACCTAAACACCTATCTCTATATGTTTTGCATTGTTATTTAACACACACATATGCATACACACATATAAACAGGTAAAACTGTATCTGGGTTTTCTTCAAAAAATTTTAAAAGCCACCAACTCAGTACATCATTTCACCTACTTAGTTATGACAAAGGATCTTAAAAGTCCAAGTCTATTAAAACCAAAACAAAACAATGACAAATATCCTTTTCCTAGTGCAGATTTAAAATTCCTTCTTTAGAGATCTCTTTAATCCCATTAAACTCAGCAATTTGAAAAAAAAATGAGCTCAAGCTGGTTACCACCAAGAGGCTAAGGAAATCACTTCTTTGCTAGCAAACAGTGTATCAGGATCATTCTTAGTTCTTCAATTGCACAAATAAAGGCAGTGATTTTGGAATCTAGCTGTTTGCAAAAGGATTTAGAAACTGTCATGGATATAGTCTGAGAGGCACAGAGCTAATATTATCATCTTGAGAACATCAACCACACAATCTGACCAGGGAGACATCTTTTCTTCCTCCATTTTAGGTGGAGAGGAGTTTTTCCAATTGATCAAAGGATTCCTTATAAATTGGTGTATATGACTCCCCAAGACTCTAGAACTTTAATAGAGCTGGCAATATCATTTAGCTTGAGCCAGTAATGATTTCCCAAAGGCCAATCTCCAACTTTATCCCAGTTCTCCAATCAAATGAAAATGACTTAAACGCATTCAGAGTGTGCTAACCACACCAGATCCTCCTGGTTGGGTTATTTATGCATACAAAAAGAATTCAGTTTCTCAAAATGGATGTAGTTTACCCTAACTTCATATTTTTTTTTTGTTATAACTTATTCTGGTATATGCTTGTGCAACCCAGAAGAGGGGCCACCATTGCCAGATAGCAATCTGTTCATTTCAGTCAACCAAGAATTTTTTAACTCTAAAGTCTCTTCGGTGGAAATTTCTATTAAAAACAGCAAAGCCCTTTTAGAAATCTGGACTAGTTTATTCTTACATGCCAAAAGGAAATGAACGCATATACATATGCGTGTGTACACACAGAAGTGAAAATTGATGTAATCCAATCACTTGTAAAGGTTTCTCCTCTCTCCACCCTCTACTCCCCACTCCAGTGAATTTTGAAGCTTGCATCATTCCAGAGGAAACTGTAATTTGGACTCACTCTCTGGCTCAGGCATTAAGTAATCAACCTCATAGCCTGCCAGCAAGGAGTGGACTGCCTATTTTTTCACTGAAACATATTATCTCACTCCCTATCTCAGCAAACTGCCTCTGAACAGCTTGGCTGAAGAATGGTACAAGAACAAGTCTAGACTAGATAATCACTTTTTTTCTGGTGGCTAAAAAACATTTAAAACAAACATCTAGCTGAACAATGGGTTTATATAATCCAAGTCTTGAAAAGTCTATGAAGAATCTACATTTCCTCAGATATTACGAGTAACAAAGAAAATGTTTTTAAAAAGTGATTTTGACATCTGAAGATTATTGAAGGTAGGTGGGAACTGGTACATTTAGTTGAAAACTCATCTTGAACCTGAACCCTTCAGTGGCTGTGGTCATTTTACTTAGTAACCAGGTTTTTGATGATTTAATATTTAGTAGTGTTTCTAAGTAAGGGAGGCAAATAAATTTCTTATTAGGTACTATTTCCATGAGTGGGGACAGTGCAAATCCCTCCCTCTAAAAGATGCCTATTATGTATTAGCAAACATGAGCTTTTTTGATTGTCAGTATTATATTTATATAACAAATATTTAAGAATTCCATTCTAAGTGACAGATGTTACTGTCTTACACAATATAATTTGATATAACATTTAGAAAATGCCATCATTGGTGGCTTTAGGATTGTAAATCACCTCTTCAATGGCAGTACTGGCAAAATACAAATACACAACAGCCTCTAGGCATGTTTTGTATGCATCTGTTAGAGTAATTTGCAGTTTTATTGGAGAATTCATAGTTCCCTGACACGTCTCTTTATAAATAATGCCGGAGCAATTCCTTTTGTGTGTGTGTGTGTGTGTGTGTGTGTGTGTGTGTGCATTTGTGTGAAGCAAAATTCACCTTTCTGATGAAGGCATTCCCTCTTCTAGAAGGAATTCTAAATAATGGATTTGTCTCTAAAAAAGAATCCTGGTTTCATGTTCTTTAACTTTCTGAGACTTTCTTTTTGTTACTAGAACAAGTTTTGTAGACTTTTTCCCATAAGTATTCAGTTAAATATCTAGATAGTCATTTTTAACTGATTAGGAAAAAAAAATCCCCAAATTTCAACCAAATGTAACAAAATAGAATCCCTCTGTGATAACTTAATGAGAAAAATATTGGGCAACACTCACCATCAATAATTAACTAATTATTAAAGGAACATGCACAGATTCCATCCACTATAAAAATTCTGCTCAGCAAATTACCTTTCTTTGCCTCTTTTATCTTTATGCAGGGCCTCTCTGTTCCCATTAAGCCTTTCAGAGGACATTATTTGGGCTTTAAAGATTAAACAGGAAAGAGTTAAATGGAAGTAAGATCATGTCACTTTTCTGCTCAAAGCATTCCAATGGTTCCTGGCATACTTGCAATGAAAGCCCAAGTCCATGCTATTTCAGATGACCTGGGGGCCGGCTCCCTCCCTCCCCTCCAGCCTCACCTCCCTTCCTGCTGTCACTTCCGCGGTCAAGCTCACCCTGACGTCAGGGCCTTGTTGCTCCCTTTACATGAACTTTCTTCCCCACGAGGCAATACAGGACTCTCTCCCACCCTTGCTTCAGGTAGCTGCTTGAATTTCACCTTCTGGGGAGTCTTTTCCTGACCATTCTACCTTATGTGACCCCTTCCCAAACCCCCTCTTTCCCTTGCTTATTTTTTTTCATGATGTTACCTATAATAGTACTAGTTTATTGTCTGCCTCCCCCTCTAGGGTGTATACTTCATGAGGACAGGGGCTTTGTTTTATTCACTGCTGTTCCCCAGGACCTAAGAAGTACCTGGCATACAAAAGCTGCTCATAAGTATGTTGAATAAATGAACTTTTTTTTTTTTTTTTTTTTTTGAAATAGGGTCTGGGTCTGTTGCCCAGGCTGGAGTGCAATGGTGCTATCTGGGCTCACTGCAACCTCTGCCTCCTGGGCTCAAACCATCCTCCCATCTCAGCCTCCCAAGTAACTGGGATCACAGGCACACTCCACCACGCCCAGCTACTTTTTTTTTGTATTTTTGGTAAAGATGGGGTTTCGCCATGTTGCCCAGGCTGGTCTCGAACTCCTGAGCTCAAGCAATACTCCTGCCTTGGCCTCCCAAAGTGCTGGGATTACAGGTGTGAGACATTGTGCTGGGCCATGAATGAATGAACTTTCTTTTCACCCCAGTGATATGCACACCTCACAATCTTCTCATACTGCTCATCAAATATTTAATGATACTCAGATCTTTTTTTTAATTTAATCCTCATTCTGCAACATCTCTGTATTCTTCGACACTGGCAGAGAAGAATGAAAATAATCTAAGGGGAAAGTTAAGGACAGGTTTGTCAGGAGCCACTGATATCCTTTTTCTAACTGAACTCCTTTGTTAGGAAATTAAACAGATATAACAGAAATTAGAATGCTTATTATACATTTTGATATAACGACTGAAAATACCCTCCCACGGCAGCTATTATTTTATTAATTATACCTAAGTCACTGATACTTATGAGACCAATGATGCAATGAGACAGTACAACAGACTGTCCCATTGAACACTCTATTTTCAACAACCAAGATAGAGAAAATGGCGTGCAGTTCTTCTATCACACCTGGTGCCCTAAGATTAATTTAATTCATGAATCTCCCTTGCAAGGTTAAAAATAAGTAACCACCCTCAAACTTCAATCATTCCTTGAGTAAGCTTCGTGAACCTCCAAATGGAAATGACTGTGATCATAGTCGTATTTCATACAAGGATTTCACATCTTTATTAATAACTTACAGGATGTGTAACTTTAACGTTTCTGAAATGACTCTGCCAAAATTTGTTGGAATTTCACCTTCTGGGGAGTCTTTTCCTGACCACTGTTGTTTACACAAGATTGTTGTACAAGATGTTTAGCAGTCTCTGACAAAGACCTATCCTGTGTATAACCATAATTATTAAGCTTACGGCCTATTAACTCAGAGCACCATGAATCTTACCTTTGTTCCTTAACATCTTACTCCCTCTAAACATTTAATTTTTCTTTATAGAAGTGTTTCATGCTCATTATAGAAAACTAGAAGAAGAGAGACAAGGTGGTGGTAGGGGGAAACAAAACTAAAACCCTCAATCAGAGTTCCCATCATCACCCAAAGATAACTTTCATTTTTCTTTTTCATGTCCCAGTGCTTTTTTTTTTTGAGACATAGTCTCGCTCTGTCGCCCAGGCTGGAGTGCAGTGGCGCCATCTCAGCTCACTGCAACCAACGCCTCCTGGGTTCAAGCAGTTCTCTGCCTCAGCCTCCCAAATAGCTGGGATTACAGGCGCCCACCACCACGCCCAGCTAATTTTTGTATTTTTAGTAGAGATGGGGTTTCACCATCTTGGCCAGGCTGGTCTTGAACTCCTGACCTCGTGATTCGCCCGCCTTGGCCTCCCAAAGTGCTGGGATTACAGGCGTGAGCCACTGTGCCAGGCTGCTTTAAAAAAAAAAAACAAAAAACAAAAACAAAAAAAAAACAAAAAACAAAAAACATTAATTACTATGAAAGGCATGGCAAGTCTTAGTATGACACCAGTGATGATATTTTTAAAATAACACATTTTCGAGTGATAAAAGTAACAGTTGGGAGATAGACCAGAGTGCTTTAAAAATTAACATTTTCATAAAAATGAAAAACAATTTGACCAAAAATTGTGTCAGAAATAACTTTCACATACCGAAAGCTTGCCTACATGTTAAAAGCATTTGCAAGAGTACACATTTTTTTTTTTTTCCTGAGTAAACTTTCCCCTTGTTTTTCTGTGGGTGCAAGTGACTATACAGTACATAGAAAATTAGTGAGCAAAAAAAAAATAATTAGGATGAGTCACCTTACCTTTTAAGTCATCTTGCCACAAAATGGTTACCTACAATCCACATAACCAATTAATTCCTGCCTCCATACTCTAACAAAGACAGCCAGAATTTGGATCTAATCTTTTTTTATAAATCATTCTACCTCCAGGCTATCCCACTCCCTCATTATCCTGTTTCCTGGCCTCTTTCCCATTCCTATAATACAGCTGATTTCCCTGATAACCTCAGCACAGGCCCCTTTCCCAGGACCCTCCCCCATCATGAATCTTTCAAGCCTAATTCCATTGAAGTTAAAAAAGAAGCAACTCATTTGAGTGACTCATTCCTAGATACTTAGGGCGGAGAAACTAGATTCTGCAGCTGGATGAGTCATTTTGACTGGAAAGCCCCGATAGGAAAGAGGTTCTGTAGAGTGCATACAACAGAGGATGGGGAAATTATGAAGGTAGTAGGTACAGATAAACGCAGAACATTCAAATAGTGTTCCTTAGTCTGAAGCACTTTGATACCTTAAAGAGGAGTTCTACTTTGCAAATACCACTTTACAAGATTTTTTCCCAACATTTTCATTGAAAATATCTCCATTTACTTTAGCTGCTTTTAGGTCTACCATTTTTCTGGAGTCACAGTTATGTATTTGCTTGTTTTTTAATTTTATTTTTTAGAGGCAGTGTCTCTCTGACACCAAGGCTGGAGTGCAGTGGCTTGATCTTATTAATAGCTCACTGCAGCCTTGAACTCCTGGCCTCAAGCAATCCTCCTGCTTCAGCCTCCCAAGTAGCTGGGACTACAGGTATACACGACCATACATGGCTAATTTTTAAATTTTTTGCAGAGGCGGGGTCTTGCTACATTGCCCAGGCTGGTCTTGAACTCCTGGCCTCAAACAATCCTCCTGCCTTGGCTTCCCAAAGCATTGGGATTACAAGTGTGAGCCACTGTGCCCAGCCTAGCGTCATATTTAAATGTGGTTCTGCCAAAGTGGATTTTGTCCAAAGCTCCAGGAATATCCTCATGATAGAAACTTCCAGAGAGAGTTGGTGTCAAGCATTCAGTATGAGAATAGTATGAAAAGATATTTTCTCCTTTGTTCAAAATGAAACTAACTTATTGGTGTTTTCTGATTGAAACCACCTTTGCAAAGATGATGACAGTGAGAGAAGTCCAGCATGGCTGACTCCATTCTTGCTTCTGGCCTCACAGACTGGCTGCCTTTGCTTTTTCCTGGGCCTAGGGCAGGCTAACCATGGGGAGAATTTAGTTTATAATTTAACTTTGAAACAATGATGATAATAGTCCCTCCCTAAAACTAATGCCCTTCTGGCTCACAGACTGAAAACTAATAAAAGTCCACAAGACTAGGATTATGAGAAGGGTCTGAATTCTAAAATGAAGGTGTAGTTTCTATAATCCCTTACTGCTCAGGAGTCACGTGGCCAGAGGTCACAAGATGTGTCTTCCCCAGTTGCTTCTATAGATAACATCACTATTGTAGCATCTAAGATTGGTCTTTTGAGATGTTTTTCAGACAGCATTCTGGCAACTGACTGACCCCACCCAGACCCATGACTCAACCAGTCCTGTGGCCCCCATCCAGAGGTGGACTCAGCACATGAGGACCATTTTCTATACCCCTATGATTTCATCTCCAACCAATCAGCAGCACCCATTCCCTAGCCCCCTGCCCACCAAATTATCCATAAAAAACCTGGGCTCTGAGTTCCTGGGGAGACTCATCTGAGTGATAACTCCAGTCCTCCTGCTAGGCTGCCCTGCATTAATTAAACTCTTTACTGCAATAACAGGGTCTCAGTGAATTGGTTTTGTCTGTGCAGCAGGCAGGAAGGACCCATCAGGCAATTACATGATTATGAAAGTAACATATACTTCTTATAAAAATGGAAATTCATAAAATATAAGTATAAATTACTTGACATGCCAACTAAACTGAGGAAAAGCTAACATTTCTAGATTTATTCTTTCTGCTCTTTTTTTCCTGCATGCCCACCGTTTTACAAATCATGGAATCATACCATTCATGTGGATTTGTAACCTGCTTTATAGTTTCACAAACTGTATGAAAAACTCATTTAACTCTGGCTTCTGGTTAGGGGAGCTTACTGAAGGAAGACGGCTAGGAATTATTGCTTTATATTTTTAGCAGTTTACTTGATCTAGAGATTATTCATTATGGCTCCAAATTATTATATGAGTAAAGGCCAATTCTAAAAAAAAAAAGTGACTTGAACACAATGGTTTCCCACTTTACTTTTTTAACTTTTAGAAATTATAAGTGTAATGTAAATTGATGAAAAAAATAGAACAAAGGATATAAACTCAAAAATAAAAGAATGCCTCTCACTACTGTCCCCTTCTCCCAATCCCTGTCCTTTCCACTTGTCAGTGGTAATCACCAGTCACAGTTTAAGAAATTATCCATGCATATACAAGCTATTATGTACACATAAATGTACTGCCTCTTTTTTAAAACATAATGGGATCATGTCACGCATGTTGTCAGCAGCCAGTGTTTCCTTTTTTTATCTAACAATATGTCTTGGGCATTTTTTCAAAGAGATTCCTACAGATCTCCTTCATTCTTTTTTAATGGCTGTGGAGTTTCCCACTGAATATTCATGGTTTATTGAAAATGGTTTCCTACCTATGTGCATTTAGTTTGTTTTCAGGTCTTTATGCTGCAAAGTGTATTTTTGTCCATATCCCTTAAAGTTACTTGTTCAAGTCTATTTGTAGATTAAATTCCTAGAACGAGACATTGACGTCCAGCTCACAAACTAACATGGAGTGTTATACTTCTCTGCAACCAAGAGAACTCATTTCGCTTTTTTTTTTTTTTTTGAGTCAGGGTTTCACTCTGTTGCCCAGGCTGGAGTGCAGTGGCACAATCCTGGCTCACTGCAACCTCCGCCTCCTGGGTTCAAGTGATTCTCGTACCTCAGCCTCCTGAGTAGCTGGGATTACAGGCATGCACCACCATGCCTGGCTAATTTTTGTTTGTTTGTTTTGTAGAGACGGGGTTTCACCATGTTGGTCAGGCTAGTCTCAAACTCCTGGCCTCAAATGTTTGGCCTGCCTCGCCTCCCAAAGTGCCAGGATTATACGTGAGCCACTGCGCCTGGCCCCTCATTTCTGGTTTATATTTTTAATAGAGTATTTCATGTAAGTATTACATTATGTAAGCCTCACCATGGCTCACAGTAGACACAGAGAAGGAGATTGGGAGATGGAATGCAAAAGCACTTGAGAGTGTAGGAAGCTAAGGACAGAAATGGCTATGTACATGTGGTGATTTCCAAATGTAAGGTCTGTCTCTGTTGTTTCTCGTAGGGGTGAGGAGGTCTACAACTAGGGAGGTGTGCAGCTTGACAGCTGTAGAATGTTGTTTCTCTCTTCATGTGCAAGACCTTGGAAGTGCCAGGAGATTTGTGGGACATGTTTCCCAAGCAAGAGGGAAAAACCACGCACAATTTTTTAATCATTTAAAAGAAATACAGATATATCCTTTTCATGGGCTGCCCAAACTCCTTAGTGATTTAGGCCTGAATTTAAATCTGTCTCATACACAGTTTACCATAAGTATTGATGAGAGACTCCAATGTGAACTTTTGCCTGATTGGGATCAAAATATAAAACTGGCCATCGCTAAAATAATTTATACTTGAAAAGAAGCTCATTTGATAAAAAAGGTTCTTTAAAACATCTGTTAGCTCAGAGATGGGAAAAAAATTCTACTTGAACTAACTCCAAGCTTTTTTTTTTCTGAGACGGACTCTCACTCTGTCACCCAGGCTGGAGTGCAGTGGCACAGTCTGAGCTCACTGCAACCTCCACCTCCTGGGTTCAAGCGATTCTCCTGCCTCAGCCTCCCAGGTAGTTGGGACTACAGGTGTGTGCCACTGCACCTGGTTACTTTTTGCATTTTTTTTTTTTTTTTAGTAGAGACAGGATCCCACCATGTTGGTCAGGCTGGTCTTTAAACCCTGACCTCAGGTGATCCGCCTGCCTTGGCCTCCCAAAGTACTGGAATTACAGGCGTGAGCCACTGCACCAGACCAACTCCAAGCTTTTTAATATGAGACTAATGACAGAGGGAATTTTTATGACTGGGAGATTTATTATCACATGAGAAAATCAGTCTTCAGTTTTCATGTTGAGTATTGGACTCTCACATCAAACCATCTAAAGTCTTCTTGTGCCTCCATCTCCCACTCTCTGCTTCCAGAAATGCCTTAACGTTTCTTTAGTGGTTGGCAATCAGCTCGGCATCTAAGGTGAAAAAACGAATATAGCCCTGCAGTCTTTCTACTGTCAAGGTAAACCATTTTATATTTATTTATTTATTTATTTATTTATTTATTTATTTATTTATTTTTTGAGATGGTGTCTCGCTCTGTCACCCAGGCTGGAGTGCAGTGGCGTGATCTAGGCTCACTGCAGCCTCTGCCGCCTGGGTTCAAGAGATTTTCCTGTCTCAGCCTCCTGGGTAGGTGGGACTACAGGCGCACGCCAACACGCCCAGCTAACTTTTGTATTTTTAGTGGAGATGGGGTTTCACTGCATTGGTCAGGCTGGTCTCAAACTCCTGACCTCAGGTGATCCATCCTCCTCGGCCTCCCAAAGTGCTCGGATTACAGGTGTGAGCCACCACGCCTGACCTAAACCATTTTATTCTAAAAGGAGAGTTACTTCATGGGACAGTCGTCCCCTCCTCTGTGGTTTTGCTTTCTAAGATTTCCATTACCCACGGTCAACTGCGGTGTGAAAATATTAAATGGAAAATTCCACAAATAAACATTTCATAAGTTAAAAAAAATTGCGTGTTGTTCTAAGTTGATGAAATCTCTTGCCATCCCATTCTGTCCTACCTGGGACGTGAGTCACCCCTTTGTCCGGCATTCCATTAAACGCCCATTAGTCACTGACATCCTCTGCTCCTGACATCTATCAACATTATCATGGCTCCACGATCCAGGATCACCAAAAGCAGATGATCCTTCTTCTGACACAGTGTCAGAAGGTCAGTAGCAGCCTCACAGTACGTCACAGCAGCTGTCATTCACCTCACTTCATCTCATCATGTAGACATTTCATCATCTCACATCAGCACGGGAAGAGTGAGTATAGTGCAAGAAGATCTTTTGAGAGAAGGACCACATTCACATAACTTTTATTATAGTATGTTGTTATTAAATTGTTCTATTTCATTATTATTGTTAATCTCTTGCTGTGCCTAATTTATAAATTAAACTTTATCATAGGTATGTGTGTATAAGAAAAAACATAGTATTTCCAGGGTTTGGTACCATCTGTGTTTTCAGGCCTCCACTAGGGGTCCGGGAATGTATCCCCTGAGGATGAGTGGGGACTAATGCAGTGTGAGCACCGCATTAGGTAGAGACCAATTCTATTTATAAAAGGCTTTATTGTACATTTTATTTTTGCAAGTGGATCCATTTTAACCTGTGGCAAAAACAGACCCGTATTATAATCAGTCTTACGAGTGCATGTGCATCAGTCAAAGTTTAGATTTTATCCTGATGACAACAGGAAGCCCCCCTTGCCGGCAGTGGCCTGATGAGATCTGCAGTCTAGAAAGATAGTCGGACTGCAGGATGGACAGCAGGGATTTGAGGGGGTGACACTGGAGACAGGAAGACCAGCCAGAGGCCACTGTAATCCAGAGAACTAGTGATGAAGACTAGAATAAAAGTTACTGCAGTTAGGGTTAGGAGAGATCTAGGAGGAGGGATCGATGTAGAAGGACATGGTAACTGAATGGAAGTGGAGGGTGAAGAAGAGGTAATAATGAAAGATGGTGCAGCAGATAGTGTTGTTCCTCATGTCCCTCCCCAGTTACAGGTTGAGCCTCCCAAATCCGGAAACCCCAAATCCGAAATGCTCAGAATTCGAAGCTTTTTGAGCACCAGCATCATGCTCAAAGGAAATGCTCTCAGATTTTTGAATTTGGGATGCTCATCCAGTAAGTATCATGAAAATTATCTATCTATCTAGATATAAAAAAATCTAAAATCTGAAATACTCTTCTGATCCCAAACACTTTGGATAAGGGATACTCAACCTGTATCACTTTTCCTTCACGGCTTCAATGCCTTACTTCCCACCACCAGTACCTGCATGTATTTCCTATGTGCTTTCTCTGGCCACTGAAACCTGGTTGGCCCACATGTATGGTAGACCAGAGATTGGGGGAATTAAGTCTCCTGGGAGCAGCTTTAACTGATGACTGGCTGCATACACATCCCAGCTGTCTCACTCTTGAGGTAGGAAACTCTGAAGTGTGTATCCTACATTGTGTCCCAGAGGTCCCCAGGGAAATTAATCTCCAGTTGGCCACATTGGTAACCTGTTTGGCTGCTTTCCTTTGCTTGGCTCATTTTTCCATCTTGCTACCAGTGTTTCCTGGTCTCACCTCCTAACAAACAAACAAACAAACAAACAAACAAAAACTAGGCCTGGCACAGTGGCTCGCACCTGTAATCCCAGCACTTTGGGAGGCCGAGGCGGGCGGATCACCTGAAGTCAGGAGTTCAAGACCAGCCTGGCCAACATGGTGAAACCCTGTCTCTACTAAAAATACAAAAAAAAAAAAAAAAAAAAAATTTGCCGGGCGTTGTGGCATGCGCCTGTAATCCCAGCTACTCAGGAGGCTGAGGCAGAAGAATTCCTTGAACCTGGGAGGTGGAGGATGCAGTCAGCTGAGATCGTGCCACTGCACTCCAGCCTGGGCGACAGAGCAAGACTCTGTCTTGGAAACAAAACAAAACAAAAAAACCCAAAAATTGCACCCAAATTTGTCTCACAATCCGCTTCTGGGGAAATCCAAACAAATGGTGTCCAAACTTATGGTGTGTGCCATGGTGGGTGATGATTATGATGCCATCTATTAAGACAGAAAAATAGGAGAGGAGGGTTTTAATTCACTGATTGATGTTTTTGGAGGAGTGGTATGAAGAAAGTGGGAGGCAGGGGAAATGACATCTTCAGTTTGAAGCCCTTTGGACTGAAAGAGCTCCAGGGACCTTGATGTGGGATGTCTGAATGGAACTTCTGGGGATGGTGTGGTGAACCTCATATCATGCGAATGCAAACACTGGCCACACTTTTGCATTTCTAGTGAACATCTTTTGTTTCTGAATGATAAAGTGAAAATAGAAAAGCTAAGTATCTTGCTAAGAGACACAATGAATGAGAGAGAATAGCAGAAAATGAAAAATGAAGTCCTGGACCATCATTCCTATCACTACATCAGGAGACAGCCATGGTGTGATGTGGGAGTGTCTTCTTTACCACAGAGAGGCACTCATTTGGCCTAGGTAAGAGAATACAGAATAGATTTGTTTGAATGAAAATAGATGGTCTAGTTTATGAGTGGAATTACTTTTCTTTTTTCTATCCTGGTTACCAGAGGGCAGTTGCTGCCCTGAAAAGAAATAAACACAAAGAAGAAATTGCATGAAATGAGAATATGTATTTTTGATAGCAAAGGAATGGAAGAACATATTGTATATACAGAAAAGGCCTTGTAGATTGAATTAGCCAGTCCCAAACTGAAGCCAGGGTCACTGCATTGCAATTTTCAAACAAATACTCTCCATCATCCATTACACATACTCAAGAATTTGGCCTTTTATAGCACTATTCATTCTCGAGGCATCTAAATAGTCTTTGCAAAAGTAAAAAAGCAACCACAGGCACTGCTGAGGCCTTATAAAGGGTGTTTGGAATATTATGTGAGCACATATAAATTTGATAAATTTGCTCTGTTCAGAGGAAGAAACCAGGCCAAGGCCAAAGTGGCCACAGCCCTGGGGATAACCTATACTTGAGAAACAAAGTCCTCAAATGGAATTTGGATTTTGTTGAGATGGGGTCTTGCTATGCTGTCCAGGCTGGTCTCAAACTCCTGGGCTCAACTGATCCTCCCACCCCAGCCTCCTGAATAGCTGGGATTATAGGTGTGGGCCACCACATTTGACTTGGATCTGGGTTTTATAAGGGCTTTCGGATGTTACCATTTCCCACAAAGCACAAACATGAAAGTGTTGATAATTATTTTTAATACCAAGTGACTCAACCTATCTGGGCAGACTCAAACCATATGGGCAGAGATAAAGGGGCGTGGCCACACAATCACAGTTGTTTCTTTATCTTTGTGGCTTTCTACAGATTCTTCAGGTAAGGCATCTAAACAGGATACACATTTCTCCTTTAGAAAGGTTACCACCCTTAAAAAAGTATGCGTGTACTTTAGTGTGTGAACCTATAAATGCTGGTCTATAGGGGCTGACAACTTAATTTAATTAGTTAATTACTGAGAAGAGCTAACTCAGACACATAGCTGACAGTGCCTAATGAAAGATCTTTCTCTACAACTAGTTTCTAATAGAGTCAACAGCTCCCCTTTGAAATACACCTATACTCTAAGACCAAACTAGGCTGGTGGGGGACAGATGGGGCTAACAAGGAGCACACAATCCTTAGCCTCAAGTAACATTGTCTGGATCAAGAAAATCCATAACTACGAAACTTTCTCCCTCTAGTAAACAGCTGCACAGACTATAGCTTATCTCCTGCAAGTACATCAAAGAAGTGCCATAAGCAGTGTGGAATAGTTTTTGGATTTGAAATGCAACAGGAGAAGATATATCAACCTACATGTCATTAGTTTAGGGCAACCAGTTTGTGTTACAAATAGAAATGTTCCTGCAAACTAGAAGTGGCATAATTGAAAAACTGTTGTCATCATTATCACTGTCATAGTCTGAAGCAAATGTGCACTCCTATTAGCCTGAAGGTGTCCACTTGGCATCTAGACCTACCTATTTGTAAATAAGCAATTAGCCTTGACAAATGCAGAAATACTATCATAAGTATGCAGCTTGATGAATTTTCACAAAATTACCTATATACATAATGAGTAATCAGATAAAGAAAGAGAATGCCCCAGCTTCCTAAAAGCCCTTCTCATCCCCATCCCAGTCACTACCTCTCCCCAGTACTGTGTCTTTCAAGAACTACTTATGGTGACTTTTCCCTTTCCCAACTTTCACTGTAGGTGGGAGAATTTTAGCAGTAAAGCCCCTAGACTAGACTGATTTTCTCCTGTGCTAGCATATAGTTTTGGCCCTAGAAAGAAAATGAAGGAGTCTGGGCTAAAATTACAGTGCCATAACAGATGTGTATTAGTCTATTTTCACACTGCTATAAAAATACTACCAGAGACTGGGTAATTTACGAAGAAAAGAGGTTAGTTGACTCACATCTCTGCATGGCTGGGGAGGCCTCAAGAAGCAGAATCATGGCGGAAAGGGAAGCAGGCACATCTTATATGGAGGCAGACAAGGGTGAGTGAATGAAGGAGGAACTGCCGAACACTTAAAACCATCAGCTCTCGTGAGAACTCACTATCACGACAACAGCATGGGAGAAACCATCACCATGATCTAAACACACGGAGATTATAATTCAAGATGAGATTTGGATGGGGACACAGAGCTAAACCATATCAAGATGACAGAACTTTTAATACAGGGGATGTGCAAGGAGCTTGTAGACCTTCTCATCTCTTTCTATAGGAAACTGGGCTAGGACCAAACCCAAGTTCTCCTGATTCCCAGTCTAGAAATGTTTCTTCTATGCTGCTGACCAGATCATCACTAAACTCAGCAATACATATTTTATCTAACTGAGAGTTTTAACACAGCTTCATAAAACCATTTCTATGAACCAGATGATCCATTAAAAACTACTGACATCCTAACTGAAAGAAATGTTCCAAGTGACTATGATATTACTAGATATCAAAGCATTAAAGGAAGAGAGGAAAGATAGAAATAGAAGAGAATACAATTAGAATTCTGTTAATCAACAGTAAGTAATTATAAATTATTTCAAGTATCTTACTTAAAGGACTAATTTTTATTTCTAGCTAAAAGAAGACGGTGCATCAGTAATACTTAAAATGCCAACAGCTGCGGTAAATGTGGGCAACACTGGGAGGTGTGTTCCTTTTGGTCAGTGTCTGGTGACATATTATCTGACTTAGCAGGCAGCAAGATAGGGCAGAAAGAGAGAAAATGTGCTGTGCAGTTCTGGGTCTGAATTCCTGTGCTGCCCCTCCTCAACTGTATGA
Source organism: Homo sapiens (assembly GCF_000001405.40). NCBI lineage: Eukaryota > Metazoa > Chordata > Mammalia > Primates > Hominidae > Homo > Homo sapiens. The sequence continues at coordinate 145,818,325 of NC_000004.12, forward strand.
CTTTGAACAAGTTATTAAATCTCTCTACACCTCCAGGTAGTAATTTGTAAATTGTGGATAATTCCTATGTCTCAATGAGTTGTTTCCAGAATTAAAAATGAGATGACATATGTCCTGTGCCTGACAATTTAATAGATCCTTGAAAACTGCTAGCTTCTTTCTCTGTACAAAATGAATTTGTCTCATCACAAAGGAGCTCAAGTTACAAAACGATATACACTAACATCCAATGTTCTATTGTTTATCTATGACTTTGTCTAAATTGAAAAAGAATCTGCTGTGTTTGAGAATGGACTGAAGAAAATAGTTTGCTATAATATAATCCAAGATAGATTTATACGTGTGTCTCTCTCTCGAGGCCTGAGTTGGGAAGTCTTAACACAAAGGAAGGTGACATGCACACATTGAGACGTATCTTTTTAAGCCAACGGTCTTAAAGAGGTCATTCACTTCTGACCAGGGGTGTGTCAGGCTGAGAGCTAGTTGCAGGTGGCATTCTAATACAAGGCATCATTTATTCAGATTTCAGGAAAGTATATGACACAGTATATTAGATTGATAGGCAGACCAGAGAAGGGAAAATGGATCAAGAACAAGACTGAGGACAAGGCAGGCAATTCCAAACCAGCCTTTTGATTGAACATCAAATTCTGACTGGCATAGCAGGTCCTGAAAGAAACTAAAACTTCCCCCTGCCTACCAAAAAAAGCTTGTTTTTGTGAGGGGTGCTGATGTTCATCTTTTCTTGTTTGTACATTATAAATAAAACCAACAACGTGAGTTTTTTTTTTTTTAAATGCAAGTTAGGGGAAATAATGAGGGAAGGGATTGATGAATATAATTGCAGATGTGCTTTACATTATCTCACTCCAGGCTGCATCTGAAATAACACACGGAAGCATCGGGGACTCCAAACACTCGGAGAGAATTCCACGGAGACCCACATTTTCCTTCACACCCGCCCTGGTTGTGTTTTTGTTTTTTGGCTTAATACAGAGCAAACATACTGTGACTTCAAATCATAATAACACAGAATGGAAGCTCCACGTTGTTTAAAAGCAGTACTGGGATATAAATTCTTCTCTTAACAGCCTTTGCTTACAGCAAGATGATGGGAAACAGGGACAGCTGCAGGTACAATGGCAATGGGTCTGCTTTTAATACAGAATCACCCACATGCCCTGAAAATCACCTGACCTCGGAATCTTTCTTCTATTGATGTAAATCTTGCACAAAGTGAAACAACTATAAATTAAATAAAGTACATTAAATTTCACGTAGTCTGTAATTTCTATCTCCCCCATGATAGGAAAGCTCTTTTATTTCTTTTGTAAAGTCACCAGCAGCAACATCACCACCCAGGGTACATTCAGTAATCTATTTATGGCTCTAAGGATATTCTGTCCCCACATCCCTCCCGCAGAAGGTGACAGCAGTTTTTAACTCATCATTTTATTAAAGATTCCTGATGCTACCTCTGCCTAAGACATTCGCAGCAAGTGAAAATGTTAGGTCTTGGCTAACATGAGCATTCTTTAGTTCTCAGGAAAGTCAGTCTAGAAATACTGGCAACAACCGCAGCCAGGACACCGTGAAGCTCTGTGTTTATTCTGTTTCTCTGGGACGGTGGCAGCTGTGAGTTTCAGATGCCATCTGCCGAAGGCAAATGCCTAGTTAACTGTGCTATTCTCGATCTCTTCACAGTCCACAGTTCTACCAACCTCTCTCTACTTTGCAATCCCCCTCACTGCTGGCTTCCTTCTCCAACAGGCCTGAAACACAAGCACAACACACTGAAGCTACCATGGATCCCCTTGGCCCAGCAGCTGTTACACCCTAAATGATATTCTCTTCTAGCACTTCCTTACCCTGTGGTCTTAATCTGAAGGCATCTGGACTCTTCTTCCTATTGGTAGAAGGTACATAACTATATACCAATGTTGTATATATTGTTGAAATAATGCTATGTATTTTCAGCATTTGCAAGGGAAATGGAACTAGGCACATTATATCTCATTAATTATGGTCTCTACTAATTGGGAATCTGAGAGAGTTCTCTGGGCTGACATTTATTTTTGCATTATCTGCTGAACAAAGACGTTTGCTAAGTAAATAAAAGGTAGAAAGTTTTTTAATGGTAGTGTTTAAACTACCTAAGAGAAGATTTCTAAAGATTCTGAGGCTTTCATTTGTACACTAACAACAAATTATTTTCTACCTAGTCACTAAAGCCAGCTGTCTCCTTTCTGGCTTCCCTATTTCTGCACAGCCACTATCATTTCCTAATTCAACGTGCTTATTAGCAAAGCTAACCAGTCTCCAACCAGCCAACTCATCCTCTGTCTGCTTTTCCCACCCCACTCCTCTTTTTCTCTCTAACTCAGGCCCTCATTAATAAAGCTGCCCTAGAACTAGAGGATCCCAGCTAGGCTCCTGTCATTTGCCCCCAATCCTCTCCAATGATTCACTAATCTGCTGCCGGATTGGTCTTTCAAAAATTTCTTTTCATTTTTTCCTTTCACACTCCAATCTTATTATCCCAGATGAAATGTTCTATAAGAACCCATGACTCTTATACTCCAGAACTTTAAGATCCTCAACTGTAGCTTCAGTGTTCTTGCTCCCAGCACTGCATTTAGCAGATTACTAAAATAAATGTAGATTCATAATATTTATCTGAACTCCCTGGGGCCAGATGTAATTTGGCATTCATACTTCTTTCTCATTTTAGGATCACAATATGGTGCATAAAACCTATTTTATGTAACAGCCCAGTGGACCTGAAGCAACACTTCATAGTCAAGTACATTCATAGTTCTTCAACAAAATGTATAAATTTCACCCCTTGTTGTAATAAATAAAGACAATAAATAAATAGCCTCCCATTAGGTTTTGCCACAAAATATTTATTCAAAAAAATTTTGGTGGGTGGGGTTTTTTGGATTTCAGAATTGTGATTAAGAGATTGAGAATGTATAGTAGGTATATTTATCCATGGCCATTTATCACTGTCCAGACTTGAAAGAAGTTAAGTTTTCTTTAAAAGTCTCCACACCGTTAACTTTGATTAATTCAGGCTGTTCTCCTCCACAATTAGTCCAAATTATTGAGGCCTTCCTTACAAAACTGTCTTCAGATTATGAGAACTTCATGACCACAAGGTTGTCCCTATCATTTTAAATTTTTTTCTAATTTTAACTCCATTCCCAAAGCATTTTCACCTTGCTTATTAAAACAAAAAAAGTCTTTTTTTTTTAGCTGCTTATTTTAACAAAATGTAAATGTAGTCATTTTGCTTTTCTCTACCTAAAGAAAGGTTTTGGTGAAGTAGGGTAGATTGATTATCTTTCAGCAGGGCGAATTTACATTTTAAAAATCTCAGTTATGCTGACCTTCTCCCCCAAATAAGAGTTAAGCTTTTAAAGTGTGAGTTCATCTAATGTCTAACGTAAGTTTATCAAGCAAATCACGGAAAACCCCCCGATGCACAGTTAAGCATATAATGAAATCACTCTTTAGGTCAAGTTTTAACTTGACCAATAAACCCTGCTTTAAATACTGCCAAGCCAAACATAAAGCCAGCAGTGCAAGGTTTGTATATATATCATGGGATGCTGGCCGTATGGGTCACAGCATTCTGACAGGCAATTCCTGGGCAGTTATTTTGACATTAGAAAGTCACAATCCATCAACTTAACAGCAGGGCAATAATTTTGGGACCAGGGAGATGGCTATTCAAAATGACACTGTGGGAAGTAAACAGTAGTTCCAAGAACCCCTGTTTGAGTATGAAGACATAAACTAGACAAAATTTCTTTCCACCTCTAGAACCAGCCATTATGTAATGTGTTTTTGTGTAAGCACATTATTTCTGGTGTTTGAATAGAAAAGCCCTGCCTGCAAAGCTAAAAAGCATGCAGGTATCTGGATTCTTTGGCTGAATGTGGGGAGATGAGAAGAAATGGAACTACCCTTATGAGACTCAAGAATGACAAAGAGTTGCCTTCCCCACCCCCACCCTCCACCCCAGTTTGTCACAAACTATTTCCAATGACCTGTGATACCCGAGGCCAATATTTCAGATGTCACTGCATTCTTTCTGCATTGCAAATTAATTAGTTCTCCAGTGCCCTGTAAAACAGGGCTCCTTGAGTATGTGGAGGAGACTTGGACTTTATTTTTGAAGAGGCTGCGGGGCCAACAACCCTGCTGTGAGTACTGCCCTGCACACAGGTGGCCACGGTTTCCTGGACAAATGAATGTGGATGGAGGCTACCGAGTGCTGCTGAGATCCTCTCCACAGCTGGGAGGGAAGGTAGCAACTGGCAGAAGTTTCCTGGCTGCTAGATTGGTGGTGGGCGGGGTGGGTATGGGTAGGGAGTATGAACTAGAGTGCAGCGGTTCTCAGATGTTCTCATTTCCCAATAACTCTGAGAACACACACATAAGCCCTCCAGGATGGCCATGCTGTGGATAAGGAACAGTAAGCACATCCTTCCTTCTACCCAGGAAAGGAGAAATGAAAAAAGGAAGAACGGATAAAAAATGATGTACTGATGGCTGAGATGGCAAAACAGAGCACTGGATGGATATATGTAGATACTATGGCCAAGAAGAGAGACAAAATCTGGGTGGCAAGGTTTCCTCAGTGAGCTGTCTCGTTTCCATGCAAACTGAGGTGGTCTTTGTGGTGGCCCACACCCCCTGGGGTCATGACCTGCCCTACTGGGGACTAGCACTCTTCGCCACTGCCCTCCCCTATATTCCTGGCTGCCGGCCTGAAATACAACATGTAAAGCAAATTATTTTCAGGTTATACTTCATTATTTTAAAGAAAAAGAAATTCATTATGTGGGTGAAATATCAGCAGGTAAAGAACAATAAGCTCTTAAAGCAAAGATGAAGAGGCTTATTACTGTAAACATTTTATTTTAATAAACTTTTGTAGCTTAAATTGAGTTTCTCCTTCTTTTCTAAAACCTAACCTTATATGAATAACTACATCCGTAAGCTGAAAGTATCTGAAAATTCACACATTTCAGAAAAGTAATTCTTAAGCAATCAACAGTAGAAGCAAAGCCAACAATGTTTCCATACCTGGAGCTGATATTCTTCCGTGCAGCACGGAGTCACTGGGCAGCAGTTCTTTTGAATTGGAGGTGAATGGTGATTGTCTAAATGTGTCTTCTGAAAAGAAAGGGCTGGGGTGGGGGAGGGGGAGTGAAGTTTAGTAAATTAAAGTTATTTAAGACACCCAGAGCACCTGGTCCCAAATACATATATACGCAATATTAGATAAGGTGTTGCTGTTTGCAACGGTGTTTAGTGAATATAAGAAGATTGTGCTTAAAATGGAGAAAAAGAAAAGTCATTACATCAGACAAGTGCCAGCTGTACCTTCTGCCTATGGGTTTTATATTTGGGGGGAATAAATGAAACATCATCTTTGAAACACTGTTAAACCCGTAGAGGAGGACAGCTGTGCAGTACATTTTCCTCTTGCTCTATTCTTTCTGTGTGTTGTGCCCTGCCTGGGTCAGAATCAGAAAGGGCCTGTCTGTGGTTTTCCCGGTAGAGATGGAATTGCCCTGGCTCACCCATATTCTGTCACCTGATCCCTCAGGGACCCACTACACACATCAAGACAGATGGCTGGGGCCAGGGACCAATACACTGAAGGAAACATGTCACTGGTCCCCACAGAAACGAAAACTGCAACTTGAAATTGTGTTGGTTCTGATGGAGTTAAAGTCAGAAAACGGGGCTGCCAGAAGGGACCCCAGGGAGCTCCCTCATTTAACATGAAAGAGAGGCCCTGACCTGAGTGATCCTAAGGTCCCCTAGTGACTCAGCTAGAACTAGAACTAGGGTCACCAGACATCCTGCCAGGGTTCCCTCTAAAACCATGACCACAGTGAACACAAAGGATTGAATGTTTTTAATTAGAGAACTCTAACTCGGTCACAGGGTCCATCTTCCAGGCCTCTAAAATAAAATGTGAATAAGTACTGCGATCACATATAAGAATACTGGAGTATCCATCAGTGTCCAACCTAGAAAATGGAAAGCCCTATTTATTTACAACAGACGAAATTCAACCATAGGAACTGGGTACCCAGACAGTGGAAGTTCCAGGGGGTAGTAACACAGCCCAGAGATAGGAAGGGCAGGAAGCCATTGCCACCCTGAGGCTGGAGGGACAAAAGGAGGAGATAAATGGAGCCCAGGTCATGGGAGCCGAAGCACCAGAGGAGATGCAGCTGCCATGGGAGACAGAGAGGGAGTGGTAGAATACCCAGGCTCTACCTTAATCCCCTCCCCCTACCTCTCACCAGTGCCTCTGATTGGCTGAACCTTCTGGAAGGCAGGGAAACGCAGCCAGGAGGGATCACTACCCCCCACCACTCCCCTGGGCAAAACAGCAGATCTGGAGCAGAACAACAGACCAAGCCTAGGACTCCCAGGACTAGCGCTGCTTTGCTAAACATGCCACAAGGCTATGGTTGCTATTATTCAATTTTAAAAAGAGAATGTTAAGATGAAAATGGAAGACACTTTCTTTAAAGTAAAACATACATTAATAGATAATATAGTTTTACATGACTGTGTTAGGCTAGATTTAACACAACTTTGTATGCCATGGTTTTTCTTTGTATCTTAAACACAAAACAATTTAAACAGGCTTAAAAAGTGAACACTGGCTATAGGCTAGTAGGAGGCAGGAATTGGGGAGAAGCGAAGGGGCAGATATGTCGCTTTCTACCAAACATCTCATAACCTGCAAGGGTGGCTAAGGCCGTGAAGGAGGGGACACAGTGTGACCACGGGGCCTGGCCAGGGAGCCCAGGAAGGGCCTTCCTGCAAAAGCCACCATGGGCGGGATGGACAGTAGGGTCATTAGGGTTTCAAGGAGCTGGGGAAGGCGGCCCCAGCACTGTGAGAAAGCCTGCAGAGCTGGAGGAAGGCCCATGGTAGAGGCAAATGAGTCTGGACCCTGTGTGCAGTGATCATGGCTTTGTCCCAACAGTAGTGAGGGCACTGCAGTGTCTTAAGTAAGGGGGTCAGGGAACTGGACTTCAGTTTCAGAAAGCTCCATGTGGCTGCAGCAGGCAGTGCGGCCTGGGGGACTTGCAGAAGACAAGGCGTGTGGCCAGTGCAGCAGTCCAGATGGGACGTGGTGATGCTGGTGGCCAATGTCGCCAGCCAGCAGCGACACTTGCAGGTCGAAGAAGAGTTTAAAGGAGAGGGCTGGTCAACACCACAGGTACATTTGAGAATAACCTTCACCTAGCTTTCTAGGTGAAGCGAGCAGAGGCTGCTGTGCTATGTGCTGGAAGTAGTCTTCTGGGTCTTGCTAAGTAGTGGCAATGGGCTAGCACTGCGTCTTCACATGCTGTCTTCAAAAGTGTGGATTCCTGCTGATGTGAGGAGTGGAGCCCTATTATCACTGAGCTGCTCAGAAGAAATTGAATTGAAAGGGAGACAATCACCGAGGGAAACAACATTCAAAATAATTTTCTACCCTGGATGCCAGCTTTATCCTGCATAGAAAAGAAAAGATTTCTTCTGAGGGAGCAGAGAATTAGAAGGGAGTCCTGCTGGATACTAAAAATGCACAAAAGGGCTGCCAATGTTTCTATCGGGCAAAGAATCAATGGAGAAACTTTCAGAAGGCAAGGCAGCTTAAGGCTGGTGTAAGTCTTAGCTACAGAGAGAAGATATTAGGTTAACAGGGAATCGGTCTCAGACCAAACACACAGCTGCCATGCTCTGCATTCGGATCCGTTCATGCCAGGAGATAGCAAGTGTGCTAGTTTTGCAGAGAGTTTGGAATCAGAAAAATTGGAGTCTGAATTTCATATTGGTTACTTCATAGTTAAGGGACCTTTGGACAATCAATAACCCCTCTAGCCTCAGTTTCGTCACTGAAAAAGAGGTTTAACAACGCCATCTTTTAGAGGGGTGCTGTAAGGGTTCAAATGAGATGTTTCATGTTAAAGTTCTCAGTACATAGTACATGCTCAATAAAAAACAGCAACAAACGCTAAGTATCTGGCACTGATTTAAGGTGCTTTGTGTGTATTAACTTCACTTGGTCCTCATAAGAACCCTATGAGAGTAGCCACCATTATTATAGTAGTCCCCCCTTACCCATGGTTTGGCTTTCTGTGATTTCAGTTATCCACAGTACAGTACAATAAGATATTTTGAGAGCGAGACCACATTCACATAACTCTTAATCCAGAATAAGAATAATGTTACACAGAATATTGTTATAATTGTCCTATTTTATTATTAGTTATTGTTGTTAATCTCTTACTATGCCTAATTTATAAATTAAACTTTACCATATGTATGCATAGGAAAAAGCATTGTGTATATAGGGTTCAGTACTATCTGAGGTTTCCGGCAACCACTGTGGGTCTTTTTTTCTTTTTTGAGACAGAGTTTTGCTCTTGTTGCCCAGGCTGGAGTGCAATGGCGCAATCTTGGCTCACTGCAACCTCCGCCTCCTGGGTTCAAGCAATTCTCCAGCCTCAGCCTCCCAAGTAGCTGGGATTACAGGCGTGTGCCACCACGCCCGACTAATTTTTGTATTCTTAGTAGAGATGGGATTTTGCCTTGTTGGCCAGGCTGGTCTCGATTTTCTGACCTCATGTGACCCACCTGCCTCGGCCTCCCAAAGTGCTGGGATTACAGGCATGAGCCACCACGCCCTGCCAACCACTGTGGGTCTTGAAACATATTCCCTGTGTGGATAAGGAGGGACTACTGCATTATCCCTATTTTACAGATGTGGAGACTTAGGCACAAAGAAGTTAGGTAGTTGCCCATGCCCATGAGTTGAGCATGATGGCTTCCCCATCTGCACTCTTTCCCGCTCAGCTACACTGCCTTTCGTTGGTCCGTTAACACCTAAGGAATTTATGGACAATAGAGACCCATGAATCCTTGCAACAAATGGAGAAAAGGAAGAGATAGAGAAGGGGGTGATGGAGGGGAGTAGGGACCAGTCGTTTCAGTATAAAGGTACTGAAGGAAGCTGAAAGACTTTTCTATTGAGAAATAGAGCAAGTAAAAATAATTTTTGTCTTTATTTCCCTATAGAAGTTAAGATATGCCCCAATTTCCTAAAACTTGTACCACTCATGGGCCTGGTCAATTTGCAACTCTAAACATTCGCCACTGCTGTACCTACAGCTTCCTAGAGCAAGCCTGTCTCTGCTATTAACTGTAAATGAAGAAGGAAGGGTAAAGAGGTCGTTAGCTGTTTGTAAGCTTCTATTTCGCCAAAGCTGTAAAGCACATGGTGGCACTATGGCTACATACACAACTGTGTATTAATCCTTCTGGTACCCAGATTAGCTTCATGCTTCAGGAAGGAGAAAAAACTAAACTTGCAGCATGCCCTATAGAGCAGAGCTTGCTTCATGGGATTAGATCTCCAATAACACTGGTTATCCTTAACTCTCTGCACAAGGAACTAAGAAAACAGAAGACACTCCATGTGTAACTTTGTCCCATGAAAGTTCATTTTCAGAATGCTGAAATCATATTCCGTAAGTTCTTTTTCTTCTCCTGTGCCAGTGACCGTAAAGTACAGAAGCACATCCGTTCTCAGGTGACACCCAGCTTTGCGGTGGAAAAAGCACTTCAGTAAGGGGTGGTGAGGCTGACACCTCGTTCATGCTGCTCAGTGACTGTCACTGTTGGCAGCGGGCAGCGGAGAGGCAAGTTCCAGGAGGTACCGGACACAGGATGAAGCGGGCTGCATCTTCCCAGGGAGTAAAACAATCCATGAAATGCACTGGACTTTACGACGTGCCCCGAAGCATGTTTGTACTGTCCTCCAACTGGTTACTTCAGCCAGTTACCAACTGTTCCAGAAAAGGAGCCAGTTTGTGAACACCATATAGCCCTTGCTTCTGAATCCTCAGCTGCCTAGACTTCAGTCATTTTATTATGAAAAAGCCCCTCCATCCAGAAAGTAAGCCAAGGAAGTGGAAAAAAGCAAGAAAAGAGGTTTATTTCTGGTTAATATTTTTGGTAAAAAGTTGATAGAGGAGGAGGTGGAAATTAACAGCTAATGGGGAGGGAATCATCACTTATTTTCACTCAACAAAATCATCATCTATCACAACATATTCCCTTTGGCCCGGGTCAAAGACAGGCTAGCTGGAAGACTTACATAATTCATAAATATTCAGTAACTCTTCAGTAGCAGCATCTGGAAGTTGATGGTATGGACATCAAAGAGCCCAAGCCCCCTGTTAATTTCCCTGGGTTTTGAAAATACAATCTTATAAAACTTTTATCTCCTTGAGTTTCTTTTCTGGATACAAGTGAAATGGCTGTGGAAAGTATATTTTGATTTTTCTCCTGTAGAAAATCTAAGGGCTAAGATATGAAGGGGCAGGGGTGTCATAGTGAGTGGACAATTCCAGGCCAGGCATGGGATGTGGGGTCAGCAGCACAGGGCTGAGAAAGGAAAAGACTTACAATAAATAATAAAAGTCCATAAAGGATTATGGCTCTAAATAGTGATACATTTTGCTAAGTGCCTATTGTGACACCAGTATTTCCACCTTTAACACCTGAGGGCCAACAGAGAGTTTTGTCTCATGCAGAAGAGAAGGCTCATCTACTTAAAATCAACCCTCCCCAAGTGCCACCACTGAAACCAAACGTTACAGGGATTCTCATTTTGACAGCAATAACAAAACCAAAAGAAAACAGAAAAGAAGGTGAGTACAGACTGTGAGAGAAAGTTTGGAAAAGACCTTCTTTGGTAATGACACAACAGTTTTAAAGGAGCAATAGAGAAGAAACAGATTTTTTTTCTAAGAGACAGTAACTTTCAAGACTAAACTTGGGAATGACAAATAGAAAAGAAAAAGATTAAATAAAGAAAGACTGCACTGTAATGAGTTTTTACTTGGAACTCAGAAGGGACTAGATAGATCAGGGTGGCATGAAATTCTATTAAATGTAAGAGTTTCTGGCAAATCATCCTAAAGTGACAGTCTGACTTCTATCTGCACAGAGACAAATTACCTTAGTAGATTTTTTTAAAATAGTGAATCTTAAAAAAAAAATTCTTCGGTGAATTAATCAAGTAAAAGTACTCGATTATCATATATTCAGCCATATATTATGTGACCTAACAGGGTTTACAGATTTCGAGAGCTGGATAAAACATGTCTGAAAGAATCTGGGGTAATTTTTAATTTTCTTTTGTGTTACTTTAAGGAAATTTTAAAAACAAGCTATCTGACTTAGATATATGTCTGAGAAACTATATGTTGCAAAAAGAGAGCTGGAAGTCCCAGCGTGGGGTACAACAGTTCTGTGGGAGCCAACGTGTTCTTTCTCTAACCACTACCTGCTCCCCAGCAGACCTCAGCCCCTGGGCCCCTCACCAGGTGGTTTTCTATCCCTCCTGGTAACAGTGTCTTCCTCTTCTCTACTCAGACCCAGTTGTTAAGCCACTGCAATACTGGTTTTCCATGTTGATACATCATGTTATTTTTTAAGAACTGAAATGCCACAGATGTGTCAGTATTTTAAAAACTCTGACCTTTGAATCACTTAGACCTTGAGAAACCCTCCAGGAGTTACACACGGCATTAACATTTTGAAGTGTACAGGAAGCAGTTAGTTGAGAAAATAGTTTTCCATGTTTCCAAAAGCCACGAGAAAAGGCAGGCAACAGATGAAAGTTATCTCAATAATTAATCTGACTTTAGTTCAAACATCTTTTGAATATGTGGAATATGCATGTTAGAGAATTAAAATGAATACAGGTAACTTGCATATGGGATCTCCATGTCTGTGTTTCATATAATGAAACTAAAGGAAATGAGAACAAACCGGAAATGTTTTCTTTGAACAAAAACTAGAGCTTGCTAATAATAACAGATTACAGGCCTTGCCAAAAGACAAAAAAAGTGTTTTTTTTTTAATGCTTCTTAAACATATCAAATAAGAAAGGTGGGTTTATTCAAAGATAAGGAATAAAGGAAATCTTTGTATTAGTTATAACTACCTCCTCAACATTTCCTCAAGTACTTTAAGGTGAGAAGACATTCTTCGAGAAGCTGGAATAGCTTACATGAAAATAAGGTCACAACTGAAAAACAAAAACACTTTATTTTTACATATTTCACTTTTTGAAAAGATCAAATAAGAATATTTCATTTTCAACTTAATTTTCATGATTAATGCCGTTTTCTTCACTTTTAGTGATTTTCTTTTTCTCAACTATTACTTCCTTTTATTAATTTATTTGCTAATAACTTAATAGACGCTTATATTTCTTTTCATATATTTATATATGTACATGTTGTATAACATATTTATAAGTAATTGTATTTGAAATATATTAAGTGCTTAGTTCTACATATTTTTGTAAAAAAATTTCGAACACTTTAAAAAATAAAATGCAAACACTCTATACAGTTGCATCAGTATCATGTGAAATATAGAAGAAAACCCTGACACAGTCCTTTTGTTCTGCAGTAGCAATCACTCTATGTGGCCTAGGACCATGTGTGGTCTTCCTAACTTCCTCATTTTCATTTTGAATGAGCAGTTGTAGAGCTGTTGCTTCTGAAATGTGCCCAGATATTAACATGTTACGTATAACAATCAGGGCCAGTTGTCTTACTAACATCCTTGCAGTCAATTGAAAAGGTAATCTATAATGAAAGAAAACACTTTTAATGGTACGCATGAACATTGCCCTTCCCTTTTCAATACCACAGAAATGAGGAACCCTGTTCCTAAAGATTTTATTTATTGTGACGAAAAGGACCCCGGATGGCAGGTTAGGGAATGTGGGGGTGGACAAGAGTGCCCAAGATTAAAAATGACTGTGAGTCTCAGCCCTGAAGGCAACCCTGACCATCTGAAAGAGAAAATTCTGTATTTGACCATACAAGGGACATAACAGGGACCTCCTGTGACCCCAGTGGGTTAGGCCTGAAAACTCGGTCATTGATCATGTTGGGCTCACACATTTTCAAAGAAAGAGGGGCAGTTGTGAATAAAACTTGGATTATTCCTATACATTGGCAAGCTTCAGCTGGGGCATTTATCTAAAAATCGAGGCTGGCATTGCAGATTCAGTGTGTTTCTAAATGGGCCTGTGGGCAGAGGGGACTCAAGGGTTCTCAATCACTCTACTAGCATATAGGCAGCAGATTTTCTTCTTTAATTTTTGGAGGTGACAAGGAAGCTAAGATGGGTTTCCTCTCCTCCAATTCCGTTGATGCGGCTGCATAACTTGGCTGTGGCCAATGAAACAGAAACTGTAGCAATTAAAAACTAAAGGTGTTGTTAATTTTGTAAGATGTGAACTAGCATCATGGAAAATCTCCTTACTTTTTAGAGATATATACCAAAGAATCTGGGAATGAATGTTTGATATCTGGGATGTGACTTAAAATGCAGGAGGAAAAAGGACGGGTAAACCAAGTGTGGCAAAATGTTGATACTTGTTCAATATGGGTGATGGGAATATAGTGATTCATTATTTTTTCTATTTTGGTTAAAAAATTTCATAATAATAAAAAATCAATAGCAACGACCAAACAAAAAATCCAACCCAGACAAGCCACCAAACAGAATAAGAAATGGCAGTAAAAGAAAATACAAGACTGTGCATGATGGCTCACTCCTGTAATCCCAGCACTTTGGGAGACCAAGGCAGGAGGATCACTTGAGCCCAGGAATTCAAGAACAGCTTGGGCAACATGGCAGAAACCCTGTCTCTACAAAAAAATACAAAAATTAGCCAAGTGTGGTGGTGCATGCCTGTAGTCCCAGCTACATGAGAGGCTGAGGTGGGAGGATCACTTGAGCCCAGGAGGTAGAGGCTGCAGTGAGTGGAGATTGTGCCACTGCACTCCAGCCTGGGCGACAGGGCAAGACCTCGTCTCAAAAAAACAAACAAACAAACAAAAAACAAAACAAAACCACACACACACACACACACACACACACACACACAGAGCAAATACAAATGTCTCCCCATGAACAAAATGCTTAAGAGCACTAGGAATCAATAAATCAAAGACTTTAAATGGAAGATATAATTTTTCACCCTCCAATCATTAAAAAAATTTTAATGATAAGCACAGAGTTGATCGGGCCTTTGAAATATTCTCTGTCTCCCTCTGTCTCTGTCTCTCATGAAAACTGTTAGAACTGCAGATTCAATCTTCTTAAAAGTCATTTTGACAATTGGTACCAATAGCCTGAAAAATGTGAATACTGTTTTGAGTCATGTCAGGCCTCTGAGCCCAAGCCAAGCCATCGCATCCCCTGTGACTTGCACGTATATGCCTAGATGGCCTGAAGTAACTGAAGAATCACAAAAGAAGTGAATATGCCCTGCCCCACCTTAACTGATGACATTCCACCACAAAAGAAGTGTAAATGGCCGGTCCTTGCCTTAACTGATGACATTACCTTGTGTGCGACCCCCACTCCTGCCTGCCAGAGAACAAACCCCCTTTGACTGTAATTTTCCTTTACCTACCCAAATCCTATAAAACGGCCCCACCCTTATCTCCCTTTGCTGACTCTCTTTTCGGACTCAGCCCACCTGCACCCAGGTGAAATAAACAACCATGTTGCTCACACAAGGCCTGTTTGGTGGTCTCTTCACACGGACGTGCATGAAATTTGGTGCCGTGACTCGGATCGGGGGACCTCCCTTGGGAGATCAATCCCCTGTCCTCCTGTTCTTTGCTCCGTGAGAAAGATCCACCTACGACCTCAGGTCCTCAGACCGACCAGCCCAAGAAACATCTCACCAATTTCAAATCCGGTAAGCGGCCTCTTTTTACTCTCTTCTCCAACCTCCCTCACTATCCCTCAACCTCTTTCTCCTTTCAATCTTGGCGCCACAATTCAATCTCTCCCTTCTCTTAATTTCAATTCCTTTCATTTTCTGGTAGAGACAAAGGAGACACGTTTTATCCGTGGACCCAAAACTCTGGCGCCAGTCACGGACTGGGAAGGCAGCCTTCCCTTGGTGTTTAATCATTGCAGGGCTGCCTCTCTGATTATTCACCCACGTTTCAAAGGTGTCAGACCACGCAGGGACGCCTGCCTTAGTCCTTCACCCTTAGTGGCAAGTCCCGCTTTCCTGGGGCAGGGGCAAGTACCCCAACCCCTTCTCTCCGTGTCTCTACCCCTTCTCTGCTTTTCTGGAAGAGGGGCAAGTACCACTCAACCCCTTCTCCTTCACCCTTAGCGGCAAGTCCCGCTTTTCTACGGGGCAAGAACCCCCAATCCCTTATTTCTGCACCCCAACCTCTTATCTCTGTGCCCCAATCCCTTATTTACGCACCCCAACCTCGTATCTCTGTGCCCCAATCCCTTATTTCCGTGCCCCAACCTCTTATATCTCTGCACCCCAATCCCTTATTTCTGCACCCCAACCTCTTTTATCTCTGTGCCCCAATCCCTTATTTCCATGCCCCGACCTCTTATTTCTGCGCCCCATCCCTTATTTCCATGCCCTGACCTCTTATCTCTGCGCCCCAACCTCTTATCTCTGTGCCCCAACCCCTTTTCCCACTTTTCTGGAAGGTAAGAACCCCCGAACCCCTTCCCTCCATTTCTCTACTCTCTCTTTTCTCTAGGCTTGCTTCCTTCACTATGGGCAACCTTCCACCCTCCATTCCTCCTTCTACTCCCTTGGCCTGTGTTCTCAAAAACTTAAAACCTCTTCAACTTACACCTGACCTAAAACCTAAATGCCTTATTTTCTTCTGCAATGCCGCTTGACCCCAATACAAACTCGACAGTAGTTCCAAATAGCCAGAAAATGGCACTTTGAATTTTTCCATCCTGCAAGATCTAAATAATTCTTGTCGTAAAATAGGCAAACGGTCTGAGGTGCCTGACATCCAGGCATTCTTTTACACATCAGTCCCTTCCTAGTCTCTGTGCCCAGTGCAACTTGTCCCAAATCTTCCTTCTTTCCCTCCCGCCTGTCCCCTCAGTATTAACCCCAAGCGTCGCTGAGTCTTTCTAATCTTCCTTTTCTACAGACCCATCTGACCTCTCCCTTCCTCCCCAGGCTGCTCTTCGCCAGGCCGAGCTAGGTCCCAATTCTTCCTCAGCCTCTGCTCCTCCACCCTATATAATCTTTTTATCACCTCCCCTCCTCACACCTGGTCCGGCTTACAGTTTCGTTCCGTGACTAGCCCTCCCCATCCTGCCCAGCAATTTACTCTTAAAAAGGTGGCTGGAGCTAAAGGCATAGTCAAGGTTAATGCTCCTTTTTCTTTATCCCAAATCAGATAGCGTTTAGGCTCTTTTTCATCAAATATAAAAATCCAGCCCAGTTCATGACTCGTTTGGCAGCAACCCTGAGACACTTTACAGCCCTAGACCCTAAAAGGTCAAAAGGCCGTCTTATTCTCAAAATACATTTTATTACCCAATCTGCTACCGACATTAAATAAAACTCCAAAAATTAAATTCCGGCCCTGAAACCCCACAACAGGATTTAATTAACCTCGCCTTCAAGGTGTACAATAATAGAAAAAAGTTGCAATTCCTTGCCTCCACTGTGAGACAAACCCCAGCCACATCTCCAGCACATAAGAACTTCCAAACGCCTGAACCGCAGCGGCCAGGCGTTCCTCCAGAACCTCCTCCCACAGGAGCTTGCTACACGTGCCGGAAATCTGGCCACTGGGCCAAGGAATGCCCGCAGCCTGGGATTCCTCCTAAGCTACGTCCCATCTGTGTGGGACCCCACTGAAAATCGGACTGTTCAACTCACCTAGCAGCCACTCCCAGAGCCCCTGGAACTCTAGCCCAAGGCTCTCTGACTGACTCCTTCCCAGATCTTCTCGGCTTAGCGGCTGAAGACTGACACTGCCCGATCGCCTCAGAAGCCCCCTAGACCATCACGGATGCTGAGCTTCGGGTAACTCTCACAGTGGAAGGTAAGCCCGTCCCCTTCTTAATCAATTCGGAGGCTACCCACTCTACATTACCTTCTTTTCAAGGGCCTGTTTCCCTTGCCTCCATAACTGTTGTGGGTATTGACAGCCAGGCTTCTAAACCTCTTAAAACTCCCCAACTCTGGTGCCAACTTAGACAACACTCTTTTAAGCACTCCTTTTTAGTTATCCCCACCTGCCCAGTTCCCTTATTAGGCTGAGACACTTTAACTAAATTATCTGCTTCCCTGACTATTCCTGGACTACAGCAATATCTCATTGCCGCCCTTCTTCCCAATCCAAAGCCTCCTTTGCGTCCTCCTCTTGTATCCCCCCACCTTAACCCACAAGTATAAGATACCTCTACTCCCTCCTTGGCGACCGATCATGCACCCCTTACCATCTCATTAAAACCTAATCACCCTTACCCCACTCAACGCCAGTATCCCATCCCGCAGCACGCTTTAAAAGGATTAGAGCCTGTTATCACTCACCTGCTACAGCATGGCCTTTTAAAGACTATAAACTCTCCTTACAATACCCCCATTTTACCTGTCCTAAAACCAGACAAGCCTTTACAAGTTAGTTCAGGATCTGCGCCTTATCAACCAAATTGTTTTGCCTATCCACCCCGTGGTGCCAAACCCATATACTCTCCTATCCTCAATACCTGCCTCTACAACCCATTAGTCTGTTCTAGATCTCAAACATGCTTTCTTTACTATTCCTTTGCACCCTTCATCCCAGCCTCTCTTCGCTTTCACTTGGACTGACCCTGACACTCATCAAGCTCAGCAAATTACCTAGGCTGTACTGCCGCAAAGCTTCACAGACAGCCCCCGTTACTTCAATCAAGCCCAAATTTCTTCCTCATCTGTTACCTATCTCGGCATAATTCTCATAAAAACACACGTGCTCTCCCTGCCAATCGTGTCCAACTGATCTCTCAAACCCAAGCACCTTCTACAAAACAACTCCTTTCCTTCCTAGGCATGGTTAGCGCGGTCAGAATTCTTACACAAGAGCCAGGACCACACCCTGTAGCCTTTCTGGCCAAACAACTTGACCTTACTGTTTTAGCCTAGCCCTCGTGTCTGCGTGCAGTGGCTGCTGCTGCTTTAATACTTTTAGAGGCCCTCAAAATCACAAACTATGCTCAACTCACTCTCTACAGTTCTCATAACTTCCAAAATGTATTGTCTTCCTCATACCTGACGCATATACTTTCTGCTCCCCGGCTCCTTCAGCTGTACTCACTCTTTGTTGAGTCTCCCACAATTACCATTGTTCCTGGCTCGGACTTCAATCCGGCCTCCCACATTATTCCTGATACCACACCTGACCCCCATGACTGTATCTCTCTGATCCACCTGACATTCACCCCATTTCCCCAAATTTCCTTCTTTCCTGTTCCTCACCCTGATCACGCTTGATTTATTGATGGCGGTTCCACCAGGCCTAATCGCCACACACCAGCAAAGGCAGGTTATGCTATAGTACAAGCCACTAGCCCGCCTCTTAGAACCTCTCATTTCCTTTCCATCGTGGAAATCTATCCTCAAGGAAATAACTTCTCAGTGTTCCATCTGCTATTCTGCTACTCCTCAGGGATTATTCAGGCACCCTCCCTTCCCTACACATCAAGCTCGAGGATTTGCCCCACCTAGTACTGGTAAATTAGCTTTACTCAACATGCCCTGAGTCAGATAACTAAAATACCTCTTAGTCTAGGTAGATACTTTCACTGGATAGGTAGAGGCCTTTCCTACAGGGTCTGAGAAGGCCACCGCAGTCATTTCTTCCCTTCTGTCAGACATAATTCCTCAGTTTAGCCTTCCCACCTCAATACAGTCTGATAACAGACGAGCCTTTATTAGTCAAATCAGCCAAGCAGTTTTTCAGGCTCTTAGTATTCAGTGAAACCTTTATATCCCTTATGGTCCTCCGTCTTCAAGAAAAGTAGAATGGACTAAAGTAAAGGTCTTTTAAAACACACCTCACCAAGCTCAGCCACCAACTTAAAAAGGACTGGACAATACTTTTACCACTTTCCCTTCTCAGAATTCAGGCCTGTCCTCAGAATGCTACAGGGTACAGCCCATTTAAGCTCCTGTATAGACGCTCCTTTTTATTAGGCCCCAGTCTCATTCCAGACACCAGACCAACTTAGACTGTGCCCCCCACCAAAAAAAAACTTGTCATCCCTACTATTTTCTGTCTAGTCATACTCCTATTCACCGTTCTCAACTACTCATACATGCCCTGCTCTTGTTTACACTGCCGGTTTACACTGTTTTTCCAAGGCATCACAGCTGATATCTCCTGGTGCTATCCCCAAACTGCCACTCTAAACTCTTGAAGTAAATAAATAATCTTTGCTGGCAGGACTATGCCGAATCTCCTTAAGCACTCTCTAATCAGATATCCTGAGTCATCCCAATTCTTAGACCTTTTATACCTGTTTTTCTCCTTCTGTTATTCCATTTAGCTTTTCAATTCATACAAAACCGTATCCAGGCCATCACCAATCATTCTATACGACAAATGTTTCTTCTAACATCCCCACAATATCACCCCTTACAAGACCTCCCTTCAGCTTAATCTCTCCCACTCTAGGTTCCCACGCCGCCCCTAATCCCGCTTGAAGCAGCCCTGAGAAACATCGCCCATTCTCTCTCCATACCACCCCCCAAAAATTTTCGCCACCCCAACACTTCAACACTATTTTGTTTTATTTTTCTTATTAATATAAGAAGGCAGGAATGTCAGGCCTCTGAGCCCAAGCCAAACCATCACATCCCCTGTGACTTGCACGTATATGCCCAGATGGCCTGAAGTAACTGAAGAATCACAAAAGAAGTGAATATGCCCAGCCCCACCTTAACTGATGACATTCCACCACAAAAGAAGTGTAAATGGCTGGTCCTTGCCTTAACTGATGACATTACCTTGTGAAAGTCCTTTTCCTGGCTCATCCTGGCTCAAAAGCACCCCCACTGAGCACCTTGCGACCCCCACTCCTGCCCGCCAGAGAACAAAACCCCTTTGACTGTAATTTTCTTTTACCTACCCAAAACCTATAAAACGGCCCCACCCTTAACTCCCTTCGCTGACTCTTTTCGGACTCAGCCCACCTGCACCCAGGTGAAATAAACAGCCATGTCGCTCACACAAAGCCTGCTTGGTGGTCTCTTCACAGGGACGCGCATGAAAAGTCATTTTATCCCACCATTGTTTATATTAACAATTTTTTGGGGGGGGACCCTTGATATTCAATAACAAGGGACTGATTAAATAAATTATAACACAGGCAAACCTGAATACTATGCAAACATTAAAAGAATAACATTGAGAATGTCCATGGAAAAATGGACAATCTTATATATTGTTAGGTGAAAACAGAAGATTATAAAACTGTATATGTAGTAGGACTCAGTTATAAATGAAAAAAAATCCAGCAAGGATACACACCACCAACTTAGCAGTGGCTGTCTCTAGGTAGTAGGACTAAAAATACATTTTCTTTATGTGCTCCTATATTATCTGGAAATAAGTTACTTTTAAAAGTTAAAAACAACCATTAAATTTTACTGTTTAGTATCTTTTACTTTTGAAAAGACTCGGTCTTTTAAAGAGAAAGCTCTGAGGGACAATTGTAAAAGACACAGGCAGAAACAACTACATCTCAATTATGACCCTCAGTATCAGTCTGCTTCAGTTTCAGAAGTCTGAAAGCTATGGAAGGAAGAGGTTGTATGCAATATTGTAGAAGAAAAATACAGCATCTTAGGAACATATACGTATTTTTCATGTTTAGTATTTTCTTCTTTGAAAAGTATAAATGCCTCCTATTTCAGATTGTCTTACAGGTGGGCCAGTATGTACAACCTAACACTGAGTTTTCAAGGAACAAGTTTCTGTTGCTGCTGCTCTAGCATTCATGCACTGTGGAGCCCGGAAACTTCTCGGGACAAGGAGCACAATGCCAGGCCTTGTCGAGGGCCGCTGCAGTGGAGAGGCCAGACCGGGGGTGCCAGAGCCAACCGCAGACCAAGGAAGTGAACCCTGCACATCCGGATACTTGAAATGTCAGCTTGTGGAGGATCTCCCGCAGGAATCTGACTTTATACACAAACAAAGACATTGAGCTTTCTGCTGAGGTGAGCTCAGAACGGATGAACTTAGTCTTCTCTGCAGTGATGCAAGCCTCTGTCATGTGGAAGTTACAGACGATGCTAGTGAAATGTGGATGGTCTCCTGGCCCACTGCATCATGCAAGAGGGCTGCTTTACAGAGGCCAACCCTTGAAAGACTTGATATATTTCTACTAACAATCATGAAGACACTCTTCAGAGAAAATTCCAGATAAGAACAGCATCTAAGCCTCACCTACTTTTTGGTTATATCATTCTTGCATAACCTGCCAAAGGCAGCTAGAGGGGAACACAGTCTCTGGATGTCCACTGACAGAGACTTACCAATTTACACTTCATTCCTGACTATTAGGAGTTATAAAAACGAGAGAATACTATTGCAAGCCAGTAGAAATAAAGATGGGAGTGTCCATGGGAAATGAAAAGAAAGGCACAGCCCTCTTCAGATCCTGAAAAGGAGATTTAAATTTGCCTCTTAAGAGTAACACAACACAGAACCATTCTGGAAGCATATCGTTCCAATATAACATTTCGGTATAGATGTCACGAAGGGAGGAAAAATGGTAGAGAGCAAATATCTATAGGACAATGGAGTAGAGGAATAGAACAAAGTACTGAGAAAGGGCTTGGTGAAATGGGAAGGAAAAACAAATCCAAATGGCAACAATGCACAAAGTAATTTCAGGCTCTGTGTGTGTGTATCTCCATTGTTTTCAAGGATCAGTTTTAATTTCTTTGAAAAATAGAAGCTCAAAGATAAGTAGCAAAGAATGTATTGCCAATGAAAAGACTCTCAAGTCCGCATGTGTGTCAGGGCAGCTGCAGATAGTGGTGTAGGCTGTGCACTGCACAAAAGCACCACATCTAGAGGGGCATGATTAACGTCACAGACATCAGATTTATTGTGACAATATTCCAGTAGATGGCAGTGTACTAAGGGAGGGAGTCTTTTTAAAATGTACAATGGCACCATGAGGCCCCAAAACAGCCTTGACTTCACCAAAAAGAAATGAATGTCCTAACTGAAGGGACTCTGTGAAATTAGTAGCAATTTCCATTCTTTGGAAATAGAATGCTCATTGCATTTAATTTTAAAGTCACAACATGTAAAGGGTAAAGAGAATATATGGAGACCTCCTTAGATATCAATTTCATTTGCTCTGTTTCTGGTTTCTTTTCTTAATTGCTTCTGTCTAATTCAGTGTTCTCTAAAAGTAATATTTTACTTTTTAAGGTAATATAGCATTATTCTTTTATTCCTTCCAAAGAACTAAAAAGGGAAAATTGTGCGAATTGAGGCAACACATCATGCTTTTACAAATTTGTGCAATTTCTATTACTGAATCATAAATATTTAAGGACACGCATCCGAACCATCACAAAGGAAAATTTTACATTGGATGATTCCAAGTGAATATGTCTTTTAGTAAACACTATGTGCCATTATCTAAATCACAGAAAAATAGCCTGCATTTCAAATTCTGAAAATTGGGCAAATTAAATATTGGTCTGCACAGCACGATATGAGTCTATCTTTCTCTGATTTTCCCACTTCTGCTTTTTGTCTAGTAATGGAGAAAAGAACAATTCAGGCAAACTCTTCCTTGCTTTTGGAACAAAGCAAGCCAGGTGTGAGAAAGTATTTGTTATAGGCCTGCAATTTTATACCCCCATGGACACTGAATTATTAATGGAGAAAAGAGAGAACAAATAACCAAGAGAGGGTTCTTGGCAGCCATTGTTTGAAGTTCATGGTGTTACACAACATTGAGCATGTCCAATTCACCTGCCAGGAGCTATCTGATTCTTACTCTAGGGTTCCATTTTCCTATCTCGATCTTATCCAGCATCTGGCTGGGTGATGGTCCATGTCAAAGGATGTAGATCTTCTTTTTATTCCATTAAACTTTGAGATCTGATTATGATATCATGCCTCATGTATTTTCATCTACCAAATGATCATAATAGCTAGTTATCTGCTCCCTGTAGAACCTAGGCTTGTGCTGGGAAAGGAAATAGAAAAATCAGGATTTTATTAGTCTGAAATGTTTGGTCCTTCTGTTCTCATGGGTCTGGCCGGGACTCTCTCCTCATCTCATTTGTCAGATAGAGTGGCATTAACAACACTCAGTCCACACACTATCTCAAAGGAGACCCACAGCCTTCTTTACACTTGCATTGAATTTTCTAGACTCTGAGGTTAAACAAGGAAAAAGACTGCTGTTTTAGCATTTACGGTGAAGTTGCATCTAAAGGACTGATTCAATGGGAAGTGCCCCGATGAGGACACAAACAAGGGTGGAGGGACAAGGTTAAGGCACTGGTGAGCAGGACCACATGATTCAATCATTCAAGCTGCTAAGTAGATTGATTTTTCTGCCTGGCTACACGGTGTGCCTTGGTGGATTGTTTTTCTCCTTTACTTTTGGGAAGATTATCCTAATTTAAGCAGCTGAGTTTAAGTTCTTAGGATAAAAAAAAAAAACAAAACAAAAAAATGGCATTCTCAAACCAGTTCTTAAAATGATGTCTGGGATTTGCTTCAAAATAATCTACAGGGAGGGGGAAGTAGAGGAGGGAGATAGATAAAACATCATAAATCATTAATTGATGATTGTTGGATTGGATGACAGATACTTCTGTATATGTTTGAAATTTTCCATTATAAGAGTTTTTAAAAATGAGGTAGAGATCCAGTGATCCAGAAACTTGGTAGTTATTAGTTTCAACCTTTAGCTTCACCTAAACCCCTTTAAAAAAATTGCCAGCAAAGAATACTGTCTCCCATTATTTTCACTCTCCTTATCTACCTTTCGTATAACAGAGGTATCAACAAGGGGCAGAGCTGCCACTGGACAGGTGTGAGGAGGGAGGATTTGATGGTGAGGAAAGTGCAGTCACCAACCCATACGGGATGGAGAGTTAACAGCACACATCCGTGGACTTCGTGTTCTCTTGGTGCAGGACACGGGCATCAGCACTCCCATGACTCACTGGCAAGCACATATTGGAATGCCAAGCTACAGAGTGTTTCCTCTTGGGCTGCTACACTTTTCCTTAGTCTTGTGGTTGAAATGAGCATCGAGATAAATAACGATAAACAATTGTGAGGGAAGCTGTGGGTTTATAAGAGGCAGGGATAGAGTCAGCTCCTTTCTTCAGTTTTGTGTCTCTTCTCCCTACCTCATGTCCTTGGATATCCAGATCCTAGGATCAGGAGATGGCAAGGAGTGGAGGAGCGTAGGCATTCATCAGCATGAGAAAGGCAAGGGAAGGTTTGATCTCAGTGCTGTGCTCAGGCCTGCCCTTTACAAACGAAACTACCTTAAATATACCTAGCTATTCTCAAAGTGCGAAAAATTCTGAACTTGATTCCAATCATGAACCGTCCTTCTGAATGATCAGTTTCTTCTAGGAAATCAAACACAGAAGATATGATTACTAAATAAACACTCCATTAGTACTTAAAAATCTGAAGATACAGAAATTCAGAGGTTTGATGTAAATCTTTTTGAAATGTATTACAAATCACACCTTAAAGCATAATCCACACACTGATCTTGTACCTGCAGAGTAAGAGTTCCTTCTAAAACAGGAGTCAGGAAAGAAGAAAGAAAATTGGCATTTTTTTTTCTGTTCCTGATATCAGTTAACTCAGGTTAAAGAGGATTTCTTGGCATAAAAATTTTATTCTATTCCACCTGAAGTAATAAGGCGAGAGGTAAAAAAGAGATCTATTTATGGATAGGCTAATCAAGTAAGCTGCCTCTACTCAAAGGAAAAAAAAAAAAACCACACCGAGGACTTTGTAGAACTATAAGCCAAGAATTCTTTAACACTGATTTCTAAACACCATATCATGCCGGGAGCTCACAGGAAGAACCTCTTCCTTTGCTTTGGGCAAAAGATCTAATTCGGATTTCCTCTTACTCATAATCTCCCAGAAAGAGGAGAATTTAAGGATTGCATCATTTTTGCCAAATGGTTAAAAAAATTTTTTTTCTCTTCTATCCTATAATCATGCTTCAGCTCCAGCCAAGGCAGTTTAGGCTTGAGGCACATTAAAATCTTTGTATGGGGCCAACTTGGGGCCTCCTCTTACCTCTTCCTAGAGAACACCTAAAGAGCATAAAATAATATGGTCTTGCAGCACATCTTTTTGTTGTATAAATATTATGTAATCTTAAAGAGCCCTCAGAAACCTCCATAGATCATGCTAGTGGGGTCCTGCCCAGATCCTCCCTCTGGCACGAATGCACCTACCCCGGAGTTTGCGTAAGTGTTGCCTGATAACTATAAGTGAGAACCGCTGTCCCCATTGGAACCCCCTAACATGGGAGGTTATACATCCCCTGCAGGGGATTACTTGAAGCTAGTGAACCTTCCTGGGGGATGCAGCTGAAGTTAGTTAGAAACCAGCTAAAACCACATCCTTCCTCTCAGCTCCTTCTCCTTCTCTTTCCTCCGTCTTCTGCCCCCATCACCTCCTTGCAGGTTCCTCTGAGAGCATTCCCTCAATAAAGCACTTCCACGAGAATCTCCATCTCTAGGGGACTTAACCTATAACACTTCAAGAATCCTATGGCAGCAAATTAAAATGAATATTTTTTTATGTTTAGTCTGCTGTCTTTCAAGGTCTACTAATCTGTCCAATTTCATCAGTGTTTAGACCCACAGACACAAGCACATACACTAAATAGCTTAAAGGTTAGATGTAGGAGGGGGCAGGATGGATTCCATGGGAGTTCACATCTTCTATTTGGGCATCAAACTTAATATACAAAATAGCCTTTCCATCCCCCGAAAGCCATTTCCCAATACAATCTGCAGTCCATCTTCCTACTCTCATTTTCTCTCTGTATACTTATATACAGACACAAGACTAATACATACCACTCTTCTGTTCTATTAGAACGAGGTTCCTCTCCCTAAAACTATATAAACCCAGTGTGAGCGAATCACGGTGGCTCACCCCTGTAATCCCAGCACTTTGGAAGGCCGAGGCAGGCAGATCGCTTGAGCTCAGGAGTTTGAGACCAGCCTGGGCAACATGGCGAAACCCTGTCTTTACAAAAAATACAAAAATTAGCAGAGGATGGTGGCATATACCTGTAGTTCCAGCTACTCGGGAGGCTGAGGTGGGAGGATGGCTTGAGCCTGCAAAGTGGAGGCTGCAGTGAGCCAAAACTGGGCCACTGCACTCCAGCCTGGGAAACAGAGTGAGACTGTCTCAAATAAATAAATAAATAAATAAATAAATAAATAAATAAATAAATAAATAAATAAAATAAACCCAGTGTGAGGCAAGCTGGCTCTGTTTTAATTGCTCTTTGAAATTTGACATTCCTAAACTCCAATTAATGGAATATTTTTTTAAAACCTCAGGTTGAAGTTTAAATGAGTACTGTCCACAGGCCTGATGATGCTCTGAGGTCGATTAATAAGACATCAAAAAGAAAAATATCTTGTACCTTTTGTTGCAAGAATTAGAAACACAAAACCCAGCAACTGTTCCCATCAGGAAGAATCTTTCTCTGTTTGCTCAGGAAAGCAAAGTTCCTTGATTTAAAGACTGCTTGGTAGCTCCCAGCTAGTTTCTACTGTTCCTAGTTGTTCATCCTAAAAATGTGTATTGCTCTTGATCATCCTGTAAAGCTCATATCTTGGGCTAACTCAGAAATTGGAGGGAGGTTTGAAAGTGGAGAATGGTCCTTCAAAGGTGGAGAATGCATTTCCCCTGAGCTCCTTTTCTGCAGTGGTGGGGTTTTCATCTGCTGGCTCTCACCTACAACGTTTCAGGTTTGGGTGGACTTCATGGGAAGCAGCTCCATGGGAGCAGCAGCACTGGCTGATCCTCCTCTTCTCACAACGGCAGATGGACGGTGGGCAGCCCACACTGGCTAACCTCCTCAGACTGCCTTTGGCAAGTGAAAAAACTTCCTTGTCCACAGTGGTGAATGATATAAATTTCCTTGCAATTTTTAAAAAGCATTATCTTTTTTCTGCCTTTAAAATCTTTGCCTTCCAAATAACGCTGGGAGGTTAAAAAAAATTTGGGATATCCTTGGTGACAAATTATCAGCCTATAGTCATGGAGGCAGTCAGGAGCAGGGTTGCAATAAGACAGAAAGAGGCCTTCGTGAGATACAGACCCAGCCCCCAGTCCCAGCTGAGCCACCCGGCTCAACTCTCAGGCCAGGAGACTTCTGCAGAGAGGATGATAATAACATCTACTTCACAAAATTATTGTCAGGAATACAAAACAATAACATATGGAAAATTTCCCAGCAAAGTGACACCTATTAGATGTTTAGTACATATTAGTGGTCTTCCTCCTTTACGTCTGTATTGTTTCTACCAACCAAGAAATTCTGGTAGAACATGGTGGTAAAGGGTGTGACTCCTTTGAACCCAGTGGGAGAAAGAGGTTTGGGGAGCAACGTTCAACATGTAGTACGGGCTGGTGGCCCACACGGGGTGTTCTGGAGGAACCCACACAAAGTCGCCTACCTGGTCGTGGTCCGGATGGTGTTTTCTTTTGTATGATTGTGCTCTTTGCTCACTTTTTCTGTAAGGAGAAAGAATGAAACATACACCTCTTAGGTTGTTCTCACTCAACTTGCATCTTTTAGCCTTAAGCAGAAAAACCCTCAACATCTCTCTTTTTCCTTTGTGGTTTTCTTTTGATTTCTTTTTTAAACATCCAGATCCTCCCCATCTTACTGGAAAAGACAATCATCCAAAGCATGTTGATAGTATCCAGTGGCTCACGCCTGTAATCCCAGCACTTTGGGAGGCTGAGGCGGGCAGATTAGGAGGTCAGGAGATCGACACTATCCTGGCTAACACAGTGAAACACCGTCTCTACTAAAAATACAAAAAATTAGCCAGGGATGGTGGTGGGCATCTATGGTCCCAGCTACTAGGGAGGCTGAGGCAGGAGAATGGCGTGAACCCGGGAGGCGGAGCTTGCAGCGAGCCGAGATCGCGCCACTACACTCCAGCCTGAGCAACAGAGCAAGACTCTGTCTCAAACAAACAAACAAACAAAAAAACACAACAACAACAACAAAAAACAACCATCACTCAGGCCAGGTGCTGTGGCTCATGCCTGTAATCCCAGCACTTTGGGAGGCCGAGGCAGGTGGATCACCTGAGGTCAGGAGTTCAAGACCAGCCTGGCCAACATGGTGAAAACCCGTCTCTACTAAAAATACAAAAATTAGCAGGGCATGATGGCGCGTGCCTGTAGTCCCAGCTACTTGGGAGGCTGAGGCAGGAGAATGGCGTGAACCCGGGAGGCGGAGCTTGCAGCGAGCCGAGATCGCGCCACTACACTCCAGCCTGAGCAACAGAGCAAGACTCTGTCTCAAACAAACAAACAAACAAAAACACAACAACAACAACAAAAAACAACCATCACTCAGGCCAGGTGCTGTGGCTCATGCCTGTAATCCCAGCACTTTGGGAGGCCGAGGCAGGTGGATCACCTGAGGTCAGGAGTTCAAGACCAGCCTGGCCAACATGGTGAAAACCCGTCTCTACTAAAAATACAAAAATTAGCAGGGCGTGATGGCGCGTGCCTGTAGTCCCAGCTACTTGGGAGGCTGAGGCAGGAGAATTGCTTGAACCTAGGAGGTGGAGGGTGTAGTGAGCCAAGACTGTGCCACTGCACTCCAGCCTGGGCGACAGAGTGTAACTCTGTCTCAAAAAAATAAAAAAAAAAAAGAAAAGTAAAACCAATCAAAGGGAAACAGTAACAAATATCAAATATCAAGTATGTGGTCTGATTTGAACGAGGCCTTGGTAAATATATACGTACACATACACATGCACACACACATAGAGTTATGGGCAGAGACAGTTATTTCCACTGTATCTTTCCCCAGCTGAAAATTTCTGCTTTCCTCTGATTCAGCATGAAAACTGCAGTTGTTGCAACTGTTCCGCCTCTGACTTTGATGACAACCTTTAAGCATTCTGTATTGTGAGGCCCCTTTGTGAGAGGGGATATAAAAACAGCCTAAGACCTCTTCGTGCTGCAGTCATTCAGTGCTTATTCTGATAAATGTCATAAGGGACAAAAAAATATCATTTAGACAAGAAGAGGTAGACCCTCCCTTACTGTGGCTTGAGGTCTACATCTATCAGCTGTCAGAAATTATTTAATGAGCTTTCAAGAACACAAAAGTTGAACTCTGGCCTTCCCAATGCAGTTCAAATGTGAGGACCCTACACTGACGGTCACAGCTGTCAATGGCTTCTTTTAATATCTAGAAAAAACCTGGCCAACTGTATAAGAGTTTCAGATTTAAACAGCAGGGCAAATAAAAATCTCTTAATCTTGTGGATTTTTGGAAAAATTTAAACAAAGATTTGCAACACCCGTCTCACACTTTGTACTGCTAGTCTGAAGCCACTGCATGCATGTGTGCATGGACAATTCCTTTCTGTCCACTCAACAATGACAATGAGCGTGAATTTGGATTCACAGCCAGTACTCTTTCAGAGAGCAGGAAATCGGGGCTAAATGACTTGTCTGAGGTCACCCAGGCAGTGACAGCGCCAGGGTGAGAACTCTCAGACCCAAACTTTTTAGCTGATAGGAGACTGCGACAGCATACGGTTTAGAGAGACTTTCTGAAAAGAACCACGCAGGTCACACTTTTGCAAATTTTAACTCCTCAATCATTATTAAAGTTATATTGTTTTTAGATAAGCTTCATCCTTCAAAAAATACATAAATAAAAGTAGCCTGTTTTGGAGCTTGCAAAGATCTGTGTGTCCTATTAAGTTTACAGAATTAGTGATTTCGGCTACTGCAGAGATCTGCACAAATACCATCCCTGTTTGAGGACCTGGAGGCCACCATTTTCAGCACCATCTGATAATTACACAGCTATGGGCTGTGTTGCCAGGTCAATGAGAAGGTGAACTATTATGGCGACAGACAGATTTTAGCTTTTTTTCTCTTTCCTGGTATCTTCCTTAAGAGAGAATTAAATGGATGCTCTAAATGTGTTATCCATAACAAAACAGAGTTTGTTGAACATTAGTAACAGGCTTTATTGATGGATAAACTTTAATATTGTAGGCCAGTGCTTGACTTTGGACAAGGTATTTGTATGTATTTCTATCCGAATCTTATATATGTATATACCATCAACCTCAATCATGTGCAAAAAAATAGAAGCATATTAAATTTGCTAGGGACAAATGCTATGCGGCTTGAAAGAGATGACAGAAGGAACAACTTAGGTACTGGGATCCTTAACTATTTCATCCAGACACCTCACTGAGCTGGTAATTACTGCACTTTTCAATTGTAAGTATGTGCAGTACAAAAAGTTGGTTTACCGAAACTGTTCTGCTAAGGCTATAGCTGGAAATAGTCCTCATACCTTCATCTTTTGCTTTTCCCTTCTTTGTTTTGTTTTTGTTTTGGCAAGATACAATAAAACCTCATTAATTCAGACCACACTAATTTGGAAGTCATAGTAATTCAGTCACTGTTGGAATAAATTGAAATTTATCTTTTGCACATTAAAAAAAAGCCTGTTAATCAGATCAACTGCCTAAGCAAAATTAGAGGTGAGGTGTTTAGCCCAGTCAACAGGAATCATTTGCGCAGAATTGAATAGAGTTTTAATTTCAAGTGATTCTTAACTATTTATTAAGGAAAGTTTGGCAGGAATTCTACTTGGCAACACTTTATTAACTGTTAGTTTGGGTGGCAGTATGCATGTTAAAGCAACAAAATTGATTTCTGTCTAAAAAATCCTATAATTCAGGTTTTTTTTTTTAAAAAAAACTGTGTTAGAAGGGTTTTCCTTCAATGATTTCCAATAATTGACATTTTCCTGTGCATAAACATACCTGACAGTTGAAAGAGGAGCTCGGAAGCCATTTTCACAGAGATATCCTGACTGAAGAGGTTTCTCTCTGGGGGTACTCTGCCCTCTGGCATCTTCTGTAAGGGTTCGGTTTTCTCTCGCCCGATTAAAGTGCTGTAGCCAACATTCCGGCTGGGTGATATCGAGACATGGGAGTCCTGGATGTCAACCTCCATGGGTTCCTCTTTAATCTTCACCATCTGTGTTTCCTTGTAGCTTTCCGCTGCAAGTAGGTGAATGAAGAGAAACAAAAACACCACCATTTCTTAATTCCAAGCTAGACCCAGTTTCTAATCACAGAGAAAACCATAAAGATTGTGGCAGGGAAGAGAAAAATGAGCGTGCACGGCACACTGGACCATAGTTTGAAAACCATTGGCTCAATCATCTAATACCAGAAAAGGTAGGAGACTTCAGTTTTTTTTAGCCCAGAGAGACTCAGAGGCTTGTTCGAGATCACAGATGGTAGCAGGGCCAGGCCTTGGCCTGCAAGCTGGAGCCTATGTTTCTTGACCAAGGTCTCTCACCAACCACATGTGCCCCTTCCTCTCTACCACACTGTTTCCAGAACTGAGAGAGGACACGGTAAGTGTTTGTTCTTGCTTTAGAACTTATTCAATTCAGTGAATCAAATAAGAGCAAGCATCTTAATATTATGGTTTTCTCCCTCTATTTTTTTTTTTTTCCTGAGAAGTAGTTTCACTCTTGTTGCCCAGGCTGGAGTGCAATGGTGCGATGTGGGCTCACTGCAATCTCCACCTCCCAGGTTTAAGAGATTCTCCTGCCTCAGCCTCCCGAGTAGCTGGGACTACAGGCACCTGCCACAATATTCGGCTAATTTTTGTATTTTTAGTAGAGACAGGGTTTCCCCATGTTGACCAGGCTGGTCTTCAACTCCTGACCTCAGGTGATGTGCCCACTTCGGCCTCCAAAAGTGCTGGGATTACAGGCATGAGCCACTGCGCCCGGCCTCTCCCTCTATTTTTAAAGCTCTGACCAATTGCTTTTCTCTCTTCTAGGGCACATACATTAATCAAGGATAAATAGGGTCAATTCAACGGAGACATTTGCACCTTGCTGGAGGTGTATGGAAGACCACGCAGGAAGTTAACTGCAGCCCAAGGAGCAACACCCAGAAAAACAGCAATCTTACAAGTTATAATAATGGTACAATTTACTGTGTGTCATTTAGGTGTGGCTATTAGATGCTGGGTCTTTAGTCTGAAACACATATTTGTTTTGTAAGGGTGGAGTGTCTATGTCCATCTATTGCTTAGAGTTAATGATAAAACATCTTTGAAACAAGGTGGGACAATTAGCCCAGAAAATAACTTGGGTCGCTATAAAATAAGGCCACACTTTCAAATTAATAATAATAATTAGGAACTACTGTGTACTCAGCACACTGGGAAACAAAAAACAAAGAGGATTTTGATAGTTGAACAGATAGATGATAGACAGACAGATAGAGTAGTGGGTTGAATTGTGGTCCCCCAAAAGAAACATCTACATCCTAATCATGGGAACTTGTGAATGCGAATGTGACTTTATTTGGGAAAAAAAGGTCCTTGCAGATGTGATTAAGTCAAGAATCTCAAGAAGAAATCATCCTGGATTATCTAGGTGGGTCCCAAATCCAATGACAAGTGTCCTAATAAGACACAGAAGAGGACAAGACATAGAAACAGTGGAAAAGGCCATGTGAAAACAGACAGAGACTGGAGTGATGCAGCCACAAACCAAGGAGTCCCTGCAGCCACTGGAAGCTGCAAGAGGCAAGCCAGGATTTTCCCCTAGAGCCTCTGGAAGGAGTGCAGCCAGACCAACATTTTGATTTCAGACTTCTAGCCTCCAGAACCATGAGAGAATAAATATCTGTTGTTTCAAGCTTCCAACTTTGTGGTAACTTGCTACAGCAGACCTAGGAAACTTCAGATAGATAGATAGATAGATAGATAGACAGACAGACAGGCAGACAGACACACAGGTACACAGATAAAACAAACAGCAAGAAGCAGTGTAAAGGAAGTGCTGATCTGTGGGACAGTCAGGAGATGTCATCAGGGAAACCTCATTGTTAGAAGCTGGGAGGGCCAAAAAGCTATGCTTTCCCTGGAAAGCATGACATGGGTGAACGTCAAATACACGTATATAGTTTATTGACCGGTAGTTAAAAAAAAGAAGAGCATTTTAACCTAAATGATTAAAATTAATACAGTGCTATCAATAAGATCTTATGTAAGAAGAGTGTTAATTGCTCTTTTTTCTTCCTGACATATTACACATGCTTCTCAGGGAAAACTGTTTTTTGTCAACAACTAAACTGCAGGCAAGTGTGGTATTTACTTTAGATCCCTCCCCCCTTTCCCTACTCCTGCCAAGCTGTTTTTTCTCTTCATGTCTGCAAAGCAGCTCATAAAAATCAAGTTCACTGAATCAGTCAGTCATGATAAAAAAATTTTTTTAAATAAAAAAAGAGAAGAAGAAGAAAGCTGTCCAAGATACACGCTTAGCTTCTCTGCCTTTACTTCCAGTTCATCTGATTCTTCCTGGAGAACTGATCTTCCTCCCTCAAGCCCCTTAGGGATCTGGTGACCTCACAGCCATCCTGACCTCCAGCCAGATCAGCCACCCTCATGGGCAGTCACAACACAGCTTCCCTCATCATGCTTCCCCAAAGTACCTAATATTTGGAAAATAAACAGTGGGGTCAGTGTCATAGGTACATAATGATGCGTCTGAATCTTGCACTGGGAAGTCATTGTAAGGCCTGGGGACAAACACAAAAGAATACTAGGACAAATACAAAGGGATTCACTTCATTTAAAAAAACTTGACACTATAAAAAGCAAAGCCAGAAAGAAGCTCTGTTATTTATCTTCTCCTCACACCTCATACCACCCTGCCTCATTTCCCTAGCTTTGACCATGGAATAAAAAATCACCTGGCTATTTGCACCACTAAATTTAATGAAATTAGTTTTTAAAAGCTTCCTGGGATCACATCAAGTATGATTTACATGAAGTGCTTTCTGCTCTTTCTTATGACAACCCTTGCCCTTTCAAGAATGCACAAAACACTGATCACTGATAAAAAGCCTTTGACCTTCTTAATTTACTTGACAGATTCCAGACTCAGGGAGAGGAGTTTTCAAACTAACATCTCAATGGACAAGTGAAACACTGGACAAATAATACAGTAAATATCACAGTCCCTTCTCTTCCATGCAATAGCATTATTGCCAAGTGTTTTTTTTGGCTTTTCTTTTCAAGCAGGATTTCTCAACCTCGGTACTACTGACATTTGGGGCTGGATAATCTTTGTTGTGGGGGACTATATTGCACATTGCAGGATGTTTAGCAACATCCTTGGTCTCTCTACCCACTAGATACCAGTAGCATTATCCTCTAACTTTTATTTATTTATTTTTTAAGAAACGTAGGTCTCACTACGTTGCCCAGGCTGGAGTGCAGTGGCTATTCACAGGTGTGGTCATATAGCACACTGCAGTCTCAAATTCCTGGCCTCAAGCAACCCTCCTGCCTCAGCCTCCTGAGAAGCTGGGGCTACCTGCACAAGCCACCATCCTGGGCTCCATCCTCTAGTTTTAACAACCAAACATGACTGCAGATGTTGCCAAATTTTCTCAGGGGAGGGAAGGGCAAAACCATCCTGGTTGAAAACCACGGCTCTAAAGTTTTTGCCGCATTCTAGTTTTTGCTCCAAAGAAAGTTCAATCACCACACAAGACAAAGAAGAAAGAAAAAGCTCCTTTCATTTCTAGCCTAGGCCTGGTATCAATCGCCACCTCAGCCAGGTTCCTGGACAGGCTGACCTGGCAACACTGGTTTCTGTTACATACCTCATTTGGTCCCCAGGCCAGCTCTCTTCTTTTTGCCTGGGGTGTTCTAACATAACAACGGTTGAATTAATCATTTCTACTATCTCTTAGCTTTGTCTCCCATACCCAGGGACATGTCTACACACACAGGATTTTACTCTTTCCTGTACACACACAACGTGAATCCTTTTAGAATCTCTTCCCAAAATAATAGGACAAATAGTCATTTTATCCCAGGTGGTCTATATATCGTTGCTGTTGGTGTGGTGGTGTGCCTATAGTCTCAGCCACTCAGGAGGCTGAGGTGGGAGGATCTATTGAGCCAGGGAGTTCAAGGCTGCAAGGAGCTATCATTGTGCTACTTCACTCCAGCCTGGGCAATAGAAGGAGACTCTGTCTCAAAACAAACAAACAAACAAACAACCCACAAAAAAACAAAAAAAAACTACAAGATATTTCAGAGGTTGAATGGGAAGGACTTGGTGGCTGACTGTAGTCTGAATTAAGAATGAAAAGAGGCTGGGTCTGTAATCCCAGTACTTCAGGAGGCTGAGGTGTATGGATTGCATGAACCCAGCAGTTTGGAGACCAGCCTGGCCAACATGGCAAAACCCTATATCATAAAAAAGTACAAAATTAGCTGAGTGTGGTGGCACATGCTTGTAGTCCCAGCTATTTGGGAAGATGAGGTGGGAGGATCATCTGAGCCTGGGAGGTCGAGGCTGCAGTAAGCCCTGATTGCACCATTACACTCCGGCATGGGCAACAGAGCAATTAAAAAAAAAAGTCTCAATTAAAAAAAAATGAAGAAACAAATGTGAGAGAAATTATGGATGAAATTTATACAGGAACTGGATGAGAGGCAGGTGAGATGAAAATCCTATGAACTGTAAGTCTCTAAGGTTTGGAAGATAATATTTTTTATCTTCCAAACTAGGAGTTTGGAAGTCTTCCTCACTAGGAGTTTGGAAGTCTTCCTCACTAGGAGTAAGGAAACTACCAAAGTTGGGCTGAGGAGAAATTCAGGAGAAGAAGTTCTGTGTTGCCTAAGTATTCAAGTTTCCCACAGGAAGTGGAGGTTGTGATGGCTTACAGGTGGGAAGGGAAGGACATTTGTGACATGGAGATGGGAAGTCATCTGAATTCATGGGACAGAGTGAGGTCTGCAAAAGAGAGCAAGCAGAGGGCAGTGGATGGGGTGGAACTGTTGTTACCTACCCTTAAGAGGAGGAGGAAGAAAAGAGCAAGGAAAAGAGATAGAGAGGGAATAGTCCCACCTGGTGTGGTGGCATGGAAGCCAGGAGAGAAGCAGGAGGCTCTGCAGGTGCCACGTGAGCTTCCTGCGCTCTGCCTTCTTGCCCTTGGGTTCTTCCACCTGCACAACGATTCCTTCTCTGTCCCACAGAAAGCCTCAGCCCCACCCTCCCTACTTCATCTCTGAGCACTCCTCCATGTGACTTTGTGCTCCTGCAATACTGAAATATTCCAGTTGCTTCAACAGAGCATGCTGCTCCTTGTCTTATCTTTTGTTATGTGCTCTTTCCTTCCCAAATATCCTGATAAAACCCTATTCAAACTTCAAAACCCTATTCGGATGTCCCCTCTGTGAGCAGCCTTCCTGTATCTTCCTCGAGTGGCACTCTCTCCCTCATCTTTTCTATATCTAGAGTGTTTGTACCTTATAAATATTGTGATGCCTTACACAGCAATTATTTTGTGTAGATTCATTTCCCCTCTGCACTGAGCTCTCAGGGGAGTGCTTAGTTCTTGTTCATCTTTCGGATATCCTCAAGAGAGCACAGGGCATGGCGCGTTGAGCAAGCTTAATGCTATGTTTGCCCCATACATCACCTGAGGTGTGGCACACGGTGGTGTGTAATGTTATCCTCCCTTCCTGGGCCCTCAATCTGCTGCGAACACTCATACATGCTACAGATTACAACAAAATATGAAAGGATGGAACACTGGAAATGGCACTGATATAAACAATATCAATTGGTCATTCCCTCTCGACTGCATGCTATCATGATTTGGAACTAGTATTGTAGAACAAGAAGCTTAAAAGAGCCTCTAAAAGCACTGCCAACTATGCCATGCTGACACCATTCACTTTCTAGAGTGATAGGCTTTTCAATGGGATAAATCAAAAATCTTTCGTCTCCAACTTATGAACCTCAAAGATACAAAGGTCTTGGATGGGCAAACACCCTCCACATATGAAATTTGATTCCTGCAGGTCTTAGGATTGATCATTACTTAAAACTTTGTGAACAAGAATGCAGACCAAAAGGACCAATGAAGTGAAACAAATGATCAGGACACAGAAATGAGATCCCATGGTAACATCTTTATCTTGGGACTGGCACCCGCTGGCATCTGATAAAGGCAAGATGCCTGCTCCCTTTGCTTCTCTTTTTGCCCTTCCAAAACCACAATGGAATGAAGAATTGGGCTGGGTTTTCTTGGTTGCTCAGAGAATGGCTAAGCCCCAGATCTACTGGAGTGGAGGCCAAGGATGGAGCAGAAAAGGAAATGTTTATTCCACAGAAGTCTGAAATTACATGTTTGGCTTCTCCTTCTTAGAGAGAAGCAATGTGGAAGTGAAGCAGCCTCGGGCCCTGAAGCCATCCCCTCACCCTATGACTGGAGCTAGGTACCCAGTGCAATGGAGATACCTTGTATCTCCATCCTTGTTATGAGAATTAAGAACCCAATGCTTAGATGCTGAATGTTATTCTCTCTTTTGGCTTTTTTACCCTACACTGTGTCTCCCCCTGTATCACAAAACAGAATCACAAGTCGATTGAGACAAGCTTTATTTTTTTTTTTTTTGAGACAGAATTTCTTTCTTCTTGCCCAGGCTGGAGTGCAATGGCGCAAGCTTGGCTCACTACAACCTCCACTTCCTGGGTTCAAGCAATTCTCCTGCCTCAGGCTCCCGAGTAGCTGGGATTACAGTCTTGCGCCACCATGCACGGCTAATTTTTTGTATTTTTAGTAGAGACAGGTTTTCTCCATGTTGGTCAGGCTGGTCTCAAACTCCTGACCTCACGTGATCTGTCCTCTCGGTCCCCCAAAGTGCTGGGATTACAGGCATGAGCCACCGTGTCTCCAGCCAAGACAAGTTTTATGTTCTATAAAGGATCGGCTTATTATATGCTTCTTCTCCATGGGAAGTAATATATTAAAATTCATTTTTATCTACAGTGTGGCCCTTGGTGGGGAAAAGCTCCCCATTCCTGCTCTGAGGAGTGAACTCCAATACTGGGGCTTGCCCATGGGTGCTGCCACACCCCAGAGAGAGGCGATGCAAGCCTGCTCCCAGGCCTGCTCTCCCTCCTCGACAAACTGGCCATCTGTTCCTGGGGAAAAAGAGGGGACTCTTTCTTCATAAAAGAAAACAGTAGTGGGCACATTTTCCTTTAGTTATCCTCAATATATAAGAAACTTCAAGAATGGTAGCTTTCAACAGAAAACCATACAATGACCTCCAGTACACACATACACACACACACACACACACACACACACACACACACACACACCCCATTTCACTCAGAATAGTGCAGGGAAAACTGAGCAAACCACGAGACCAAGCCAATGTCTATGATGAAGATGATAAAAAATCTGTGGCAAATTAATTCTTTAATTAATTCATTAATTAATTGAATTAAATACTCTTTTCTGGTGGTTACACCAATCTTTACAGCAGCCTAAACATTAGAAGAATTTTGTTTAAAATGATAGAACTAGGATTTTCTGTATGCCTCCTCCTTCTTTCTCGCTCATGCGCGCGCACGCGCACGCACACACACACACACACACACACACTCTTATTCTTAAAACAATTTCAAAGGTATTTTATCAGAATTGATTTCTTGAATTTTATCATCAAAATCATAAAGTAACCAACATTTTCCCTCTATATCAGTATAATACCTGGAAATTTAGGAAGGAAAATTAACAAATGTCTTTAGAATTAGCTATGCAAATTAGAATTCATAATTAAGTAGACAGAGGTGAGCAGGGGATCAACTTAGAGTCAATTTTAGAAAAACACCTGAGAAGCACCAGGTATTCTATTTTGCTAACTTTTTGAATTTGCAAAGAACAAACATGTCTTAAAAATGCTGAGCTCAAACTCTACAGGTAAAAAAGAGTTAGTGAGACTTGGAATTTCTTTCTGGGGTACATGAAACATATCATTTTCTACAAGATCAAAGCGCTTGTTGCTTTACTCTTACGTAGATTTTTAAATTAGTCTTGTGTCCTCTACACCAGTTATCAATGCAACAGGTCCTCGACTGAGCTAACTCAGTTGGATATCTGCAAATGTTGTCAGACTGGCCACAACAGTATGCCCACACCTGCAGTATGAGTTTTCAACTTGATTCTGGTGACCAGATATCAGAATATGTCCCTCAAACATAACAAATTCTGCACTCAATTTCACTTTTGTCCAAATCAAAATCAAAATTAAAATCCTTCAGTCGCTGGGAGCTCAGAGAGATTAGCTTTGGCAGCCCAGCAGATGATGTCGGGTGGCTCAGTCATTATCTGTTGAACTTTGAGTGTCCTGGTGTTAAATGTAAAACCTCTCCCAATCATCTTGTTTTCTTTTCATTTAATAATTTCACTAGAAATTAGCTAAAGAGGTGCATTTGAACTATATATA
Source organism: Homo sapiens (assembly GCF_000001405.40). Lineage (NCBI taxonomy): Eukaryota > Metazoa > Chordata > Mammalia > Primates > Hominidae > Homo > Homo sapiens. The sequence continues at coordinate 145,857,855 of NC_000004.12, forward strand.
TGCCATTTGGTAACATTCCAAATGATCTCATTTAAAAAAAATTAACCTATTTTTCATCTAATGTCCAGAATATACTTTTCCTGTCTCATATTAAAAAGGCAGAAAAAAGAAAAAAATGGAAAGGGTCAATTAAAGTATCTGATCTAACCTTAAAGCTATTTAACATTATTATCCTTTGCCATTTAATAAATCTAAGCCCTGTCCATCCTTATATGTTGTGAATAATAGGCCTTTATATATCCTTCCATGAACCAGAGTGCTGATGTGTGTGCATGTGTGAGTGTGTGTGTGTGTGTGTGTGTGTGTGTGTGTGTGTGTGCACATGTGGCTTCTAAACAGGATTCCTGGCAATGGTACATGCCTATAATCCCAGCCCTTTGGGAGGCTGAGGCAGGAGGATCACTTTTAATAAAGATGTTTTTCAAAATGAGACGGTACATTAAAGTCAGCCTAGAAATCCCCTCTAAAACATAAAAATCTAAAATATACAAATTCTGGCCAGCACAGTAGTTCACACCTGTAATCCCAGTGCTTTGGGAGGGCAAAGTGGGAGGACTGCTTGAGGTTAGGAGTTCAAGAACAGCCTGGGTGGGTAACATAGCGAGATCCAGTCTCTACAAAAGATAAAAATCAAAAAATTAGCTGGGCTTGGTGGCACATGCCTGTAGTCCCAGCTACTTGGGAGGCTGAGGTGGGAGGATAGCTTGAGGCCAGGAGTTTGTGGCTGTAGTGAGTTGTAATTGTGCCACTACACTCCAGCCTGGGTGACACAGAGAGACCCTGTCTCAAAAAAAAAAAAAAAAGGAAAAATGATGAAAAAATATATAACTCCTGAAAGATTCAGTAGAATCCCTGCTACCATAAAAAATTACCAAAAAGCAAAGGCCATCTCTGTCAACTGATGGGTTGGCCATTGCTTTATGCACAGAGGGATTCCTTAATGCCCAAGGAGGGAAAGGAGCAAAAGAAGTTTTATTTTAATAACTGAGAGTTTGTCAATTTTTCAAGTATTTTCCATGTCCAGAGGGTCAAAGGGGTTCAGTATATGCAGACAAGTTTAACATGCTTTTCTTATGTGGTGCTACATATTACTAATATGCACTAGTATATAACACTAGTAGATACTAGTAATATTAATCTACAAATATTGCTAATATAAATAATAATGAATCTGTTGCAAGGATATCGCTGCTGAAAAGCCGTGACTACTTCACTCTTGTTGGTCAATGTTCCCAGCAGGCAGGGAAGGGCTGATAAACATGCAGAGAGTGGAGAATCAGATAATAACAGAGACCAGAACCCAGGCAATACCAGGAGTAAGATATGGTAGCAATAGATGGGGTAGGAAGGGAACGTAGGCTCCATGCAGGTGAGGTCCTTATTCACTTTTGTATCCTTAGTGCCCAAACAGGGCTTGGAAAATGGTAGCAGCTCAATAAATATCTGCTGAATGAAAGAATAAGTGAAATAAAACAAAAAGGAAGGAGGTCACAAAGAAGAAATGGAAAGATAGGAGGAGTAATATAGGGTTCATTTAAACCCCCAAGAAATCTTCGCAACAGCCAATAATAAGTGAGTCCCTGTTTTTGATAGGGTACGGTCCCTAGTCCCATGCCTGTGGGAGTCGTTGGACTGTGGGGTGGGACCTCCCACTAGTAGATAATGTTCCCTCCGGGCTCTCACTTCCCCATAGTTTCTGGAGATACAGAGTGCATGGATATTCCCCTGATGTATTTTGGCTGTGTTTCAACCTTCTTTTCCAAATGCTTTTTAAATCAAAGCTACTTACAAGTAGTGTAAGCGACTCATTTTAATTTCCCTTCCTCTCTCTGGTTCTCGCGTCCTCTCTAGAGCAGGTGCTGAAGAGCCAGAAACAGCCAACCAGATGGCAGGGGGAAGAGGACGCAACCCTTACACTGGATAGCGAGACCCTAGTCACTGAACACTCACAGTTACACACAGGACTGATACCCCAGTCCTGGGTGTCTCCAGGAGAGCTGAACGTCAGGCAGGAACAGCTTTCTAGTATGAACAATGCTTTGGAAGAAAATATTTTAAACAGTATGATAGGATAAACAGGGTGCAAATGTAGTGGGATCTAGCAGGAGTAATTGAAAAGATTTGTCCTGATTAAACGTGTAATTCTGTCCTGATGAAACTGTCTTCCTACTCCCCAGCTTTCTTCTTTCTTCTTCACAGCTCTTTGGAAAAAAAGTTCTAAAAAAAGTATTACTTACATATTACCCGATATGATGGCTAAATAAACATGGCTGATTTCCAAGTGAAAGTTCTTACCAATATTTGAATGTGCAGAGGCAAGAGATCCCACTCATATAATCAGGTCCACAAATCAGTGCAATTTCACCTCTTCTTCTCAGTAATCCTTGGTTCTGTTGAGGGCCTCTTTTCCTCTTGAGGGGAGGGGCTCTTAATGCACCTTTGGAAACACGCATGTGGACCACAGGGAGCTCTGTAAGGCTGTCCCCATAAACGCCCTCTACCTCAAAATAGCAGGAAGAATTTCTGGTAGCAAAAATAGGGGAAGTGTGTACATATGTTTAGGGCAAGGGTGGGTTTATGGGGAAAAGGATGGTAGTAGTAGGAAGTAAAGAAACAAGTTCATAATTTATTCTTTAAACAGTGACCCTCGCCATCTGATTTTGTACCTAAGATAAAATGTGATGGGTCGCACATAAATTCTATAACCTTCCCTCCTCTCTCCAGCTGTGGAGATAAGTGATACAAGCATATGGCAAGCCACAGGAAACCAGGAAATGTGCTTGAATCCAGCTGCTATCCCGTAGTTAGAAAAAAGGAAGTAAATCAACTCACAGCACAAACTCAGGATGGCTTAAAATGGGAAAAACGCATACATGGGTGGAGTAAAGAAAAGAATTATTAGAAGGGAAGACAAAGATCCCTTCAGAAAGAATACCACAGGCCCTTACAGCTTGATAGCGGGGAAACACTTTTAAATCATTTGTCTTTCTGTAAGAATCCTAAAAGCCATAAGAGAAAAACAATTCTCTTTGTGAAATTTCTATTCTTGGGCTAATATGGACACTCCCCTGCCCAATGGAAAGGGTCCATCACTCTCAGACTATATGCATCTTCCAGTGCGGTGCACAGATGCGCTGAGTAGCCCCTGCCCCACCACGCAGTAGAGCCCTTGCCCAGTGGGTGACCCGGCCTCTTGGCAGCAGACAAGCTACTTAGCAATGAGGATTCCCTTCTCAAGGGGTAGGTCTATGAGACCAGCATGTATCCAGATGGGCACCATATTCATGCGATTTAATTATGCATGCAAATATTCCCCTTCTTTGACATGAATATGTTAAAGGTGAAAGGTTAATATGGTGATGAGAAGAAAAACCACTGTGGAATGAGAATGCTTTTGATATCTCTTTAAGGAAAATAATGATTAAGCTCTCCCTCACAAGACTATAACTGTATTAACATATAGCCAAAAGGCCGCTGGGAGGAACCTCAAAAACCTAGAATGGTGCAAGGTACATACCTTCTATCCATCAGGAAAACTTGTCCTATGAGTGAAAAATTGAGCAGATTGACTGGTTACTCAAATATTTGCAACCACACTGCAACTGGATCCCTCGGAAAATAAAGCGTCTTCTCAGAGTCGTCATCATCAAATCGTATTTACCAGCGGCCTCTCCGTTTGTGCCCCAAGTATGTGTTACCGATTAGGTAACATCTGTAGTCATTTATACCAGAAACAGAAAGAGATGCAGGAATCCAAGAGGAAGGCCTAGGCGTCATTCTTAATTCTTTTGCTCCATATTTGTAAAGGAAGATCTAGAGCCCCTTCAGCACGCCCCCACCCCAGATCCACCACCCTGCAGCCCTACCCACTCCCTGCTGCGTCCAGACCCCTCCCTGCCCTAGTCCTGAAGCAGTCCAACAGAAAAGGAATCTACGATGAAGGTGGAGCACATTAAATTCCTGTCAGAGTTCTTGCCTGGTTTCTGGGAACACAAGCCAATACAAATTTTCGTGGCTATATTAACATATGCAGCTATGCGACAGGGAGATGATAATAAAACAAGAGCCCTTTTGAGTCTGGTCTTTTGAATCCCAGGCCTTGGAGAAAGCTGGGTCAAAAAAGCAAAAAGGGTAGCCTGAAGCTTGAGGGCTAAAAAGGGAGGTGCAGAGGCCCTGGCCTTGAGGGTGTGAGCTGGAACAGCTCCCATATGGGGCGGGGGAAAGCAGCAGGAGCCATTCAGGTGTACGGGTTTGAGGATTTGTAAAGGCCATGTGGAATTACAAAATAAACAGAAGGGTGCTTACTGGCCAGAGCGGGTGTAACAGCAGGTATGGCCAGAGAGCCTGTTGGAATAAGTTCCTCTTTGTAGCTGAGAAAGAACCAAGTTCCAGGGCTGGCTGCATCCAGCTACTTCTGAGTCTGTCCTGCTTAAATGGTCAGGTTAACAATACTGCTGTCTAGCCTCTGAGCTTAACAAGATCTAGACCTTCAAGAGAAGATTTCTCTGGGTATAGTAATATGTTGTTTTTACCTTATTAAAGTGATCTGTTCCCTGTTTGTGTAACATATAGATTTGGTACTCCCAATGTCTCCAATTCTCACTGAGTTTTCAAGGGCTAAAAAAAGTCTAATTCTTATTTATATTTCATTGTCCCCCAGCCATGGGATATATATATATATATAAAATTGCTCACGGTGTGTATGGCAATGAGGAAAGTGATCCAGCCATTAGTTGTAGGCCCATTGCTGGTCACATTCACTGTAAGTCATTTAAAAAGTTGACATATAAATATTCTTTGCCATCAGACATATAAAGAATGCTACAGCAAATACGGGAGTCAGAAGGGTCCACTCCACTGAGGTATTATTCAATAAATTTGGTTTCACAGGCTTTATATCTCTGAAAATTAAATAGCACTATGTGAATATGAGACAGACTTTCCTTTTAATATTAAACAAGTCTGCATTTTTTACTTAATTTTTGGATTTATGGAAAATGTGATAGGGCTCACAAGCAACAAAAGAAAAACAGAGATAAAATGGACCTCATCAAAATTAAAAACGTTCATGCTGCAAATAATATCATTAAGAAAACGAAGGACAACTGGCAGAACTGGGAGGAAATATTTGCAAATCATATATCTGAGAAGAGACTTATGTCCAGAATACATAAGAAACTTTCAACACTCAAGAATAAAAACAAATAACCCAATTTAAAAAGTAAGAAAATAACTTGAATAGACACTTCTCCAAAGAGGATATACAGATGGCCAATAAGCACATGAAAATATGCTCAACATCATTAGTCATCAGGGAAATGCAAATCAAAACTATAATGAAACACTAGTTTACACTCTTAAGATGGTTATAATAAAAAAAGACAGACAAAACCAAGTTTTTTGCAAGGATGTGGAGAAATTGAGACCCTCATCCACTGCTGGTGGGCACGTGAAATGGTGCAGCTACTTTGGAAAACCACTTGTCAGTTCCTTAAAATGTTAAACACAGAGTTAGCATTTGACTCAGCAATTCCATTCCTAGGTATATACCCAAGAGAATTAAAAACCTAAGCCCACACAAAAACTTGCACATGAATGTTCATAGTAGCAGAAGATGGCAAACATCCAAATGTCTTCATAAACGAAAATGTGGTATATCCATACAATGGAATATCATAAAAATTGAAAATGAATAAAGCCATAAAAATGAAGTACTGATTTATGTTACAACATAGAAAAACCTTGAAAACATTATGCTAAGTGAGAGAAGCCAGACACAAAACACTGCATATTGTATGATTTCATTCATATGAAACGTCCAGAATGGACAAAACTATTGAAACAGTAGATTCATGGTTGCCTGGGTGGGGGGTGGAGGTGGTGGGGATAGAGAGTGACTGCTGCTCATGGGCTCGACATTTTTGGGAGCAATGAAAATTTTCTGGAATTTGATGTAGTGATGGTTGCACAACTCTGTTGGATATACTAAATATCATTGAATTGTGTACTTTGAATGGGTAAATTTTATGGTATGTGAATTATATTTTAATAAAGATGGGCCAGGCGCAGTGGCTCACCCCTGTAATCCTAGCACTTTGGGAGGCTGAGGTGGGCAGATTGTCTGAGCTCAGATGTTCGAGACCAGCCTAGTCAACATGGTGAAACCCCATCTCTACTAAAATACAAAAAATCAGCCGGGCGCAGTGGCAGGCACCTGTAATCCCAGCTGCTCAGGAGGCTGAGGCATAGAATTGCTTGAACCCAGGAACCCACTGCATTCCAGCCTGCACAACAGGGTGAAACTCTGTCTCTCTCATACACAACCTCCCACACACACACACACGCATACATACACAGTTTTTAAAATGAGATGGTACATTAAAATCAGTCTAGAAATGCCCTCTAAAACATAAAATATATAAATTCTGGCCAGGCATAGTAGCTCACACCTGTAATCCCAGTACTTTGTGAGTAGCTCATACCTCCCAGTCCTCCCAAGTTGGGAGGACTGCTTGAGGCCAGGAGTTCAAGACCAGCCTGGGCAACATAGCAGACCTTGTCTCTACAAAAAAAAAAAAAAAAAAAAAAAATTAGCTGAGTGTGATGATGCACATCTGTAGTTCTAGCTACTCTGGAGCCTGAGGTGGGAGGATCGCTTGAGCCTAGGAGTTCAAGGTTACAGTGAGCTATGATCACACCATTGCACTCCAGCCTGGGTGACTGAGCAAGACCCTGTCTCTAAAAAAATAATAAAATAAAATATATAAATTCTAGAAAAGCAGAATACTGGATTCAATAAATTTCTCCAGGGACTCAAAAAAAGTTGAAATGAATATGTGAATTTTTTGATTTTTGGACTTACTAGACTGATTAGATCTACCTGTTCACTTTATAAGTGAACTCTACATTTAGCCTTTTATGGAAGCAGGTAGAATCATAAGGAACTAAGTACAAATTGGCCTCACATCGTCTCTACCACCTAACTAGATAACTTCCAAGTCTGAAGGAGGCAAATGTGAGAAGGCAGTAACATAAAAATACAACATGTATTTTCCATCCGTATAGATTACTGAAGTCACACTGCTTAGAAAGCTTGCTAGACCATAATTTTCCAAGGGAAAATACCAAATAAGCAAATAAGTTTTTGCTCTGAGAAATTATTAAGCTAAATCTCTAATTAACCTCAAATAATTGTTTAGAAGAGTCTCCAACATGGTCTTAGATTATGTAGAGGGGAGGTAGAGAAAGGTTTTTCTCCTAAATGAAAGCCAACATTGCTCAGGAATAATCATGAAATTTAACAGCAAAGAGCATTGAAAAAAGTAGTATTATCTGAGGCTCACAGCCAACACTATCTTGATTTATTAGGTACATGTGCCCTTCTAAAAAAAGGTTCCCAGATACCATTATTTCATAATAAATTAAAAAGAATCTTCACTGAAGAGAGATGGTTCTTTTTAAAAAGTAAAATGTACATTTAATAGAGCTTTGTTCTCTGTCAGCTTCAACCTAAAGCATTCTTCTCAGATGGATGAAACTTATTTTTCCAATTAACCACTTCCTCAGCACAGTGCTTCTCAAACCTTAGCTGTCAGAATCGCTAGGAGGGCTTGTGAAAACACAGACAGCGGGACTCCCACCCCCAGAGTTTCAACTAGGTCCAGAGTAGGGCTCAAGAATTTGCATCTCTAACGCTTCCTTATCCCCACAAATTTCATGATGATTCTGCTGGTCTAGGGACCACACTTTGAGAAGCACTGCCTTAGCAAATTAGAGAGGTTTTTCTCTCAGACCCTTTCAAGAAGGAAAGATAAACAGCACCAAACACATTTCCACTCAATACTGAAATGACAGCAACCACCATAATTATTCCTGGACCTTTTGTGGTTCGCATGTATTGTTCTATCTTCCTGTTTCGCACCTCACCCTCCTGCTCTCCCTCCCAGCAATCCCACATGGCTAATGGCAGCAGCCACATCTGCCCAACATGCCCTCATTTCTAAATAGAGAAGTTTCCACTCTTGGGTCCCAGTTAAAGCCAAGACACTCAGTTGGGATTTAGGACTGGGATAAAGACATTTCTGTCTGGCTATTCTTTTGAGCAAAACATAAACTCAGAAGCTGCTGGCAATTCCCCCTTTCCATCATGTGGACTGGGTAACAGAAGAAGTCCATCTGTCGGTCCAGAGAGAAGCAGAAATGAGGTGAGGAAGGGGGTGGTTCCTGGGTTCCATATGGGCCTCCAGCCTCTGGCTGCGGTGGAAAACCAAGGCCCCACTGCATCTCTGCCCTTGGGATCCATAAGCCAATCCCAAACCTGCATCTTCTACTAAATTCTTCTATCTTGCCAAAACTATCTGAAAAGGGTTTCTGTTATTTATAACCAAAGGGGCCCTAATTACAGCTGCTAATAAAGTGAGTTCTTTTCTTCTCCACTTCAGGTCACCGCAGAGATTAAATTCACCTTAAAATGTCATCCTACTCAAGTTTACCTGTTTCTAAATATCTCCTAGCTGAAGCTCCATCTCATTTAGGTGATACCCTAAGCCCATCACTATGTTATTTCAAATCTAGGGCCTGGTTGAATTCCTATACAAGAAGCAATTGTAATTTATATGGTTCTCCAGGACTAGGCAGGAATAAATGAATATAAACCAGAAATGAATATAAATCCACTGGGTGAGCACAGAAATTTTTAAAACCAATAAACTTGTTTAAAATTAAGGTCTAATATGAAGTTTTATTTACCATGTTAGAGAAATGTAAACGTTTAATTTTTCATTAATGTTTCTGCATAGCTCCAGCTTTCCAGCTATGTACTTTTTGTGTGTGGAATTCATATTTTTAAATGGCATTCTTATCTACTACTTCTAGGATCACCCAACCATGCATGATACATTTTATATATGTATTCCCATGGAAACATGTAACTCCCCAAAGAAAGAAGAGGGCATTTATCTTCATCACTTTGCATCTAGCTACTTCTCTTAAAGCAAAACAGAGACAAAACAGACAAAATTTTGTGTCATTTTCAGCATTACATCATATCCATGATAACACAGCTATCCCATAAGTTTGCAAGGTGACCAGACATTGCAAAACCAGAGTTTAAAGGTACTCTGAATCTCTTACACTATCTAATGTTATATATCCTCTATATTGAACACTGAGATTTCGGCCTCCTTGAATGAAGACTTCTGGGAATTATCTTTGGCAACCATATGCTTAGCAAAAAAGTCTGATTATTTTGGCTGCCTTGTGTCACATAACAACAAGTAGTCGCAGACTTCCAGTGCTTTCCTCAGAGTGTGTTGCTTTCTTTATGGCAATCAATTTACTTGGCCCAGCTGTCAGGCATTCAACTTCCCAATTAACAACTGGAAATAGAACTCGAACCACAGGAAGGAAGAAAGCTCAGATTTTCCCCAATGCACACTTAATGAAAAATTGAGCCTACTCTAGCTCATCTGCGTTTTTCCCATAAAACACAAATGTCAATTTGGAAAACAATATACCTACAGAGTTTTCTCCACATAGAAAAGTTCCACATGATATGTGACTGGGCCAGGTGCCAAGTCTCCATCCTTAAGGAGTTAACATAAATTAATTTAAAACTGAAAATGAAGCAGCCAAAATTGTGGACTAGTTTCTTCTTATTCATTCAATGAGAAGACTGAAAGGGTCTAAACTATAGGTCACCACTTCTAACCTCAAGGAAATAAGTAACAGAGAAGAAAATTCCTTTTATTCCACATCTTAGCTACTCCTTGGGTCAAAACTAAAACAAGGAAAAGTATGCCTCATCCTTGCATAACTAAGTATCCTCAACCAACTCTTCCTGACCAGAAAGATTTTCCCAAGCATATGGGAAGACTACAAATGAAAACAAGCAAGGCAGGAAGCAATAGGAACTCCTGTTCACAAGAACAGCTACAACAAAGCTTTGGGGGTATCAGCCAAGGCAAACTGGTGGTGTAGCCCTGTCCAACTACACAGACGTTTTGGGAAATGAATTATTACTCTTGTCTATAGAGCAACAGAAGTGATCATGGCAAAGGGTATCTGAAGACACAAGTCCTTTACTTGGATGTCTTTTAGGGCATGAACTATGAAATTGTTAAAATTACAATTTGAGGAAAGAACACACAAAGTTTTTTCCTAACATCTTCATTCTTGCAAGAGCACTGTTCTATCAGTGATTAGAAACTCTAATATCCACTTTAAACCTAATTAAGGGTGAGTCTTCTTTACCTTGTGGCTTAGGAATGAAATGATATTTGCTTTTAAGTCACATGCCTATTGTTATGACTAAAAAACTTCTTCCCAGTTTACCTGACCATGGCCACTAGAGTATGGCAGTACTAAGTTCCAAGCGCAAATCACATGAATGGATTCCACTGCCCTGGATTACTTCTGACTAGACCACCGCATCTAAGGGTCAGGGCTGTGATGCATATCTCTTTGACCTAAGTCTTTTGCACACAGAATGCTGAGGATTTGAGGATTTTTTTTCAGGGCAAAAATAATTGTTGTCAGTCTTCAAACAAGTTTTCATTTCCACATCACGAAGCAGGGGCAGATGCCCTTTGGAAACAGGACGTCATCCATTCAACTATTGCTGAACCCCATAGCACATGTGCTCAACCAAAGGCAACATATACATTTAGAAGGACCACTGCTGTCCACAAATATCTTTCACTGTTCATGGCTGTTAGACATATTCTGTTTGGGGGATATCATTATTATCTACAAAATGATTCCACACTTGTGTCTCAAATCTCATCATGCAAAAGGATTAAGATAAAATATTTTTCCTTAAAGAACATCACTCTTGAAATCTCATTTTTTGCATATTATCTTTTGGTGCTACCCAAGTCTCTTCTGCTTACAACACCTGCTGCACAGCAAACTCTGAACTAGAAATATTATATACTGGAATCTGACCATAAGGAGGGAGACAGGGGTCACTGTTGGTTAAGACTTCAAGTCACTGGAATGTGAAAGTGTATGCTATGGGGGAAGAATCAGAGCTATGTGACCTCTTTGAATTTATCAGAAAACAACAAATAGATTACTCTGCATCATTTAACATAGGAAGGAGAGTTCAAATATACAAAAAATGTGTTCACTTGAACATCCTTTATAAAAATATTCAGCTTTTATAATAGCAAATAGTACAATCTTACTAACATCTCATCTGCATAGGAGGTACTGCACTATCTCTGCAAAGTTTAGGAAGACAGAGCTATGATAAGAATGTAATGATTGCATTATGCTTTATTTATAACAAATCATGTTACCTTGAACTTCCAATGTGCTTTGAATTAACATCAAAGAAAAGAATTTTTAACCCCACCAACTGGTAAGTACAGGAATTTCAACTGTTCTGATATAACGACTAAGTAAATCACTGTTAATTTCTTACTTTCCAACCCACTAGTCAACCAGAAACACAGTCAGAACTGCTGATGAAATTACAGGTCTTAAAGGAGTCTCTCTAATGCATTTCTTGCTTTCATTCTCCAAGCACAGCAAGTTTCAAACTAAAAACAGCTTTCGATTCATATTAGCATTTTAAATATAGTTTCTAAAAATTCTGCTTAAGAGGTAATGAACTAAGGATGGGATATGACTTGACAAGTATTATTATTGATATAACCTTTTTTTTCCATGTTCTGAAAGTCCTATCTTTGAATTGAAAAGACATTATGTTTTTACCTGTTTCAGAGAGGACAGGGCAGATAGGAGATGACGTGGAAAAAAATCCAAACTATATGAATTTCAAATTATAAGCTATTTTCCCTACATTTAATACGCTGAGATTACATTTAGATGCTAGTAAAGAATGATTCATTAATCTTAAGAACAGATTAATTATTGTAATATTCCATTATAAAATTCTCTATCCATAAAATCTCTTATTGCCACTCTATTGGTAATTACTTCAAGTGCCATCTCAAATGCTTATGAAGTTAAGAAAAATATTTGTAATGGTGCTTAAAGAGTGTAGTATAAATACACACAAAATGCCAGGTCCTCTATTAGGAAAGAATAGATATTTTGATCAATTAGCAGAAGACCTTTGAACATCATTAGAACCCATTTAAAATTATGGCCTATATCACCTTAGAAAGCAGCAGTGGTTTCCAACAATTTGCAGTGATAGTCAGGAAAAGGTTGTATTTAATAAGATAGGTACACAGCTAATATACACAAACAAACTCACACACAACACAGGAATTTAAGCCAAGTAATCTGATCGTTCTTTGAATTCACAGCAATAATGCGATATTGCTGCCATTGGGTTAATTATAACCCATGCAGGAAGCAGTCCAGTTGGCCTGCAAGTGAAACTATCAGAATGTGAATATTTTAGAATAAATCAAGTACCTGAGAGTTTCATGAGAAGTTCAGAGGCTGCTTTGACTGACACATCCCGCCTTAGCACACTTCCCTTCCCTTCCTGGGGCTTTAGTGCGTCCTCAGAGACGCCTGGGGCTGACACTTCAGATTCCGGGCTGAACACATAGCTGGACCGAGGCAAAGTCGTGCTTAGGGACTCCCCTTCCTTAGGCTCCTCTTTCACTTTAAAATTAAGATTCATGGGCTCCTTCTGATTTGCAGCTGTCAAAAGAAAAAAAGGGATTATATATACATAAAAGGCCACTCCCCTCCTTAGCTGCCCTGGTACTTCACGAAGTATGGAATGCACAATCACACTGTGCTAACAACCGGAGGGATCACAACCTCATCAGAACAGGCTGGGCCCTGGGCAAAACCACACAATACACTCCATGGGCCTACAACTCTGAGGAGTGTGGGCTTCTGAATCTTTTGAACCTAAAATATTTTAAGAAGTGCTACCTCTACAAAGTTTCTGGGCATTTTCTCTTTGGTTTCCCTAGAAGTCTTGTTTCCTGTGTATGCCACTGCCTCCCTGACTTATTAGCACTCTCCCCACCTAATCCTATTATGAAATAATGCTTTCAGGCAATTATTCTGCCATAAGATATTGAATACAAACATGAGTCAGAGGCAGTACCCAAAGCAAAAACCTGGGGTGCAATGGTAAAGTGAGGATGGAGAATTTGCCAAACAGAAAAGCTCAGACTAGAGATAGACCACTCTTGCCTCATTATAAGACGACACTACTGATCCATAAACAGTGGGGCATTTACTTAGCACTGTTCTTCTGATTATGGTGATAAATCCATGTCTGTAGCCCAAGTCATCACTGAGTCCAAAATGGCCTTTTTTTTTTTAAAGAACAGTTTTTATTTTGGAATAATTTTAGATTTACAGAGAAGTTGCAAAGATGGTTCCAAGAGTTCCCATATATCCTTCACCCAGAATTCCCTAATGTTAGCATCTTACATAACCATGGTACATTTGTCAGAACTAAGAAATTCACATTACTATGAGCTAAACTCTAGATTTTATTCAGATTTCACCAGTTTTTCCACTAATGTCCTTTTTCCATTTTTAGCATGGTTGGTTGCTGTGGAGTGTGTGGTCAGGACAGAGCTAACTGGCCTATTATGGGATGGATTCTGTGGCTCAGCCACACTGTACCAGGCCTTCTCCACTGGGCTACATACTACCCAGGAAAGACCACAAAGGAAGAGACAAGCACCCTCTTCCTACTACTCTTCACTTTCACAGGCATCTCACTCCCTTTAAGAGTCCATGAGGTAGGAACTTAGGATTGATTACACTGATTGTGTCCATCTTTTGAGAAAGAGGATCTCATCCTAATACAGGATTCTTAGAAACACTTATTAGAATGAGCCTTAAGTCCATTCCATCTTAACAGACAAAAAGATAAAAATAAATCCCCGAAGCAAACATCTATCACCCCTTGCCTACCACCTACTCCAAGCCAATACTCAAGCACAAAGTCTGTTTTCCATCTCATACCCCTGTAAGAATATGCATTCTGGAATCACAAGTTCACACAGACCAGCATATTTGGAAACTGAACCCCAGAAGCCCAAAGAACTATCTGGAAGTTTCACTACCAGAAAGATGCAGAGCTGGGACCAGAACCTAAGTCCATGGGCTTCCCCTGCTGTGTCCCTTACCTGCCTCCACCGCACCACCTCCACTTCTGGTCTCTGTATTGTAACAAAACTTGAAAATACTTGACCTTCCAATCGGCTCAAATACTACCTGCTCAGTGAGGTCTACTCTGATCATCCTGTTCAAAACTATAATCACCACCTTCACAGTCCTCCCAACCTCTCTTACCCTGATCTAACTTTCATTTTTCCCTCCAAATACTTATTACCTAATAACCTACTGTTATGGACTCAATTGTGTCCCTTCATATGTCGAAGCCCTAACCTGCCAGTGTGGAATATACCTGGAGGTAGGACCTCGAAGGAGGTAATTAAGGTTAAATGAGGTCATAAGAGTGGAGCCCTAATGCATTGTGACTGGTTCCATTAAAGAACCAGAAGAATAAGAAGAGAGAGAGAGAGAGACACCAGGGATGCACGCACACAGAGGAAAGTCTGCACGAGGACACAGTGAGAAGGCGGCCGTCTGCAAAACAAGGAGAGAGGCCTCAGGAGAAACCAAACCTGCTGACACCTTGATATTAGGCTTCCAGCCTCCAGAAGAGAGAAATAAATCTGTTATTTAAGTCATCCAGTCTGTGGCATTTTGTTACGCGGTATTTAGTTTAACAGACCAATCACATGCTATATGGTTTTTAAAATTTATTATGTTAACAATTTATGGCTGGGTGCGGTGGCTCATGCTTGTAATCCCAGCACTTTGGGAGGCTGAAGCAGGCAGATCACTTGAGGTCAGGAGTTTGAGACCAGCCTGGCCAACATGGTGAAACCCCATCTCTACTAAAAATACAAATAAGCCAGACGTGGTGGCATGCACCTGTAATCCCAGCTACTCGGGAGACTGAGGTAGGAGAATCGCTTGAACCCAGGAGGCAGAGGTTGTGGTGAGCCAAGATCATGCCACTGCACACCAGCCTGGGTGACGGAGCGAGATTCTGTCTCAAAAAAACAAAAACAAAAACAAAAACAAAACAAGGTAGGCTTCATGAAGGCAACAATTTTTTTTTCTTTTCTTTTTTTTTTTTTTTTGAGATGCTTTGTCACCCAGGCTGTAGTGCAGTGGCACAATCTCGGCTCACCACAACCTCTGCCTCCTAGGTTCAAGCAATTCTCCTGCCTCAGCCTCCCAAGTAGCTAGGACTACAGGCGCCCGCCACCATGCCCAGCTAAGTTTTTGTATTTTTAGTAGAGATGGGGTTTCACCATGTTAGCCAGGATGGTCTCGGCTTCCTGACCTCGTGATCCACCCGCTTCGGCCTCCCAAAGTGCTGGGATTATAGGCGTGAGCCGACACGCCTGGCCCAACAATTTTTGTTTTAACACTGATGTGTCTCAAGTACCCTGAATAGTGCCTGGTACATAGTTAGTGATCAATACATATTTGTTGAATGAGTAAAATGTGTTGCTCCAAATTAGTGGCATCCAATGGCGTTCCAATATTATCTGAAGTTAACAAGAACTAAGACCTCCAAAATATCCCACCAAAAGCAATCAGAAGTGCTTTCCCTGGATTTAATAATTAGATGGGAGATAAGATCTTTGAAGTAAAGTTAAAGGCCTTTCTACCTAGACCACAGCATTACTGAAATATCTAATCATCACTTGAACTAGAGCATTACTAAAGGAGGAGTCCAGAAAAATCTCAAGGAAAGTGCTTAAAATCTAGCCCTTTGGGGACAATGCCATATGAATCTGAATCAAAGGGAGCAATAATGGTCTACAGAGCAATCCTCAAATATGTACTTCCAACGTCTACCAGGAAGGTTGCTCCTAAGAGGACTTGGTTTATCTAGCACATTTCTCCCCTTTGCACCTTTCCCCCACTTCTTGGGGGATTTTGCTGGTCACCCTTCTAAAGCTTGCTCTCTCCCAACACCATTCTCCCAGAACCCTTTATAAAGTCTTTTCCAAGGGCACCCTAGTTCATCACGACAGAGTAATTAAATAGGGTGTTTATTAAGTCTGTGTCTTTGATTCTTTGAGGAAGAACAATTTAAAGTGAATGGTTAAGTATTTTTAAAATGCTTCCTTGCTGCATCTTTTATTTAAAAACATTTTAAAATTCTAAGATGAAGCTAAGAAAGAGATGAAAAAAAAAAAACTATTGAGGCCCCAGGAGCAAATCCCAACTTCTAGAGATCATTAAGCAGATGCTTCCTGCACATGTAAGTGGTTTCTAGAAGCATTAGTCAGAGTATATGCTATAAGAGACTTAGGGGGAAAAAAGTAAAGATATTTAGCATTGCTAGCACAACCTGGATTTAATAGAACTTCAAAAAGACACTTTAAAAGGCAATAGGCAAGCTGTATATTGCTGGATTATACATTTGCAAGGCACTACATACCTGGTTTTCATTCTGACAATACAGAGAATAACAGAAAATTGTAATGTGCTGAGGAAATGTAAATATAGCTAATGACATATCAGAAGAGCATATGGAAATCACTCATTTGCCCAAGTTTTAATTTCCCAAACATTTGGGTCTCAATAGAAGACGTAAAAATAGAAATATGAAGGCTAACCTGCTTTTTTCAATGACCAAAAATATTTACATTGAGAACAGTACATAAAGCCTATATTTTAAAATTAATATGACTTAATAATTACTATCTTTTAAATTATCCCACTTTACAAAAAAACCCACATGTGCAGTGAGAGGTGGAATTCAAGATGTTTTCTTTTTCTTTGGGGAAATTGCTAAGAGAAAAGCAACCATTTATGACTCATGACATAGTCTTCACTTTATTCCTACTACTAACACAGAAAGATTTGTGCAGGTGCGGAACTCAACTTGTCAAGGACTTTCACAACACCTGCCTTGACTTCTGTTTATTTATTTGAAAGTTTCTGGATAACTGCACTTTTGATGTGATGAGAAAGCCCTTGGTAATCAAGAGGCCCCCTCTCTCGCTGTTTGTTCCCAGCATCGTAGGACCTGGGCCACGCTGCTGATCAATTACACATACCTCTCAGTTTATGTACTTGATGGAGGTGGACCACCATTTAAAGGAAACAAATCCGCTTTTTTGAGGATTTATGAAGAATTCAAGATAAAGGCAAATGTGGGAAAGGAATGGGAAAGCTGCTGGGATAAGATGATTCCAGTCTTCCAATTCTAGGAAATTACTGTATAACTAGAAAATACTATATATTTTACAATATTTTCTAGTTATATAGTAATTGGGAAAATACTATATAACTTCCCTATTACTAGGGAAAATACTATATAACTTCCTTCTAAAGACCATCATTTGTTTTAACAACGTATACAACTAGCTCTTGAGTAATTACATAGGGATCAAACCTTCCATCAATCACAGGAGACAGATGTTATTACTATCTTCATTTTACAGGTGAGGAAACTAAGGTCCTAAAAAGGTTAAGAAACTGATGCCCCAAATCACAGATCTAATTCACAGAGACACTTGGCTCAGAGTTTCTCACTGGAAATGCATCCAAACCCCTTCCTTTCTCTCCAAGACACCCAGGTACCTTTAAAAGGGACACTATCCTCAGCAGGTGAACAATGGCTTTGGAAAATAAGTGATGTGGGTGAATTAAGCACTGTTCATGAGAAAGGGAAGGGTGGGTTTTGTCTGAAGAAAAGGGACATTTTCTGGTAGGAAGAAATCCTGAGAAGATTTGACTAGGAGGATGAAGGGAAGGAATCAACTGCAAAATAAATACTTCTATTGGTTCCCTCTGGTGAAGGAAAATGACACCTTTTCTTGAGCTTAATAAGACAGAACTCTCCTTCAGTTCAACGTATGGCAATTTTATAAATGCTGAACTGCTCTGTGAAAAAGCAACCCACTGAGAATTTTATTTACGATCTCACCCTAAACCAAGGCCAAAGACTCTTGAGCCTGGAAGGGACTACAGAGCAATGGTTTTCAAACAGTGTTCCAAGGAACCCTAGGATATGCTTCAGGGGTTCCAACAAATGTTTGTTTTGAATTTAAGTTTTTAAAAAATCATTGTAAAATTAATTAATTTAAAATTTAAGTTCAAAGCGTGCATCATCCACTGCATTATATATAAAACATCAACATACTGGAGACCACTAATATGTTGCCAAGTTGATTCAGTTTTGTGTAGTAGCCCTTGTAATGCAGTTTCTCCCCCTCTCATAGGAGAGCTGCAGTTGTAGTAATGTCATCAATAATGAAGTGGCTGCCTTTGCACTGATTTTTCAAAGAATTCAGGCCTATGCATGTGTGTTCATATATAATTATAGTCCTACTAGAGCCTATAAACATACTTTAAATTAGTGTTTCTCAACCTCCACTCCACTGATATTCTGCACTGGATAATCTGCTGGGAGCAGTTGGGGGTGGGGGACTGTCTTGCACATTGTAGGATATTTAACAGCATCCTTGGCATCTCTACGCACTAGTAGCCAGGAGTACTTCCCAGTTGTGAAAAAAACAATTTCTCTAGACATTGCCAGCTATCCCCTGGGCATACCTGCCTTAAATTAAATGCAAGGGTAGATTCAAGTGTATCAAGTGTGCTTGGTGCAGCTTTTGACCATAGCTAATAGACAGACAAATAGACATATGTAGATACATATGGATAGAGCTAGATCTATCATTTATTGAGCACATAACATGAGCTGGGTAACACACCAAGTATTTACCTGTATTAATTTATCTAATTCTCACAGCCACCCTTTGAGGTAGGCACTAGTATTATCCCCATTTTGCAGATGAGAGATCTCAGACCTAGAGAGATTAAATACATTTCCCAAATAACAGTTAACTGAGTAATAACCAAGTAGTTGACACAGAATTACAGATGGCTTTAGGGCATATTGTGAGTTCTGGATACTGCTTATCTTCCATTTATTATAAGGAATGAGGGCAGTTGCCAAATGTTGTCAACTTTGAAGCAAAAGCTTATACTCTTCTTTAATTGAGGAGATCCTGAAATTACAAGACAAGTTGTTAAAAATCTGTTCCCATTTGCCACTATGTGAAACCGTACTTGTATTTTTTCAAACTGAGATCAGCAAAATAAATTTAGAAATATACTAGATGATCACATTGCTACAGACTGTACTCCCTCATAGCACTGGAGTGTCACATTTTGTGCTCACCAAATAGCAACTTTTTTTCCCCCTAATTGCTTGGCTTTTTAAATATGTAAATGTAATAAATGTGAACTTTTGAAACAAAATGAAAGCCATTACTGTTTTCCACTCCCTTACTTTACAATAAGAACACATAGGCTCAGAGGATTATACGATCTTTTGAAAATCACATAGCTCATTAATGATAGAACCAGAATCAGAGCTTAACTCTCCAGATCACAAGCCGGTGCGGTTCTATCCAACCAAGTTCCCTTGTTAGCAGTGTGTATGTATGTATGTATGAACAGGTTGGGGATCTGGGATTTTTCAGCACTATGATGTGCTTTGGGTAAGAAACTGCCTTCTGAAATCGTAAGAAAAGCCAAGATTTAATTAAATAATAATTAATAACAGTTAAATATGACTTTTAAATGTTAAGCGTATTATATTCAAATGGAATGTTTAGAACATTTGCTAAATATTTTAAAATCTTGCTCTTTAATTTCCCTTAAATCATTTTATAATTAGTGTTTAGTGAAATTTTAGCCATCTCATATTTCTCATTAATCCCCACCTGAGCTAATCCTTGGCCACCCTTCAGTGTCTATGTACCCAAAGCAAGACTGTAAAGATTCCTATGATAGCTATGGCCAAAGGGGAAAAACAGCCTCTGCAGAAGGGTCAAAGATAACAAAAAGTGAGCAGTGCCTCAAGAATTTTAAAATATATAAAGTTTTCCTGCAAAAACTAAACTACTAAAACCAACCCACAAAGGGCAAAAGTTGCCATCTGCAGTAACCCACTTAACAGACAGGATATCTCCCTCGTCAAAAGCAGGAAGGACAGGTCCTGGAAAACCAATCAAGCCCTAAGTAAATGTGAAAGAAGGCTGTATTTTAAATTCCCACTATTAACACGGCCAAAGAATGAAATGTATGAGCAGCAATGGAGTGGTTTGCCTGGAGACTAGAAGAAAGAAAACCTGAAGACTGGATAATATATTTCCAACCTTTTTCAGGAAAGTCAGGATCCACTTGCCCCAAATGACATCTCCTCTTGACTGCTATACTTGTCATTTTAAATTAATATGCTGACATTCTTATTTACAGATCAGTTTGTAAATGATTTTTGTCATTGTGGATCACCCAGAGAGTCTGAAGAACTCTGGACTGTGGCAGACCATGAAATGGCTACGATTCCCCCCTCCAAAGGCCCACCTCTTTACAGTGTGACTTTGTAGCTCCTCCCAAGAGGAGGAAAATATACATGCAATTCCATGGTTCCAATTATCAGACCCCAGGAACAACATGAGTAAAGGTAGAAAAATGGAAATGAGAGGGGTATGTTCATGAGCTGGTGAAGACTGTTAACAGTTTTCTTAAGAGAAGTGGAGAGATAGTTACTGAGCAGAAAGGAGCTAGGGCTGAGCATGGTGGCCTGTGCCTGTAAACCCAGCTAATTGGGAGGCTGAGGTGGGAGGATCACCTGAGGTCAGGAGTTCGAGACCAGCCTGGGTGACAGAGTAAGACCTCATCTCGAAAGAAAAAAAAGACAAGACAGGACAGGACAGGACAGGACAGGACAGGACAGGACAGGACAGGAAAGGAAAGGAAAGGAAAGGAAAGGAAAGGAAAGGAAAGGAAAGGAAAGGAAAGGGAGAGAGAGAAAGGAAGGAAGGGAGAGAGAGGAAGGGAGGAAGGGAGAGAGAGGAAGGGAGGAAGGGAGAGAGAGGAAGGGAGGAAGGGCGGAAGGAAGGAAGGAAGGAAAGAAGGAAAGGAGGAAGGAAGGAAAAGAGCTAGCCAGACAGGAGCATGATCTGATGCAAGAGGTACTGGAAGAAAAGTCCATCAGAAATGCTGGGTGGATGGGTGGGGGCAGTGCTGGGGAGGAAAAGGCATCAGGGAGGGAGCTGGAGGGGCAACTTCTAGGCATGAGGAGCAGGCTGCACATGAAGGGATGGAGTGTAGATGAAAATTTCAGTACAATTTTGAAGACACAAAAAATTTAACTAGATTAGTGACTGAAAGTGCATGCATTCAAAATGATGCCATGGTTTGAAGCCAAGGAAAATAAACAGTGAAGCAGACGGAGGTCAAAAGACAGTTTGCTCAACTGAGAAAAAAAAAATAGGTAATAGCTAATTAAGTAGTCAAGAGCCAACCTTCTGTGGTTACCCAGAGCTGAATCCTTGCTCTGTCCTTTGCAGCCGAAACCTTTAAGTCTCGGCCTCCTTATCTATAACATAGGTTTACTATTACAGACCCTATAGGGCTGTGGTGAAGGTTAAATGAGAAATTACATGATGTGGCTGGCACAGTGCCCAGCTCACTGTAAGCACATTTGATTAATTATAGCTCTTAAAATAATAATAGTAGAAGCAACAACAATAATAACAACAGTAGTAAAAAGAACGGACTTCAAGGAGAATGACACTTCCCTTTGTTTTTACAGATACAATAGGCTTTGGTAAAATTTCCCAGGGGTCTATCAAGATAAAAAATCACTCTGATGGCAATTCTGGAACTAGGTACACTCTATCTAGCAGGGTCAGGAAAGAAAGGTCTGGATTCCAGTCATGACTCTTTTATAGTTATTTACCCCAAGTCTTGGTTTTCTCATCTACATGCTTGTTATGAAATGATGTATTTAGAAATACACAGTACGCTGTGAAGCTCTACAGAAATATCAGTTGGCCCTACTCTTACTGCTCTATTTGTACTAAATAATTCCTGAGATGCCTAAAACTATTAACACAAATTCTAAAGCTGTCTGACATAACAACATCCAGAACATGCTGAAATCCTGGCTAATTCCACAACGCACAAGAAGGGCAGAGAACAGAGCCGAGTTCCTGTTTTGCTGCTTCTTTCTGTAATTTGTGGGTAGAGACAGCCTGGGGAAGAGAATCCTGGAACCACACTGCCTGGATTAGAATCCCAGTCTCTCATGCCTGTGATCCCAGTTTCTCACATCTGTAATCCCAGCACTTTGGGAGGCCGAGGCAGCCAGATCACGAGGTCAGGAGTTCAAGACCAGCCTGGCCAATACGGTGAAACCCCATCTCTACCAAAAATATAAAAATTAGCTGGTCATGGTGGCAGGTACCTTTAGTCCCAGCTACTTGGGAGGCTGAGGCAGGAGAATAGCTTGAACCCGGGAGGCGGATGTTTCAGTGAGCCGAGATCGCATCACTGACTTCAGCCTGGGCGACAGAGCCAGACTCCGTCTAAAAAAAAGAATCTCAGTTCTACCACCTATTCATTGTGCTAACCTGGGCAAGACTCCTAACCTCTCCATTTCTCAGTTTCCTCATCTGTAAAATGGGAATACTTATACCACCTACTATGGCGTTGCCACAAGGCTCAAAGGAGTTAGTAAGTATTAAACAAAGTAAAAATAATAAGCAATGAGTAACTAGCGTAAGAACTCTGTCCATGCAAGTTTCAGCAACTGTGTGTGTAAGCAATCCAGGCCCCACTTACGTATAATCCTCCAGGTCCCACTTACTTATAGTCCTACCTGCTCCTTTCTTAACTCAGGTCAGTGCTTGTCTCATGAGTGGCAAGTCACTGAAAAATAAGAAAGAGTCACACTCTTCCTCTCTTATGAATCACCAAGTTCAATAAAGTCGAGAATTTCAAAAGGGCATTCAAGCCGCTTACACATATAAGGCCCCTAAATGCAGCTGCTCACATGAGGAATTTTAGTCACGTGATTAGTGAGTGCCCATCACCAGAAAAGCAAGGCAGGGTTAAAAGGAAGGGCTAAACTAAAAATGCAAAGGGAGGCTGTCGAAAATCACCTGACTGGAGAGGGCATGCCCAGGCGTGGGGAGTGGGAGAGCCCCCTGGCTGTTGGCACTGCCGTCGTAGGGTGTGAATAACACAAGGATGGCATTTACTTGGAAGAAGGCTCATTTGTTGAGATGACTGCCTTTACAGAAAGGCAATCAGAGCCACTGGGCAATGAGGATGACTTAGTTCAATGGGCATCTCCCATCCCTCCTTCTCCAGCAGCACAAACAAAGGTAAAGCAAGATGGGGAGCTGCCATTTATACAAAAACTGTATTGTAAATGCAGAGGCTTAAAAGCAGGTGAAATAGATGGAAGTTGTAGAACAAAGGCCAATGGAAA
This sequence comes from Homo sapiens, assembly GCF_000001405.40. Classification (NCBI taxonomy): domain Eukaryota; kingdom Metazoa; phylum Chordata; class Mammalia; order Primates; family Hominidae; genus Homo; species Homo sapiens. The sequence continues at coordinate 145,881,139 of NC_000004.12, forward strand.
ACTACAGTATATGACACAAACACATTAACCTACACCCTACGTTTATATGTGAACACCTTTGCTGTTTAATGGATGAGCTACTAATAAGTCAGAAACAGTTTAGCTTATATCCATTTGTTCATAAACTGTCTCTGTGAGGCTAAAAGTAAGTTAGTGCTTTAAAGAAGTCCATCTCTCCTAGTTAAAATTATTTTGGTCTCAATTTTACGAAATTAATATGATGTGGGAGACAGCACAACAATTTTTGCTGGCTTCCAAATTAAAAATAGTTGAAATGACATATCTTTTATTTTGGAAAACCAGGGACAAAAAGATATTCCCAGCCAACAAGTGAAGTGCCAAGTTTCTGTCAACTGCTTGGTTATAATTTGGAGAGTTAGAATTAAATTTTATATCTTGAAAAGGGTAGTTTTCGGAAAAAGAAATGATGTAAGGCCGTTGCTGCAGGCAACTTTTAATCAGGCTTCTAATAATGACGACCCTCCCAGTTCCTTTATGCTCTGCACTGAATCTTGAGACTTTTTAACTGGAGAAACTCCCCTGTCAGGAGGCCCCACAAGGAAACACCTGGGGCTCCATGAACACAACTCACCCAGGCCTCTCCTTCATGTCAACCTTGACCTATGGTGAAAGCCACAGGCCTATCTCATACCACCATGCCCCGTTTCATGGTCTCGGCTGGAGACCACAGGAACAAAACTGCACTGATGAAAACCGTAGCTGTACCAAAAAATACTGTACCATGTAACAAGTTTATATTCCACATCAGTGGTCCTCAGCCCTGGCTGCACACTAAAATCATTCTGCACATTAAAATCATTTGAGGATATTAAAGAAAATACCAATGTCCAGGGCCTATCCCAGTGAATCATAATTTCTGGGCCCTGGCATTTTGTGAAAAACTCCCCAGGCAAGGCTAATGTGCAGCCGAGGTTAAGAACTGCTGCTGGCTATGGGTGACAAGGCACAGAATCAGCAGGAACTTAGCTCTCCGCAGTCGGGTGAACACCTTTTCCCTGAACACCCTAGCCACGTGACCACTGGCTCACCTGCCCTGACATGCAATGATTTGCATATGCTTTCTGGCTTCCAGGAAAGAGCTGCTGGAACATACAGGCCTGGAGTCCTCTCAGGTCTGCCTCAGTCTAAACCGTGGGTGAAATCTACAAAATTCATTTTTCTGTCAGCCCTGAAAGCTGCCCATACTATTCCCTGAATCAACTGCGATGCCGGGCCTGGAAGCCTCCGTTTTGCAAGCAGCATTATTTTTGAAGGACCAAGCAGTGTTAAGTGTGGGCTCAGTCAGAAGAATAGCTGATAGTTTGGAGAAGGGATTTTATTTCACAATCATGCACGTTAAGAAACCTCTAACAGGAATGGGGGTGGGGGGTATTGAGAGTCCATTTAAAACAGTATTCTATCCACTGACTTTTAATCCCACTCGGTTCCATTCAATCATCTTTATGCTTAGTTTTAGTTGAAGGAGCAAGAAAGACTCCCCTTAATAACCAGGCAAGAAAGCATCAAGTGTTTTCTCTCTTTTGGAAACAAGTAGGTGTCTGCACGCTTGAATTTGTCACTGTGCTCCAGTTTTGCAGACAGTGATCTGGCTGGCACAAAGATTCACAGACTCAGTGCCCACAAACAGCTGCACCCTACAGTACCAGCAGGTGCACGGACAGAGCCCAGGGAAAAAATTCAGTGCAAGAACAATGGCGCCGTTATAACGCCAAGGGACAAGGCCCGAGACTAGCCACTACTTCACTACATTTGATGATGGGAAGAGCTAGAAACTCAGCCGCAGCTCCCTGGGATTTGGCCTTTTTGTCCCTAAATCATATCCACAGACACAGCCAGGTAGGGCATCACAGTGAGAGCAGCTATCAAACGTATGGCCAGACCAACCAGAGGGTAAGTAAAATTAAAAAAAAAAAAAAAATCGCTCTAGAAAATGTATTCCTTTCCTTTTAACTTATCTTCTCCTCTCCTGAGCTGCATTGCCACAGTCACCAAGTTTACATTTACATCCAAATATGCACACACAAAAAAATTAAGGATGCATCTCACTCCCCAGTGACTTTATAACAGGTTGCTAGGTAACAGTGCATACAAGTCAGGTTTCAGGACCTCCAGTAAGCCACCATAAAATAGCCACATGGGCCTTTTGCATAAATAGTGTGTGCATTTGTTATCTGTTTTCTTATGCCAATTATCAGTCAGTAAATATTCTGACTACCAAACCATAAACAACTCCCCATCAATAGCTAACTGAAAACACAGATCACAATATAAGGCTTTGATGCGCAATTCTTCCCCCCAACCTATCAACTGGCTTCTCCCCTCGTGTCTGCTGCTTGCAGTGCTGGCTCTAAGCAGCCTTATCTTATGCTCCCTGAGATTGGGTCTAGAGCTAATTACAGCGTAATGTGAGCACTCAGAGCTGAGCCCAGCAGAAGCCATGCATCATACACAAGTGTTTTATCCAAAGACCAAACCTTCCCTGTTCTCGCTCAACTTCCTCTAGATTTTAAAACATCCCTGGAGTCATGGAGTAAAGGGAGTAACACCTTATTCAGAGTCATTCACCCCCACTCGGATTGCCCCTGTCTGTTAGGTAAGGAAATGTCCCCCTTTCTAAGCTATGTGATGTGAATATGTCATTTGCATTCCTTCCCTGGGGATTGCACTATAAGGGCCCATAAAAGGAGCCCCCTTTGCTATCACGGTGGCAGGGAAGACAATCAAGGAAAAACTAGAGTTCCCCTGGAGGTGAAATCCTAAAGGATCAGAACAGCAAACATGGAATACATGAAAACATGTATTTTCCCCACATGTTCAAAAATTTTTAAATATAAAACTCAAAGTCTCTAAAAATCACATTTTCCCCTAGATTGGAATAGAGGAGGGAGAAGTCGGGGGAGAGAGGTGATGAGGAGCAGAGAAGCCAGTGTTCTTTAGAGCCAGAGTCAGAAACTTGGCCAATTCCAGCATAGGGCCCCCTCACTCTCATTGCCAGTTGGTGTGCTTCACTGTTACATTCCCCGCTCTTTGCCTACTTGGTTCATTTCTGGGACATCTCATTTTCCATCCCCTACCTTTCCTCATTTCTTCCAACTAGTGTCTCCCACTCCTGAGGAGCAAAGATCTGTGGTAAGGGGGACATTCCAAAAGACCCGACTGAAGTGTCCCTGAGCAAAGGGACTTCAGAGTGGAGCTGAACCTCTAATTCACCTGGCAATGACATTTAGTGAAATGCGACTCACATTCCATTTAAAGGAAGGTGGTGACCAATTATTCTCCATTTAAAAGGGTATTGTCAATCTCCAAAGAGCTGACATGGCATTTGGAAATCATCGTGGGGACTTCCATCTTCACTGAAATACAGAACCAATTCTCCACCGACCTTTCCCCACCCCCTACATCTCCTTTAAAATTTAAAATCATACTCTTAAAAGCGTAATGAGTAGCTGCACAATCCTGCAACACACCTTATCATTCCAAAAGAGAATGACAGGAAAAACAAAGTGCCCTAAGACCTTGATGCCCCTTTTCAACACCACGACTTAAATCAAATATGTTGGGAAAAAATGATAAAAAAAGAAACATCATGTACAATTTGATGGTGATAGAAAGAATGTCAACTAATAAGAATACATCTTTATAATTTATACTCCATCTTTTTTTCCCAAATGGATCAGGGCAGTTTTTTTAAAAAAAGAATTTTTTTTAAAAATGTGTTTTTAAATTCCACTTTATATGAGGTCCCTATAGTCAGATTCAAAGACATAAAGTAGTGGCCTCCAGGGCCTGTGGGGGAAGAGGTGAACCGAGAGTTGTTTAATGAGTTTCAGTTTGAGAGAATGAAAAAGTTCTGGAGATGGATGGGGGTCAATGGTTTGCACAACAATGTGAACATACTTAATGTCATTGAACTGTGCACCTAAAATGGTTAAAATGGTAAATTTTATGTTAAATACAGTTTGCCATAATAAAAAAATTTCCCATTAAAAAAACCTGAAAAACTTCTTAAAGATAGTTATCATTTGCTCAAATTTTAGAAGTCTATAATTCCTAATAGTAGTCTTTGTATATATGTCCTTTAAAAATCTTATAAATTAAGACAGTAAAGAACTTGAATAATGCCAAAATGAGGTATTTCATACAAGTCCAGTGCAGAAGAGACATGTTAAACAGGGCCCAATGTCACACAAGCAACTGACACAAGCCTGGCTTACCATGTGACCATTCCCCCCTACAGTAAGAACTCACCAAAGGGAAAAAAGCAGAAGGAAATCAACAATCCCTACTGTTTTGAGACCCAAGCCAAAGCAATACTACTTCCAAAGGATTACACACACACAAAGTCAAGGAGAAAATGTATGGAAGTGCAGACTATCCAAATTTAAAGGGACCTTGAAATCATCTAGTTCTACCAGCTTATTTTACAAATAAGAATACTGGTAGACAGAGACAGAGAGAGAGAGAGAGAGAGAGAGAGAGAGAGAGAGAGAGAGAGAGAATACAACCCTATTCAAGTACCTGACAGCTTCATGAGAAAATCAGACGCCATCTTAACAGAGATGTCCTGGCTGAACAATGCTGACGCACTGTTGGCCACATACTCGGAGGGGTCTTTCAGCTTTGTGTGGTTGGCGGGCCTGTCGGCAGCATTCAAAGTAAAGGAGGTGGGCAGGCCGTTATCTTCCTTGGGTTCCTCCTTCACCAGCAAAGGCGAGACGCCAGCCCCTCCCTGGCTAGTCCTCTCTGGAGTGTTAGACGTCATCATGGTCCCCACTAGCTCTGTCCCTCCTCCTTCCCTTTGCTGCCCCAGGCAGGCACTGTCACTGAGGTGGGGAGATCCCTTGACATCTGGGTCTGGGATCTCCTCCTTCACCTTGGCTTCTGTCCTCAGGAAGTGCTGATGGCAACGCATGTGGAGTTTCAGGCTGAAGTGGCGTGAGGAAGTAAAAGGGCACAGCTGGCACTGAAAGGTCTCTCCCCGATCCTGGTGCTGATGAACCTGACGGAGAAGCAAGAAGAATGAGCTAGCCACCGTGCATTTATGGAAAATGCCTTGCTGTAGATCCAGACTATTCATCAATCATTTCCTCACCGTGCAAAGGGCTGGCCTTTGTACTGCAGAGCATTTCACTATGGGGCTCCAGGTAATGAGGCCAATCCCTAAACATAAAGTGGGTCCACATAGGTTAAGAGTCCATTATTAGGGCCATGCTCACAACTGAGGATGCAGCCGGCCAACGGATGCTATTTTGGGTAGCATCCCACTATTCTAGTCATCTGATCTCAGTTGATGTCTTCAGAGAAAATATTATAAACCCAGCACAATCCAAACTTACAAAATTACTAGTTGGGGATCAAAAGAGGTAACCTGTCAAGTAATTCCTCTCACAATAATGATACTTTGCATTCATCCAATTTTTTGTTAGTTATGTTCTGCAAACATAATTTCAGTTTTCAAAATGCTGCTCTTAGGTAATTAAGAATGTAGAAAATAATGTCTCCAGGGTATTCCCGTTTCAAAGACAGAGAAATTGAGGCCCCAGAATAAATGGATTGAGCGAAATTACATACAAAAAAAAAAAACAAAGTAGGAGAAAAACCAAGGTCTGACCCTCACCAAGTATTCTGAGCAAGAGGAAACCAATTTTTCCAAACGTGGCTATAATATCATGCTCCAGATTCTGACGTCTGCAATGAAAGAATGCAGACTTTTAAATCCAGTTCCAGTCTTGCATGCACATGATACCTGTAAAAATTGGGAGAAACTTTTTCTTCCTGTCACTACCAAATTTAGTGCTTAAAAAAGTGAGGAAATCATTGCATTGGCCTGAGCCAGGCTTTGAGCTGGCAGGTGCTCATAAGCTTGTAACTTCCCCATTTATCTCTGCCAATGCACTTTAGTGCTGACCTGCTACACTCTGCTATTTCAGGACTGGTCCTCCCTTAAGTAGAACTGCCAATTGTGTAGATGTGGGCCAAATGATTTGGGGAGCTGTGTGATCTGAACAAACAAGTGAGTGATTGGAACCCAAAAGCAAAACAAAACTGACACCTCCTCTTTTAGGGGTGACCTAAGCAGGACTCGAACCCAGGTCTCACCAAGGTTAAAGGCTCATGCGTTAATCCGCTGCACCACCTGGCCCCTCTCGGTAGGTTTCCTTTCCAAGAGAGCAAGTTTTACAACAGCTGTTTATGCATTCTGAATGCAATCCAAAAGCATTATTCACCAGCCAAAACATACTTTTAAATAATGTTAAGTGACCAACAAAAGCAAAGAAATTAAAAGTTAATGGTGAGATCCTGTCGCTACAGCACCCCACTGTGGCTTTTTGAAAAAAACAACAGAAGAGATTCTGGGTCCCCCAAAGCACGAGTTTCTTAACAGAAATAGCCATATACACTTAAACTCAGTTAGGCAAAGTCCTGATCATGGAAAGGCTTTCCCTCTGCTGGGGTGGAGTGCTGGGGGTGGGGAAACACACTGATTGTCACCAGCTGTTAACATCACCCCTTTCTGTTCTTTCACAACAAAAGGATTTCACTAGGAGCTGACCATTTCATTGCTTTCTCACAGAATCCCCACCATCTCCTCCGACCAATTCACGCAGAAGCAGGCACCTTGGGGACCTCAGGTCACAGTCCCATGGGACCCTGACCGGTGCTGCCAAAAGCATGCCCTGGAACCAGGTGATAAAGGTCACGAGTTAGAGAGCTTCCATTGTCCCTGAGAGCAGTGCAGTGGGGCAGATCCATTTCAGAAGTGTCCTTACATCTACTGACCCAGGAGAGGAGGGGAGCTAATCCAAGAACAGAAGCTCCGGAAGCAGCTTCTGGAAGAAGGAAAAGGACAGAGCACAAGCCCAAGTTCTAAAATCAAAAGGGAGTCCTGGATTAAAAACCGTCTATGTGCATGTATTTTATGTGACTTCTTTTTCACCAGATCCTGGCCTTGTTATATTTAGTTATGGACAAATTAGTGAAGCTTTAAAGGAAAAACAGTGGGTATTTTGTTGACTTTTGCACTTAACAATTTTTTTTGAGCTACAACTTCCCAAAAGGACTATATATCACATTTGGCCTTTGAGAGAAGTATTAGCTCTATCCTCTGACTGCAGTTTTTCCCCCTTCTCTCCTGACATTCGAGCACTTTTCTGTCATAATTTTTATTCTCTTTAGCTTGACATTTGCTTTAAAGATCTTCTTAGTCTACTAAAATGAAGACATGCTTCTCTAAAGCACGTCATTCTCTCCAGGCCATGTTTAGGGGCTCACCTATCCTCTGGTCATTTCACACAAACAACCCATATCAGGTGCTGTTACATCATTAGGGCCATCTCTTCACCATTGGGGCCATTTCTTGGTAGCAGTTGGATGCTTGGGTTGTGGTATTTCAGAGCTTGGGGAAATTTTGGGAAACCTCTACTCCATCCCCCACTAGGGGGACAGGTGAGGGCCTTCATGAGAAGTTAGAGCTCCTTAAATGGCAGACCTGAGGCTACTAGAACTCAGTACCCTGACTCTCGGTCAGTTTCCTGCTAATACTTCACCAGTGTTCTTTATCTTAGCAGTCTTCCTCACCTTTTCTGTTCAATTTTAGCTTATGAATTCATGTTGAATTCCTGTATGTTCACTTATCCAGGAAAATTTTAAAGGACTTAATGGAAATCTGAGATAACCCCAAGGAAATCTGGAGGCCTTTATAAGCTCCTTCCACAGCGGGTGATAAAAACATTTGCACGATATATTATGAAGGAAAGGTGGGCTAAAAGAATGTACAGTGCCTAGGACATAATAGGATAGAGTAAGTACTATAATACAAATGCAGTAAGTACTATATTTGTTGAACAAAGAAAGTAGAATCCCATTTTTCTTTAAAACATCGATATACCAATATAGAAGAATATACATCAAAGTGATAATGGTTATTTATCATTCTTGGTGATGGGATTAAGGATCAACTTTATATTCCTTTGTTTATCAGTTTTTCTAAGTTCTCAGCACTAAAGACAGATCACAAAAAGGGAAAAGGAATAAAATTTATTTTAGAGTAATTTTTTATACCATTTCATTGATTATTTCTAAATGTAAATAAACATTAATGTATATTGAGATGGCTTTCCGATAATGATCACTGTATTAGCTACATTTACTGAATGTTGTTTCTCCAGGCTGGGCACTGTATTAAGTGCTTTATGTGCATTATCTCATTTAACTCTCATAACAACCCCATGAGACAGACTGTATGATTATTATCTCCATTAGTGGAAACAGAGGTTTGGAGAGGTTAAATGATTCTTTCAAAGTCTCACAGTTCCTAAGGTGGAACTGAGATTCTAACTAAGGTTTTTCTGACCATACAGTTTGAGATCTTAATCTCTGGCTATACTGACCCCACTTTTTTTTTTTTTTTTTGAGACGGAGTCTAGCTCTGTCGCCCAGGCTGGAGTGCAGTGGTGCGATCTCGGCTCACTGCAAGCTCCGCCTCCCGTACTGACCCCACTTCTTAGGCAGAATTCATTAAGAAAATCTGTCCACGGCCGGGTGCAGTGGCTCACGCCCATAATCCCAGTACTCTGGGAGACCGAGGCAAGTGAACTGCCTGAGGTCAAGAGTTCAAGACCAGCGTGGCTAACATGGTGAAACCTCGTCTCTACTAAAAATACAAAAATTAGCCAGGCGTGGTGGCGGACGCCTGTAGTCCCAGCTACTCGGGAGACTGAAGCAGGAGAATCGCTTAGAGCCCGGAGGCGGAGGCTGCAGTGAGCCAAGATGGCGCCACTGCACTCCAGCCTGGGTAAGAGAGCTAGACTCCGTCTCAAAAATTAAAAAAAAAAAAAAAAATCTGTCCGTCCATATTTGTAGTCTCTGGTGGATGTAGCAGAGGATATCTACCCATAAGACTACAACCATTATATTTCCAGGTAGACTAGATTTGCAAAATGTAGCAAAATTAAAGTATTTTAACCAAATAAAATCATGAATGCTTTGATTAAAAAAAGAACAGCCAATAAGTGAGGTGGAAAGCAGGGACAAGAAAGAATATACCGTTTGATAAAATTAAACTTGCATGAGCTCTTCTCACACTTCCCGTATCAAAAGCTCAAGTCATAGCTCAACAGGTTAGGACACCATGAGTTTGAATAAAGTAGTAATTTCACACAACTGCTTTATCGTACTGGTTATTGATTTGTTCTGAAAGCATTCTAAGACCCCACGACCCACAAAGCCCTTGCAGCTCTCATCTGTGACACTGCCATGGCCGGCCGTCTGTGTCATCAAGGCACCCAACTCATCTCCCTGTAGTTTCAGGGTCAGTAGTTCCTGCTATTGAAAACCCTGCTTTTTTTCCATGGGTTTATAAATAGGTTGTTTTAAGTGACCCTGAGCTGAAACCAAGCTTACAAGGTGTCAGGCTAGATGCAAGTTTTCTGCTCGCTGAAGCTTTAAATTTGCCAGACCTGATTTCTAAACACAGCTTAGGAAATAGTAACTAAAACAAATTTTCATTTTAAAGGCATTTCTTTTGAAGTCTCATCCTGCTAACGAAATTCAACTTTGCAGGTTTAAAATACAAGTTTTTACTCTGGGAAGACGTGACAGAGGATGAGGAGGGTTAAAGTAAAAACTAAGTCGGCTGAGTAAAATTCAGCCAACCAGAACTCCTGGTTAAATGGATTCTGAAGATGAAGGGCATGCTACTCCCAGGAGACAAAGGCAAATGATAGAAAACAAATTACATCATGGATTTAAATTTTCTTAATCTTCCAAGCTATTTCCTAAAGTCAGTAGAGGTTCTATCTGGTCACACTTTTTTAGAGCTACAATTCTGAAGAGTGATTACTGATCTATTTAAAAGGATTAGACTGCAAGATTTCCAAATAAGCAAATACCTTAATTATGTCCATACATTATACTTCTTATGGTAGGAAAGTAAACACTTTATAAATAATGTCAACAGCCAAATCATATCGAAAATATCAGTGAAGATATGATTGCTATTAAGATGCTCAATGATAGTTATTAGAATTAAATAACTTCCATTGAAAATTCCTGTGTCAGATATTTGGTTAATATTCTCTCCTTAAATACTAATGACAACTCTTCCAGACAAACATTATGATTCCCATTTAACAGATGAGAAAATTCAGAGTCTAAAGGTTAACTTGCTCAAGGCCACTTAGCTAGTAAGTTGCATAATAAGATTTCAATTCAGGTCTATCAAATTCAAAAGCCCATGCTCTTTTGATCCCATGAGTTTCCTCCTGGATTTTGAGACAAAACCCTTTGCATTAACGGAGTCAGCTAAAAAGATTTCCATCTAACTAAGTTTTCCCCCATCTCATATAAGAGGGACTCATGGATTCCAGTCAATTTTTCTGTACATGTTTAGTGTAGGTTTGAGCTCCCCAGTTGTTTTTAATAGGACATTGAAAATTATGTCCTTGGATGTTTGGTAAATGTAATCCTGGGAATTATGATAGCTCAAACAATGACAGCCTCAATGAGGACTACAGTCTTGTTAGAAAGGGCCCCCAAGCCTCCCACAGGGCTAAATAAAGTTAAAGGCCCGGTGCCTTCACTGTCTTCATGCCTCCTACACGGTGTCTCTGTGTGTTCCTCTTAGTTTGCAAGCTGGAGGGTAAGGCAGTAACAGCCAAGGGCAGTCTCTCCAGGAAGGGGAGCAGGTTCAACAGCCCTCTCTTTGGTGCTCAGTCCAGCAGCTCTTCCTGAACTTGGCTTTCCCTGCTTCTTGCTATTCCCCAGCCCTGCCTCTGAGTGCCCCAAGAAATGCGTCAGCACACAGGCCAGGCAGGCTGTTGCTCCCCTATAGGAGAGGACCGCCCTCCAGTAAATACATTATTTGGATATCGAAGGTTCTCTCTCTCTGCCTTTAAGTTCTTGGCTGCAAAGTGGACATTAACACCTTTCTGTTGAATTCTACCTTGCTACGTGGAGTACTGTCATCCGCATGTTTCATCAGTGAGGCGCCCTCCCTCGGCCAAGAAGCCTCCTGCACCAGACCATGTACAGAAGCCCTGGCTGTGCCTGCCTCTCCAGGAGGTGCAGTCGGTAGGTGGCTTACCTTCATGTGGGATTTGAGATTGTCCTTGCGAGCACACCGGAATGGACAGAGCGGACACTGATGACTTTTTAAACCTGTGTGAATCACCATGTGCCGCTTCCAGTAACTCTTCCTTTTAATAACCAAACCACATATTGGACACTGGAAAGGCTTTCCACTTTCCTCTTCTGAGGCTTGGAAGAAGGAGAAAGAAAGGACCATTAAGGAAAACAAAAAGGTACACTGCATCTGGCATTAATTCACATACACTGCCATATAAAAAGCACTAAAAATGATTTGGGTTTTTTTCTTGACAATTCCGAGATTTTATCCATAAGAAAGTTTTAGTACTGCTTTTCTTCAGGTAGAAACCCATATTCACCTAGTTACTTCCATCTGGGCTCCATTTTCCAAAATCTGATCATCCTGCCTTGTGAAAGTCTGACTTCCAAAGGCCATCCAACACTAAGGAAGACATCGGCAAAGGGGCTTCGCCCAGCCTGTCCTAACTCAGGGCCCAAGGGCACCATGCACAGTCAGAGAAGTCTGAATGCAGGGGCTTTGTTTCCTGAAGGAAACTGTCAGACTCAAGTCCATGTCTGAATTCCTGAACTTTGAAAACAGTGAGAAATAAAAACAAATCACATGGGACAGAGAATAATGCACTGCTCCACACTGAAAACCAAACAGCTAGCATAAACCTCACTCTCTGAACTCCAATGGAGACAAATTTTCGGATCCCTACTGCTGACTTGTTTAGTTGTGGCTTGAGCAGATGCTGCTGCCAATTTAGCCATCAGGGGGTCTTAAGGTCAGGGTTTTTGACCCTTTTATTTCTGTCCCTTTGGTAGCCACTAACAATATGTGCTGCCTTCCTCTGCACGGTGACTGGGCCTCATTGCCCACTTTGGGAAGAGCTGCAATGAGGCCACCACAAATGCTCCAATCTTTCAAGAAATTAAACAAACCAACTACCTCCTCCAAATAAAGCTAAGGTCGCTCTCAAAGTGAAGGGTCTCTGTTGTGACACTATTGCTAAACTTTTGGTCTACCAATTTATATTGCTCAGTGCCACACTAGCCTCTGCAATTTAGGGATACAGGGAATAAAAAGAAGCAGAATCAAGAACTTAGACATTTCTTTCTTAATCATAAGGAATCAGAAATATTTCAAAACCGGTTAAATGACTTAGCATATGTGCCCACAATAAAATATAAAAAGCACTTTTAAAAATGAGCTAGATCTACAGACGATGATATAAAAACATGTCCAAGATATTAGCATTGGTGGATAAAGCAAGATACAAAACCATATATCCAGGGTAATTCTATTTTTGTTTTCTAAAAAAGTGGAAATCAGTCACAGCTAAAACCATTAGGTGAAATATTAGCAGGGAACTTTATAAAGGATGGATCAGTTGACAACACCTAAAACCACTAATTAATCTTAACATTACTAAAAATGGGGCAGATACCATGTGCCTTCTGATATGTCATCTGTGAAATGTCCTTATAAAAAATTAAACAATCCTCTATATAACTAACCCTTTATTGGAAATACAATTGATTTTTTAAAAAAGTGTTAAACACACCAACGGGATGAAATCAGCCAAATCTATAATGTGTGAATTCCTCAAGACAAACGACCCAGTTTCTTCAACATGTAAGTGGCATTTTTAAAAGAGAAGGGGTTATGGAAAAATAAAGACTTAAGAGATATATACAAAAAAAAAAAGCAAGGTGTGAAGCTTATTTGGATTCTGTTTAAATAAAACCATTGTAAAAGGACATTTCTCAGATAATTGAGGAAATACTGATTATAGCTTGGATGTTCCAAAATATCACTTAGCAATTGTTTCTGTTAGATGTGACAGTGGAATTGTGGTTATTTTTTTAAGTCCTTATCTGGTGAAGATATATACATGGAAGTATTTACAAACAAGCGGATATGATGTCTGGGATTTGCTTTAAAATACTTGAGAAAAAATAAAGGGAGGGAGTGGGAAGAATGGCATGAATAAATGGAACAAACAAAAAATGGTATCTTTTTATTTGCATATGAAAACTTCCTGGAAGCATACCCAGGAAACCACTAAGCAGTTACCACTGAAGGATTGTGGATTAAAAGGAAGGAATCAGGAGGGAAACTTGTGTTTTCATTTCATATCCTTCTGTACTATTTGAATTTTTTAATGTACACATTACTCTTTTAATTTTAAAAGAAAATATTCCCAAGAGTATACTTTAAAATAATCTCATCATGTATTTACTGGGTCAACTGAGTCTCTACATACAAAGGAGCACTTCAACTGGATGGAACCAGAGGGTTCTGGAATAAAGTTAGAGCATTCCAAAAATGCAGTTTTACTAATACAGGTCTATTGGTTAGCTCAACCATGCAACTTGAAAAAGAATCAAGTCTGGAAATTCCACTTGTGATGTGTTCCACCACATGTATTTCCTTTTTTAATTGGGGGAGTAACAGGAAATGAGGGTTTCCTTTTACTCTAGGAAAAGCACACCTTGTAGACACATATAAACAAGCATTTTTATTAACCCCCTGTAGCTTTTCTGCTGTCTCTTTTTGTGAATTGCCTCTGCCGATCTGGAGTCCTATCTGTAATTATGTCTCTTGTCTTCTATCCTTCCTTGTCATTTCCTCCACCCTGATATTTTGATCATGAAGACTACAAGATGAACAACAGACTGGAGAGAAAGGACTGAATCAGGCCTCTAGGTGAAATTATTGTCATACACTACAGGGAAATAATCATAACAATGTCTGTTTGGGGTTGTAAGAACATCAAAATAATAGGAAAGAGATAAACAAACAGGCTGTCATTGATCCCCATCTTCAAGAAGTATGTCCCACTATCAAATTCCTAAACTACCTAATTTTACAGAACTGTCTGGAAGAGGAGAGAAAAACTGAGATGTTTTCCACTGACCTGAGATTTCATGGCACACCATAGGAAGGCAATAAAAGGGCATTAGCTAAAAAAATGAACACTGCCGTCTTCCCCTCGCATCTTGCCTTGCCTAATGTGACCAATGCGTTTCCTATTCTTTCTGAGACCCCTCAGTCTTCACCCTAATCAACAATTCTTTATTTCAAATGTTTTACAGAGTACATTACATTTAACCCTGCATATTATTATTTCATATAAATCCATTTAGCTATGCTTCCTTAGTTTTAATTAGTACCAAAATACACAAGTTGGGTACAAATTAGGGTGCACTTGGACTGACTAGGAAAAAAATTAGAACACACAATGAAGAGAAACTAACTGCAAGAAATGTGGTCAAATAGCTACACTACTGTAACTTTTGAAATTTTTAACTGATCACAGCAGGAAAGGAAGATGACAGAAACCAAATGATAAAAGTAACCGAAGTACCATGACTGATTTTCACCTTTGGCCAGTCATCTCACCGATAACATCTACATTTTTATTTATTCAAGAAAGAAATTTCATATTTTAGAGACGTTCTCCATGTGTTTATGATGTTGTTAACTACTTTAAAGAAGGGAGGAAGTAAGGTTGTATTCTATTTCGTATGCCAAACTATTTTCAGGAAACTGACAGCTGTAAATTTCACTCAAAGTTAGAACCTAAGGAAAGAGGACCACTTCCTCAGAATGAACCATACACTCTTGAGGCAATAGGATTGAAATGTTCATAATTTTACCTAGTTTACAACTGCCTAATAAATAACTTTTCCCAAGTATATCACTAGCTAGTTATTATCACTGCAAACACAACTAAATTCCATCAAATGCTAAGAAAACAAGTGGGATGAACAGCTGCTAATTTGCTCCTCTGGAGAAAACATATTCTCTTCATAGGCAATAATATTATTGGAATAAACGAAATAATGAATGTGCATAAGACACCTGTCACATAGTAAATAGAAGCTACCTGTAGTAGCCGTTGTTGTAGTAAGAGTAGTGACAATAAACAAACTCTAAACATGCCCTGCAAAGCTGAAAACTCACCATCAGAGCAGATGTAAATCTAAACAACTAACATCACATAATAAATACACGGTTCAGAGCTTGGCCCAACGTTGTAGTTTGTCACTGGAGCCAATATGAAACAAATAAGCAGAAGTCCATAGTGTGGCTCAGGTAGGATCTGGCTCACCTTAGACAAAATACTGATGGACAATCCAGCTCAGCAGGGAAAAAAAGAGACATGGAAAAGATAGAAAAGAGTGGAGGGAGGAATTGGCTGCAACAGGGCCTGGAAGTCCTTACCTTTGTGTCTCCAGCCCCCAAACAATGCCAGGTACAACATATAATTCAGTAAGTGTGTGTTAGACCGTAAGGAGATTAAATGAAAAAGGTTGGGTTAAGGGAATAGAGAGAAGTGAAATGAGGGCTAGAAATGAAAGGAAAAGACGCAGGAGGCTGCCAGTAAGTCCCAATGGAACTTGTGTTAGGACAAGAGTGTATGTATGCCTTTCACATAGTGCCCCAATACACATTCTAAATGAATGGATGGATAAACAGATAAATGTTCGTGTACTTAGACCTCAGCTATTTCCAAAAATGAACCTGGAGCAGCTTATATTAAAAATGCATATGGAATGACTACATCATTAATAAAGTACAGAGATATATGTTGAACCATTTATAATGAACAAGATCTGCCCAAAGCAGAGATGATCTTATGGGAGGTTTGATAGTGAATTTTAAGAAGCAACATATTAAACTCAAAAATTGGAAAAAAAAGAGTTTGTTTTGAGTTAATAAACAGAGTTTTAAAACACTGAGCTACAGTAGTAAATATAAGCAAGAAATTCTAAAACAGGAAAAGACCTTGGAGATCATCCAGCTCTGTTTACAGATGAGGATACTAAACTGAGGTAGTATGCTGAGAAGTCTCTCTACCAGTTAGTGGCAGAACTGAGATTACAGCTCATCTCTTCACTTCTGGTTTGCTGCTCTACCTATTGTCTATGCATAAATCCACAAAACAACAACAACAAAACTTCATTGGGCTAAAAAAAAATTTTTTTAAATCACGGAGGGTTGTAGTTGCTTAACTGCTTTAACACAAAGGTATTTTTAAAACAAATGTAACTGTTTTGTAGGCTTCGAAATCAAACTTCCTGTTGTTCAATCCTATGTGGTGATTTGCAGCAAGTCAATATAACTTGCAACTGGGTGGTTTCTGCGTATATACCTTACCATAAACTTAGGAGTTCAAGATGCCTGGTGACCCTGGATCTGCATAATCTGTGCATTATTACGGTCTCCATTCTGGACCTACTAACATTACCGGTACACATCTGTGTAGGATGACGACCTATCTTCCTTCCTAACAATACACATGGACTTTAAATCTTTTAACAGAATTTCTTTGTTATGTGTCTCAAATGCTATTTCATGGCAACAAAAAAAGCCTAGGTTAGCAATGGATGTCCCTGGGTTTATCTGTTATTATGGATGCTGACTTTATTAATGCCTATTTTAACTAGTAAATATTCAGAGAAGTCTGATATCTATAGCCATACTAAGTTTAAATCACTGCGAAAATACAATTGAGATTAATGACGGACAGTTCTAAAAATCTAGGTTAAAAAGTGAATTTTCTAAACAAGTTCATATATGGGATCATTCTCAGATTAAGGCTTATTGAGACTTATGGCCGGGTCCTGTGCTTCATGCCTGTAATCCCAGCACTTTGGGGGCCTGAGTAGGGTGGATCACTTGAGGCCAGAAGTTCGAGACCAGCCTTACTAACATGGCGAAACCCCATCTCTACTAAAAATACAAAAATTAGTCGGGTGTGGTGGTGCATGCCTGTAGTCCCAGCTTCTCAGGAGGCTCAGGCACAAGAATTGCTTGAACCCGGGAGGCGGAGGCTGCAGTGAGCCGAGATCGCACCACCGCACTCTAGCCTGGGCTATAGAGCCAGACGCTGTCACAAACAAAAGATTTATTATAATAACCACGGGCCTAATGGGAGTATCAGGAGAGGTGATCTCCCTCTCCGGACTTTGTATGCTTTTGCAATAATTTTAATAACATCACATAAATATTAAAGAAAACAGCAGCCAGAAACCCCCTATGTATTGACCCACAGGAAATATTCTTAGTTCTCAGCTGTATGAGACCAGGTTTGCTTCTAAGAATATTTACATTTTATTCAGTACAATAAGATGTTTTGGAGACCCTCTCTCTGAAACTCTCCCTGTTATTTCTTTTAAACAGGAGTCTGGCATCCTGGGAATCTTGTTGGCCTTCTACAAGAAACTTTGTCTTTAAAATAAAAACCATTTATTTTATTCTTAGCTGCAACAGAACAGTAGCTTCAAAGAGAATTCAGTCAATGTGTGACATTTATCTTTATAGCAAACGGACATAATCTTCCCTCTATCGTGTCCCCTTTCAGAGGAGCCGTGTAGCATGTGCTGGGGGCGCAGGGTCACATGAAAGAAACCTCCCCCTCAAGTGTCACGTCTCTCTTGCAGGGCGGAAAGGCTATCGAGTGGTGGACTCTTAAGGAATTAAATACACCATGACCTGGCAACCACTGAATCCTGTTCAAAAAAGAAGAATAAGGCCAAACCTAAAAGACAATTTTTTTTTCATGGTTTGGACTTCCCTTGACCTAAAGAAGGTCAAAGAAATGGTGGTGTCTAAATTACTCAAGGCGGGATCAGCTTTTCTAGCACATATCTCTTTGTAACTTAAGAATCAACTTTATATGCTTTTTTCTTGCGCATTTTGAGAAATCGCTTTTTAAAAATGAAAGCCCTGCCTGAAATCAGGATGGTGTGTAGTTTATTTTTGTGGCTTTTTGTTGTTGTTCTTGGGGGCGGTTATTATTTGTTTACTTAAGTCATTAGGCAACAGAAACTCTTTTCCCTGCTGTGAGAGGCCAATGCACCTACGTATTTTGAATTAAACTAAGATTTCCTTCTAAGGGAGAGGAAAGAATAATAATGACAAATGTTCCCATACAGGGGTGATGACTCTCACCACATTTCCATAATGCTTCTTAGATAAATCGAAGGTACATCCCAATCCAGCCCCAGGTGGCCCCCAAACCAACAGTATAATGTGTGGAAGGTGGGGGAGGGAGGGGGAGGGAAGAAAAGGGAGTTGGGGAGGGTAGAGGGGACAGATGGAGATGATCCACCTTTCCTTCCACTCCTCAGATGCCAAAATCAGTGATCCCCAGTAACACCAAATCATGTACCCATGATACAAAGACAAATAACAAAATTAGATACTCTGTGAACTCCTTATTAACCCATAATCTAGCTAGGCTGCTGGGAAGTGATGACATTCACTTTAACTGAAAAGAGTGAGGGCATCCCCTCTTCTGTTTCCAAGCCATGCAATAACAAACAGAACTTGAACGTAGGATGGGCCCACGTGGACGTATGGAATATTTTTCGGGTAACAATTTCAAGGACCCTCATTTTCTTGGCAGTGATCTTTCCTCATGCATGAGTTTTACAAAATGAAAGATTTTTTAAATAAAATTACTCTGCTGATGAAGCTGCTTCTTCAAGTCTTAGACTGAACAGAGGCATGTTGAAATGGGAGAGTTGGGGTGGGGAGGCCTTAGGTACAAGTCAATCAGCACAGGGTTCTATAACCCAAAGCTGAGAAGTTCCTTTCCCTCCTCTTTCAGTTTGAACATTCTGAACATCCCTTGATTAAAATATTAAGTGTTTCAGCAATATAATAAATATAGTAAAAAGCAAAGTAAGAAACGATTTCTTATAGATCTCCCATATTCAATTATTCTGAGAACCCCACTGAGTTGCTGGCATAGATTAAGTGTATTTAAACCAAAAAGGAACATAGCTTTTCCCTTGGGTGTATTTCCCACAACAAAACAAACAAAAAGTCTACCATTCACTGGAAGCTCATGACCTCTTTCTCATCTTTACATGTATCTGGTCGTTTGAGTGAAAAAAATTATATTCACAACCATTGCTGGTTATACCGGAGACTTCAATATGACAAAGCTGCTACAGTCTGGGCTTCAGGAAACATGGTTTTATCAGTCACTTCTTTCCAAGTCTTCAATCAACTAAAGTTTATTATTAACTTTGCATAAGCTTTCCCAACTAACAAATGTCCAGATGAATTGTATACTAGAAACGCCATTCACACATTTATTCAATAACTAGATATGCAGAATATACATATATATAATTATTATTTTCTTTTTTTTATTTTTATTTTTTTGAGACAGAGTCTCATCCAGGCTGGACTGCAGTGACACGATCTCAGCTCACTGCAACCTCTGCCTCCCGGGTTCAAGCAATTCTCCTGCCTCAGCCTCCCAAGTAGCTGGGATTACAGGCGCACACCACCACGCCTGGTTAATTTTTGTATTTTTAGTAGAGACGGAGTTTCACCATATTGGTCAGGATGGTCTTGACCCCCTGACCTCAGGTGACCCACCCGCCTTGGCCCCTCAAAGTGCTAGGATTACAGGTGTGAGCCACTGCGCCCGGCCTAAAATTTTATTTTATATACAGCCATACCTCTCTTTCTACTGCTATCCCTAAATGAAATTTCTATAAGTCAGGAGTGATTTTTTCCATCGTAGAACTACCCCAGCCTCCTTTGCTCTTCTCCTTGTTTCCTAATTTTACCCATTTCTCTCCTTATTTCACCAGATGGCAGGTGAGAAGAGAGGAGAAGTGGAACTTAGAATTGACAACATCCTAGGATTTTACTGACATTTCAGAAACTCTGGAGAGAACAGTTTGGATCACCAAGAGTCATAAAAGTCCCAGATACCCATTTTCCTCGTTGTCTTCTGCTGTTGACTCAAGTTTTGAAGTACTTATAATTAGTGAATATAGCTCACTCAGCCATTTAAATGGAAATTTGTCATAAATGCATCAAATTGACATTAACTGTGATCGTTCCGTCAATTATTTGCCATTCCAAACCCTCTTCATCATTGTTGCTGAAAATAATCAAAAGTTGGCTAGACACACACGATGGCAATGTTTGTACCGATGAGGATGCACATAGCCTACTTCCTGCTCCAGTCTGGCAGGATATCCTTAAGAGACATCTGAAACCCCAACACGCATCCCAGGAACGTGTATTTATCATGTACACAATTTTAAAGCAAACCAGAACAAGAAATGGTGTTTCCACTGTGAGAATTCAAGTGACTAAATTTCTCCCTCAGATGAATAATTGTGAATGCTAAGGTCCTATATGACAGCGATTTCTCCTTTGGAAAGACTGCCTCCACTAGAAAAACCTTAGGATTCAAATTTTCCACATGCACATTCCTTCAAAATTGGATTGGATTTGAATTAAATAAAGCATTCACAGGAAATGTGTTGATTATGTTTGATTGACAATCTTTTTGAGTTCTTATAGGACAAGAAATTGTAGGAGAATAGGATACGTGAAAAGGGCTTAAATTCCACAAAAAGTAATAAAAATGCTAACATAAAAGTATATGGTGTGATAAATTAGGGCAGAGTAGTTCCTGATTGTACAAAAGTCCATTTGTGATGGAGGCAGCAGGAGTGTGGGCTCTCCCTTGTCCACTATTTCAAAAGCAGTGGGTTTTTTTCCCCTTATGTTCAGTGATGCCATGCACTCCATGACAAAGATGCTTTGATCTTCTCCCATTAAATATATCTTGTATGGACCTAGCCTGAACTTAGTAAGAAAAAAAAATCATTTGTATGAAAGGGAGGGAATGCTGTATGTCTCTAAGATTATTCATTACCTTTCAAAAGTGAAGCTATTTGTGAAGTCTTTGTGTAATACGTACATGAAAGACTACTATGCTGCTTACTTAAAGTATTTTTGTTGTGCTCTTGCTTTTTTATTCCTGCCTCAGATCAGATGGGGAACCCAACTGAAAAAAGCAATGAATAAGACATCGCAGTTTATAGTCTAAAGGACTTACACGATGATTGAAAGAAAAGATGCCATACCTGAATTGGAGGGTTTAGAAACTCTTCCCTTAGGAACTGGGAGTAATAATAATTCCAGGGATTGTGGTGGTGGTGGTGGAGGTGGTGGAGGTGGCGGTGGAGGTGGCGGAGTGACTTTTTCTGGTTTCTTCTCTGAAGGCGGGGGCGGTAGAGGGTCCTCAGGCAGCAGCGATGATTTCTCAGCCAGAAGACTGCCCGCAGCCCTTGCGGCCACCTCCTTCAGAAGGGCCGCTGAGGAGGTCATAGAAGCCAGGGAAAGGAAGGAGCTGGCCGGTGGAGGGTGCTCCTGACCAGGAGTCAAACTTCTTTCACTGACCTTCTTGGACAAAGCGGCCAAGGTAGAACTGGCAGACTGGGAGCTAAAAGGGGAGGAAAAGGACTCAAATCGCATGGTCTCCTCAGTCCTGGTGAGAGATTTGTCCTGCAGAACGGCATTGGCTGCAGCTTTCAGTTTTAGGATGGCTGAATCCGGAGACAAGCTGCAGGTGGTGGTTGAGTTTGGCAACCACTTACCTTGATTCCATATAAAACGGTTACTTGGAGTGTATTGGTCATTCTGTTCCTGCTTCTCGGCCAACTTCCTGGCCAGAACACTGAGCTGCTGGGCGTGGTGGGAAGGCGGGGAAAAGGAGAGGTTCGAGCCAACGTTTACGGGGGACTCCACTCTGCCATTAGCCGTGGCTGCAGCATCGAGTTTGAGGGAACCAGCCTCCAGCAGCCGCCTCAAATTGCTGCTCAGGGGCTTGTTGGAGCCTGGGTCATCGTCACACAAAGAAGACACTCCCGGGGAAAGGTGATCTTGACACTGCAGTGAGTCTCGCAGGACCTCACTGTCCAGTGCCACCAGCTCCAACGTGTGGCTGCTGGGAGTCGTGCTTCCCAAGGAGGTGTCCGGGGACGTGGACTGCTCCTGGATCCGGTCCTCCAGAGACAACTTATAGTTCTCCTGGACTTCCCCATAGGATGCTTCTGACGGAGTCTCTGAAGAGTTTCCATACCAGTGTTCTCCTTCACTGAGCTCTCCCTCCGCCTCTTCCTGCCTACTAACATCTGGGGAGAATTAAGAAGATCAGGTTTACTCCCAAAGTGAACAATAAGTAAGTCTCAAGACATTCAAATGGAGGTGATGACATGCTTTCTCTTCCCTTCCACCCAAGAACCAAATGAAAGGTGGCAACAGCCTTAACAGAATGTCAGACAGACTTGGCAGAAGCCTGAAAAAAGTAAAAAATGCTACACAGGCAAAGGTAAAAACATACCCAAGTAGTCCAGATAAGTTGAAAGGGAAAAGAAGGAAAAAGAAAAATGGATCTGGTAAAGAGGTAATTGGATGAAGAAACTGCTATTTTCAGGGAATGGGGGGAAATGGAAAGAAGCCTATATCCTTGTGAAAAACCAGCACAGTATGTTTAGCACTGTGACAGAATGAGAGAGGCAGCCTGGCATAGTGGGACACAGACCGTGAGACACAGACAGTGGGAAGCGCTTCCCTACTTTCTAACTCCGTGACTCTAGGCAAGTCACTGAGCTGGTCTGAGAATCCACTTCCTCCAATATAAGATGCAATTCATTTTTTAAAAAGCTTATCAAAAATGTACATAATACCTGCTTAACTCACTTTATCAGTTGTTATAAAGCTTATATCATAATAAGCATGTGATCATGTTTTGAAAACAGTCAAGTACCGTATAAAATCAGATTTCATTAGCAAACACTACTCACATTTCTGGCTTCTGACTGTGACAGTACCTCCCATGTTATGCATGCTACCTATTTGAGGGTCCTCAACTCCAGTCATCAACATGCTTGCCATATTATCACAGGCAGCGGTTAGGAATGTGTTCCCTCCCTCCACTAAGAGTGTCTTTTCATTATTTTCTATTTATCGATCCACCACTACCACTCCCATGACACTCTCATGCACCAGTTAGGCAGGCTCCTTGCCATTCTAGGGGCATTCATGAGCCCTGCCACTTTTCTACCTTTTCTCACGATATTCCTTCCATCTCAAATGTCTTTCCCCAGAAAAGCTGATTGTCCAATTCTACTTACCCTTCAACACCCGACTCAAAGGTTTCTTCCTTACAATTCTCCCTGGAACTCTCACTCAGAATGAACAAAACTAAGATCCTGCCTTCTTGGAGCTTACATTCCAGTGGGGGAAGACAAGTGTCAAACAAAATTAATAAATGGGTAAATAACATAGCATGCCAGAGGGTGATAAGTCCATGGAAAACCACATAGGGCAAGACAGGGAGGATGGGGAGTAATGGGTGGGAAGAGAGCTGCAATTTTAAACAGGTGGTCAAGGTGGAGCTTCACAGAAGTGGTGGCATTTCAGCAAAGCCTTGGAGGAAGTGAGAAACTGACCATGCAGAGGGAGAGTCACTGTGAAGGCCCTGCTGTGGGAACATGCCTGGCACGCCCATGGAACAGCACTGAAGCCAGTGTGCATGGGGTGCAGTGAGTGAGGTCAGAGCAGTGCCATAGGAGGTCAGAGAATATCATGAGTCAGTGTGTGTTGGCATGTGTATGAGAGTGTGTATGCACGTGTGTGTGTGTGTGCGCGTGTGTGCACATGCACTGTGGTGCAGGAGTGGGGTCACACAGATCTACAGGACGTTGTGAACTGCAGAAAGGTCTTCTGAATTTGGCAAAACTGGGTACCACTGGAGGGTTTGTGGCAAGCGAGTGTTATGACATGACTTATGTTGTCAAAGCATTGTTCTGGCTGCTGTGTGGAAAACAGACTTCAGGTACAAGGATGAGCACAAAGAGGCCAGCTAGGAGGCTAGGATCCAGGTGGGGATTATGAAGGCTCAGCTCAGGACTGCAAGGCGTGAGAAGTGACTCAATTAGGTGCATATTTTTATTGCAGAGCCAACATTCTCATATTTTGTTTACATTGGTTTTATATTACTCTAAATTATCTGTCTGCTGTTGGCTTCCTTCTAAAGTGGTGCTCCTAGAGGGCAGGAATTGTATTTTATTATCTACATATTCCACACTGTGCCTAGCACAATGTCTGGTCCCTAGCAGAGTTCAATGTATGTGTAGGGATTGAGCCAAAATCCCTCCTTGTGCCAAGTTTTGCCATATAGCATGCTGTTTCTTTTTGAAATAGAAGTAACTAGAACTAGTAATGCATGAACCATACACTAATACATTGATCTTCCCATGCTATTTAGAGAAGAAATGTCACAAATGACAAATTCTCTTTCACGAAGCTAAAATTCTGCAACTCCTTCCTGAGATTCTTTATTAAGTTATCAAGAAAATGTAAAATATCAAATGGAATTTGCTGGGAAAAAAAGCAGATTAAATTGAATTTTCTCTGTTAAAAACAGTCTGGTTCTTTGTGATCTGCCACATTTCCTCCTTCCCAGTTGATTTTAACATTTTTCATCTTTCCTGAAATTGGCGGCGACCCTAAACTCATCATTTCCCCAGTGGCTTCTTGGAGAGATGCTTTTTACCAAACACCAAGCAGTCAACATCAATTTCAACAATAGGGCTAATTTTATGTTTCTTTGGCAAACCACCTTTCTTGATTTCAGATTAAACATCTCATCCTTCAGTAGAATCACATAGGAAGTATCCTATAAATAGTAAGTCAAAAGTTTAAAAATCCCTACAGTAAGAATTTGTTGAATATCTGCTCAAATAATCTTTTCTTTAATCTTTATTATTAAATGAAGTACACTCATTAAGTGAAGTAACGGGAAAATATATTATTCAAATTTAAATACTTTTAGGTCATATGTGTGTCATACCAGAGGAGCTCAAGATAGTCAAGAATGGTTCCAAACTAATGCAGTAGGGTCACCTAACAGCATACCTAAAATCTAGGTTTTGAGAACCACAAGAAGTTACAACCACACATCAAATCTTGTCATTTTACTCAGACTATTAAATACGTTAAGTAAAGGTTACTGGCTGAATCAAAGACACACGACCACGTAGAGCTAATGCAGAAACCAAGAACCCCAAATCTCTCAGCTGGCCCAATGCTTCTCTGCAAGGTTCCACTGCACAATCTGCAGACAGAACCGCTGAACGACGACTTCTAGAGAGCTCTGAGCAGCTGCTCACCCGCTTTCCATTCCCCCATCCTTCCTGCCAACCTCTTGAATCAGAAATCAGCAAGGGATTCTCTTAGATAAGGACAGTATTCACTCTTTATCTTGAGATAAATCATTAAGAGGTGAACACTCATTATTCCTGTACTCTAATCTCTTCATTCCCATTCTGCCTCTTCTTTGTTGGAGTCGGTCAAAAGGAGATTCAAATGCCTAAAGAATTTAGCACTTCTACTGGCAAAGTCCCAAAAGCAAAGCTTAATTTCCTAACCCCCTCCACACCCTCAGTGAGCAAGAATATTCCCCCTCCAAACGTGCTGAAACAGGTGAGTGTGCAAACAGGTAAGTGTGCCAAAGGCTAAAGAAACTGTCAATTCAGGTTCTAATCCTACCAAGCAGTGATAAAGATGTCTGAACCTTCTTGAAAGATACAACAGCTAATGTCTACATTTAAAGCAACTTTCCTAACTTGTCAAAACACAAACTCAAAATAAACAAGTGAATAAACAAAGTATTTCTTAAACAGAACTGTTTGTGGCTCCTAAAATGCCTAGATAATTTCTCAACCATCCATCCCTCTGTTGTTTGCAGACTCGATCACTGAGATACACACACCTCTGGACTGCAAGAAAACTTGGATGCATGAAGAGTATCTCTTAAATTCATAATACTCTGTTAATCACTTTTCTGAAGATGCTGCTACTGAAATTGAGGTTATTCAAGAAATAAGTTACCATATAATTTTAATGCATGGCATAGAAAGAGAAAGAGCAGAAACTTGAGGAGAAACATAGCTGAAATTATTCTGGCAATACCTGAGGTTAAATAAATGGTGAGAGGAGCTTTGGGAGAAATGAATGCAAGAAAATGAGGATGTGCAGAGGGTGGGGAAAAATTATAAGAAGCTCAAACAAATATGTCTGTGTTCACAAAACAGCAAGGATTTTCTCCCACTTTTTTTTTCTTCTTTTTTTGCCTGCTGGGCTCCTCTATTTTCATGTCCAATCTCATAATGGAGGAGTTCTTGAATGTTGCAGTGGTCTAGCTATGGTGAGCTCTCCTTCTGCAGAGTGTACGACAACCTGCACCTTTCCTAGCCTGGAATTTCCTTTCACACTACATCGTGAGAAAAAGTTCTCTCATTGTGGAGCTCAAAACAAAGCATTTTTTTAAATCTAGAAGATGAATTTGCTGGACACAACAAACTTTAGAACATGCAAGCCTTGACTTTTGTGTCTCTCTTTCACAATCTGAGAAGTCTCAGGCAGCAAGACACCTCCATTTTCCAGTCTGCCAACCAGCGCAGACTCTTCACATGGTCACAGAGCAGCACTGCACAAGCCAAGGTCCTGGAAGTGCTTCCTGCGGTACAGTGACCGTGGATTTCACAGCTTTCTTAACCAAGGCTTCCCGGGGAAGCCTCTAAGTGGCCAATGTAAATAACTTCCTTGTAAATACATTATTTTTAACCTCCAGAGAAGAAAGCTATTTCCATTGCTAATTTTACAACAACCTCTGTCTCTGACTGTCAGGTTCACACTCATTCTTGTCAATTTTACACAACAGTCTGTTTTTGTGTGTGTTTTCCCTTTAAATCAGAAACACAAAGAATTAAGAATAGCAATGGTGCAATTACAGAATGAAAATATGCTGAATAAATTTTGTTTCCATGTGGCGAATATTTCTCCTTTGGGGAAAACAAAACAAAATTCCACTACCTAACACATTTATTTATAATTCAGTTCTCAAGCAGCAACTCAGTAACTTGATATCTACAACTCTTGCTGCATTCTCGGTAGAGAATGTCTTTTCAACTCACTTCCTTTTTGGTTTGACAGTTTTAATCAGATGCATTTAATTGGACCAATATACATCTCAGAGCATCCTCGTTCAGAAAGATTGTGAGTGCACAGTGAAAAAAATATATAACAAAGAGACACCTATTAATTTTCAAGCTTTTTGGTTTAAGCAAGTGGGGAAGGAAGCCTAAAAGTCCCATTTCTAAATCTACTCGCAAACTATTCCCACCAGTCAGTCCATATGAGTCTAGCCAGCAGGTTTTAATGAGAACAGGACTTGAATTCTTAGGACTCACCTGGCATAGGATTGGAGAGATGCTTTCTCACGGTCAACTCTCTAACAATCAGTGTCTCCAACACTCTCTTCTTGTGACCACAGGTATGTTCACCTGGTACCTACCAACCAACCTTCTGGTTTATTTTCATGTAAAAATCTTGTAAGTTTTCCCTTTCCTACTAATACACTTCTATAGCTAAATATCTAATGCCTTTTAAGATCATACATTTCCATTAGCATTATCAGTTATACTCATAATAAGTGCTGCAAATCATACAACCAACTTTTACATGCAGTTTTACATAAAAGTAGTTTGTAAGTTTACTACAAAAGTTATTAGCAAAACCAGTGCTACTAATTGACTTAATTCAACAAGCATTTACTGATCACCTACTATGTTCAGGGAACTGTTCCCTGCAAAGGGAAACAGAGACACAACAGTCTCTGGCATAAAAGTTTCTAATCAACAGAAGAGTGAGGGTTTCACAAGCATTCAAAGCATAATGACTGGTGCCACCATACAGAAACAGCAAGGGTTGTGTAAGCACAAAAGAGGGAATAATGAACTCCAGAGGTGCAGGTGGCTTTGGAAATGGACCTCAAAGGATGAGGGCGATTTTAATAGTAGACAAAAATTCATTAACAAGCAGCCTTGCTCCTCAGCAAATTATCAAAAAGGAAATATGCCAGTCATGGAGAAAGCTAATATTCAAGTGATATATGTTGGATAAATTAACCCAATGAAAAAATTGTATATTTTTATAAAATACACTATCTTCACATTTTAAAAATATACTATTGATTTGTCAAAGGTAGACCTTACCAACTATTTTACCATACTCACTAGTTTTGAAATCAAACTATTACATTATAAATACCTGGAGGCAAGGCTATGAGTTAGTCATTTTTGTGTTCCTTCTTGATTCCCTGCTCATAGTAGGGGTATCTGGGCTCCTGTGGTTGTAAATGACAGAAAACCAGCAGGACCGCATGAAGCAATAAGGGAATTTTCTCAGTTCCTGTACCAAACAATAAAAGGGGCACAATGGAGCCAGCATCAGATAGGATGTCGAAAGCACCATCAGGGCTCTCTCTCATTCGCCTCTAGTCTCTTCCTCTCAGGCCACTTTTCCCAGGAGGCTGAAAACCTGGCTGCAACCGGTTCTGGGTTTTCACTCTCAATGACTTCCCACTAGAGAAAGGTCTTTACGCCTCTGATTGGCCTGTTGGAGGTCATGTTCCCCTCCATGGGCCTATCACTGAAGCCAGGGGGCGGGTTCTACAATGGGCTCAATGTGGGTCACAGAAGAAAGGAGAGGGAAGAGGTATCAGGAAGACAAAAGCAATGACCTCTATAATGTTTAATAAAGGTTTCTTCTGCCGCATATCAGGCTGTTCTGAATCAATTTTATGATGCTAAGCATAAAACACATCCGCATTTAGGCCGGTTTTACTTGCCAAGTTTTAAATTGTCCCTTTGTAGCCTGAGAGCCTTAGCACATCCCCCACACCAGGTCTGCCTGAAACTAAGAGACCTCTCGCGTCTTCAAGGCTCCAAGTCCACAGTCTGAGGTAAATGCACGGCCGGCAATGGGCTTCACAGGACAGAGACTCGGAGATTACAGTTATCGAAACACGGATGTCCAGGACACCCAACCGCTGTCAGCGTGCCCAGGAAGAAAATGTAAGAACTGCTAGTTATTTAAAACTGCCAGGGTGCAGAAGACAACCAGATTCCTGTCACCAGTCCAGCTAGGGAAAAGGTGCTGCAAAGGCATGAGGAAGTGAGAGGAAGTCTGGAGACGAGAGTAGTCCACACACGGGGGGAGGGAGGGGCTCCTGGGTCAAGACGAGCATTTGGCACACAGCAACATTTTCAAATCATTATTCTAAATGACCGTGAGTAAAATAAAGGTAACACAAATGAACGCATCACTCCTCTGCAGAGTGAGTTCGAAAAAGTAGCTAAGTCAGTTTCAGTATTCTTCATATAAAGTGCTTAGCCAGACCTTCCATGGCCGAGGAACTGCCCGTGTTCCTCCCTCTACCTGCCCGTCTCAGCAGGAATGGCAACTCCTCCATCCTTTCAATTACTTAGACCCAAAACCATGCCACCTCCCTTGACTCTTCTCTTTCTCTCAGACCCCACATCCAATTCATTCTCGGATTCCGTTGGTTCTACCTTCAACAGAGGTACCAAATCTGGCCACTTTGCACCATTTCCACCACTACTACTAACCTGGTACCCAGTGCTGTCATCCCCCACCTGTACTATGGCAGTAGCCTTCCAACTGGTCTCCTCACTTCCCAACCTTGCTCCATTATTCTCAACCAGCAGCCAAAGTAAGTTCTCAAACTTCCACAATGGTTTCCCATGTTTCTCAGTATAAAATACAAAACTCTTACCTGAACCTCAAGGCATCCCTAATCATCTCCTTGTGACCTCCTCTCCTAACACTCTCCCTTACTAGGAAAATAAGCTCCTGCCTCAGGGCCTTTGCAATTGCTCTTCCTCTGCCTGAAACAGCCACATGCTTAATTCCCCTAATTCCTCAGGTCTGCCCTCAAACCTCACTGTTTTTTAGAATACAAGCTCCGAGGGAGGACTTTATTTTGGTTGCTGCTGCATCCTCGGCATTTAGGTTGGTACTGAACACAGAGCAGGCAGTCAATTATTATTTGTCCAATGCATAAATGAAATGGAAGAATAGGCTGAACAATCATAAAGGTAACATCTGTCAGTGATGGAAATAAGAACTATTTTCAAAATTGTAAATTAGAATGCTATTTTTCTCATGTGAGTCAAACATGGAACAGGGAAAAAGCCTGTTTTGCAAACTTTTCCACCAGTTTCCCCAAAGGCCAAGAAAGAACAACACTGCAGGGGAACTTGGTATTAAAGTCGCCGCCCCCTCTAAGAAGCCCCAACTTTCTTTGAGTTTTAGCTTAACATTTCAAGTGACTTCTGCATTCCACTCTATAAACAGCTGTGCCATCAAGGAAACTTTATTCTCTAGAAAGATGCAACCTGTTTCTCCAGGTACCGACATGCTTTGGAGAAACATGTACCGTGTTTGTAGAAGCAAGAATGTATAAAAATATCTAGCACAATGCCAAGAGCTCAATAATGGGTGACTATCATTATTACTGCTATTACTAACCAGAAAACAGTACTAGACCTATTAACCCCACTTTCAAAGACAAAAGCAAAGGCGCAGAGGATAAAGTAACTTGCCAGTATAATACAATTAATCTGTACGATATCAAAAACTATTCATTATACTTGAAGTTTGTTATATGAATTATTTTACAGATGGAAAAGCCTTGGAAATCTACTCTATATGACTAGTCTCTAGTTAGAGGCCTAGAGAGGGCCATAGATTTGCCCAAGGTCCCCTAGATGATTTCCAAACATAGGCAGTGCTTGAGCTCAGATGTCCCAATACTACTAAATCATGGTACTTTTCAATCAGCATTAAGTGAATGAATGAATTCTAGAACAAGCCACTGCATACAGTAGGCTCCCAATAAACATTTGTTGAATGAATGAACAATCATGAAAACACATCTGGAGCTATGATAGATGTTTTCATATTCATCAGCAAATTTCATCCTCACAATAATTTTATATAGGAAACCAAACTTTTCATTTTACAGACCAAAAAACCCAAGTTCCAAAAAGTTAATGGCTTACACAACATGCATGCTTACTGAGTGACAAAGCCAAGTTGAAACCCAAATATTCAGAACATCTGACAATATGTGAGGAGCTTGACAAAAGAATAATTTTTCAGGTAACCAAAAATTATCAAAGTGCCATCAAGTACGCAATATTTTCAAAATTTAATTTGATGGGATTTAAAAGTGCACACACACTCAAACATAATATGTTGATGCTGTTATTATGTTTGTTATATATAAATGTGTTTCAGGAGCTACTGGAACTTTTCAGCAGTTTGTCCCTCCATTGAGTGGCCCAAAGCAACTATGTATTTTAAGTTCTTATTCCTACTTTAATAGTCTTTTTGAATACTTTTGTTCTCCATTATATCCTCAGCAGAGACTCTTTCTCCTATACTTATAACTCTTTGTATGCATAAACTGAGATAAAAATCACCAGGCTTATTAAAACTGTGTACAAACTTGGAATGAATACCTAGTATCATGAGTTGAATTGTGTTCTCTCAAAAGATATTGAAGTTCTAACCCCCAGTACATGTGACTGTGACCTTATTGGGAAATAGGCTTCTGCAGATAATCAAGTGAAGATGAGGTCATTGGGGTGGACTCAAATCCAGTATGACTGGTGTCCTTATAAAAGGGGGAAATTTGGATGCAGAGACACACATGCACACAGGAAGAACACCATGAGATGAGTTATGCTATCATAAGCCTAGAAACTACCAGAAGCTGGGCGAGAGGTCTGGAACAGACCCTTCCCTACCGCCTTCAGAGCGAGAGTGGCCTTGTGGACACCTTGAGCTCAGACTTTTAGCCTCCAGAATTGTGAGACAATAAATTTCTGTTGTTTAAGCACTGGTTTGTGATACTTTATTACAGCAACCCAAGAAAACTAATATAAGTATATTTGGATGAAGGCCTGAGGCATTTTTCCTGAATTTGTTCACCTCTGGATTCTCAACTATAGCCTCAGTTTGTAATGTAGTTTTTGTAATAAGCTGGATATTATTACATAAAACCGACCACATTGCTGATCAGTGTTAAGTCCTGTGAGGCTGGAAGGACTATGAGTGGACTAATAAATTTTTGCTTATCTCTCAATTTTACTCAAATTTCTTTCAAATGAAAGGTTTAAAAAAATAGGCCAAGCATGGTGGCTCACACCTATAATCCCAGCACTTTTGAAGGTCAAGGCTGGCGGATCACTTGAGCTCAGGAGTTCAAGACCAGCCTGGGTAATATGGTGAAACCGCATCTCTACCAAAAATATAAAAATTAGCCAAGTGTGGTGGTGCATGCCTGTGGTCCCAGCTACTCGGGAGGCTGAAGCAGAAGGATAACTTGAGTCCAGGAAGCAGAGGTTGCAGTGAGTCACGACTGCACCACTGCATTCCAGCCTGGGCAACAGAGTGAGACCCTGTCTCAAAAAAAAAAAAAAAAAAAAAAGACATTACCAAAAGAGGCCTTCCCTTACTAGGGCTACTTAGAGATATCCAAACAAAAAGATATACTCATCCTTACATCCTTACTCACGTTTCAGCAAATTAATAACAAAATTTTTCTTTTGTTGAAAAGATAGCTTGAATTTACTCACCAAAAGGCCAATCTAAAGACCAAAATGGGACTGGTTAGTCCACGGATTGATTACTTGCTCCCTTACCCTTTCATGCACCTCTTATTACAAAAGGCACATAGAATCTGTCCCCTCAAGCAATCAGAAGTAAATTTACCATGGCTACCACATCGTTATCAGAAAAATTGTCTGCTAAGGCTGATAAATCGGTTGATTATCTGCTTCCTTGACTTTTATTTCTTTTTGTATAAATGTTTTCATTTTAACATTACCAATACTTCTTAGAAGATCAGTAATAAATTACCAAACTACTGAAATCACCAGGAAGTCTTTACTAGGTCAAAGAACCTAAACAAAAATGAACACCCCCAATAGCCCTAACCATATAACAATGCATTCTACAGTCTAAGAAATAGCATTCTATGGATAGATAAATGACTACTTATCAAAATCTTAGCTTATACATAAAATGATACATTTCTTTGTAGACACACACACACACACACACACACACACCAAGAGCATTGGCATGATGTACCTTGTAATAAACATATTATAGTCATCATCATTCTGTCTGCCAAAGAAAAACTTCATACAGTAAGTCCTTTACTTACTAAAAATATACATATATCCAGAAAGAAAAGGGCCGTGGGAGACAAGAGACTTAGCAAGGGAAAAGAGACAAAATAGATTTTTATTTAGTGCTTAAATACGTATAAAACAAAAGCTGCAAGGAGGCAGCTTCCCCTAACGCGCCCCCTGCAACCCACCAACACATTCACAAAATGATATTGGTGCAATTTATTGTATGAGAATATTTTTTATCAGTTATGCACAAGAATCCATGAGAGCAAAGGACAATCCATTTCAAGGACAGCCCTAACTCAAAGTTAACTTTAAACACTGATTTAGGCCAACAGTTTTAACCTTTACTCCTACTAGGCTTTGTGCCAGGGCTGCTATCAAGTGGTCAAATGTATTCTTATTCCTTGTCTCCTTTTATTTTCCCTGCCCACCTTCTGGTACACACAGAAGTCAACAATAGAGAGCAAAAAAACAACAACAATTAACAAAAACTGCAATCAACCAACAAGCTAAGGTAATTCCAAGGGCCAGGATACCCCACAGCTAAATTAACATTCCCTTAACAACTCAAGTCCAGTGGTTTTATCCATTTAATTCTCTTTGAAGAATCCTGAAGGTGTACCTTCCTTTCTTCTCAGGCATTCCTCAGGCATGCCCTTGGGGTTTTCACTAAGAGGGCTTTTCTAGATTTTTCACCTAAAAGAAATCCAGCACTGTTTTCTAGGGCTTTGTCACCAGCAGGGATGCTCCAGAGGAGCCATTCATTCCATCCCCAATAAAACTCGGATGCTTCTTGTCTTAGCTGATTTCGTGTTGCTAAAACAGAATACTTAAGACTGGGTAATTTATAAGGAACAGAAATCTACTACCTCATGGTTCTGCAGCCCTTGGGGCCACACGTAGTGCGTGTCTTCTTGCTGCATCATGACAACAGAAGGCATCCTGTGCTGAGAGAGAGCAAGAGCAAGAGATGGCCAAATTCACTTTTATAAAAACTCATTCTCTTGGCCGGGTGTGGTAGCTCACGCCTGTAATCTCAGCCCTTTGGGAGGCTGAGGCGGGTGGATCACCTGAGGTTGGGCGTTCAAGACCAGCCTGACCAACATGGAGAAATCCCGTCTCTACTAAAAATGCAAAATTAGTTGGGCATGATGGCACATGCCTGTAATTCCAGCTACTCGGGAGGCTGAGGCAGGAGAATCGCTTGAACCTGGGAGGCAGAGGTTGCCATGAGCTGAGATGGCGCCATTGCACTCCAACCCAGGCAACAAGAGCGGAACTCCGTCTCAAAAAAAAAAATCGCTCTCCCAATAACCAACACACTCCCGAGATAAGGATACTAATCTATTCATAGGGCAGAGCTCTCCTGACCTAATCACCTCTTAAAGGTTCCACCTCTCAATACTGTTGCATTGAGGATTGAGTTTCCAACATATGAATTCTGGGGGACACACTCAAACCACAGCATTCCACCCTTGGCTCCAAAAATTCATGTCCTTCTCACATGCGAAATATATTCATTCCATCACAATAGCCCCAAAAGTCTTAACTTCTTTCATCATCAACTCAAAAATCCAAACGTCCAGAGTCTAATCTAAATTAGATATGGGTGAGACTCAAGGTACAATTCATCCTGAGACAAATTTCCCTCCAGCTGTAAGCCTGTAAAATTAAACAAGTTATCCACTTCCAAAATACAATAGTGGGACAGGCATAGAATAGGCATTCTCATTCCAAAGGGAGACATAGGCAAGAGAATGGGATAACTGGTCCTGAGTAAGTCCAAAACCCAACAGGGAAAACAATATTACATCTTAAGATGCCAGAATAATCTCCTTTGACTCCATGTCCCCAATCCCCTGTACACTGGGGTGGGGGTTGGGCCGCCAAGGCCTCAGGTAACCCCACCCCAATGGCTTTGCTGGGTTCAGTTCATCCAAGGGTTGGTCTTGTGCCTGCAGCTTTCCCAGCCTGAAGCTGCATGCTCCCCTACTTCTACAGCTCCACTAGGCATTGCCCTAGTTGGGGGCTCCCTGCATCAGCTCTGCCCCTCAGAAAGTCTCTGCCTGGGCCCCCAGGCGGTCGTGAAATCTAGATGAAGGAAGCCATATGCCCACAGCTCTTGAATTTTGAGCACCTGCACACTTCTACCACATGAACATAGCCAAGATTTGCTGCTTACACCTTCCAAAGCTGTGACACCTGGGGTGAACTGGGGGCATGAGCCGTACGGGAATGTGGGGAGCAAAGACTTACAGCAGCCCTAGGCAGCAAGCCCAGTGTCTCAAGGGCACCCGAGGACTCTCTTTGGACATTTCCTTTCCCCAGGCCTTGGCACTCTGGGCCTGTGATGGAAGGGGAGCACTGGTGATTTCCAAAGTACCTTTGGGGTCATTCTCTCATCGTCCTTTGGTTTCCTTCTATCCATGTTAATCCCCTTATCAATCAATCAGTTCCTTGGCCACATCTATGGTTTCCTCTCCTGAAAATGTTCTTTCATTCTCTGCTACATGGCCAGGCTGAGAATCCTTCAAATTCCTCATTTCTGTTTCCCTTTTAATTATAAATTCCATCTTTAAATCATTTCTCTCCTCTCATTTTACTATATGAAGTTAATAGAAGCCATGTAGCTCCTTCAACATTTTGCTTAGAAATTTCTCTCAAGAGATACCCTAGTTGATGGCTCTTAAATTCTGCCTTCCTAAAAGCCCGAGGGTATGGACA
Source organism: Homo sapiens (assembly GCF_000001405.40). Taxonomy (NCBI): domain Eukaryota; kingdom Metazoa; phylum Chordata; class Mammalia; order Primates; family Hominidae; genus Homo; species Homo sapiens. The sequence continues at coordinate 145,916,884 of NC_000004.12, forward strand.
CAATTCGGCCAAGTTCTTTGCCACATCATAACAAGGATGGCCTTTACTCCAGTTTCCAATAATTCCTCTTTTCTATCTGAGATCTCATCAGAATGGCCTTTACTGTCCATATTTCTACCAACATTCCGATCACAGCCCTTAATTAATCTCTAAGAAGTTTCTTAGTTTACCACTAGCTCTCTTCTTCTGAGCCTTCACCAGAATTGCCCTTAATGCTCTGTTTATAACAACCTAGGCTTTTTCTAACCTGCTCCTCCAAATTCTTCTAGCATCTATCCATTACCCAGTTCCAGAACCACTTCCACATTTTCAAATATTTGTTACAGCAAGAGCCCCACTTCTTAGTACCAATTTTCTGTCTCAGTCCATTTTATGTTGCTATAACAAAACACGCACGACCAGATAATTTGTAAAGAACTGAAATGTATTGGGTTCACAGTTCTGGAGGCTGGGAAGTCCAAGATCAAGGGGCTGCATCTTGTGAGGGCCTTCTTGCTGCATCATAACATAGTTGAAGGTATCACTTGGAGACAGAGAGAGCAAGAGAGGGCCAAACTGGTTTTTGTTAACAAACCCACTCCCATGATAATAATATTAACCCAGCTATGAAGCCACAGCTTCTTAAAGTCCCTCTTGATTACCTCTTAAAGGCCCCATCTCTCAACACTGTTGCACTGGCAATTGTTTCAAACCCATGAACTTTGGGGAACACACTCAAATCATAGCACTTTGGAAAATGCATCAAGTGGTAAGATTGAAGTTTGGAAACATGCTCTACTGCTACTTTGGATAAGGCTCAACTCCAAGGTAGCTGGTCAAAAAAAAAAAAAAAAAAAAAAAAAAGAAAAGAAAAAACAACATTCATATGCCATTTCCTGGGAGTGACCACTTATATTATTCCTACATCAGTTCCTCTGGTTCTTGACCTTTTGGGTGACTGTTAAGTGCCCTAATTTTGTATTTGAATAAAAACACCACTTCTTTTTCACCTAAGAACTGTCTGCAGTTCTGTAGCTGCAACATTCCCACATATTATAAGAATTTCATTAACCAGCTTATCCTCCACCCAAAACTGGTATTTTAAAAGGAGAGTGAAAATATATTGGGCAATTTAAAGAAGTTATTTGAAACACACAAGTTTGAAAAGCTTTTGATATATTAGGTTGGGGCAGAAAGTAATTACGGTTTTGCCATTACTTTTAATAGTAAAAACATCAATTGCTTTTGCACCAATCTAATAAATTTGCTCAACTAATCAGGCTTTGTTTTAAATCTTTGTTTTGAAGTTACTTACAGAAAACCTAATTTTTAAGAAAAATTTCCACATTAATATCAGCAGTGGTAAATCCTACTTTATGCTTTGCGGGGCACATATAGTCTCTGTCCTTATATTTTGTTGTTGTTTTAAAGAACCCTTTAAAAACATAAAAACTATTCTTAGCTCAAGGCAAAAAAAAAAAAAAAAAAAAAAAAAAACTGGCTACAGTTTGCAGACTTCTGCTCTCCAGAACAGGTACTTTTTCTTTATATATAAAAAAAAAAAGCGGAATGGTGCTCTAAAACAGCGATGAGCTAAGATTGCACCACTGCACTCCAGCCTGGGCAAAAAAGTAAGACCCAGTCTCAAAAAAAAAAAAAAAAATTCCGATATATGGCAACAAGTTTCATCATCATCTTTTTAATCCAGCCACTTGTGTAAGTCATTGAGCACCTTTGTGCCTCAGTTTCTTCATCTATAAAATAAGGGGTTAGGATGGATCAGTGGTTTCCAAACCACACATAGAGGAAGCCTGGGGCTCTCGGGCAAGGTTGGGCTCTATGGACCCACCCCCAGCTCTCACCCCAGCACACACCCAGCCTGCACAGCCCTGCTTTGTCTTTGATCTTTTCTACATAGTGGAGCTCTCCATAAAGACAAGGAAGGGTTCCACCTATTTTGTTTTGTTTTGAAAGCCACTGTTTTAGATGACCTCAGGGATCCTCCTGGTGCAAATCCTCTATGAATCCACTTTGGGTCATCAGTCATTATCCAATCATCTTACTGGGGACTAAGTGTCAGGTAAATAGAAATGATTTAAAATCCTATATTGAGCCAGGCACAGTGTCTCACACCTATAATCCCAGCACTTTGGGAGGCTGAGGTGGGGTATCACTTGAGGCCAGGAGTTTTGAGACCAGCCTGGGCAACATAGCAAGACTCCCATCTCTACAAAAAGTTTAAAAATTACCCAGGACTGGTGGCATACTCTAGTACCAGCTACTTGGGAGGCTAAGGTGGGAGGATCACTTGAGACCAGTAAGTGGAGGCTGCAGCTGATGATCACACAACTGCACTCCAGCCTGGACTATAAGAGTTAAGATCCTGTCTCAAAAATTAAAATAAAAACAAATCCTATATTGAGTATTTAAAAGAGGAGAGGCAAAAACAAGAAAGATCTTATCCTAAGGGACCACCCGTACTTGTTCAGATTTGTGGAAATTCACTGGACAGCCAAATCAAGAGAGTTCCCAAGTCCCACATATACTCATGAAAGGGAGAGCTCATTCCTGCATCACTCTGCTTAGAGCACTGGGAAAAGCAGAATGCTTTAGCAAAGGAAGGACCACTGAGCTGAGACTCAGAGACCTGGTTCCACTTTGAATTTGGAATTTACCAGCTATATAACTTCTGATGTTTATTTAACAAAAATTGAAAACCCTACTATAAACAAGCTCTTAGACATGGTATGAGGAATACAGTGATGAACCAGAAATATGAAGAATGCTCTGTCCCCCACTACTGAAATCCATCATCCATAAAGTAGGGTATTAATACTGCTCTCTCTCCCATACATGGTGGTCCTGCCAAGATGGCCAAGTACATGTAAACTGCAAAGCATGGATAACATTAAACCAGAAACCTGTAGATTCTCCTCCTTTTAAGTAAATAAATATAATCAACTCCAACAATTCACTAATATTGGTGAAATAGGGCCACAATAAGTTTTGTATAGCAGAAAATCTATTTATACAGCATGAAACAGCATGGCAAAATAGAAAGGGCACAAGCTTTGGAACCAGACACTCCCACTCGAATCTTATCCTGCTATACACTAGGCCCACCTGAAGTCTACAAGCACCTTCTCCTGTTTAGAGTATAAGATACTAATATCTGCAATTGTACAGGGCTATGTAAAGGTAAATTAGCATTACATAAGTAAAGCACCTGGCACAGAGTTGACGCTTAGTGAATAATAGCTTTCCCTTTTTCCCAGGCACCTAGAAATCTCAAATGAGAAAACATTATGTTTTAAAGAGGACGGCTTACCTCAGAACTGTTGATATTGTTACCCAGCTCTATATCATAATCACCCCAACCAAAGAAGACAGGAAACTTCTGGTTGTTATGACCATGGAATCCAGATGCAGAATATGCCCAGTCATCAGGAAAATCTGACGGTCTTGGCACAGTTTGAGGACAGAAAGAGAGCAACAGCCAATAGCTGAGGGGAGACTCCACAGTCTGGAATGTGCCACAGACTTCCAACCACAAAAGTTCTCTCTTGCACTTAGACGGTGGTATCCCCTGCAGCATACGCCACGGCCTCTGCTCTTCTGGGCAAGTCTCCTCAGGAAGGGAGGAGAAGCATGTGACTCCCTCCAGTCATCTCCAGGCTACATTCACGCGAATGTCCAGGGTACTGTTCATCGCCTCCTATACCCAGCCCGGGACAATTTAGGCAAATCGTTTTCTCATTTTTGAAAGAGGAAGACAGCAGGAGATGGTCTCTAAAGTCCTTTCCACCTCTAAAACCCTTTGGTTCTGTGACCCAGTCTTAACTTCTTTGTTTATTCATTCAGCAGTGTTTATGAAACACCTATGGGATTCCCCCCTTCTTAATTTCATTCATTTCTTCATTCAACAATATTAATAGAACATCTCCTATTTCTTGGATTCTGTGACCAGCTCTTTACTTCTCCCTTCATTCATTTATTCAGCACTATTTATTGACCACCTACTATAATCAGTTACTGTTATGTGCAAGAATGTACAAAAATGAATAAGAAAGTCCATGCCCTTTAAAAGCTCACAGTCAATAAGAACATCGACTAGTAAGGAAGTATACTATGCACACAAAGTTATTATGATAGAGCTATGGGAACCAGGGGAGGAGACGCCTAATTCTACCCAGCATGTGGGACAATGCAGGAGGGGAAGCAGGAAAGGCTTCTCAGAGAACTGAGTGTTGCAGGCTAAGTAGGAGGTTATCAGGCACATAAATGAGTTGAAGATATTTCAGAAACAGAGAAAAGAATACGCCAAGAAAAGGAGGTATAAGTATGATTTGCAGAACAGATAGTTCAGTACGAATAAAACAAGGAGTATACAACATGGCAGAGGAAAGGGGCTTAGATGACAAAGCATCTTCTAGATTTGCTTCTTGGCAAAGTCTAGAAGTCCAGACTTTATCCTTTTAGAAAATGCCTAAAAGATCTTAAATAGGATTATCTGGATTACATGAGTGTTTTAGAAAGTCTGCCATGGTGGCAGTGTGGAGACTGGATTACAGAGGCAGGGGTTGGGGAGGGGAGAGGTGAGACTCAGGCAAAAAAAAAAAAAAAAAAAAAAAGAGGTCAGCTGGCAACCATTTCAATTCTCTTTGAGAAAAAATATGAGTGTAAACCAAAGCAGTGGCAGGGGGTGGGCATGATTTATTCTAGAGATATTTGGGAAGCAGAACCAACAAAACTGGGTGGGGAAGAAATTCAATGAGGGGAGGAAAAGGAAGGGGGTGGCATTTGGATTACACTCAGGTTTCTGTCTCAGATGAGTGGGTTCATGGACAATGAGGACAGCAACCCAGAAAAAGAAGACACGAAGACCAGAAATACTCCTAATTCCCCAAGACTGGAAATCTTAGTCATCTCTTCTTTGCTACCATGCAGTCTCCAAGATAAATCATGCTGGACCAAGGCACTCACTGGAGTTCTCCTCCAACAGGGGTTCCAGGAAATCATAACAGGTACCAGGATAAATATGGAGCATCTTCACAGACCAAAACTGATACATACATATTTACAAGAAACAAAGGTAATTTGACTGATGAGTTATTGAAAACATTACTTTTAGTCTAAACCAACAGATATACAGTATAATGCACATTGTAAGATAATTCAAAGATACATCAAGGAAATCTCACAGAAGCTGTGAGAACCGTTGTGAGTTTAGGATTCCCCATCTTCAGGATTCTTTGCCTTTTGGGGTCTTTGGTGAAAATATTCAAAGTGCTACATTATAGCATTACCTAGTAAAGCTGAAGACGCACATGCACCAAGATGTGGCATTTCCATTACTATGTAGACAACTTAGAGTAGTGGTTCTCAAAGTGTGGTGTGTGGACCCCTATGTGTCTCTGAGACCCTTTCAGGGATCCTCAAGATCAAAACTGTTTTTATAATAATACTAAGCTATCATTTGCCCTTATTACTCCATTGACATCTGTAATGATGATACAAAAGCAATGACGGGTAAAACTATTGGGACCTTAGCTTGAATCACAGCAACAGCAATAAATCATACTGGTAATGATTTCATTCTTCACTGCTGCACATATTTAGAAAACTAACACACAAACACAAAAACAAAACCAAGGAGAAAAGCCCTGCCAGTTTCACTTAAGAATGTCTTTGATGAAGCAGTAAAAATTATTTTCATTGAAGACTGACCCTTGAGTAAACATCTTTTTAATAACACATGTAATGAAATACATGCATAAAGCACTTCTGCTATCACCAAAGTACGGTGGCTGTCTCAAGGAAAAGGACATGTGTGACTGAGTTAAGAGCCGAACTAGCCAATTTTTCCTTGAACATCACTTTTAATTGAAAGGATAACTGACTATGGTCATTCAAGTATCGGTATTTGGCAGACTCTTCATTGGAAATGAAAAGTAAGACTGATACTTCAAGGAAAAACTGACAGTGTTTGTTGCCAACAATAAAATTCAAGCTTTCAAACAAGAATTAAAATTTTGGAAAACATGTATCTTACACTGTGAATTTGACAGCTTCCCAATACGGTCCTTAAACACCTTTCAGATAACATCAGTGTTGATATTAATATTTTTTTTATATTTTATAACAAAATGTGTCAACATTTGGTAGATCTACATAACTCAGTGAACCAATATTTTCCAAATGTCCAACACAAGATGTTCTATGCACATTGATCCATTCAAAGCACAAGAGAGACCAGTAGATTTTAATGCTTCAAAATATGAAAAGTTTATTGAAATGTTTTGATTAATCATTGCAACTAATCTTTAAGAAGCTATCTCTTTTTGAGTCTTGGTGTAATATCAATGAATATTCACAATTATCTGAAAAGACTATTACATATTGGTGTGAAGTCAGATTTTCTTCAGATATGCCATCCAAAACATGTCACAGATTGAATGCAGGCCAGGTGCGGAGGCTCATGCCTGTAATACCAGCACTTTGGGATGCCGAGGCAGGCGGATCACCTGAGGCCAGGAGTTTGAGACCAGCCTGGCCAACGTGGTGAGAACCCATCTCTATTACAAATGTAAAAAAAAAAAAAAAAAAATTAGCCAGGCCCAGTGGCAGGCACCTGTAATCCCAGCTACTTGGGAGGCTGAGGCAGGAGAACCGCTTGAACCCAGGAGGCAGAGGCTGCACCACTGCACTCCAGCCTGGGCAACAGAGGGAGACTCCATCTCAAAAAAAAAGACTGAATGCCGTAGCAGATAGGAGACTCTCGTTGTCTTCTGTTAACTCAGGCATTAGAGATTTGCAAAAATATAAAATAATGCTACTCTTCTCACTAAATCTCTTTTGGAAAATATATTTTTATTAAAATATGCTATTTATAGTTAACATGTAATGGGTTAGAATCAGTATTTTTAATAACATATTTAATTTGCCAGTTTTAATCTCTACCATGATATAGATAAATAGATACAATGCATACGCACAAAAGGTTTTTGGAGTTTAGGGGTCCTGGTAAAAAGGTCCTAAAACCAAAATGTTTGAGAACCAGTGTCTTAGAGAAATTCACACTCAGGCTAAACTGATATGTACATGCATGTTCACGGCAGTGCTGTTCAAAACAGCAAAAAAAGTGGAAACAAAAGCAAACATCCATTGTGGTATGTTTCTACAGTGAAATACTGGAGAGCAGTGAAAATGAATGTGCCAGAGCTACATGCATCAACATGGATAAATCCCAGAAAGGTAACCATTGAATGAAACACCAAGGTGCAGAACACACACTGTACACTAACACTGTTACACATCTCAAAGACAAGCAAAACTAAGCAATGTGGTAAAGTCCAGAGAAAAAACAAGAAAAACAATAAACAGAGAATTTAGGGTAACTCTTAGGAGACAGGGAGCAGGAGAAGAATACACAAACAAGTTCAATAGCATTAAAACTAGTTAAACTGGGCGGTAGGTTTACAGATGTTTGTTGTCACTATGCTTTTCATTATATATGTATAGATGTTAGATATACTATTTTTTTTAAGAGCACATATTATATCACCTTCAAAGGGAGACACAGCATTAGAACACTCCTTGCTGATTATTGAGGAACCAAAGAGGTAAGGGAGGGGTAAGAGGGGAGGGCAAGCCCTGGCTGAGTGTCTGCAGCACTGGCCCTGAGAAGCTGGTTTGAGGCAGGGCTCTCCCAACAGCCCCTTCAGGGGTCACATCCACCGCCATCCACCTGAGTTTGGTTTTTCAACAGCTCTGCCTACTTGAAAAGGCCACTTCTTCATTTAGGCCATCACCCTCCACCTCCATTTTTATCACTGTAAAAGAAACTACCACACCTCACAGTTGATTTTTGAGATGTAATCAAACCACTAAATTTAGCAATCATAATCTCTTATCTGGGCCAACCCCTTCCATATTTTTCCTACTTCTTATCTTTACATTACTAATATGGCCCCTCTGGTTCAATGAAGTCCCTTATCTTAGTGTCTCTCACATAAATGAACTTTTGGTTTATTTTGCCCTGTTTTGGTTAATGTATTAGTCTGTTACACACACTGCTAATAAAGACATACCCGAGACTGGGTAATTTATGAAGGAAAGAGGTTTAATTGACTCACAGTTCCAAATGGCTGGGGAGGCCTCACAATCACAGTGGAAGGCAAAGGAGGAGCAAAGTCACATCTTACATGGCAGCAGGCAAGAGAGTGTGTGCAGGGGAACTCCCCTTTATAAAACCATCAGATCTCATGAGACTATTCACTATCACGAGAACACCACAGGAAAGACCCATCCGCATGATTCAATTACCTCGCACTAGATCCCTGCCATGACATGTGGGAATTATGCAAGCTACAATTCAAGATGAGATTTGGGTGGGGACACAGGAAAACCATATCAGCTAATGACATTTCTTCTTCTTGGAATGTTCTCTCCTCTCTGCTCAGGATCTAAGTCCATCACTTCCTTGAGGATGCTTTATATGTCATTCCTCTTTGAGAATCTTTTACCCATCACACTTGCTCTGTGATTCCTCAAACATTTACCCATCTAACTGATAGTATATGGTCTTGCACTTGTTATCATATTGATTTGACTTATCCTCTGTGATTATTTCGTGTCAACATTTGAAAGAACTATCAGCAGAGGTTGCATCCTACAGAACTTCTGTGAGCCAGGTAAATGCTCAAAAGTTTTCCTTAATGAATGAGCACCAAGTGGGGGTTACAACTCTTAGCCAATCAAATTGTCACTGCTCTAACATGACACCAAGTCGCCACACACCTCTACTCCCAAAAGGCTCTCAATTCAGTATAGTGAAAGACGTGTTCCCCTGCTATGGGAACAGATTTCCAACTTTAAATAGAAACCAAGCAAAGCAGTACTTTAGAGAATTGTTTCCTGAAGTATTAAACAATTTTAGAGTTCAACGCTTCTCATCTCACCCCACATTACTTGAAGTCCTTAGAAAATCACCCCCAACGGGTGGTTGAACCAGCTTCTTCATAAACACAACATCTGCTGTTTCATTTTTGGTTAGTTTTATTTATTCAACAAGTCTTATAAAATCAAATGTATATTCCTTCTAACTTCTATCCTATTGGTCCTACTCTCTGTTTTCTGATTAGCACTTCATAAGTTTATGAAAATACTTTTCAAGCTGAATTTTAATTATTTGTTTCCATCTCTTTCTCTGCTCACTTGTCTCTGAGCTCCTTGAGAGCAGGGACCATGCTCTATTCGGTTCCACAAATTCCCAATCCCTGACACACTTTGCTCAATTAGTGCTGGTGAAATGAATGAATGAATGAACAAATGAAGTATCGGTTATCACACACAAGCTGAGAATTTAGGATGAATAACAATTTACTCCCTTTTTCACTTGAAAGAACTTCATATATTTGAATGTAGTGATCATGCACAATTTTTATCCACCCCCACTCTTAAGTATTCCCAATTGCCTCAATAACTAATTTCTCATATGATGATTTCAAGAGCCTACAACATTCTAGTTGCCTCCCTTCTTGTGAGCAGTTTATCAATTTCTCCCTTTAAATCAGTGCAACCAATCTGGGATTCAATACTATAGATGGGTTGAATCAGTTTGTAAGAGTGATGTTGCCACCCTTGTTCTGAATTCCATACTTAAATTCTTTTAGCCAACTATGCTGAAATGTACCAATTTTTCAAATAAAGGCCAAGTTTTAAATATTAATTGTTGATTAACAGTGGTTATCTCTGGGGGTGGAAGTTGGGATGAGGGGACTTTCATACTTAAGCATTATCGCATGAGTTTAATTATTTATACTAAGCATATACTACTTTTGTCATTAAAAGCCAATATCAATTTTTAAAAATAAATTAATAGTTAATATTTGTGTTTTCTATGGTTTCAGCCTTATGGAGTACGCCCAAGTCATGTTTAAGCTTCTCATACTTTTTCTCTTCTTCTGCACATATTTTTTCACCTATCAACAAGTATGTGAGTAGCCATTTGTGCACAGCACTTCTAACTACGATCTAGTAGCCAACCCAAACCCTACTTCTGGATTGTGAAATTTCTCTCTTTCTATAAATGTCACAAAGCAGCTCACTGTAATTTGATTTCTCACTTTCTTAAGGTCAGATTAAAACCCAGTAAGTTATTATTTGAAGTTTGCCTTCCTCTAGAAGGGAGAAATCATATAGCACATTTCAGTAACGTTTCCTGGAGCGTAGGGTCTCCCACACTTTGTTTCCTCCCAAATACAGCTGTGTTTCATGCTCTAGAGAGGACTGTTGGGTTAACAAGTACGGCCAAACAAGTGCAGATTAGAAAACGCCGCCTAATTCTAGGCCATTACGCAAAGGCAGTGCTCTCCATATGGAGCACATAATTCAGGCCTCAGACAGTGTCACTGCATGTGACTCCGTTCTACTATTCTCTGCTTAGTCCCTGCTCTCAAGGAGCTCAGAGACAAGTGAGCAGAGAAAGAGATGGAAACAAATAATTAAAATTCAGCTTGAAAAGTATTTTCATAAACTTATGAAGTGCTGATCAGAAAACAGAGAGTAGGACCAATAGGGTAGAAGTTAGAAGGAAGATACATTTGATTTGATAAGACTGAGATGAACTCAGATCTTAAGTCTTTGAGGAGGGAAATACTATTGGCAGCAGAGGTTTTCATGAATCATGGGGCCATCACGTTCCATCAACACCTAAGGGGTTCTCCTGTAGTGGAGAGGCTCTAAGCAATTTATAGTGGCCAAAACCATCTCCTTCAGGCTGTGAGATCCCATGTAGATTTCACAGACCTACAGCTGCACTGTGTCTCAAGAGACCATCAAATGGTCCAGCCCTTGGTAGTGCTGACACTGGTGACTACAAGCTAATTTCTTCCTTTCTCTGGGTCTGTGTCCACTTCTGTCCAATCAGTGGGAGAAGCAGCCCTTCCCTGCCCACCTCACAGGCAGATGATAAAGTGCTTCATGAAGAATAAAGCATAATACAAACAGAAGGTTTGAGTAATGTACTGTTTTCCGTTTTACATGATGGAGCTACTTAAGCACAGAGATGGTTAAGTGACTTGCCCAAGGTCACAAAGCCAGTGAAAAACCTTGGTGATGGGAGAGTTTAAGGGAGAAGACTGCAGTCTGTGTCTCCTGCCTACTGTAGATTCCTTCCATCAGTCTCTCTGGTTTCCAACCTCGAGGAGTTGCAGTCCATTACCCAGGTCCACGAGCTAATTTTAGGGTTTTAAGAGCCTGAAAAAATACCATCAATAAGCTGACCAGGCTCACCATCTCCTGTCTTTATTTTTGACTGAAATGATAACATCCCAGAGTGGGAGTTCTGGTTAGTTCAGGGGTCCTCAACTCGGGATTAAGCAAATGAATCACATCACCCAGGGAGCTTTTAAAAAACGTTCATGCTCAAGCTCCACTCTGGGTCAATTCAACTTAAATCTCTGGGGGTGTTTGTATTTTTTAAAAATCTCCCAGGTGATTCTAATACATCTGGTTGAGAACCACTGGGTTGGCTGATGGTGATCAGAAACTGACGGACAGCAATAGTTTTCCTTGACTAATTACATAATACAGTTCAAGCAATCCTCAGTTGACATGAATTCACACCTCAAGTGTGTTAATATGGCCAGCATTTACTGTGCACATACCCTATGCCAGACACAAATCTAAAATATCTACGTGTATAGGCTGACTTAGTCTCAGAGAACCTACAATGGTCTCCCACTTCACAAATGAGAAAAACAGGCAGATAACTGCAGTAACTCGCTTGTGTCACGGCTGCAATGTGGTGCTGCTAGGATAGGGATTACTATACGGCTTCTTGATACTGCCATCAAATGTGCTATACAACACCTGAGAGTCAGTGATGAATGGAAAGATCAAAGAATGCTGGGGAATGCAGAACAGTTTCTAATCCAAACGCCTACAGGGATCAGGAGGTAAGATACCTGAGGGAGGTGGGCAGGTGTATATGCATATGGGGACATGGTGGCCGAGTGGCAGGAACTGTGGCAGACTGACGAGCACATGCCTGGGGAATGGAGACAGCCGCCACCGACTACAGCAGATTGCTGCCATGTGGGGAGGTGGGCCCAGTGCGAGTGACTCTTCCAAGTTTTCAAAGGAAGCTGGAAATTTGGATTTTTATATGAAACCTCCGATTTCCAAAATGTTGTCTCAAGTTTTTAAACAGTATCTGTGTGGGGCAAAACACATTACTATGGCACCAGCTTGTAACCTACGATATGATCTCTCTTTCCCACTGTGCTCACATATACACAACCCCATCCTTCATTTAAGATTCATTGCATGTATTCTCTTGATTTGGTTCTCTGTGATTAGAAACAGCAGACCCTGCCTTTCCTTCTTTCTGTGTAAATAAACTATTACCTATGTAACATATGGAACACCTAATATAAATTTCGTCTGTGTTACTCTAACCAGTGGGCTGCCTGTTGAACAGAAGAATAAATAAATATTTATGGAATACCTATTCTCTAATTTGAGTCTCACTCTAAGTGTCTAAAGGAGGATTTAGTATCCTCACTTTATAGTAAAATCTGGTTATAATGCATATGATTATTACACAACTTAGATATAATTCAGGTCAAATCATATAAACAGAGAAACTCATTCCTGTAGTAAAAGCCTAATATAATATTGTTGGCCTATGAAACAAGTATTAGTCAAGCCCTACAATAATAGCCTTGTAAAAGAATTTTACCATATCATATTATTATTACTCACCACACTAATGAGATATATTGAGAAAAAAAAACCATAGAAACCACCAAAAAGTTCCAGGTCAGAAATACCTGTAATCTATTCACAATCTAAACAAACTGAAACACCTTTCACATACTTAATAATAAGTAATATTTATTAAGTCCTTTCTATGCAGCAGGCACTAATTAGGCATGATTTTGTGTATATGTATAATATTTACATTTGTATATGTATTCAATTATTCCTTCTAATAGCTCTGTGATACAGAAACTATTACCACTATTTAAAGATGAGTAAAGTGGAGGACAGGGAAGATAAGCAATTTGCCCAAGGTCACACAGCTAGTCAGTGGCAAAGCTGGGCTCTGAACAGCCTGGCCCCAGAGTTTGTACGTTTGACTGCTGCCCTACGAACTTTGAAAGCACATGAATCCTGTTTCTACTTTAGTTGTGCCATACACAGTAGACAAAGTTAAAGAGGGCACAGTCACAGATGATACTTTCTCCCTCTCATTACAAAACAACAACAAAAGCTTTTTAAAATACAGCACCAGACCACCTAAGATACTAGCACTATGTAACCTTAGAAACATCTATCACCCTCCACAAGCACAGTAGCTTGTTTCAAAAGCTCAGATAAGCAGAGTGCTACTGATCAATCATGTAAAAGATCATTTTTTCCTGGCCTTCTTCAGTCTCCTTTGAAGGCCAGCTTCTTCAGCACACTCAAAACATTTCACCCTGAGATCCACATCTCTCTCTCACCCCTTTTCTTTTTCCCTTCACATCACAATTCTAATGGGGTCTAACCACTTTTCCGACCCATGTAGAAATGACCAAAGAGAAAGAGATAGAGAGACAGGTTATTTTAGGGTTTGCTTTTTCAGGCCCTGGCCTCCAAGAAGGTCCATGCATTTCTTCCTTGCTGGTAGAGAAACTTGGTTGAATTAGGATTTTCTTAAAAACAGAAGCAAAGTGTATCTAAACCCTGGTCACTTAAGAACTCCAGAGACAGAACTTCAGTAGTAAAAGCTGTTTTTTATAAGAAGGGAATGGACAGTCGGAAACAATATCCTTTTTAGGCACACTGAATTTGCTGCATTTAGTATAACCCTAGGTCAGACTGTGAAAGCAGAGTTGCTAAAGGCCACATTCTGACCTCAGATCGTGGGCGCGTATCACTGTGCATTTTATAAAATTAGCTACAGTGCAGCCTCTCTGTGTGTGTGCGTGTGTGTGTGTGTGCGCGCGCATGTGTGTACATGCAGTGAAGCTAACTTTTAAAAAATAAACAGCAACATGTACCCATGCCATTTAAGATTAGTATCAAGCCAAAGTCTGATTTTAATTTATGAAACTACTTTGTAACTACAACAATTCTAGCCCAAGGTGGGTCCCTGGGGAATGACAGGAGTCATCAGAGAGGCCCCTGCCTCAGCACCTAGTCACACACTATTCTCCAATATCATAAAAAATAACTTACAGAGAGAGGACAGAAATACAAAAAACTTACTCCCAAACAGAAGGGAGAAAGCAGCCAGAAATGTCAGCCCATCAAGTACTCTTAGCTATTTCTAAGGTCTGTGCTTCACACATTATTCTCTTATAAAATATGATAGAAGACATTTTAGCTACCATGAACTATAAAGTGTTGTACACTTAGCCCTAGATGGAATGAATTACTGAGCTACACCTGGCAAAGCAGGAGACAGAAAAGTGTATCTCAGAAACAGGCACCATCATTTACAATCTATACCTTTAAAATGTGGTTCTAAGAGTACATTAACTAAGCCAATATAGTTATGAAATCTGATGAAAAAAAGCTCACATCCTACCATAACTAGGCCTGGCCTGGATTTTTTTCCAATAAGAGAAAACCTAAAATCTATGCCTTCGCCACAAAGCTCATGTTCTTGTAAAACCTTATGCTGGAAATCCTTAACGCCCCCTAAAGCCCTATTCTGTAGGTCATACTCTGATTATCTTGTTCTGTGATCAGTCTGATTAAATTATACAAAATTACCAATACATCACTCAGAATGGAGAGATTAGCTCCAGCCTACTCTGTTTGTTTTTCCTTGTCCTGTCCTAATACTACAGTGGATATTTAAAAATGAAGAATGGAGGAAGACATGGCAACTTCAAAAGGGGACAAAGGATATATTAACCTAATCTCAGAAATACACTGCCTTCAGCTTTCACAGATGGCACTGTTGACCAGCCATAGAAACAGGTATAGCAATGTGGGCTCCACCATCATTTCCCTCTCTCACACCTTGTGCTGCAGTCTGAATGTTGGTGTCCCCCCCAAATTCATGTTGAAACTTAATCCCCAATGTGATAGTATTAGAGATGGGGCCTTTGGGAGGTGACTAGATCGTGAGGGTAGACCTCTCAAGAAAGGAATTAGTGCGTTTATAAAAGGGGCCCTAGGGAGCTTGTGTGCCCCTTCCACTATATAAAGACACAGCAAAAAGGTACCATCATTGAAGCAGAGATTGAGCCCTCAGCAAACACTGAATCTGCTGGCACCTTGATCTTGGACTTCCCAACTTCCAGAACTGTAGGCAATACATTTCTACTGTTTATAAAATACCCAGTTTAAGATATTTTGTTATAGCAGCCAACGGTCTGAGACACCTTGTCATCTTTAAGTCCAAAGATACCAATTTGCTTATAAGTGACCAGGGTTAATAACAGTGGATGAGAGTTTTTCTCTTTTGTGAAACTAACTTGTCCAGACAGAATCCGAACGCAAACTACTGGGATTACTTAAGTAAACTAGTTTACCAACCCAGCCAGGCACCATACATTTCCAATCCAGCCTTTTCTACAAGAACATGTTGACATTAATAGAACTCCTTGTATTTTTTTTTTTTTTTTTGAGACGGAGTCTCGCTCTGTCGAACAGGCTGGAGTGTAGTGGCACAATCTCGGCTCACTGCAAACTCCGCCTCCCGGGTTCGCGCCATTCTCCTGCCTCAGCCTGCCGAGTAGCTGGGACCTCAGGCGCCCGCCACCACGCCCTGCTAATTTTTTGTGTTTTTAGTAGAGACGGGGTTTCACCATGTTAGCCAGGATGGTCTCGATCTCCTGACCTCGTGATCCACCCGCCTCGGCCTCCCAAAGTGTTGGGATTACAGGCGTGAGCCACCGCGCTCAGCTTGTATTTTAAACCAACTTCTGACCTCAGGAGAAGCCTGCATCGTCACTCCACCAACACACTTTCCCTTAGGTGTGCCCATAGTCTTTGTCCATCTGATTTTACAAGCCTCACAAGACAGAGATTTTCTACATTTCCCTTCGAACTCTCCTAATAGAGGCCATTCAGACTCTAAAATCTCAAATGCACAGCAAGCTCTAACACTGGCCGAAAGCTGTCCAATTTATACCTCTCCAGCATGATTTATTAACACTTTGTGCAGCAAGACTTGTCAACTCACACCAGCTGTGTCATCCCCAGAGTGAGATGGCAGCATGCAGGTAAATTAAAAATCAATGTTTTTATTAGAAACTATTTTGAAGCATGAGAAGGAATGTGATTTTGAGTTATCTTTCCTATTTTAACAGGAAAGCTCAGTGATACCCTACTTACTGTATAGGAATACAGGGATGTTCTTTTTAGAGAACAGATAGGCATTATTATCCAGCATCAATCTAGACTGCTTCTGGGTACCTTGGAATCATTAGCTCTGGATGACAGGATCAGTGAAATATTTTGCTACTTGAGACTCAAATTTTTTCTCACGTGGTCCCTGCCACAGTTAGTCAGGAGGTACTGCCCAGTCACTGCAAAAATTAATAAAAGTAAATAAGAGAAAAGAGTTCAATCTTTCTTTCTCTTTCATTAGACATAAAAAGACTGGTAAAATGATAAAAATAAGAAATCCCGTTGCTTTTCAGTCATTTTGCTTCCTAATTTTACTAGAAAGCAAGAAAGAATTTTAAAAAGTTTTGTTAATGAAGAACACAATAACCTGATCTGGTCTTGACCCACAACTGAGTAAACAATGAAAATACTGGAATAACAAAACAACTGCTTTATTAACTTTTCCTTTGTGTTCCCCCTCGGGAATAGGCATCAGGTAAATTTCCAATGGTAAATATAATAGGATCTAAACTTGTATATATTTATGTGTAAGCTGAAGCTAATGAAGAAATAAGTGATCACCAATGGTGAAAAAAAAAAAAACAAAAAAACAAGAGAACACCCTTCCTCATCCTTTCCCTCTTCAGTTTGTGATTCCAAATGTAAAACCGTTCATAAAGTGCCCAGTCCCATGCGTGGTAACGGTCACAGCATCAGTTAGCCACACAGTTACCCACTCTTCCATTTTCTTAGGCTGACAAACTTTTTAAAGTTATCCAGTTCAGGATTCTGCTAAAGACAAGCAGGTGATATAGCTCAAAGGGCCTCTTGGACATTTTTTTAAATATAGTATTGGACCTTGTTAATGGAAAGAACTTTTGTAAAAGAGCCATCAACAACAGTAGAATCATATTTAAATCCCAAAATGATAATTACTGCTCTAGGCCAAGAAATAAAGGCTGTATCTCGTGTAATAATTTTTAAAACCACCCCTCAAAAATAGTGTAGGTTTAATACTCTTTGCTTAGGGTCACCTGCAGAAGTTAATACAGGACTTCTTTTGATTTATAGACAGTAAGATCGCCATTCAACCCTACAGTATAGGCCATCTTTTTCTGTATATGTATAAGGCCCATATAACAAAGCAAACACAGACACAAACACACACACTTACTTCAGAGGCCCAGGAGGAAATGGCTGTGTAGAATTTTAAATCAGAAACCTAAGGCTTAGGTTAGTAGTGTCAGGTTAAAGGCTAACCCATCTCCAAAGCTAATTCGGTTCTGAACAGTCCCATGGGTGTCTAACTGAACAGAAGGAGCTGGGAAACCTTAGCAGGCCGGAGCTCAGACTGGGGAATTGCTGGGACTCTGTGCCAGGGGCTGAGGCTCACCCCAGACTTGGTATCAGATAATACCAAGTGCTAGTCTGGATTTCCAGGACTAATCCACTCCAGGGTGGAACTTCCAGGTTCCCTGGTGTCTGTGCTGTGTAGTGGGAGGACTTTGGGCTTTGTAGATCCAGACTGTGTCTGGCTAGTATTGTACTTAATATCAGAAAAATAGATCCAACACAGAAAGAGTCTATAAGTAGCAATGCTTTATGCTGTAGAATCCTTAGGGGGGTGCAGACACAGGGAGAGACCTAAGAGGAAGTGGAAAGCCCTCCGAATTTTCTATAGATTCAGTTTTCATAAGTTCCTTTTTTGTATTCTAATTTGCACTTCTTAAATGTGTTCACAGGTTCTACAGATTCTTAAAACAATATATTAACAGTGGCTATTAACCTCTTTTGTATTTACTCAAAAGGGCTCTTTGGCTTCAAAAACAGTTTTGCCCCTCTCATTCCTTCAAGATCTCCCTTCTCCTCCTCCGTTACACACTCCTTTCTTTTAGAGTCAACTTTTAAATCTGCCCCTATTTAACTTCTTAAAACCCTGAGATGACTTCTAGGAGGAATATTTAATCCCCAGACTTCCTATATTTTAAATTTGATACAAAACAGTACTCCAGTGAAAAAGAATTCCTCCTCTCACATATAAACAAACAAACAAACAAAGTGTCTAGCATTAAAAGTGGGACTTAGAACTACAATTATATTCGACATTAAATACAAATTAACACTAATTTTTCCCAAAGTCAATAATTACTACTTCACACCACTTGCAAGTTTCAAGCCTCACTCAGCAGTTAGCAAGCCTTGGGTGACTGTGATTGAACTGCAAAATACACCATTTGCCCAGAAATTGCAAAGTCCAAACACAAACTGCTTTAAAAACATGTGCAAAACACACTTAGCACAGGCAACACATATCCACAAAAATCCATTCAATGCAAAGGTAAGTGGAAAAGCTTAGAAAATTAAGGCCTCCCTTTCAAAACTGCAGGGACTTTTACGGTGTTTCCAAAGGTAATTGCTTCTTACTTCAGTAAAAGTGACTTTATGTGACTGAAAGAGGGAGGTGATATTTTTTTAAGTGAGTGGCTAACAGGATTCAATCAGACAGCAAAGTAGGAGAGCCCACTCTGAAAATATAACTTCATCACCAGGCACCGACGCGCAGGAAAGGCCCACCAAGCACACGAGCTAAAATGGAGCCTGAATTTCCTCTCAGACGGAGAGGGTAGTCGCAGGAGGTCAGGGTCAAGGTCATCAGCAGGGCACGCTGCAGCTGCCCGACTGCACTACACACAAGAGGAGGGAAGGCGTTCCATCTCCGTCACAGACGAAACAGATAAATCCCTTCTCCTCTCCCACCCTCCCTCTAACCCCGCCAACATTTTTTTTTTTAAAGCAGGGGGAGAAGAGAAGAAAGGGAAAATGACCAAATAACCTCACCGCCCTGTTTTCGCACACAAGCTCATCAGCTCCCAAAGTTGCCATCTAAGGGCAAGTTCGCAGAGAACACTGAAGCCCATTTTGTCCAAGCACGGCAGACCTCCCCTGACCCCCTCAGGATTCCTGCCTCCTCTCCCTCCCCCCACACGCCCCCGACAAGAGCCCGGCAGCGGGGCAGTCCGGCCATGTGCACGCACACTCTTCCACCAACTGCTGCGAGTTTTCTGTGAATCGCAGCGCGGAGCCTCCCAACTCGCCCTCCCCGACTCCACCGCCTTCTCCTTCCTCGCACAAAATTTCCCTACACACGCAGCCGCCTGCGAGTGATTTTATGTGCATATATATTACATATGTGATATTATCCTCAGAACCTCTAGCGGGCAGGCGAAGAAAGGACTGCACAGGGGCATTTTTTTTTTTTAAAGGAAGGGGAAAAAAGCACAACCCAAGCCCTTTGCGTCGACTCCTGCGTACCGGGAAGGGGAAAGAAAGAGGAATGTTTGCGGAGCGGACTGCTTGCAAGTGCCCTTGCTCGCCACTTCGGCTGCGGCCCGGGTGACACGGAGGCGCGGGGGCGCCTGGCCCGAGCAGCCCGCGCCCCCCTCCCGGTCCCCTGGGCAGGCACCGCCGCGGTTATTTCGCGAGGGGGAGATCGATCGCCCTGCCTGTCTGCAGCGGAAAAGCACAAGCTCACACACAGCCCGAGCCCGAGACACCATAACCTTAACCCTTCCCCCACCCTCCGTGAACTTCAGGTGACCGACCACGTCGGCCTGACACCCGGGCGGGCGGGCGCTCCGGCTCCACTCCCGCCCCCAGCCCGGGTTTTGCAGGATCGGGCTCCGAGCAGCGCCAAACCGCCGGGAGAGGGGAGTAGTGTGGGGGGAGAGAAGAGAAATTGACCCTCCGTCTCCCCCGACCCCTCCCTCCGGCGCCTCCCGCGTCCCCTCCTCCCCGTCACCCCGCCCCACGCCTTCTCCCCTGCCCCCTCTTCCCTGCATTCAAGGAGCCGGGCGGCCCCGGGGGATATTTTTAGTTGCTTCTTTCTCCTTCACTTTTAGCTTTAGCAGCATCTCGAAACACTCAAAGCGGAGAAAGACTGGGGGGTTGGGGGGAGCTGGAGAGGGAGTGGGGGAAAAGTTAAGAGTCGCGCAAAGAAAAGCCGGAGGGAGGGCGGAGAGGGACCGGGGGCGCGGGTGGAGGAGGGGAAGGGGACCGGGCCGTGCCGGCGGGTGTGTGTCTCCAGTTGGCGTGTGTGGCTGCCGCCGGGGAGGGCTGTGATGCACTTTAGTCCTGGACTCTGCTCAGGCTCGCCAAGGAGGGGGTCTGAGAGCCCGAGTCTCGCCCGGCTCCGTCTGCTCCGACTGACCCCGCATTTTATTGCGGCCAGGAGCCCTGCTCCTCCCTCTCCTCCGCTCTGCAGGGACCTCGCGCGCCGCGAGCCGCCCTGCCTCCTGCCTTCGCCTCGGCGCAGCTCCCGCACCCCACATCCGCCCGCCGCTGCCCGGCCTCGCCCCCCGCCCGGCCGCCCCGCGCCCCGGCGCGCCCCCTCGCCTCGGCGCCGCGGGAGCAGCCGCCCGGCGGCGCGTGTGTACCCGTGTGTTTGTGTGCGGTGCCCCTACACCCTCCCCAGCCGCTCCCGCCTCGCCCGCCCCCGACTCCCCTCCTCCGCCGCCGCCTCCTCCACCTCCGCCTCCTCCTGCTCCAGCCGCCGCCGCCGCTGCCGCCGGCGGCTCGGGGGCCGACCAACCCCGGCGCAACCTTTAGCCAGGGACGGACCTCTCCCTGGATCCTGTACCCGGCGGCTGCTGCGCGCCCTCTCCCCGACACCCCCAAACGCCATGTCACGGCCCCCAGCCCTCCGCGCGCCCCGACCCCCGCACCCTCAGGCGCCGGAATCCACAAGGAATTTTTTTTTTTTTAAGATTCCAACCTCTCCCACCTCCCCCCACCAAACCCCCGATAAAACCCCCGGCATCCACACTACTCCCCTCCTCCCTTCTCTTGCCCCCTCCCCCCAGCAACCCAGAGTGAGGAGGGGGAAGGGGAGGGAAAGGGAAAAAAAAGCCCGATCTCAAGGAAAAAAAGGGGGGGGGTGAGAGAAAGAAAGAAAAAGAGAGAGAGAATAGAAAGGGCACGGGGCTGATCATCACCAACATGGCTGCCTCAGCATAGACCTAAACGAGGAGTAACCCGGGCTGTGTCTTTGTCAGTTTCACCTCTGTAACCCTAAACTAATGCAGAAAACAACGGAGGAGGCTGCGGAGGGGAAAGAGGAGAGGGAGGGCGAGAAAATGGCACGAGAGGAGGTGGAGAAGGGATGACTTACGTGAGGGAAGGCGCTTGGGCTGCTCCTGCTTCCTCCTGGGCATTTTCCCCCTTTTCTCACATTCTCCTCCTTGGTTAATGTGAGATCAAATAAACCCCCGTGGGGGCAGAGAGGCAGACACTGGCAGGAGCGGGGAGGTAGTTGGGGGGCGGGCGGGCGGGCAGGGGGAAACCCCTTCTCCGGTGTGTGCAATGGGTTGAAGCTTGTTTCCTGGAGCCAGAAGAGGGGTTTTCTTCTTTTCTTTCCTTTCTTTTTTCCTTTTTTTTTTTTTTTTAAATTTTTGGTCGTGCACCTGGCTTGTCCCCGAGCGTAATATTCTTCAATGGAAACGGATCTAATAGGTGTGAGTGTGTGTGTGTCCTATGCTCGCGTGTGTGATGGGAGGTATAAATAAATGAGTGCCGGTGCGGCGGTGTCTATGGCCGCGCTCTGTGTCTCCGAGCCCCTAACACTAATGTCGGGATCAAAGGGCAGCGGCGGCGGCAGCACAGCTCACAGCTCGCTCTCTTGCTCTCTCTCTCTCTCTTTCTCGCTCTCTCTCCTCTCGCGCTCTCTCTCTCGCTCTCTCTCTGTCACACACACACACACACAAGAGGCACAGACTGAGGGAAAGAGCGAGAGCTACACACACACACACGCACGCACACACACACACAGAGCAAAGAGGAAAGTGCCCCAAGGCTCCCAGGGCGGACTCAGCCTCGGATTTACAACCGCTCTGTCTGGAAAGAATGGGGGGCGCGCGTGCGGGGGTGGGATGGAGTTCTTCAAATTTATCCCGCTAGTCACCAAATCTAGGGGGAAAAAGTTTTTCTCACTCTTTAAACAACGATTAGTTCATTATTTTACTGACTTTTAAAAAGGAAATAAATTTCTCTCTTCACTTTCTTTTGTTTATTAAGCTACATTTTGTTCTGTATGAAATTCTGCAGGCTTTTGTCCCTACCCCATCACCTTAAATCTGGAGGTTATCGTCTCCCACACACTCTTCAAAAACATTCCAAAAAAACTAATTTAAAAAAAATGAAGACAACATATGGTGAAATCAATAACTTGGTTGACAGTTGACAGAATAAGTGCCCAGTTTTGGAGTGTCCACTGGAGTTAAAACTGAAAAATGCTCCTAAATGAACATTACAGCTACTTGACAAAGAGAGGAAAATAAGATTAGGTCACCCCTGATGGTTGCTTTAACTGCTACGTGATACTCCTAGAGTGCACACAGCAATCTTTACTTCGGAAATTCACTTTTTCCCCTGCTATATACTGCAGGTATATGAAGTTTACCCTGAAGCAATTCCAGTGTGCATTATGAGCCCAATATAGCAGTTTTCATTAACTGATACATACTTTCATTACCTTACAAATCACACATCTTTCTTCAAAGAGAGACATAAAGGAGAAAAATAGAAAAGGACGGGTCTCACTAGAGCACAAAAGGTACTTGGTGAAAGAGGACTGTTCTCTTTGTGACTTGCAGTCATTTGGATAAAAGTTCACTCAGAGGTTGTTAATGATTTAAACTCCAAAACCTGCTACTATAATTGAAATAAAAATGGTCTGAAGAAGAGTTGTTTCATAAAACTCTCTTTGTAAGAGGAAACTTTGAACTTAGCAGAATACATTATATGTCATGAGTCATGTAGCTAGAAAATAAAAAGGTGCATTATTTAACTACATCTTCCCTTTTTAGCTTTTTTAAAACTCTGACTCATCATCTTATTATGTTAAATATTTTCCTACCAATTTTTAAATAGACCTTTTCATCAAAGAAAGTGGAGGCACAGTAAAGACATAGAACATTAAAATGACACTCTATAAGCCTACATGGATAACTCATGCCTCTTTGAGGTTGAGTTAATTCTTACAACTTCAGTGGTGTTAAAGAGAGCCATGGGGGTTAAATTCTGACTTGCCTTATTAAAAATAATAATAAGGCTTTATATTGCACACTTTTATAAGTGAAGCTTAAAGAGTGCTGTATCTCCCAAAAGATGTCTTTCACTGATAGAGAAATCTCACGTTCAACCCCTCCCTGCCAACTCCCCCCAAAAGATCTAGCTTCCCAGTAACAAGTAATGCTATTGAAAGCGAGGTTTGAAACACCTGCATGAATTCAATCTAAAACCAAAACAGAGAGCAGTCAAGTTTAAAATGGAGCACCCTGTAATCCCAGCACTTTGGGAGGCGGAAGTGGGCAGATCACGAGGTCAAGAGATCGAGACCATCCTGGCCAACATGGTGAAATCCCGTCTCTACTAAAAATACAAAAATTAGCTGGATGTAGTGGCACACTCCTGTAGTCCCAGCTACTTGGGAGACTGAGGCAGGAGAATCGCTTGAACCTGGGAGGCGGAGGTTGCAGTGAGCCGAGATCGGGCCACTGCACTCCAGCCTGGCGACAGAGCGAGACTCCATCTCAAAAAAAAAAAAAAAAAAAAAAAAGGAGCATCATCCTTAAACCAGTTCTTCCTCAAATGTTGGTTTTAAAAAACTGGTAGTTAGGTTGCCCTGCATTATAATTTGAAATATAACTATCTTTCCACTCAGGTCAAATTCAATTTGCCATAATTTTGACTATTGTCGGTGACATTGGACTTGAAATTAATATATTAATGATAAATTAGAGCCCATCCTTTCCAAGTAGACCAATGCTCTGAGTGTGTAGAATCTTTACAGCTGAACAAAATGGTCACCACACTTCACCACTGCTCTCTCAGAACCTTTGGCTAGGGTGTTCAGGATTATGACTCTGCATAGACACACCACTACCTTTTCTGAATTGCTAGGACTCTTCCTAATGTTTAGTTTGCTATAATTGAAAACACACTTTAGGCCTTTCCTCAAAGCAGAGTACATTTCCTGCGACCTTTTAAAGGCATGCAGGAAAATGCTGTCAACTTTTAATTATATAGGTGTTCTATCAACAGCCAAAAGCATTTTTAAATTGAATTTATTCATACCTCCACCTCTTTCCAAAAATTATTTGAAATAGTACACAACAATAGAAAATGGAAATAAGGACAGAACAATTTCCGTTTCAATCTCAGGTTGGTACCTTTATGCTATAAAACACTCTTCAAGGTCATTTGCATCTCACCCTCAATCGCTGTATGCTCAGGGAACACAAACTAATTTTAATGTCAGACTAACAAAAACATTAGGAAAATAAATACTTGGGGGTTACGATAATGGATTTCAAAATCAAATGCATAAATAATTTTGGAAATGTATGCTTTTGGGATATATATACCCATGAACCATGAGCTTTGATTATTGTTGGCCATACTCATCAGATTGGAATATTCTATTTGATTCACCCCACCCATGGACTAAGCTTTAAAAAGCATATTTTATCTTAATAATTATAGTACTCTCTCCACCCCCATCTCCATTACCTCTCAAATGTGAAATTAAAATAGATTTTCTCAAAACTGTGCACTCTAAGAAGAAGTTTCATAAACACTCTCACAGAAGTGAAATCTATTCAAGCTCAAATATTGCTAACGATGAGTAGACAAAGGGAGCACTTACCCTAGAATAGTGTGTGGTCTGCAGGTCCGAAACTACTTTCATACTATCCAGAGTCCATGAGGTCAGAACTACTTGCATACTAACAGTAAGATGTTATTTGTCTTTTTATCTGTGTTGACATTTGCACTGATGATGCAAAAGCAATGGTGGGTAAAAATGCCACATCTTAGCACTAATCAGGGCAGAGCACCAAAAAGTATAATAGTGATCCTATTCTTCACCATCATGCACTTAGAGGAAGGAAAAAGGGAGGTTCATCTAAGAATGTCCTTGATAGAGCAGTAAAAATTATTAATTGTATTACATCTCAATCCTTAAGTACAAGACTTTTAAATATTCTTTGTTGACAAAAAGGTAGATACATATAAAGCACTTCTGCTGCATACTGAAATACATAGGTTGTCTGAAGGAAAATCACTTGTGAGATTGTTTGAAATAGCCACTTTTTAATGGAATGCTATTTTTACTTGAAAGGATGACTGACTGACAAACTGAGAGGGGTATTTCTCAAAAAAAAAAATGAGGTTAGCCTGAAATTTCAAAGAAAACAATGCATACTATTTTTTGGCAGTGACAATATTTGCATTTACAAGTACAAATTAGAATCTTAGATAACTTGTATCCGTCACCATTAATGTAACAGCTTCCTGATACTTATAGGCCTTTTTGATGAAATGGGTGGTGATATTAATAAATGTAACTTTTTGATATTGTCTCAAGATTTTGGAAGAGCCGCAAAGCTCAGTGAACCAATATTTTCCAAATGACCAATGCTTGCTGTTACCAAATCATGCTGTAATACAAGATCCATTCAAAGCACAAGATAGATCAGTGGGTTTTAATGTGAAAAAATATGAAAAATTCATTGATATGGTTTCAGATTCTATACTGTAAGTAATCTTTAAGAAACTACCACTCATCAAGTTCTGGTGTAGTATCAAAGAAGAATATCCACAATTACCTAAAAAGGGTATTAATGTACTTCACCCTCTTCCAGCTACGTATCTTTATCAAACTGGATTTCTTTCATGTACATCTTTAACCAAAGCAACATATCACAATTGATTGAATGCAGAAGCAGATATGAGAACCCAGCTGTGTCCTATTAAGCCAGATATTACAAAGATTTTCAGAAACGTAAAACCATGCCCATCTCCTTATGAAATGTTTTGTTTTGAAAAAAATAGTTACTTTTTATGAAAATGTATTAACTTGCATTGTTTCTGATTATGTATAAATTAATAAAAATTTTAAAAAATTCTACAGTTTTAATGAGTAACAATCAATAGACATAACCAATATAAACAAAGGTCCTTGGGCTCCTCAAAAACTTGTAAGAGTATAAAGGAATTCTGATTCCAAAAAGTTTGAGAACCACTGCCATAGAAATTAAGTTGCAGTTAAAGAGAAAAATGACAGGTATGGAGGCTTTACCAGAGGTCTTGGAATCCAATTGTAAACATGCTTACCCTCTTCATAAAATGAAGCCCACTAAGCCCCTGGAGCTGAGAGTTAGTTTGTGTACCCCAAGATTAGCTCCTCTGATGAGATCCCTTATGGGATACAAGAAGTAGAAGAGGGTGCTCACCCACTCTAGTTGAAACAGGTTATCCAGCCACGTGGAGAGGCCAGTTACTCTGAACAGAGGCCCAAGTCTCTCCTAGCCTCAGACCCTCTAGGAAAGTAAAACCAGCGAGGGTCCCTCTCTCTTTCCCAGGGTATGAACCATCTGCCTCAAGAGTTAAGAAGAGATACTCTTTACCCCAAATGTGCTCCAAGTCTGACATTTTAAATAATGAATGCCTGTCCCAAAACAGAGACATGGATCTGGCGTCTCACCTGGCCTGGACTTGACATGTTATAAATCACTATCTGGTGACGATGACCTGCCATCCTTTACAGAGGGGTAGGCTTTTACTGTAATATGTACTTTCATGGGAATGGATGGAATCAGCAAAGGAAACATTTCTGGGCATTTGGGATATCTTTCTTCTAACCCATGGGCTTGGGCCCCTTCCCTAAATATCGTCCCAATAGTTCTTCACCTCCAACACCTGATGTGAATGTTTCAGAGTACAAAGTCATATTTAGATTGGTCAAATTCCAGATTTCTGTGGTGTGTTTCCCTCACCTGGTTCATCCTGTCAGCACTGATGCTCAAAACCACTCAGTTCTTCCTTGCTTACTCCTAACTTAAACCACAATATGAAATAAAACTCTTGTCTCCGAACCCTTACATGCCATGATTCTTAGCATCTCTGTCCATTTCTCTTCCTTGGGCCTTTTTCTTAAATCTGCATGGATGGGAACTCCCCTAAGCAGCTACTCCCCACTTTCATGTATTTTTGAACTGATTTGTCTGATAGTGCAATGTACTTCTTTGCTGCTTGGCCCAGTCATCCTCTGAACTGCCTCAAATCATACTGCTGCCTCCTTGTGAGTCCCCTCTTGCATGTGGCATCCTTGACGGCCCCTCTTCCTGGCAGCTCTGATTCAGCTTCTCTGCAACATCTTTCTGTCCCTTTGTACGTTCTTCCCCCAGCCTCTTCCCCCACTATGGTTCACATACCCATGGCATCTTGACAAAGTTGTTTACCCAATGTACATGTCAAGCAACATCTTCCTTAGACTACAATATGGTTATAAGAATAACAAAATACAAAATTACTACATGCCCAGACTCATGATTTTGGGTGATCAGCAAGTACAATGGGAGCAGAAACCAATAAAAAAATTTCCTGTGCGTTTCTCTTATATCTTCTCCTCC
This sequence comes from Homo sapiens, assembly GCF_000001405.40. NCBI lineage: Eukaryota > Metazoa > Chordata > Mammalia > Primates > Hominidae > Homo > Homo sapiens. Next base: position 145,944,666 of record NC_000004.12, read on the forward strand.
ATGATTACTGTCTCTGCCATTTGTGGTCACCTCTGTCTACCCCCATTTTTGGAATTCCACTTCTACCACTGCCCATTTTTATGCCAATTTTTATGTAGTTGGTTATCTCATGGAAGGTAGGACCAAGTTACCTTGAGCTCCATCTGTGTCCTTTTGGTGCTAGAGTTTGGCTATGTCTTTTTATTGGACTTAAAGTCCTTTCGTATAAAGCAACAAATGGCAATGCCATGGGAGTTAACTATTATACACTCCCTCTTTGACATCATTTCATTTCCTACTTTAATATTTTTAGTAAAGAGGCAAAATTAGAGCTTCGAATTAGAGCCACAGAACTTTATGGCCAGAAAGTGCCTTGCAGATCACTTTGTTTTGCCCTGGTATTCCACAGATGAGGAGTCAGAGTAACTAAAACATTGGGCAATGCTGCTTGCTGAGCTCTGACTAGTGAGCTCTTGGCTATTCCAGAAAATTAGAGCTTAAATGTAGGACATTGTAAAGGCATATTTATGCATCCTAAAGTATTTAAGCAAACCAATTTTGTAAGCCAGAATGTAGAAGCATTTGAAATCACAATATACAAACTTAAGGAATCGAGTGCTTTCAAATATTGTGTGTAGACAATTTAGTGTAGGTTTGATATTGTTTGCTAGCTCCTGGAAGGTTCATTTTAAATGTGAATGAAGGATAGCTATTGGGATTAGAAAGAAACTTTAAAATTTACCAAAAAGAAACCCCAAACCATATAGATCAACTCTATCTTGAGAATATAGATACTATGATAAAAAACTGGAAGCCCTAAAAAAGGTATTACATTCTCTGAGAAGAAACCTTGTGGACATTTCAAAATAAAGTGTTCATACCTTCATGAAAGAAGGTAGCCTAAGCTCAGATCCCGTTTCAGTGTTGGGCAATGGTACACTTAGTCTTGGCCAATTGTCTTAGGCAGTCTTTCAGTGGAGTTCATAGGTATCCAGTGTCAATGTATCATTGCAACTCTCTTACTCTTAAAGCAAAAACCATGAGTCACTCAACTCAGCCCAGCTCCCTGATGGCAGGTCCATGGGCCATTTTTCACACTAGAAGGATGGGTGCTTTTACAGAGGCAACTTCTGAAACCTCATCCTCTTTTACACTGCACTCAGGGAACAATGAGAGAAATGGAATTTTGTGAAGTGTTTGAGACAAAAAAATGATTCCTACAAATTGCCCAAAATAACAGGAAGGAACAGAATGGATAAACTAAAGTTCACATCCTTGTCCTGGAGTCTGAAGCACAACTGGTCTAGCAAGTATCCTTTCAGTAAACAGAGTCTGGGGAACAGATTAACAAGTTAATGTGCAGTTAGGCTAGCATAGAGAAGCTGCACCATGCAAGTATAAGTATGATTGTGTAAAAGCCTCATACACCTAGGCTCCTTTGGCACACATCTTGGGCCCACAGAATACACAGAAATGGCTCCATATAATTCCTATTAATGATGTCCCGAAAAACAGACAACAGGCTTTGCAGGAATTCCTTAATTTCCAAAGGTCATGCCTCTGCACCCCAGGAGATTCACACTTCATTTGTGCCAGATTGCTTGTTGTTTTAGAGGAAGGTTATGTTGCTGACTGATTTTTCACATATCCCAGCTTTTTGGAGAGTTCGCTTCTTAGTGCAGTGTCCGTGAGAAGCTTTGTTGTGACTTTTGCATAATGTAAGTGTTCAGCAGTATTTGTGTTTGAGTGTCAACACAGTTCTATCTAGGAAAAAAAAAGGAACATACTATATCAGCAAGGACTATTTAATTCATCTTCACATCAGCTCTGTGAACCATATTTTCTTCACTTTAAGGCTGGGGAAACTGAGGCATAACCCAGGCAAGAAATTGCTCAAGGCCACATAATTAGACCACTTGCACTTGAGGGCTATAGACAGCCTAATTACAGCCACAGCGCTCTCCCTACATCAATCAGGCAGAAGCCTGAGGAACAGATGGGCCATGCATCATGTCCTAAATGCCAAGAGACTGTTTTTTGTCTAATAGGGAAGGAGTAGACCCAGATGCCCCAGTGCTCTCCCCAGGAAATGTTGGTTCCAGTTTCCTGAAAACCAAGTATAAGCTCCCATGTATATATCAATTGTTACATTATTAAAGAGAACAAAGTAATCTCTAAGAGTAACCAGAGCCTAAACATGCAGAAATGGACATTGAATTTCCCGTGTGCTAGTGAAGTAGCATTGTGCTGGTTTCGCCACATTTGCCTCCTTTGCTTGTTGTCCCTTCTCTACCCTGTTATCTTTGCCCCAGGAACTGACCGCTAGTGACTGCAGCACCCAAGCTCCCTGGCTGGCTTGATATACAGCTGGATTCAGGCAACAGGAGGTAATTGTAAGAGAGAAGAGTGGGATGGCAGAAGGGTGGGAATATTTCTTCTCTTCTCCCTCTCTGCTTTGATGCTTTGTCTCTGGCTGTAATTCTGTCCTTCCATGATTACAGCCTCTAGCACAGTGCAGACTTCACTGGACTTGGAATACACTGTTTCCTCTCCTCATCCGTTCAGCCCTAGCGCTGGTAACTGCCTTCCACAGATGGTGATTCCTGGATGCCTCTCAGCCCTCATTAGTTCCCTTACCCCACCACTATGTAAGGAGTTCCCACCACTATGTAAGGAGTTCTTCATTAAAGCCTCTTCATTTGAATCATGAGGGATGAGTTCTGTTCTCTGCCTGAACCCAGACTGATACAATGTACTTTCATTTGTTCACTAAATATCTAATGAACACCTACTATGGGCCAGGCACTGGCCAAAACCACTGGGAATACCACAGTGAGCAAATAGAGATATTACCCCTGACCCTGTGGAGTTTACTGAACTCCGTGGCTTATTTTACTTAACTCTTCTTTGTTATTTCCCATAAAATTGGGATGATTTTTTTTTAAAGTACAGAAATTCTCCAGGCTAGTCAGGAATTCTGAGAACAGAGAATGAGGCTATGTGAGAGGTAATTTAGGCTTCAGACAAATTCGAAGTACATCATTAGTAGATGATTATGGCAGGGGGCAGGGCAGGGAAGGGGTGCAGAGAAGGAGTAATGATCAGGTAGAGTCAGTCTCCCAAAGGAAAGCCTTGGTGCCACAGGATCTAGGACCATCTCAGGTCCATGCTCTGAACAAATTTAAGGTGACGTAAGCAAAACTGATGAGTGGGCAACACTGATCTCCAAGACCCCTTCCTTGATGTTTCCTCGATCCTTTCTCCTGTCTCCACTTCTGGAATGTTTGATGCCATTTGCTCTCTCAGCAGTACCGGTCCTTTTAGCAACCAGAAATACCACTGTGTTGTCCCACTTAAACCTCTCCTGATAGATGGTCCCATAATCTTTCTTTATTCAAAATATAACTGTTCTTTTTTTTTCCTTTCCATTTCCCGAGGCTTCCTCATGCTTTTTTTCTACCAAAATGATAGCTAACAGGATAACGAGAGTTCATTTTTTTCTATTTTCCAAGTTTTTAACAGTGAAACATATATTATTACTATAATTTAAAACTTTTTTGAACCGCAACAAAAGTAAGTTAGCTACTCAATGCCAATGTCTTCAGTGATACAAATAGCATATCCTCTTTTACCAACAGGGATACCTTTGAAATACCCAGAAAGTAAAAGATGTCATAGAATAAATATGGCCATCTTTCTGGAATGCTCCTTTTGCTGATACGTTTGTTGAAAGTTAAGCAATTTAACTTTGAAATAATTTAAAATGTACTTTTATTAAGATATGTATGGAGATACCATGTACTCTGGTTTTTCTCATTAAAGATGAGGACAATGACAATATTGTACTTCCCTTACATGAGGTTGCTGTGGGGTCTAACTGAATCTAAGCACTGTAGCTGGTATATGCTGCTGCTCCTGACGGCATGGGATATGCCATGAGGTCCAAACTCTGCATGAACTTTAAGTCAAAATGCAAGGTTTCAAAGAAATTTTGCCCAGAACCTTCTTCAGGCTCTATCCCCAGATTCCCAGGGGAAACATTTTCATTTGCTTTGGCTGCTAGAGGAAAAATCTGAATATATTACCTCTGCTTTCTGGATTCCCCATGCTTTATCCCACAGCAGTAACTTTCACAGCAGGAATTTTAGGCATTGTGGCATTCATTCAGTTATAAATTTCAGTTATAAAACATTTATTGAGGTTTTCGTGATTTGATTTTTTAAACCCACCTGTTCTCCTTCTCCTTCTCCTTCCCCTATTGTTGTTCCTGAAACAAAATAAATGACCCAGAATTATCTGGCATTCATCTGACATAAATCATAACCCACACTGGATTACTTTCAACTCTACATTATAGTCCTATGGAAAACTATAGTTCTGAATGAGGACTACTTCTTCCCTTTCAACACTTCTTTATCACTGTCCAAAAAAACCAGATAGGCAAGGAAAACTAAAAATTGAAAGAAAGAAGGAAAGAGAAAGAAGAAAAAAGAAAGCTGGAATAATAGTATCAAAAACTAAATTTACTTTATAAACTAGCACTTTCTCTGAATTCAGAAAATGATTTTTATACCAAACGAAACAAAACAAGCCCACATACACAAATTTTGATAATGTTTAACCCAATCTTGGGTTCAAGTCTTACCCTTGAAAGAACTAAAGTCACAAAACAGGTCTTGTTGTCTTGATGTGCTTTGAATGAATGGTTTTAATCACACACTATTTTAAGTACCTGTGTCATCCTGTTACTGATTTGGATGACTGCTTTCAGTCCACCACAAAATATACTCAAAACTTATTAAAAACAACAAACAATAATATTTCTGTACTCAGAGTAATGGCTAATGTTATCATACAACCTAGGCTTTGAGTATACTGTGTGAGAAAATATCCACGGCCCTTGCTCTTATGGAACAAATATCATAATGGCAAGTGATGACCATTTTTGTAAAAGGCTCTAAGGGTAACGACTTAGACTTTACTGGTTACTTTTGTTTAAAAATTAACAAAACAAAGTAATTAAATATATGAATATTGGAAAAATGATTAATGTGGTAATATTCTCCTGTTTCAGATGCTTTGGTCAAAGGGCTTGTATCTTATGGAAAGCTCCTAAGGTACATAAGTCACCGACATCTACCACTTGTTTATAATTGGGTAGCTTGTTTAAATGCACAGCCGGGCTGGGGCAGCAGGTCACACACTGTTGAGCAGGACAGTGAGGAGGGAACCTCCTGTTTCTCATTCCAGGGATTGTAAGCCCATTGTTGCTGTGTTTTCCCATCTTATAGGAGAAGCGGGATATCTAAATTTTATCGAGAAATCTCCAAGTTTTGGGACATATATACTCAACAAAATGTATCTGCAGGTCAGATCTGTTGATCATCAGTTTGTGATGATCATGTGTTATACACATGTAACTCCCAACCAACCATTGCAATTCATGCGTTATCTTATATGCATCAGACCAGAAAATAGACAAAATAATAAGGTCCTCAAATACCACTGTGTCACATATTCACAGACTCTCAATTTTGGAACTAGACTTGCATTTATCTAGACTAACTTCTGATATGATCATACTTAGTAATGAGGCAGACTCTAATTGGACAGATCGTATTGTGAGATCATTGTTTCTTAAGAGTCAGTCAAAATCTAGCATTTCCCTTTATACCCGTTAGATGGCCACTATCTGAAAAATTAAGAGCATGAAATAACAAGTGTTGCTGAAGATGTGGAAAAGTCGGAATCCTTGTGCATTGCTGCTGTGAATATAAAATGGTACAGCCACCGTGGCTTCTTAAAAAATTACATATAGAATGGCCATGTAATCCAGCAATTCTACTTCAGAGTATATATCCAAAAGAGTTGAAAGTAGGGATTCAAACATATTTGTTTATCTATGTTCATAGCAGCATTATTCACAGTATCTAAAAGGTGGAAACAAACCAAATGCCCACTGACTGACAGATACATGAGCAAACAGAATGTGGTGTATACATAACTGCAATATTATTCAGCCTTAAAAGGAGGGAAATCTTGTCCCATGCTATGACATGGGTTAGCTTTGAAGACATTATGCTAAGTGAAAGAAGCCAGACATGAAAGGACAAATACCGTATGATTCTACTCATATGAGATACTTAGAGTAGTCAAATTCATAAAGATGGAAAGTAGAATGGTGGTTGCCAGGGGCTGGGAAAGGGGGTAAATTGAGAGTTATTGTTTAATGGGTATGGAGCTTCCATTCGGGGAGATGAAAAAGTTCTGGAGATAGTTGGTGTACCTCAGTGTGAATGTACTTAATGCCATTGAGCTGTACACCTAAAATGTTTTAAATAGAAAATTATTATGTTTATTTTACCATAGTTAAAAAAATGAAATAAGGCAATCTAGCATTTTCACTCTCTACTCTCTGTGCTTTATTTTGCCCTCTGAAGCCACAGAGCATAGGTTTGCTCTTTTACATGACTATCCTCCAAATACTGGCAGAGAGCAGCCCTCGCACTCCTCCATTCTCCTTTCCTGCATCCTTGCTGTTCTCCTCTGAAGCTGCCCTTTCACCGTGCCCTGCACCCGGACCAGATGCAGTGGACAGGTGAAGGAGTGCAGGATGATCACCTCCTTCACTCTAAGTACCAGGCTGCTGGGGGGCTTTCTCCAATTTCACAACTCAGGTATTTTAGGCTGCATCTCATTTTCTCAGGGACCCTCAGGGATTGGGGTTCTAGCATCATTTGTATGGCTCACTTATTTGCAAATGATAATGTCGAAGAAAATAATCAAACAAAAAGAGATGCCCAGGACTGTTATTCCATGATAAGACATGTTCAAAGCAGAACTATCAGCAACACTTTCATTTCTTTCTGAATTCTGGAACTGCAACATGGGTGAATTTGAGTTTCCACTGAAAATTAACCTGTAGTTGAAAAGGGTCCTAAAGGGGGCTTCTTGGTTTATCCACAGGCTTTTCCATCTGGAAGCTGTATCTGTCAGAAATCAGATGAGGCTCAAAAAGTAGAGACGCTAAAACAATTTTTTTTCTTTACATCTTTCCATCACTTTCTCTGATAACATTTACAAAAGTAAATGTAGTTTTACAAGTTTATATTTTGGGACAGTAGGCATTTAATAGAGCTCTTCTTACCCCCAGGTATCATTAAAACTGATTGTCCTCCTTCCTGTAAAGTCCTCCCTAACCCTAAAATTCAGAAGCCCTTTTATATGATTTTAAATTTGGTATTTGACCATACAGGAGGATGCAATAAAAAGTGACTTCCTAAAGAAGCTCTGACAAAATCTGTGAGCCCTTTTGACCTCACAGACTTTAAGGCATCCCAACTTATTTCCTTCTAAGAAGAGAGGCAGAAAAAAGGCTTCCTTGCTCAAACAACCAGCTTTGCAAAGGACCTTGAGAGGTCTGGGGGATGCTGGGAGTTCCTAGCTTGCTGGCACAGGCTCCAGTTCCACTAGGTCATGTTAAATATGAGTATGCACAATAGAAAATGAGAGATGACCTCAATTGTCTCAACAGGATGTAGGAAAGCCAAGGGATGATGCAGCAAGCGGCTCAGGCCTTTACTATTAAGAGCTTTAAATATTGCTGGTATTAGTAAATGAGAAGCTACAAGCAGTGTCATAAACGTTATGAGTTCACAACACAGCTTGACAAATCCTGAAATATTGGTTGTGGCTGAGAGATTCCTGATTATGCTGGGTATGGACACAAGGTAGGCGAGCCAGCAAAAAAGGTTATTTGTCTCTAAGCCGAAGTCCATCCATGGGCAGAAGCATTATTACTTATTATTATTAACCATCCTGACAACAACCCACATTTTTATGGCATTTGAATATCGCAAAATGCCTCAACATCATTCTAAGTCGCTATTCTATTCCACAGTGGAGCAGGGTAGAAGGTCAGAAGGAAAACATCAAGCTTAGATGCAACAGAAGCTGATCTCAAGATTCAGGTGGAGTTGGTAACCTACAAGAAGTTATTCATTTAAATTGCAGAAAAATTAAAAAGTCATTAGAAGCCCCTTGCTTAAAGTGGTCAGGAATATTCAATGTTCCAATTGAGGACTCTAGCAACATCAAAAATTCTGCGTACTCAGGTTTTTTCTTTGCCCCTCTTCTCCCCCTTTAGCTGCCTACCTCCCAAATCTAGCTTTCCAGACCTGATGTTCCACCTGCCTGTATCCCTGCCTGCACATCTGAGCTCACTTCCTGCCACCATCCCTCCACCCTGACTCCTCTGGTCACATAGCCTTGCTCTTCTCCTAACAAGCCCAGAGCTGCATTGTGACTTTCTTGGGCCTATTCCTCCAGTATAAAAGAAAAAAAAATCAAAATTATATTCTACCACTGCATGGGTATAAAGATGAACATACACATATTATGTACTAAAACATTTTTTGGACCTGAAAGTTCATTTTTTCTTCTGATGTGGAAAGAATTAAAGCATTTCTGTGTGCCCCTAAAAGTATTATAGGCCCTGTGTCTACAGCGCCCGATGGAGAAGTTGGATCTTTCAGGACTTTTGCAGTTGCGCTTCTCTCTGCCTGAAATGTTCCTTCCCTAGCTATCCATGTGACATACAGCCTCAGTTAATTTGTGTTTCTGCAAAAATGACATTCTTTTCAGAGAGGCTTTCTCTCATCACCTTACCTGAGACAGGCCCACACGTCAACTCTAGCCAAGCGTCTCCATCCCTCTACCATGCTCTAATCCATCTACCATGCTCTAGTTTTCTTTTAAGCATCTGATATCAATTAGATATTTATGTTTTACTTGTTTGTGGCCTGTCTGTCCCACTAGAGCATAAGTTCTGTGACACTAAGGTACTCTGTTCTCAGGTCCCAGAAAGTACCAGGCATATGGTAGATATACTCATAAATGTATGTTCCAAGTGGAATGAATTTCTGCCTGGGATACTTCTTCTGTATTCCAAAGTAGTCATCTCTCAATATATAAGGAGAATGAAAAGTGAGCATGAGGGAAGATGGAAAATGCTCTCTTGCTCAAACGTCCAACCTTACGGAAGATCTTTGGAGGGCTGGAGACATGCCAGGAGCCCCAGTCCTTCCAACCAGGACCCCTGCTCTGTGCTCTGCATCACTTTTTGCATTCTCCTGTCCTGGTGAACACCACCTGTTCTGCAATTATGTGTATTTGCTGGGGCTGAGGCTCAGGCTGAGGCTGCCCATCCCTCATGCCTTCTAAGAGCATGTACTGAGCACTCTGTAAATCACTGCTGGATTGAAAAAGGATGAATGGGAAGAAGAGAAAGATACAGAAGATGCTGTCAACATGTGAAGAACTTATGCTTCACCATTGGATTGAACAGAATGAACGAGGATGGCTTCAACCAGGGGACATTTGTTAGAGACTCTAAGAGGAGGATCATTTTAACATGCAAAGGAGAGAGCATGTAAATATAGCCAGCATCTAGAAAACAGAGTTCTGGGATGATACTTGGAGTGCCAGGTATGACCGTTCTGGTTGCAAAATCCTGCCTTAAGATAAAAAGAGGATTAATGGCTCTTTGAAAAGCCCAGGAATTGGCTTGCTTCAGTCCTTCCTGTATTCAGAGCTCTAACAGCATATTCAGGACCTGGTTACTCTCTCTTTCTCAGAAACTCCTCCTGCTGGGGTGGCTTTCATCACAGACTCTATATTGTAGCAAATGAAGGCACAGCTCTAACCTCTTTGCCCTCTCAAATTCAGCACAGGAAGAAAGAAAGTCTCTTTCCTAGAAGTATCTGCTCGAACTCACTGCTCCTTATGGGCTCTGACTTGGCCGTTTACCTACCTTGGACCCAGTTGCAGTACCCAGGAAAGTGTGATCATGCACTGACCATTCTAGGCCTGGATGGAGTGATGCCTTTGAGCCACAGGGACCAAGAATGAGTGACAGGTGCTCCCCTGACTGCAGTTACAGGAAGTAGGGTGTATGTACACTGAGTGACCAAAAAAACAAATGTCCACTCCTCTTGGCTCTAGAAAGAAAGTGTAATGGATTGGTTTGGCATAAAAGGCCTGGACATGAACTAAGAGGTTGCAGAGAAGTATGCTAAGTATTAGATTGTCTAGGGACAATGCAAAAAGATTGTTAGCAATGTGGAGGAAAATTAGAGACTCTTTTCCTCACAATTCTCATGTTCTGTTAGGCAAGCAAGACAGAGAAGTTCATTTTATCGAAACATTTTTTTTAAGAGAAGATGCTGGATATTAATTTTGTTTTTAACCCAACTTTGGCCTGAGCAATGGGTGTGAGTATGGAGTGAATCACCTTCGTTCATGAAAGGAGGGAATCTGTGCCCAGGGGATGTTGCTGTATAGGAGGAGTAAGTCGTTTTACTGCAGCTGCTTCTGACCAGGTTATCTTAAGCAAGTCATTTCAGTGACTCAGAGAAGTTGGGTAGATGCCAGATGACTTTCTGTCTGGGCTTAAGGTGTTAGTTAGGCAAGAGAGCTTGCCAGATGTCTTATTTTATTTAGAGATAAAGAGGAGACCGAATGCTCTCAAGCCTCCCTGGTGACCACGGCCCACTCAGAAGAGCAAAATTGCCTTCCTCCGGGCCTATGGTGTTGGGATCAGAGGAGAGAGAAAGTTCCTGTCAATGACGTGTTCTGAAAGTCCATCGAATCTTGCTCACCTCTCTGCCTGCTCTAGGGAAGAATGCCATTTAGACCAGATCAAACTGACGAAGGTACCTATGTTGTTTTCTTCACCACTGTGAATGGATTGTTCCCATTGAGTAACAACTTCCGTTAAGCCATAATTGGAGTATTTTGCCTCTTCAGAGAAAAAAGAAAACAAGAAAATATTTAATTCAGATTAACAACCACCCTATTTCATCACCATCCCCTTTTTCCCTAATGAAAGAATCTGTGTACTTTCCATTTCAAACTTAAAATATTGTAAAGGCAGCAAAAATTAAAATTTAGTAACTGTGCCCCTCTTAGAGCATGGGGGGTGCCATGTTGGCAGCTGTCCTTTCTGCTACCTAGCTTGCAGAGTATGAGAGCAGTGTGTATGTGAAATACTTTGCAATCCTTTTGGCTTGAGGTGTGTAACAGCAAAAAAATTACCTTTTGACATGACGCTACATTAGTTTGGTTTTCTTTTGGTCAATAAAAATGTCACATAATGTCTTACCTCTTATGACTTCTTTCCGAGAACGAGAAAGAGAGAGAGAGAGAGCATGCAGTTTTACATAAATTGGCCAGATTTATGTACTAAATAGTGATTTCCTCCTTCTTGGGGGCAAGGAGATGGTGTTTCAAATTTTACATATGGATTTATAGTCTGATATCATTACTTGAACTTTTTTTTTATTAAGCTCTGTGAGTCTTCTCTGATATAAACTTTCCTTGTCTTTCACTTTCCTCCCCGTTCCCCAAACTTTAGTGCCCGCTCTCAAGATCAACCTAAAGGAAGCTAAGCAAATGAAGTGATGATTCCACACTCAGAAGCAACGAATTAGATGAAAACCTTGACACCAACCTGGATAATTAAACAAACATCTACTTATTCCTCCCCTCATGAATGAATAAATGCAAGAATGAGAGACATTCAATCCTACTTGCTAATATTCATCTTCCTCCATTCTATGTTCCCCTCACACGGCCCTAAATTTGCTCTCCTAGCAAATCTCTATTCCCACGTTTGTCTGGAAGATTTCAGTACCATCTTTTACCCAGCTGCATCTTTCTATCACCTGCCCTTTCCCATGGTGAATCTATCTTTTTTACATTTTCAATTTGGTCTCTTATTTTATCAATTTGACTAAAACCTGGATTTCTGTCATGAGAGTCCCTTACCAACCTTGTCCAGCAGAGGTCACTCTTCTTGCTCATGGGCTGAGGTGAGGGGGTTGCCTCCCTGAACTCTGCTAATTCCAGGCTATCCTTCTACTACTTCTCTTCTGAAGTCCAGCATCCACTCATGGCAGCCTCTCTCCATCTCTTCCACCCTCACTCCATATCTTGCCGAGCACACGTCCATCTTCCTCAGTGACTTCAGTGTCTGTGTCTCATACACTAACATCCATTGGTATTCAGGTATTCACATCAATTACACTACAACCCTTCAGTTTCTTGATGTTTTAGGCTCTAGGGACAATAATCTCCACTCTATTTTACTGGGCCACTGGTGTGGCCTCAACCTTTTTTTTTTTTTTTTTTTTTGACAGGGTCTCACTCTGTCACACAGGCTGGAGTGCAGTGGTGCAATCATGGCTCACTGCAGCCTCGACCTCCCAGGCTCAAGCGATCCTCCCACCTCAGCCTCCTGAGAAACTAGAATTACAGGCATTCACCACCACACCCAGCTAATTTTTGCATTTTTTTTTTTTAGAGATAGGGTTTTGCCATGTTGCTCAGTCTGGTCTTCAACTCCTGGGCTCAAGCAATCCACCTGCCTTGGCCTCCCAAAGTGCTGGGATTACAGGCATGAGCCACCCTGCCAGGTCTTTGTTGTCATTTTGTAATGCTTCTTTCTAAGCCTTCATGGTAACTAGCACCAAACATGGCTCCTAAAAATGTTTCATTCTTGGAACACTCATGCTGGCTGCCTTACACATCAAGAACTGTAATTTATTTCCCTTCCTCTGAAATCTAGGCTGGCCTTGTGACTGAGTGTGGTGGAAGTGACTTCTGGGACTTCTGAGCCCAGGCCTTAACAGAATTGGCAGCTTCTGCTTCCTTCTTTTGGGAATTCAGAGGCCATTTGTGTTACCTGATTACCCTGGGCCTCCATGCTGTGAGGAAGCTCAAGCTAGCCATGTAAGAGGCTACGTAGAGACACAGATGCCTGGCCAGCCCCCAGCTGTTCCAGCCATATCAGCTGAGGATTCAGACATGTGAATGAAGAAACATCTTGGACATTTCCCAACCCAAATGCAGAAGTGACAGAAATAATAAATTTTACAGTTTTAAGCCACTTAGTGTGAGGTGATTTGTTATAAAGAGATAATGAACTCAATCTTAAATTGTGAAATTTCTTTCTAATCAACATTATGATTTTCCAGCCCTCTTCTTCCTTCCTTCCTTCTTTCCTTCCTTCCTTCCCCTCTCTTTCTCTTTCTTTCTCTTTCTCTCTTTCTTTCTTTCTCTCTCTCTTTCTCTCTTTCTTTCTCTCTCTCTCTCTCTTTCTTTCTGTCTCTCTTTCTCTCCCTCTGGCTCTCTTTCTCTCCCTGTCTTCCTCCCTCCCTCCCTTCCTTCCTTCCTTCCTTCCTTCCTTCCTTCCTTCCTTCTTCTTTCTTTCTTTTCTTCTTTTTTTTTGGTAGAGACAGGGTCTCATTATCTTGCCCAGACTGGTCTCAAATTCCTGGCCTGAAGCAATCCTCCCATCTCACCTTTCCAACGTGTTGGGATAACAAGGATGAGCCACTGTGCCCAACTGCTGTCCGGTAATTTCATCCCTACTGACCATCCAAGCCTCCAGTCTTTAGAGGGATCTTTATTTTTTAATTTATTTTTTTGACTAGTCAAGCACAGCAGTAAGAAGGGGGAAAAGAGTAAAACAAGGAGTTTCATCCATAACTGACTGTGAACAATCAATTGAGATAACTCTCAACCTTTGGACCAGCCCAGAGAGAACTTTAGAGGCTACAGCTCATCAACCTGCTACCCTATGAAACCTGGACCCCTCAAACATGTTCATGCTTCATATACCCCCTCTCTACACAAAATGCCCTTCCTTAAACTCTATGATATTACTGTGGTTCTGACTTATCTCTCCTTTCCCTTCACCTATACATTTCTCTCTTTTTTTGAGATGGAGTCTTGCTCTGTCGCTCAGGCTGGAGTACAATGGTATGATCTCAGCTCACTGCAACCCCCGCCTCCCAGGTTCAAGTGATCCTCCTGCCTCAGCCTCCCAAGTAGCTGGATTACAGGTGCTCACTACAATGCGTGGTTACTTTTTGTATTTTTTTTTTTTTTAGTAGTGACGGGGTTTCACCATGTTAGCCAGCCTGGTCTTGAACTCCTGACCTCACCTGTATATTTCTTGAGAATGTCTGTTTCCTGCCTTTATTTCCTCATTACCCTCTCCCTTTTGGTTTCAATCACTCAAAAGCATGTATTGAGCATTGATTACATACACCATTTAAGGAAACAGCAATGAATAACATAAAGAGTACCTCTGCCCAGCCCTCATGAAGATTACATCCTGAGGAGAGAGTCAGAGACAGAAAATAACAACAACAAATAAAATGTATAGTGTCAGGTGGGAATTCATGTTTTGAAGAAAAAGCAGAGTAAAGACAGTGAGGTAAGGAGGCTGCCTCCCTCATCTCTGATCTTTGTCTCTTCTGCTCAGTGTGATCACTATGCTTTGCTGGTGTTTCTTTCCCCAATCCAAGGTTCGGTAAATGCCTCCAGGCAGAACACTGGGTCTATCACTGGGCTAACCTTTCTTGTTTAAATTCTTTCAGTGCTGACAGTTGCCACTTGTGCAGTGTCTAATGATGATTCACATACTTTGTCCAGTTTTCTAGTTGTTTATGGTGGGAGGGCTAGTCTGATACCAGTTTTTCATTTGTGATCAAAAGTGGAATCCTCTGGCTTAAGGGTTTGAGGGTAGCTCTGGCTGTGGTTTCACTCCCTGCTAATTTCTGCCCTTGATATTCTACTTGAATTGCTCTCTCCTCACTTCTAGGCTTCAAATCCATTGGACTCATCTTAGTCCTTGCCCTTCCAGATTTTCCTTAGCCTCTCCTTCCTGAAAGTCTCTCTTCCTTTGACTGTTATAATACACAGGGTTTTTGTTTTTGTTGTTGTTGGTGGTGGTGGTGGTGGTGGTGGGTGGATGGGAGGTATTTTGTTTGTTTGTTTAAAATCACACTTCACTTTGTGTTGTGCACATTTGGACATATGCACCATCTTCCCCACTGGAATTCAAGCACCTTGAGAGCAGGGACATGGATTGTTCATTTTGCATCCCCATGCCCAGCATAGCACCCTTGACTTTAGTAGGGACTGTACAAATGTTTATTGAGTGAATTTGAAGCCCAGTAATAAAAGGCAGTGTATGGGATTCACCCTTGGAGAGGTATAGACAGCTGCAGCTCTGCACTTTCCTAAGGTGATCAACCATTCCTGTATGTTCAGGACTGAGGATGCTGAACTTTAGAACTTTTAGTGTTAAAACCCAGAAACTGCTGGGAAAACTGAGATGATTGATCACCCTGGCACTTCCCAGCCTCATTCAAATCTTGGCACTTGTGGAAAATGGTTGTATTTGTAAAGTATCTTGGTGTCAATGGGTAAGACTGCTGTGGCAAGAGAGATGCTGGGCCTCCCAACGTCTCAAGTTTGCAAGACTCTTAGGATGTCTGCAGGGATTTAGTAACTCAGTGCTCCAACCCAGCAGGGATCTCTATGTGCACTCAGCAGTTGGGAAGCTCTCCTACAGTGATCTCAAGGAGATGGTCCAGCTGTTGGCCTGGGCCTGGAACTGGAAGACTCGAGTTTGAGTCCTCACTCTGCCACTGCTTACTTGTGTGAGCATTGGTGAGTCACCTTACCTCTCAAAGATTAAAAGTGGGAGAGCATTAATACCATACAAATGTTTTACCTCATTATTGTGTCTTAGTTTGTGCAGGTAGCTATAACAAAATACCTTAAGAATGAGTAATTTATAAACAACAGTTATTTTTTGGTCACTGTTCTGGAGGCTGGGCACTCCAAGATCAAGTTGCCAACAGATTTAGTAACTGGCGAGGGCTTGCTTTATTCCATAGATGGCACCTTCTTGCTGTGTCCTCACAAGGTGAAAGGGAAAGGGGACATAGTGTTCCCTCCCATCTCTTTTATAAGTGCACTAATCTTATTCATGAGGGCAGAGCCCTCATGACATAATCACTTCTCAAAGACCCCAGTTCTTAATACTATCATGTTGGGTATTAGGTTCCAACATATAAATTTTGAGGAGATACCAACATTCAGACCATAGCATACTGCTTCTGTTACGTAATTTGACTGCTTAGAGAGAAAGGAGCTGGTTGAAGGGATAGAGCCATAGAGAAACTCTCCATGACAAAGGTACAGGGGTTAGGCTTAAACATGTGAGAGGATGCCATCTCTCCTGAGATAAAAGGGAGGAAAGAAATGTTCAGTGGAGAGATGAAAATACAGTGGGTTGAGGAATGTAAATGGGGGCCTGTTTAAGTTTACCCATTTTGGACTGCTCAGGGATGTGAAAGTGGTTAAACTTAGATGGCGAGAGTGACACTGGGAGCTGAAGATCTCTGAAGAAGGTTTGGAATACTTTTTTTTTTTTTTTTTTTTTTTTTTTTTGAGATGGAGTCTCACTCTGTCTCCCAGGCTGGAGTGCAGTGGCACGATCTCAGCTCACTGCAATCTCCACCTCCTGGGTTCATGCGATTCTCCTGCCTCAGCCTCCTCAGTAGCTGGGACTACAGGCGAGTGCCACCACAACAGGCTAATTTTTTATTTTTAGTAGAGACAGGATTTCACCATGTTGGCCAGGCTGGTCTCAAACTCCTGAGGAATAACTTTCTTTTGCTAACACGAGTGTGGTGGTGGGTGGCAGAGGAAGAGTTTGGGGTTGTTTGTGGGATGAGTGAGTCGGGCTACTGCATAGGTATTCCTGTGGGGCTGGGCAGGGTTGAAGAGTCTGGAAGAAGAAGTCATGATGGAAGATGCTTATCTTATTTTCTTCTGTCTTTCCCTTCCCTGTCTTTCTCTTCTCATTTTTCCCTCATAACTAGCCATAATGCAGCCAGTTTTAAAATATTGCCCTTATTACTTGTATTTACTGAATTGAGTATTACCTTAAAAGCTTGAGAGTTGAATGCTTTGTCTTCCTTTTTCTTCCAAAAAAGGAATTAATAGTAAAAGTGTTTTCATTTCCATGTGGCCAATAATGAATTTTTTTTAAGTGGCTCCTTTTTTCTTGTAGTGGAAAAAAAACTCCACCCTAAGATTCTTC
Organism: Homo sapiens; assembly: GCF_000001405.40. Taxonomy (NCBI): domain Eukaryota; kingdom Metazoa; phylum Chordata; class Mammalia; order Primates; family Hominidae; genus Homo; species Homo sapiens. Next base: position 145,961,608 of record NC_000004.12, read on the forward strand.
CTATAATGCTTAAAATATGTGGCACTAATAGCTCTTCTTCAATATTCATTTACTACAATGTATCTTTTTCAGCTTTGTTTCCTGTGCAAATTTCTTTGTGGAGAGGCAAAATCTTCCTTTTGGCCATCTTTCCCTGAATGTCAAGGACACATAATAGAACCTCCCGAAGGTCACCTGCCTTGTAGCCTGTTTCGTAGCTAGTGCTTTAACTATGAAGAGGAGGATTTAGGTTCAACAGCTGTTTAACCCACATGCCCCAAATCTTAGTATGCTTTGAGTGGTTGTGATTATTCTCAAAAATAATAGATTTCTTTAAATTATTGCTTTGATCTTCATGCTGTAATTTAATTTGTCCCCTTCCTCATGAACATGCCCTCACTACTTATTTATTATGAATACCTTCACACAAGCATGCTTTTTTGTATGCTTCTGGGAACAATCAGGGCCACATCTCTATCTTTGGCCCACTACAAGTGAAGGATTAACCCGTTGCCATTTCTCTGTTTATTGAAGTCTGAGCCAAGAGATCATTTTTAAAGTTTGAGTTTGGCTTTTTGGCTTTGCTGTTTGGAGTTAATTTATGGCATGCTCAACTAAGTTGTTACCTCCTTACTAGCCTACAGTGATTTGACTTTGCATAGAGACAAGAGTATATTGTATAAGTATAGAATTGTTTTAGACTTTCAAAGGCTATTTTTATCTTCTTTTATCTTCTTTCCTATGGGTTTCAACATCAACCATCAAGTCAATAAGCCACTATCTGACATTATTTAATATGCAAATGTATCTTCATTCAACTAGGTATTTCTTTTTTTATTATTATACTTTAAGTTCTGGGATACACATGCAGAATGTGCAGGTTTGTTACATAAGTATACACGTGTCATGGTGGTTTGCTGCACCCATCAACCCCTCATCTACATTAGGTATTTCTCCTATGCTATCCCTCCCCTTGCTCCCCAAGCCCCAACAGGTCCTGGTGTGTGATGTTCCCCTCCTTGTGCCCATATGTTCTCATTGTTCAACTCCCACTTATGAGTGAGAATATGTGGTGTCTGGTTTTCTGTTCCTGTGTTAGTTTGTTGAGAATGATGGTTTCCAGCTTCATCCATGTCCCTGCAAAGGACACGAACTCATTCTTTTTTATGGCTGCATAGTATTCCATGGTGTATATGTGCCACATTTTCTTTATCCAGTCTAACATTGGTGGGCAATTGGGTTGGTTCCAAGTCTTTGCTATTGTGAATAGTGCTGCAGTAAACATATGTGTGCATGTGTCTTTATAGTAGAATGATTTATAATCATTTGGGTATATACCCAGTAATGGGATTGCTGCGTCAAATGGTATTTCTGGTTCTAGATCCTTGAGAAATCGCCACACTGTCTTCCACAATGGTTGAACTAATTTACACTCCCACCAACAGTGTAAAAACATCCCTATTTCTCCACATCCTCTCCAGCATCTGTTGTTTCCTGACTTTTTAATAATTGTCATTCTAACTGGCATGAGATGGTATCTCATTGTGGTTTTGATTTGCATTTCTCTAATGACCAGTGATGATGAGCTTTTTTCATATGTTTGTTGGCTGCATAAATGTCTTCTTTTGGAAAGTGTCTGTTCATATCCTTTGTCCTCTTTTTGATGGGGTTGTTTATTTCTTGTAAATTTGTTTAAGTTCCTTTTTGATTCTGGATATTAGCCCTTTGTCAGATAGATAGATTGCAAAAATTTTCTCCCATTCTGTAGGTTGCCTGTTCATTCTGATGATAGTTTCTTTTGCTGTGCAGAAGCTCTTTAGTTTAATTAGATCCCATTTGTCCATTTTGGCTTTTGTTTCCATTGCTTTTGGTGTTTTAGTCATGAAGTCTTTGCTCATGCTTATGTCCTGAAGGGTATTGCCTAGGTTTTCTTCTAGTATTTTTTATGGTTTTAGGTCTTAAGTTTATATTTTTAATCCATCTTCAGTTGATTTTCATGTAAGTGGTAGCAAAGGGGACCAGTTTCAGTTTTCTGCCTATGGCTAGCCAGTTTCCTCAACACCATTTATTAAGTAGGGAATCCTTTCCCCATTGCTTGTTTTTGTCAGGTTTGTCAAAGATCAGATGGTTGTAGATGTCTGGTGTTATTTCTGAGGACTCTGTTCTATTCCATTGGTCTATAAATCTGTTTTGGTACCAGTGTCATACTGTTTTGGTTACTGTAGCCTTGTAATATAGTTTGAAGTCAGGAAGTGTGATGCCTCCAGCTTTTTTCTTTTTGCTTAGGATTGTCTTGGCTATACGGGCTCTTTTTTGGTTCCATATGAAATTTAAAGTAGTTTTTTTTTTCTAATTCTGTGAAGAAAGTCAATGGTAGCTTGATGGGAATAGCATTGAATCTATAAATTACTTTGGGCAGTATGGCCATTTTCATGATATTGATTTTTCCCTTCCATGAGCATGGAATGTTTTTCCATCTGTTTGTGTCCTCTCTTATTTCCTTGAGCAGTGGTTTGTAGTTCTCCTTGAAAAGGTCCTTCACATCCCTTGTAAGTGGGATTCCTAGGTATTTTATTCTCTTTGTAGCAATTGTGAATGGGAGTTTGCTCATGATTTGGCTCTGTGTTTGTCTATTATTGTTGTATAGGAATGTTTGTGATTTTTGCACATTGATTTTGTATCCTGAGACTTTGCTGAAGTTGCTTATCAGCTTAAGGAGTTTTGGGGCTGAGACGATGGGGTTTTCTAAATATACAATCATGTCATCTGCAAACAGACATAATTTGACTTCCTCTATTCCTATTTGAATACCCTTTATTTCTTTCTCTTGCCTGATTGCCCTGGCCAGAACTTCCAATACTATGTTGAATAGGAGTTGTGAGAGAGGGCATCGTTGTCTTGTGCCAGTTTTCAAAGGGAATGCTTCCAGCTTTTGCCCATTCAGTATGATATTGACTGTGGGTTTGTCATAAATAGCTTTTATTATTTTGAGATATGTTCCATCAATACCTAGTTTATTGACTGCTTTTAGCATGAAGGGCTGTTGAATTTTATCGAAGGCCTTTTCTGCATCTGTTGAAATAATCATGTGGTTTTTGTCATTGGTTCTGTTTATGTGATGGATTACATTTATTGATTTGCATATGTTGAACCAGCCTTACATTCCAGGGATGAAGCTGACTTGATTGTGGTGGATAAGCTTTTTGATGTTCTGGTGAATTCAGTCTGTCAGTATTTTATTGAGGATTTTCACATCAATGTTCATCACGGATATTGGCCTGAAATTTTCTTTTTTTATTGTGTCTCTGCCAGGTTTTGGTATCAGGATCATGTTGGCCTCATAAAATGAGTTAGGGAGGAGTCCCTCTTTATCTGTTGTTTGGCAGAGTTTCAAAAGGAATGGTACCAGTTCCTCTTTGTATCTCTGATAGAGTTCGGCTGTGAATCCATCTGGTCCTGGGCTTTTTTTGGTGGTAGGCTATTAATTACTACCTCAATTTCAGAACTTGTTATTGGTCTATTCAGGGATTCGACTTCTTCCTGGCTTAGTCTTGGGAGGGTGTGTGTGTTCAGGAATGTATCCATTTCTTCTAGATTTTCTAGTTTATTTGCATAGAGGTGTTCATAGCATTCTCTGATGGTAGTTTGTATTTCTGTGGGATCAGTGGTGATCTCCCCTTTATCGGTTTTTATTGTGTCTATTTGATTCTCCTTTCTTTTCTTCTTTATTAGTCTGGCTAGTGATCTACCTATTTTGTTAATCATTTCAAAAAGACAGCTCCTGGATTCATTGAATTTTTGAAGGGTTTTTTATGTTTCTATCTCCTTCAGTTCTGCTCTGATCTTAGTAATTTCTTGTCTTCTTCTAGCTTTTGAATTTGTTTGCTCTTGCTTCTCTAGTTCTTTTTATTGTGATGTTAGGGTATTGACTTTAGATCTTTCCTGCTTTCTCCTGTGGGAATTTAGTGCTATAAATTTCTCTCTGAACACTGCTTTAGCTGTGTCCCAGAGATTCTAGTACATTGTGTCTTTGTTCTCATCAGTCTCAAATAACTTATTTATTTCTGCCTTAATTTTATTATTTACCCAGTAGTCATTCAGGAGCAGGTTGTTCAGTTTCCATGTAGTTGTGCAGTTTTAAGTGAGTTTCTTCATCCTGAGTTCTAATTTGTTTGCACTGTGGTCTGAGAGACAATTTGTTATGATTTCCATTCTTTTGCATTTGCTGAGGAGTGTTTCACTTCCAATTATGTGGTCGATTTTAGAATAAGTGCAATGTGGTGCTGAGAAGAATGTATATTCTGTTGATTTCGGGTGGGAGTTGCGCAGATGCCTATTAGATCTGCTTGGTCCAGAGCTGAGTTCAAGTCCTAAATATCCTTGTTAATTTTCTGTCTTGTTGATCTGTCTAATGATAGTGGGGTGTTAAAGTCTCCCATTATTATTGTGTGGGAATCTAAGTCTCTTTGAAGGTCTCTAAGAACTTGCTCTATTAATCTGGGTGGTCCTGTATTGGGTGCATATATATTTAGGAGAGTTAGCTCTTCTTGTTGCATTGATTCCTTTACCATTATGTAACACCCTTCTTTGTCTTTTTTGATCGTTATTGGTTTAAAGTCTGTTTTATCAGAGACTAGGATTACAACCCCTGCTTTTTCTTTTTGCTTTCCATTTGCTTGGCAAATATTCCTCCATCCCTTTATTTTAAGCCTATGTGTGGCTTTGCATGTGAGATGGATCTCCTGAATACAGCACTCTGATGGGTCTTGACTGTTTATCATATTTGCCAGTCTGTGCCTTTTAATTGGGGCATTTAGCCCATTTACATTTAAGATTAATATTGTTATGTGTGAATTTCATCGTGTCATTATGATGCTAGCTGGTTATTTTGCCCATTAGTTGATGCAGTTTCTTCATAGTGTCAATGGTGTTTACATTTTGGTTTGTTTTTGCAGTGGCTGGTATCAGTTTTTCCTTTCCGTATTGAGTGCTTCCTTCAGGAGCTCTTGTAAGGCAGGCCTGGTAGTGACAAAATCCCTCACCACTTGCTTGTCTGTAAAGGATTTTATTTCTCCTTCACTTAAGAAGCTTAGTTTGACTGGATATGAAATTCTGGGTTGAAAATCATTCTCATTAATAATATTGAACATTGGCCCCCACTCTCTTCTGGCTTGTAGGGTTTCTGCAGACAGATCTTCTGTTAGTCTAATGGGCTTCCCTTTGTGAGTAACCCGACCTTTCTCTCTGGCTGCCCTTAACATTTTTTCCTTCATTTCATCCTTGGTGAATCCGATGATTATGTGTCTTGGGGTTGCTCTTCTCAAGGAGTATCGTTGTGATGTTCTCTGTATTTCCTGAATTTGAATGCTGGCCTGTCTTGCTTGGTTGGGGAAGTTCTCCTGGATAATATCCTGAAGTGTGTTTTCCAACTTGGTTCCATTCTTCCCATCACTTTCAGGTACACCAATTTGGTCTTTTCTCATAGTCCCATATTTCTTGGAGGCTTTGTTGGTTTCTTTGCATTCTTTTTTCTCTACCCTTGTCTTCATGCTTTATTTCATTTAGTTGATGTTCAATCTCTGATATCCTTTCTTCCACTTGATGGATTCAGCTATTGATACTTGTGTATGCTTCATGAAGTTCTCTAGCTGTGTTTTTCAGTTCCATTAGGTCCTTTATGCTCTTCTCCAGACTGGTTATTGTAGTTAGCAATTCCTCTAACCTTTTATCAAAGTTCTTAGCTTCCTTGCATTGGGTTAGAACATCCTCCACTAGCTTGGAGGAGTTTATTATCCACCTTCTGAATCCTACTTCTGTCAATTTGTCAAACTCATTCTCCATCCAGTTTTGTTCCCTTGCTGATGAGGAGTTGTGATCCTTTGGAGGAGAAGAGGCATTCTGGTTTTTGGAATTTTCAGCCTTTTTGCGCCTGTTTTTCCTCATCTTTGTGGATTTATTTACCTTTGGTCTTTGCTGTTGGTGACCTACGGATGAAGTTTTTGCATGGTCATCCTTTTTGTTGATGTTGATGGTATTGCTTTCTGTTTGTTACTTTTCCTTCTAACAGGCCCCTCTGCTGCAGGTCTGCTGGAGTTTGCTGGAGGTCCACTCCAGACCCTGTTTGTCTGTGTATCACCAGCGGAGACTGCAGAACAGCAAAGGTTGCTGCCTGCTCCTTCCTCTGAAAGCTTCATCCCAGAGGTACACCTGCCAGATGCCAGCTGGAGCTCTCCTGTATGAGATGTCTGTTGACCCCTGCTGGGAGGTGTCTCCCTGTCAGGAGGCACGGGCGTCAAGGACCCACTTGAGGAGGCAGTCTGTCCATTAGCAGAGCTCTATGCTGGGAGATCTGCTGGTCTTTTCAGAGCCAGCAGGCAAGAACGTTTAAGTTGGCTGAAGCTGCACCCACAGCCACCCCTTCCCCCAGATGCTCTGTCCCAGGGAGATGGGAGTTTTATCTATAAGCCCCTGACTGGGGCTGCTGCATTTCTTTCAGAGATGCCCTGCCCAGAGAGGCAGAATCTAGAGAGGCAGTCTGGCTACAGCAGTTTTGTGGCACCCAGCTAGGTATTTCTAATAGCAATAGCTTTTGTTGAGCTGCCAGGATATTTGTTAAATTCCACTTTTACACAGGAAATAGTTCCAGACATTAATTATATGGAGTTTTGAAACATCCAAACCCAGATATTTGGATAAGTCTATTCAGTTTAACTCATGATTCTCTATCAAGATTGCATTGTGAGGGAAACTCATTTGTTTTCAAAATGAATGCTATCAGAAAGTTAGACGAAGTTTTTTTTACTGTAGTGCATTTAGTCTACTGTATTTTGCACACTTTCATAAGGATTTTAAGATTCATAAATTTATAACAATGTTATGCTGCCTCCTCTTTCCATTATTATTTGCTGCAATCTTCCAATCTTCAAGTAACTCTCTTGCTTTTGTAAAGAAATTGGAATTCCTCTTTGCTATGTTCCTCTGCATCCCAATTCCTCCCATCAGCCTGGGTTACTTCAATTTCTATGTGCACCTTATCTTGCAGTTTCTTAAATTTATTGTAGGTTAGTGTTCTTGGTCTCTATCTCCCCAAACTTATACACCCTGGACTTTGTTATCATCCACAATCACCCCACCTCTGAAACTCTACTGTTTTCTTCTCGGACTAAAACCTCCTATCCATTCAGCTCTTGTCCTCTTATTTTGTACCTTGCAAGGCTCTTTTCTCAGTCTTCTTCACTAATACAATCTCTTCTATTTCTTAATATGCTCGTGGTTTTGAACATGATTCACTTCTCTTCTCACTCTACATTCTCTCCTTGAGTGATCTCATCTATTCCATTGGCTTCCACTACCATGTATGAGTTGATGACTCCCAAGTTGTTTTTCTTGTCTGTATCCCTTACCTCTCTTCTAAGATTCAGAAAAAATTTCTAGTTCTTTAATAACAAAAGTAACTAACATTTAAAGAAAAGTTACTATACAGTGTATTAAATGCTTTAAGTGTTAACTCACAACCCTATGAAATAGCTTATTCTTTAGTACTGAATTTCACTCTGTCTATGATAATATAATCTAGCAATTTCACTTTTGAATATATACTCAAAATAATTGAAAGCAGGAACTCAAACAGATATCTGTACACCCAGGTTCACGACAGCACAATTCACAATAGCCAGGAGGTGGATGCAACACAAGTGTCCATCAATAGATGAAGGATAAAGCCATACAAAGAAGCCATACACATACCACATTTTAATAATAATGTATTAATATTTAATAATGAAATATTATTCAGCCTTAAAAAGAAAGGAAATTCTGACATACTGCACATCATGGATGAATCTTAAAGACATTATGCTAAGTGAAATATCAGACAAAATGACAAATATTGTATGATTCCAATTATATGAAGTGCTTAGAGTAGTCAAATTCACATAGATAGAAAGTAGAATGGTCATTCTAGGGGACATGAAGAGAGGGTAAAAAGCAATGATTGTTTAATGAATATAGAGTTTTAGTTTGGGAAGATGAAAAAGTTCTGGAGATCAAAGTGGGAAGAGTTGCACAACAACATGAATGCACATAAAGCCAATTAACAACACTTAAAAATGAATGATTAAGATGCCAAATTTTATGTTATGTATATTTTACCAGAACTAAATATTATAAAAATACCAAGAGTACAGATGACAAAGAAAAAAATGGTTAAAATGGTAAAAAAAAGAGATGATATTGATTACAAAATATATCATTACTTTATGTACTGCTAAGGAAAATAGTGATGCCAATTAAACAATAGTACAATACTTTCTTACCACTTAGAATTTTTAAATATCTATTGGGAGAGTTCTTTGATATGTAGTCAGACATTTAATTCATTAATTAATTTATTTATTTTGTGACAGGGTCCTGCTCTATTGCTCATGCCGGAGTGCAGTAACATAGTCCAAGGACCTCAAGACTAGCTAATTCCCAGTACATCTGGCTCCAGGCAAATTGCATGAGTCCTATAGATATTTCTTCACAGAGACTTACATAAAATAATGTATGTTTCCCTGAGGAATTTGGTTCCCATTTTATTTTATTTTATTTTATTTATTTTATTTTTTGAGACAGGGTCTCATTCTGTTGCCCAGGCTAGAGGGCAGTGGTGCAATCATGGCTCACTGCAGTCTTGACCTCATGGGCTCAAGCAATCCTTCCACCTCAGCCTACAAAGTAGCTGGGACCACAGGCACAGGCTACTACATCCAGTTAATTTTTGTATTTTTTTGTAAATATGGGGTCTTGCCATGTTGCCCAGGCTAGTCTCAAACTCTTAGGCCCAAGGGATCCACCTGTCTTGGCCTCCCAAAGTGCTGGTATTACAGGCATGAGCCACTGTGCCTGGCCTAGACATAATTTTTATCATGGATTACTCTTGTGCATATATATAAAGAAGCTTTATCATAATCAGTATCTGAATTTTCTGAATCACTTTTCAAAGCAGAGTTGTTAATACCCATGATTTTCTACACAAAGTTGTCCTCTGTGCTATCCACAGAATTGGTAAAGTGGTATTTTTAAAGTGAGAGCTCCACTATGGTTTCTAAATTTTCTTCCAGGGCACTGGCACCTATTCTGTAAGTTTTGATGCTGACACTATTGATCTTACCAGAAAGTATCAATGGAAGGTTTTTGACTACAGTGGCTCATATTTCTTCCTCAAATGATCTTTAAATGATTTGTTGATCGCAATGTGAAAGGAGATGCTGTTGTCCAGTTATGACGCCAAAAATAGCAATCATATTAGGACACTTTCTAGCAATCTTATCTTTAGCAGTTAATATACAAGTCCATGAAACTCACCAAGAACTAATATACTGGGTGGATTATGTGGGGTTCATGGAGAACTATTCCAGATAATATTTAATCATTTCCATTTCTTTCTTGCCTTTCCTGTGCTCTGGGAGAATCTCTTTTTGGCGCAGGAGAAATCCTCCTTCCTATGAGAGTTTCTGTGAGTGAAACTCCTATGTCTGTGATTTTTTTTTTCTCCTAAAGGCTAAGACTTTTCTCCAGCAATGTACCCAACTCAATTAATATGATAAAATATCAGTAGCTATGATTAAATGTGCACATATAGAGACAAAAACAACTACGTTGTGATTGCCAATAGTAATTGAAAGACAACTCCTAACTTTACAGAAGTTAAAATTTATATCTTTAGACTTCTACTTCCAGGGACATGGAAGAGAAATAATTTTCCCTTTCATCCTTCTAGGTACAACTAAGACCTCTGGATATTATAAAACAAACAGAGCTAACCCACCTCAGAAGAATGTCTAACAGAATTTCTCTAATCAGAAAGGCAACGATAAAAGAAGACACCTTGGACCATCAGGAAGAAAGAGCATGGTAGGCAAAAATATGGGTAAATACAATAGGCTTTCCTTCTATTCTTGGGTTTCTGAATTATGTTTCATGGTTAAAACAACGATAACACTGTCTAATGTGATTCTAACAGTATGTAGGGAAATACTCAAGATAATTATAAACAGGAGAGAGTAAAGAGATCTAAATGGAAATGAAGTTTTTACATTTCACTCTGAACTGGTAAAATGATGATACCAGAAAACTGTGATGTTATGTAGATATAAAGAAGTGCCTAGAATACCCACTAAAAAAAAAAAAAGTACATTAGAAAGGCCAGGCATGGTGGATCATGCCTGCAATCCCAGAACTTTGGGAGAACAAGGCAAGAAGATTGTTTGAAGCCAGGAATTTGAGACCAGCCTGGGCAACATAGAGAGACCATATCTTACAAAAACAAAATAAAATAAATTAGCCAGGTGTAGTGGTATGCACTTGTAGTCCTAGCTACTCGGAAGGCTGAGGCAGGAGATTACTTGAACCTAGGAGTTTAAGGCAGCAGTAAGCTATGATCATGCCATTATACTACAATTTGGGCAACAGAGCAAGACCCTGTCTCTTAAAAAATTAAAAAGAAAAATACATTCTAGGCTGGGCATGATGGTTCATGCCTGTAATCCCAGCACTTTGGGAGGCTGAGGCGGGGGGATCACTTGAGGCCAGGAGCTCAAGACCAGCTTGACCAACATGGCAACAACCTGTCTCTGCTAAAAATATAAAAATTAGCTGGGCATCTTGGCACACACCTGTGATCCCAGCTACTTGGGAGGCTGAGGTACAAGAATCACTTGAACCTGGGAGGTTCAACCTGGGAGGGTAACATGATCTACCAAAGATAGAAAGGGACATTATATAATGTTAAAAGGGTCAATCCACTAAAAAGATACAGCACTCCTAAGCAAACATGTACCAAACAACAGAACTGCAAAGTGCATAAAACAAAAGCTTGTAGAACTAAAAGGAAAAATAGACAAATCTTCAAATATAACTAGAAACCTCTCTCAGAAATTACTGAAACAATTAGACAGGAAATCAACAAGGATGTAGAAGAATTCAACAATAACATCAACCAACAGGATCTAATAAAAATTTATATAAAATTTTATAAATATTTCACCAAAGAATAGCAGAATACACTTTATTTTCAAGTGCCAATGGAAGATACACCAGGATGGATCATGTTCTGGCCCTGAAACAAATCTCCACCAACTAACAAAAAAAATTGAAACCAAACAAAGTTTGTTTTTTCAACCGCAATAGAGTTCAACTAGAAATCAATAACAGAACAATAACAAGAAGACATTCAAACATTTTTAAATGAAACAACACATTGCTAAATAATCCACGGGGCAAATAGTAGGTCTCAATGGAAATTTAAAAATACTTTTAACTGAAAGAAAATTAAAATACAACATAGCAAAATTTGTGGCACACAGCTAAAGCAGTACTGAGAGAAAAATTTATAGCACTAAATGCATACTTTAGAAAAAAAGAAAATGTCACAAATCAGTCATTTAAGCTTCTACCTCAAGAACCTAGAAAAAGAAGAGAAAAACTGAAAGCAATCAGAAGGGAGGAAATAATAGAAGCAGAAATCAATGGAATTGAAAACAGAAAAATGGATAAAAATAATAAACAGAGCTGATTCTTTAAAAAAAATCCATAAGGTTAACAAGCTTCTAGTAAGACTGACAGAGAAAAAAATGAGAAGACAAAAATTATAAATATAAGAATTAAAATGAGATATTACTAAAGAGCCCGCAGATATCAAAAGGAGAATAAGGGAATACTGTGAACAACTCCACACATATAAAATTGTAAACTTAGATGAAATAGATCACTTCTGCAGGAAATACACAACTACCACAATACAAACTACCATGACTCATCCTGTAACTATTAAAAACTTTAATTAATAATTTTAAAACTCCCAAGAAAGAAATCTCTAGGCACAGATAGTTTCACTGTAGAATTCTATCAAACATTAGATGAAACACTAATGTCAATTCCACAAATCTTTTCCAGAAAATAGAAGACAAGGAACCACTATCCAATTCTTTTTATGAAGTTAAAATTACCCTGATACCAAAACCAGATGAAAGTAGGTTTTGGTATCAAAAGGAAACTATAAATAAACGTTTCACATGAATATAAATGCAAAAATCCTTAGTGAAATGCTAGTGAGTAGAATTTAGTAATATCTCAGAAGAATTATATGCTATGACCAAATATAGATTATTCTAGAGATTTGAGGCTGGTTTAATATTTGAAAATCAATCAATGTAATCCATCATATGATCATATCAATTATAGAAAAGATGTTTCATAAAATTTAATACTTTTTATGATAAAGACTCTCAAGAAGTAGAATAGAGGTGAATTTCTTCAACTTGATAAAAATCATACAAAAAAATTCTATAGCTAACATCCTGTTTAATGGTGAAAGACTAAATGCTTTCCCCTTAAGCTGGGAATAAGCCAAGAATGTCTCCTTTTATCACTCTTATTCAACATAGTGCTGGAATTTTTAATCAATGCAATATAGCAAAGAAATAAAAAGCATAAAGATCAGAAAGGAAGAAATACAACTGCCTCTGCTTTCAGATGACAAGATTATCTACATAGAAAATCTTAAGAGTAAGAATAATAAAACCTTCCTAGAACTAATAAATGAATCTAGCCAGGCTGAAAGATATGAGATAAACATATAAAAATCAATTGTATCTCTATATACTATCAATAAACACATAAACAATGAAATTAAAAATACAATACCATTTACAATTGCTAAAAAAATATTTTGTTATAAATCTAACAAACATGAACAGGACATTGGTGATAACTACACAATTCTAATAAAAAAAAACTAAATAAATGGAGAGACTTACTGTGTTTATAGATTGAAAGATTCAAACACAGTAAAAATGTCAATTTAGCCAAAACTGACGCACAGCTTTAATTTAATTCCTATCAAAATCCTAGCAATATTTTTTGTAGGTTATAAGCAAGATTATTTAAAAATTTGTATGGAAAGGCAAAAGAACCAGGATAGTTAGAACAATTTTGAAAAAAGAAAAAGAAAAAATAGGATGAATAGGTCTACCCAATTTCCAATTTCAAAGCTTTCTACATAGTAGTAAAGATTGTGACATTGCTGGAGAGATAGACACATAGATGAGTGGAACAGAATAGGGATCCAGAAGTAGACCCATAAAAGTATGCCCAACTGATATTTAACAAAGGTGCAAAAGCAGCTCAGTGAAGGAATGATAGCCTTTCCAATAAAAGGAGGTGGAACTATTGGGCATTTATTTGCAAAAAAAACTTAACTTCAAATTCCACCTTACATCTTATATAAAAATTAAGGATTTTTTATATAAGATATATAAGGATAATTTTTATATAAGACAAAAAGGATTACAGTCTTAAATGTAAAACTATAAGACTTTTAGAAAAAAAATCCATAAGGGCTGGGTGTGGTGGCTCATGCCTGTAATCTCAGCACTTTGGGAGGCCAAGGCCGGTGGTTCACCTGAGGTCAGGAGATTGAGACCAGCCTGGCCAACATGGCAAAATCCCATGTCTACTAAAAATACAAAAATTAGCAAGGTGTGGTGGTGGACACCTGTAATCCCGACTTCTCAGGAGGCTGAGGCAGGAGAATTGCTTGAACCCAGAAGGTGGAGGTTGCAATGAGTTGAGATTGCGCCACTGCATTCCAGCCTGGGCAACAGAGCAAGACTTCATCTCAAAAAAAAAAAAAAAAAAAAAGAAAAAAAGAAAAAGAAAAAGAAAAAGGAAAAAACCCATAAGGTAAAATCTTCAAGATTTAGGGTTATCCAAAGGGTTCTTAGATTTGATGTCATAAGCATGATCCATAAGAGTAAAAAAAATCAATAAACGGTAAACTGGATTTGATCAAAACGAAAGCTTTTGCATTGCAAATAACCCTGTTATAAGGATCTAAAGAAAACTTATCGGATGTGAGAAAATATTTGCAAACCATATATCCAACAAAGGATTAGTGTCTAGAATATATAAAGAACTCTTAAAATTCAACAGGAAAAACAAAACAAAACAAAAAAACCAATTCAACTGTACATGGGCAAAATACATGAAGAGATATTTCACTGAAGAAAATATACAGGTGGCAAATAAGCACATGAAAAGATGTTCAACATCATTAGCCATTAGGGAAATAAAACTTTTAAACACATTACAGTACCACTAGAAACCTATCAGAATGGCTAATATGAAAAAAAAAGACAAAAACAAAACAAAAAAAAACATCAAATGCTGGTGAGGATGCAGTGAAACAATCTCTCATATATTGCTGGTGGGAATTTAAAATAGTGTAGCTACTCTGGAAAACAGTTTGGCAGTCTCTTAAAATAAACCTAAAATGCACTGTAACATGATCCAGAAATTGCACTCCTGGACATTAATCGTAGGAAAATGAACACTTTTGTTCACATGAAACCCTGTATGCAAATATTTGTAACAGCTTTAACTGTAATAGACACAAACTAGAATCAATCCAGATGTCCTTCGACGGGTGCACAGTTAAACAGTGGTATATTCATATCATAGAACGTATCCTTACCATGGACTAAAAAGGAATTAATTATTGATACATACAACAACCAGGATGAAACTTAGATGAATTATGCTCAGTGAAAAAGGCCAATCCCAAAGTTACATACCGTATGATTCCACTTATATAACATTATAAGTAGACAAAATTATGGAAATGGAGAAGAGATTACAGTGTCTCTTCTGTACAGAGATTACAACCTCCATGGAGGTTGCCAGGTATTAAGGAAGGGGTCAGAACAAAAGGGAACCATATGCGGCTATAAAAGGGCAACAGAAGGGACCTTTGCGGTGATGGAAATGCTCTGTATTGTGATTGTCTCAATGTGAACATCCTGGTTGTGATATTGTTTTCTCGTTTGCAAGATGTTATCATTGGGTAAAATGTACTCTGGTAAGGGTATACAGGATTACTCTATTATTTGTTAAAACTATATGTGAATCTACAATTAACTTTTTAAAAGTTTAATTTCAAAAGTGTAGTGTATAACTTAGACCTGATGAAATACAGTATCTTACTCAAGGTCACACAACAAATAAGTGATAGAGCCTGTTAGCACTCAGCTCTGTCTCAACCCCAAGGACGGGGTGCTTCTCAACATGTCTAGTGGACATTCCTTAGTTTCCTTCTTTCTCTTCCCTTCCCCACCATTTCTTTCTTTTGCATTCTCTTCTTTTTTCTTCTTTGCCTTCCTAAGCAACTCAACCCTGCAGCTGTTAGGCAGGACAGTACAAGATGAGCGTCTGAACTCAAGGTGGGGTTGGCGCATGGGGCAGGACCTGCTGTGCCCAGACGCCAGATAGGATGTCAGAGACTGAGCAGGGTGAGGAGGGCACCCGTATGGGAGCAGTCCCATGGGAAGTGCCAGGAAGTGAGTAGGATGAGAAGGCCTCTCTGTGCAGGGAAGGGAGCAACAGTAGAGTGGGGGTATTGGTTACATCTAATGGGTTGACCAACAAGTAACCAGAAAGCCAGGTTTTTCACCATTCAATGTCACTGTTCAGTGTCACTGGCCTGGAGCAGTGACACTGTAATTATATGAGCACATCTAGCTCCCAGAATGTGCCTTCTAAATATTATATTCTTCACTGAAAGAAACCAAGGCTTCTTAGAGAAATGATCAATTTCAGGGCTGGTAAGCTAAGTACAAGATAAGTCCAAAATGTCTTATTTATGCCAGAAATCAAGGAAGTGCTCAAAGAATGAGAGGAGCATGTCAAAAGGACTTGGGAACCAACTGGAAGGGGATCTTGGCTAAATCTGGGACAGTTTAAGCACTTAAATAATGATAGTAATGGATTATAAACAATTGAATAGATAAATTATAAGTCCATTCTGATATAAACTAATGAATAAATTGAAAGTGTGATGAAAAGTAGCAAATTTACTTATTAATTACATAGGGGAAACGAATAACTTTAAAGTGAAGAAAACTGGCAGACACAACTTTAATCAAATGATCAAAGGGAACATCATCAGTAATGGGATAAATTGAAATCGTGTGCCACCCGATAAGGCGCAATAAGAAGAACGCAGCATCACTTCTTTGATTTTCCTGCCAAAGAGGCATAACCCAAATCCATTAATGGGGAAACATCAGACAAACCCAAAATGAGGGACATATAACAGAATAACTGCCCAGTAATTTTCAAAAGAGTGAAGGAAAGACTAAGGAACTATTCCAGCCTGAAGGAGGCTAAGGAGACTTAATACCTGAACTCAGCCCATGATTCTGAATGGGAATATTTTTGCTACAAAAGATCAGTGAGACATTTGGCAAAACTTGACTGAGGTTTGGGAATTTGTTGGTAGCAATGTATCTAGTTAATTTCCTGATGTTATGGCTATGCTCTGATTATGTGGGAGAATATTACCACTTGTAGGAAATAAATACTAAAGAATTAGGGGCTGGGTAGGGTGGCCTACACCTATAATCCCAGCACTTTGGGAGGCCAAGGTGGGTGGATCATGAGGTCAGGAGATCGAGACCATCCTGTCTAACATGGTGAAACCCAGTCTCTACTAAAAATGCAAAAAACTAGCTGGGTGTGGTGGCACTCACCTGTAGTCCCAGCTACTCAGAAGGCTGAGGCAGGAGAATTGCTTGAATCCGGGAGGTGGAGGTTGCAGTGAGCTGATCGTGCCACTGCACTCCAGCCTGGGCGACAGAGCGAGACACTGTCTCAAAAAAAAAAAAAAAAAAAAAAAAAAAGAAGAAAAAAAAAGAATTAGGGAGTGGTGATTGGGCATCAGATCAGTAACTTATTTAGACATAGTAAGTAGGGGTCAGGGGGCAAAAAGTTTTCTTTCCCACCTTGTATCTCACTTACAGCCTTTCTAAATGTTTGAGGATGTTTCAGAGTTTTTTCTTTAAAGGAAAAGAAAGAAAAAATGTTGCCACCTGGTTAAACCCCAGGTATCTAAAATTTAGTATATCTCAAACAGAAATGGCCACCCTTCCAAATTGCTCTTTTTCTGACTCTCAATTTTGATAAATGTTACTTATATCTAATCACTTACCAAAGATAACCATGAAAATCAAGAAAACCAAGGGATCATTCTTAATGTCTCTTTCTCTATTACTCCCACATCTAAGCTTTATCTACTCTGCCTCAGAAATACCTCTCAGTGTTAACACGTCTTCATCACTCCCACTACCACTGCGGTGGCCTCTGTCTTTGTCCCTGATGTCACTAACCGGCCTTTCTCCATCCAGCCTGTGTGCTAGCAATGAACTTACTAAAAGTGAATCTTTTCACATTATTATCTTGCTTAGAGATATCGTTTGGCTCTCCATGGCATTCAGGATAAAGTCTGGCATTAGTAGCTTCAAAGCCTTCCTTAATCCCAACCAAACTGTAGTCATCTTATCTTCTGTCTGTCCTGTAAAACAATCAGCTATGCAAACTTTTCAACCTTCCTCAGACATACCTGCCCTCCCTTAACTTTGTGTTTTCACCTATGTTGTCCCTTCTGTGTAAAACACCTATGTTACCTTAAAAGCAGGAGATGCAAATTGGAAGGCCAACAAACTGAATCTAGCCTCCAGAATATTTTGTATGACCAACACAGAGGTTTCAGAAATGTGCAAAGGGCATCCTTTAGGTGTGGTCTTCCCTCTGCTGCTCACCAGGAAGCCCCCAACATCTGGCAACTTCACACGTTCCCTTTTCCTGGAAGGATTTGAGTTGGAGTTTTCAATACTCATCTCCCCCGAAGCCTTTCATGACTTCCCCCTTGTGAAGGCTCCATTCATAATCCCAAAATAGCACTTATCACAGTGTCCCGAGATCTCTGCTTGCATGTGGCTCAACTCTGACTCTCAGCAGGAACTGTGGCACCAACCTAAATTCTACCAAGAAAAGTATAGACACACACTGGAAGGCACTAGTTAGGGATCCAGAAGTGATTCACTCTTTCCTTGGAATATTTTTGATCTCCAAAGATATCTGGAACAACCATTTTCATATGATCCCAGGTCATACATATTTTAGAGGAAAGTTCCAGCAGGGGAAAGTGCTTTTAAAGTTTCTTTTATCTTCTTTGCAAAGGTGGTGATCCTAGATGATTGGCCTGAGCTATGTATTAATATTTTGCCTGATTAAGCTTTTAGGTGGGTTGTGAAGCAGAATGTGAGCTTCTCCTTCACTTTGGTATGGGTGATTCCATTTCTGTTCTAGGTCTGCAGGCCTTTGTACAGTGAGCAAGCAAATGAAGGAGCATTATCAATAGACAGATACATAAATAGATAGTATTGATATACATAATGTATATCATAGATAGAGAGAGAGATAGATAGATGATAGATAGACCGATATGTTTGCTGCCCTAATGGATTGACATAATCATATACATATTATATATATAATAAACATATTTTTTAATTTAAGCGATTGAATAGTGTGTGTGTTTGTGTGTGTGTGTGTGAGATTATCTCAATCCAGTAGAGCAGCAAACATATGTCTAGTACAATTTAATAAGCCTTTTTGTTACATAAGTAAACATCAGACTTTGGCTCAAATAGAAATGAGCAAAAGGATTTGCACAATTCTACCAATACTGCATAAATGTTTATTTTGATGAGTTCTGGGCTACTTTTTAAAGTTTTTTTTTTGTTATTTTGATGAGGTTTTGGCTCTTTGGGGGCATATTAATTATATTATCTCATTACACATTTTTAGAGGATTTTGGAAATTAGGAAGCACAACAAGCAGATGAACACAGGTGGAGACACAATGAAAATACTTACCAGGTGACTTCCCTGAGTGCAGTCACAGGCCCATTTTCTCCCATTAGAAATTAGAACTTAGAAAATCCTGTACAACAGAGATGGCAAACAGATGCCGGACACATGTGGTTCTCCTTAAGAATGATCTTCTGTGGGGTGTTCTCCGTGCTTCTGACAGTCCTCTCTGTGTGTTCCCTTCTGGGATCCCTTAGATTAAAGCATGCTCCTCGAATTCTCAGTGCAATGACAGAGGGGAAGGTGGGGGGATAGAGAAAGGGGCATGAGAGGGTGTGGCTTTTGGAATAAGGGATTGGCACTAGATTTCTAATTCAGATTCTGTGTCCACCTATGGAGAAAGCCACAAACATTCAGGTCAAATTCTGGTGACAGTCAAAGTTAGTAAACTTTAATTCTTCATTTTACTGCTTTCTGTGGTTGGAGGGCACAAAAAAATTCTGTTTCTCAAAATTCTCAAAAAAAGTTTTAAAAATTAATTATATTATTAGGGAAGGTGATGGTAATGCCTAACTCTGTTTAAAATGGGACATCTGTACAGATGTTTTGCTGACAAGTGGGTTTATCAGGTTGACAATGTTAAGCTCAAGCAAATATAAGAAGTTTTGTCTCACCGGGCGCGGTGGCTCATGCCTGTAATCCCAGAACTTTGGGAGGCCGAAGCAGGTAGATCACGAGGTCAGGAGATCGAGACCATCCTGGCTAACACGGTGAACCCCCGTCTGTACTAAAAATACAAAAAAAATTAGCCGGGCGTGGTGGCGGGTGCCTGTAGTCCCAGCTACTCGGGAGGCTGAGGCAAGAGAATGGCGTGAACCCAGGAGGCAGAGGTTGCAGTGAGCTGAGATCGCGCCACTGCACTCCAGCCTGGGTGACAGAGCAAGACTCCGTCTCAAAAAAAAAAAGAAGCTTTCTCTCTCCATGGTTCCTTAAATTTACCCTGGCAATTTGTGATGTATAAAAGGTCTAGATATTTCTGCCTAGAAGCACATGGAGCTCCTTTAACCTGAGCACATGGGAGTAAATAGCATGTAGCTGACCCTATTGGTTTCTCTCATTTGTGTCATATAGTCTCTGCTTCTGAGATACCCTCACCCACATTCCATCAATCTAATAACTTTTCAAAAGAAAAAAACTCCATTACATTTAATATGCATATTGACTGTATGGTAAATCCTGATTTTAGAAATGTTGTAAAGTGGTAGGAAAGAGGAGGGAGAAGTGCATCTTAAAACTGGGGTAGGAAGATACATACTTGAAGAGAGTCTCTTCTAATTGATTCAATCAAAAAATGGCATGTGCGTTAAGGATGTAGATCTCCTAGAACCTGACGGCAGGAGGTATAGAAAAGATTTCTCAAGAACTAGGCAGTCAGCAGGCAGCCAATATTTTGAGTTCTGGTGATGTCTACTCTGTATATCTGTTTGGTTCATCTTTCTACAGCTCTTCCTATCCGTGACCCTTAACTTCTCCTCCTTCAGAATTTCAGCATGAACTTTTCATGCTACCAACTTTGGACTCAAAATTTGACTGTTTCCCACTGCTAATAGACTTATTCTTAAAGTACTCCAACTACAAAATTCTGCAGGAGGAATCTAATGGGCTCAGCTTGGGTATTTTCTCTTTGTCCTATCAGGTTTGGCCACAGAGTTTGGTTGCCTAATAAAAACATGGGCACATGCGCTCACTTCACAGGGTATAGGTGGAGCTAGAGTCTCTTAATATGGGAGGGGACATAAGTATTATAATTGCATAAGAATCATGGATGTGTGGGGAATTTTTCAAATCAATAGATATTGGAGGTAAGTGAGAGACACTCATAGGCAACTTGGCTTATATGTGAGAATGACCAAAATCTTCACGTTTATCTAACTTGTGACTATTGTTTTAAGTTGTGAGGCTGTATCCTCAAGTGACCTATAAACTAGATCTGCCAACCAAAATGTCAGAGATTTAAAATGACAAGATATTGGATTCATGTAATATACAATTTATGTGACACACTCTTTTAACTAAGGTTTTTACTTAATGCAAGATATATAGCGAAGAGATCTTATGTTGCTTGTCAAGCGTCAGTTGTCAGAATCCTCTTAGAAGGCAATTTGGAAAAGTGTAATCAAGAGCTTTAATGTGTCCATAACTTCATTTTGAATTTGGTTTAAGACTTATTTGAGCTGGTTATATAGTTGGTGCTCAATGAAAGCTTGTTGAGAGATTAGTTTACACTTTATTTGCTTTTTACATCATGTTCTTTTATGTTTTCCTGTTTAACCTGCCTTACAGTCTATGGCATATCAGGCTTGTGTTTGAACGTATAGAACAACATTTGTGAAAGCAGGTTAAAAAGTGTGCAAGCAATTTGTACAACTGAACATAAATTTCTTGAAAATGGAGTTTTGTGTCCAAGTTGGCCAGGTTTATAATGTGAGCTTTAGGACATGATGACTGAAGGCAAACTTGAAGAAAGGGCACCGATGAGAGGTTGAGGTTTTATTTTCTACACTCGAGTAAAATTTGATCGTCCCAGAATTTTCTTGGTCTGGCTCAACTCAATGTCATCTGCAGCCAGAACTCATCCCCTCACCCAGTGCTTAAGAGGCCCATTTCTTTCCTTAACACTGGCTCTTTGTCAGTAGTTGGAGAGAAGACCGTGTAGCATGACATATCTTTAATGCCATAGGCTTAAGAACTCCTCCCCTTTCCCCACACACACTCCCACATGTTTTATGACATTCTACTTTAAATTCAGCCATTGCTATAGAATTTTAACTTACAAAGTCTTCCAAGGGTGAGGTCACATGTTGGTCCTTCAGGGGCTAGTACAGCAGGATTCTGGATGTTACTTTATTGACTTGCCCAAAAGTGGTCCTGATCTCGAAGAGAATTTGTCATCATATATTCTTGTTGCAAGAATCAAGATGTAGATCATTCTTTGTTTACCTCAGGACTGTTGTTCCAAAGGCAACTGTGGGGACTGGTGAATGCCAAGATTCTGCTTCCTCATTGTAAGCAAGCTCAGGTGGACTGCCACCTGTAGTTTGTCACGAACTAGAGAAATCTATGTAGAAATTTCCATACTTTGAGGGTGTGCAGATGTGTATGCATAGTAATCATATTTTTTTCTTTGACATGTTGAATTTAGATGCTTTTAACACAGTGTGGAAATTCATCACTGAGTAGAATTCAGTGTTGACTGTGAAATCACTTAAAATAACTTTTAAAATTCAGTATTAATTGAATTGAGGGGTTTTGTTAGGTTTCTGAGATCCAAGCCCATCTTTAACAACATCTGTCAATGCCAGCTATATTTGATGGGTTTGCATGATCTAGCTAAAGAATGTTTTACAAGAGGTTGCTGAAGATCTCATACATATATACCTTCTTTTCTCATCAAGACTCCCCTGCCTTTTCTAGTATTTGGTGGCACAACAGGGTGGCTAGAGTTAACATTAATTTATTGTATATTTTAAAATAACTAAAAGAGGCCAGGTGTAGTGCCTCACGCCCGTAACTGCTGCATTTTGGGAGGCTGAGGCAGATGGATTGCTTGAGGCCAGGAGTTCAAGACCAGCTTGGGCAACACAGTGAGACTCCATCTCTATAACATCTCTATAAAAAATTAAAAACTTAGCCAGGCATGTTGGTATGCGCCTGTAGTCCTAGCTACTTGGGAGGCTGAGGCAGGAGAATTGCTTGAGTCTGGGAGTTCAATGCTGCAGTGAGGCACCACACTCCAGCCTGGGTGACGGTGTCTCTAAATGAACAAACAAATAAAATAATAACAATAATAAAAATAACTAAAAGAGTGGAATTAGAATACTCCTAACACAAAAAAATGATAAATGCTAGAGGTGATGGATACTCCAATTACCCTGATTCGATCATTAGAGACGGTATGCCTATATCAAAACATCACATATAATATAAATGTATGCCACTATTATGTACCAATAATAATTAAAAATTAAAATTAAAAAAAGGATTCCCATAACTGATTGTTACAAGTTAAGAGTTTTGGGGTCTAGGGAGAACTGAGAGGAGGAATAGGGAAAAAAAGACAAAGATTTTGTCTGTCTGGATTTTGAAACAAAGTTTCTAAGTAGGCCCATGCAAAAAAGTCAACTTAAAGTTAAATTGAGGTACTTTAATTTATACTCAATGTTCACATTATAATTCTAACTCATTTCCCAGGATTTCCTACTAAAATTTGTATTATCTAGGAATTGATGGTACAGTGATCAGATGATCCTTCTAGTCTCTAGTCCTTTTGAGGCCCTACAATATAAAATCATTTCCTCCCAAGGCTAAGGGGTATTTGTGGTGTATTTCCTTATTCCAGGCTCTTCAGGGTTCCAGGAAGTCCCTGTGTCTCTTTGTCCTAGAGCTCTCATAGAACTCCAGACGGATCTGGCTGCTGGGTCATGATGCAGAATGCTAACCTGCAGGGAGGGAGAGGCGACTTCCTATTGCCCGCCTGCTTTTATTGTCAATTCCTAAGTTCAACAACAAAGAGGAACTTCCGCCCTGTCCCTGGACCTCACATTTTCCTGGAAAAGAAAGCTTCTGGCACTGGTGCACACATTAGGCCAAGAGGAGCCTGCTTTCCTTGACTTTTCTGATAATCAAAGGTGCAAAAAGGGACCACAAAGCTTTCCCAGGGAATCACTGAGGCAGAGACAAATCTGAATTGCTCCATTCATCTCCTATTGTTCAAGGTCAAGATAATAAGATATACCATACCCTAATGCCACCTGCACATGCAAAGTACCCTCAGCCCTACATTCTGCATTGAGAGTTGTGTGGAAGCAACAGGAAAACAGTGGAAAGTTAGGAGAGAAAAAAATTTCTCAAAATCAATATGCCATATCTTTCAATTTTGCTCAAGTAAATAGTTTTGAAAAAGGTAAATGTCTTCATTTTTTCCTGCCAAGGGCAAGGCGTTTCAGTTTTTCCTTTGTGGTGGATGCAGGAAGAGACAGAGGAAGCGCCAGTGTTTAGCCTGGAAAATTGTTAAAAATCTATACTTAATGTTATTATTCTGTTACCATGCAAAGTTGTATGTAACAGAGAAGGTTATACTTTATCTTAATTGCTTGGTAAGCCATGCAAATAACTAAAATTCAAAGAAGGATTTATTAATGTATAAAGCTATATGGTTTTTCCTTTTATGTTTATTTTGCTTACTTATTTGACTTTAACTATTGTTCTTACATAACATTTTACATATAAATATAAAAACACCTTTTGTATATGAAAAGGCTATTCTCTGGAAATTTTCAAATTAATGCTTTCCTGAGTTTTCTACTTAGCAGAGAAGAGCCCAACAAAAATTCTGCAAAGCATTTCTTTAACTTGCGTTGGCTGTGATTATATTTATAATGTTTACTTACTCTTCAGTTAAATGCATTAAACACTATTGTTTCAGTGACCCTTGCTGTGTCAAACTGTTATTTCTGGCATTTCATATAAGCATGAGATCAAGAAGAATAGAAAACACCAAATAAATTTCTCAGCAGGAATTCTAACTTCCCTTCTCCTATATGATCACACTTCTGATTTCCATGAAGAAAGAAAAATCTTAGAGGCAGATAAAATCATCTGAATTTTGCTCTCATTTTTGCTCATGGCTTTTAGAATACTAAATATGTAGTATTCTATACCATAGTGGATAGTTTTGTATGGTAGATGCTGACTATAAATGTTCTTGGCTTATACAGAGGAAGTGATCCTAAAATAAAATATATTTTAATTCCTGAACTTATGCTCTCTCTAAATCCTTCCTTATATAATTCTTCTACAGGAAAATAAACCACCATGATATCTTATTTCTGGAACTCTCATTGTCTGGTACTTTCTAAATTTTGATGTCTGAATGTCTTTAAAAATGTTTAATCATCATAATGGATAAAACAATTGGAGCAGTCTGACATTGTTTATCTTCGTGAGGTTGAAAAAATTCAAAAATAAATTGTTTGTATAGTGCTGAAAATGGAGGTTGGGATTAAATTGACCTAAGGTTAATGATAGGATGAAGATCAACTGTCAAGCAGTGAGAAAATGCTATAGCCTTGGCAATAATTAATGTTAAACAATGGCTGGAGTTCAGATTATTGTAATGAGAGATGATATGCTATTCTGACTGTCCAGAGGTCAATGTTACTTGGTTTCCTATGGTTAGGGGTAAATAAGGAGGACTTTCTAGTAAAAACAGTGTAACTGGATACGATGATCCTGCAGCGACCCAAGGTTCATGGGAGACATTGTTTGTATGTATAAAAGGTTTATTAAATATGTAACAACCAATGTTTTATGGAATTCAGTGCCTGAATGAGGAGTGATGGGGGTGGGGAGGTGGAGCCACGGAGGTGTTTATCTAGCTGCAAAAAATAGACTAAGATTATATTTTCCAGAGTCCCATATGTTGGCTATTATACTGTAATTCTAATGAATCTTTTCTGAATCTTTCGTTTTTTGAATGGCACCATTCTTCCCATAATATATCATCAGTTGTCCTTGCTCTGATAATGTATTACATTAATATATCATTAAAGCAGCAGATATATTAGAGTAATACATTATTAGAACAAAGCACTCTGGTGGTGATATATTTTGCAAAAGATGGCTCCATCTTGGCAGCCCAGGTCCAGAAGCAGAGTCAGTTCAACAAGACAGAAGGTGAATCCATGTCACATGCTCTTTAGCACCTGACATTTGGCTGCAGCTGTAAGATGCAACCCAAGTGTAATGCACATTCCAGTTTCTATTGGACCACTGGTCCTTCATCAAAATCCTTGAATATGGTGAGTCATTTCTGAAAAAGAAATAGAGTGGAATATGAGTCTTGTCTGAGAGAAGATTGTTTGTAGGCAATGAATTGTCCAAGACTTTGTTGTTTCTGGGAAGTCAGGTTCATCTGCGAGGGCCTACCTAAGTCCCTGGCTGGGGTGGCATCTGCACCATTTGCCATCTGAGAGTATCAGCTGTGTTTGCTTTCTCCACCATCTCACTGCAGGAATTACCCACTGTTGAGTCCTTTAACTTGGAATAAGTTTTCTTTCTGCATATGGACATTCAGTTTTCCCACACCATTATTGAAGAAACTGTCCCTTTCCCAATTAATGTTCTTGGTACATTTGTCAAAGATTGGAAGATAGGTTTGTTTAATGGTTTACCTGTCATCACCTTCTCTTGAAAATTGGTTTAGGATTTCAGAATAGGTAGAAAGTTGAACCTCCAGGGCCTCTGGGTTACCTCGGGGATGTTGACCTGTTTACATACAGATAGGGCCATAGCCAATGCCGTGGCCAGTGTCGGGATTTGTATCATGTTATAGCTATCTATAGCTATAACAAAACTTCAATCATGTTATAGCTATCTCTGTGCAGAAAATCAGATTTCTTTTTCACTGCCACCTATCGCAGCTACAAGGCTTAATCTACAAAACGTCCAAGGAAATGAATAGAATATTTATAATAACTCAAAGGTAGGCTGGCTAGAAGCTGCAATTGATGGGAAGAACTTCATTAATCATGATGCAGGTGAGGAGGGGAATAGTACTCCTTTCTAGGTAGTGACCTCTTACATTTGAATGAGCCTGAGAGAAAGGGTCATTCATTTAATTCTTTCCCTTTCAGAGTCCTCTTACAGCTGTGAAGTTATTATGCTCCTTCCTCCCTCCCCAGAAGAGTAATAATCACCTGCTAATAAGAGCCTGCCTCAGCAGCCAACACCTAGAGAAAGTAGCCCCAATATAGAGAATGGCATCCCAGAGGGACTTCCCTCTGGCACTTGAAGGAAGGATTTGGAAGTGTTCAAAGGAGGAGCATAATACTTGCTAATGTGTTTTTACAGTAATTGTGACTATTTTTTGTGTCTTTTTCCTGGACTTTTGGTATGTGTTTGTTAACTCACTGGCCATTTTCTAAGTGGATGACTGAGATAAATAGGTGGATCTATTCTTTAATAGGTGGGCTATTCCTTAATAGATTGCCAGATAGACCAGGAGAGGGAGGTAGAGGAGAACTGCTGATACACCTGGAAGTCTGTTACAAAGCAAAATAGACATGAGTTACACGCCTGAAAGGGAAAGAACTTTGAGTGAGGCTCATTTTTAAATGGCAACAACCTCAAACAGAAGACACAGCAACAGGTTTGTAGGAAGAGACAATTATCTCACTATGGTCCCATTGTGTGTGTATTTACCAGTGACCTTGCCACTGTCACTCAGTACTGGATAATTTGAGAAATAACCAGGTGCCATTTTTAACCTTTCACCAGAATAGACTCAGTCCCCACAAGGACACTAATATATCCAGTCCCTGAAGTACCACAGATTAATACATTGATTTTAAATATTTTATAAAATGCACTCATCAAAAGGCTAGAAGCATATATCCATCAATTGAAAATTAAACAGTCAAGGCAAAACAATACATACACACACATACACACACAAAAGAACTCAAGCACGCCATCCATTACTAAGAACAAGGCCATCAACAGGAGACCAAGGAAAGACAAACAACTTACATCAGGCCCGCAAGTAAAAGACATTTATCAGCCCACTTAATAATGCTTTTTGACATTTAAGAGCCTGTTTCTATGTGGTCCTGTACCAAGAGGGATTTACACATACATACTCTTGTGCATTCTCAGAGTTTATATTCTAAAAAAGGCAGAGTAAAGTCCACTTAAGACTCCCTAGCAAGCTGCACTAATAGGAAAGTTATTTTTAAAATAAAATTAATATGGGTGTCTTTGGGGGGTTTTATTATATCAATCTGAATTTAGAAGAAAGATGAATTAGAAGGTCCCATTATATGAGTACGCAATGACTTGCAGATATTACAGAAGGGAGAACAAATGATTTCCCACTTCCTAGGGCAATTTGACAATGCATATTTAAAGCCTTGAGATTTTTCATTCCCTCTGTCCCAGAAATTCCACTTACAGGAATTTATTTTAAAGACACCATCATACAGACTGCAAAGATTTAACAAGAATATTAATTTCAAGTGGGGCATGCTGGCTTATACCTGTAGTGCCAGCACTTTGGGAGGCCAAGGCAGGAGGATTGCTTGAGGCCAGAAATTTGAGATCACTCCAGGCAACATAGTGAGACCCTGTCTCTACAAAAAATAGAAAAAATTAGTCAGGCATGGTGGCACACACCTGTAGTCCCAGCTACTTGGGAGGTTGAGGTGGGGGGAGTCACCTGAGCCCAGGAGGTCAAGGCTGCAGTGAGCTGTGATTGTGCCCCACCGCACTCTAACCTGGGTGAAAGAGCAAGACCTATCTCAAAAGGAAAAAAAAAGAATATTAATTTCAACATTATTTACAATAGCCCAAACTTTTAAATAGTGTAAATGTTAGAAAATACAGGATGATTTCAATTTGCTATAAAACACCAATATAGTGGAAGCCTAGACAAGGCTCTAAAAGTGACAATGAAGAATAATTAAAGACATCATTGTAAGATGGAAGAAGAATGCTGCAGCACAGTATTTTTTTTTAACTCTTTGGTTCAGAAAATTATGCACACAAATATCCTTAAATGCATGCTCTAATTTATTTGTACATGTAGATAGGGAATGTCTGCAAGGAAATACATCCAAATATTAACAATAATTACCTCTGTGTGATCCAATTATGGATGATTTCATTTTATTTATGCTTATTTGTAGTAGCTTCATGTTATAAATGCAACCATTTAAAACTGGTAAAACACACAACAGTGGGTAAAAACAAGTATCAGTCTGGTTGAGGAGGGGCATGGCAAGGAGATAAAGTTGGAGATGTAGGTAGAAGGCAGAAGAGCCTTGAATGCCAAGCTAAGAAAGGAGACATCTTTCTCCACATATGACATTTTTTATTGGAGTTATGTATATTTGAACTGCTGCTATATAAAATATTATCAGTCTCACTTTATGTTCAAAACTGGAGATAACTTGAATCCTCCACTCTCAATTCAAAAGCCTTCATCAAGAACCACACACTATCAGAGCTGGTAGGATGAGTGGTGAGAAGCTTTGTGGGCCCTGTGGCCACTCAGCAGCGCCCCTTAGCCACCTTCACCCTCTGTCAATGCCTGGTGAACCACAGCTGTTTACAGGCATGAGAATGTCTGTGAGCGATCTGATGGCTTCGCTTCAGTTATTGTAACATTTGCTGCTGTTATAATTTAAGATCCTCTTTATATCCTACCTATAATGCTGTAACAAGGTCATCCAGGAGTTCTTTAAGTGTTAGAACTGTAAAACACTCAAACGCTCAAGAAACTCGGGGACTTTAGAACAGAACTTAGATGTGCTAAATCTCTATTGAGAAGGCCAAATCACCACCACAGTGTTCTGTACTGTTAATTTAAGAGAAAGCACTTCAAAATATTAGAGAAAATACAGGGAAAATAAAAAGCAGCCTTAAAGCAAATATATGTTACAAGGTTTGCAGATTTATGCACTCCAAGATTGCATTCTCCCTCCTGCACACACT
The DNA here is from genome assembly GCF_000001405.40 of Homo sapiens. NCBI lineage: Eukaryota > Metazoa > Chordata > Mammalia > Primates > Hominidae > Homo > Homo sapiens. Next base: position 145,990,827 of record NC_000004.12, read on the forward strand.
TTATATTCAGTCCTGTGGGAAAAGTAGGCTTGAATTATGTAAGTTTTGAATTATATGAGGTATCCAGAAATGCATTCTTTGCGTGAAATGCAACCATCTTGTATAATGGGGGTGGAATGGGTTGAGGGTGGAGGTGGCAGATGGAAGACAGAGGGGATGCTGAAAAGAGGGTGACTTGAATGTAGGACTTAGAAGCCTAGGTAGGCTTCTACTCAACTTGGGGGATGAACTGGAGGGAAGAGAAGATGGGGCCTCAAGAAAAGGGTGAGAAGGAATTAAAACTGGCTGAAGGAATGAACACAAGGCACTAGGGGAATCAATTTGTATGGATCATGTGGCTTAACTTTCACAAGCTGTGAGGCATTATTTCTTCTTGGCAGCAAGAAAAACCAATCAGAAGTCCCAGAGAGGCATGCCTGGAAAGACTCCTTTATTTATTCATCAGTTTGTTTTTCATTCTTTTGATTATTCCAAATGAAATTTTTAATGATGACTGTAATGTATGCCTAATAAAACAGAAGCTCAAATAATGATGAAGTGTTGAAAATACAAAGCGAAGGCCAGGCGCGGTGGCTCACGCCTGTAATTCCAGCACTTTGGGAGGCCGAGACGGGCGGATCACAAGGTCAGGAGATCGAGACCATCCTGGCTAACACGGTGAAACCCCGTCTCTACTAAAAATACAAAAAATTAGCCGGGTGCGGTGGCACGTGCCTGTAATCCTAGCTACTCGGGAGGCTGAGGCAAGAGAATGGCGTGAACCCGGGAGGCGGAGCTTGCAGTGAGCCGAGATCGCGCCACTGCACTCCAGCCTGGGCGACAGAGGGAGATACCATCGCAAAAAAAAAAAAAAAAAAAAAAAAAAGGAAAGAAAATAGAAAGCAGAAAGCAGAAGCTCATCATCCAACAAATCTCACCTCCCACCCTTAAATCCTGCTCTTCAGAGATAACCAGTTAAGCATTTGGTTACTAACTTCTAGACATCCTTGCACATATAAATGGCTCATTCTATAGCTACTGTTTGGTAACATGCTTTTCCCTCCATGCAATCATATGTTGTGGATACTGAGCCATGAACCACCAAATCCTTTTTTAAAAAATTAAAACACTTTATTTTTAAAAGAAATTTTAGGTTCACAGCAAAATTGAGTGGAAAGTATGAGAGTTCCCATAATAGACCCTGTCCCTTCCCCACTCCACTCCCAATTTTTCTCAAAACTGACATACCACAACATAGTGGTACATTTGTTACAATCATTGAACCTACATCGACACAACATTATCATCACCTAAAGTCCATAGTATTTGTTAGCGTTCACCCTTGGTGTTGTGCGTTCTACACATTCGGACAAATGTATAATGACATGAGTCTACCACTGGTGTATCACACAGGTAGTTTAGCTGCCCTAAGAAGTCTCTGTGCTCTGCCTATTTATCCCACCCTCCTCACTAATCTTTTTACTGTCTCTTTAGTTTTTTTTGCCTTTTCTGGAACGTCATATACTTGGTATCATACTGTATGTAGCCTTTTCAGATTGGCTTCTCTCATTTTGTAATATGCATTTAGGGGTTATCCGTGTCTTTTTCCGGCTTAATAGTTAGTTTCTTTTCACTGCTGTATAATATTCCATGTCTGTATGTACCACGGTTTATTTACTCACTCATTTACTGAAGGACATCTTGGTTGTTTCCAAGTTTTGGCGATTAGAAACAAAACTGCTATAAATATCAGTTTGCAGGTTTTTGTGTATAAATGTCTTAATTCATGTGGGTAAATACCAACAAGTATGACTGCTTATAGTAAGAGTATATTTAGTTTTTGTTGTTGTTGTTTTGTTTTGGTTTTGTTTTGAGACAGAGTCTTGCTCTGTCGCCCAGGCTGGAGTGCAGTGGTGTGATCTCAGCTCACTGCAACCTCCGGCTCTCAGGTTCAAGCGGTTCTCCTGCCTCAGCCTCCTGAGTAGCTGGGACTACAGGCACCTGCCACCATGCCTGGCTAATTTTTGTATTTTTAGTAGAGACAGGCTTTCACCATTTTGGCCAGGCTCGTCTCAAACTCCTGAGCTCAAGTGATCTGCCCTCCTCGGCCTCCCAAAGTGCTGGGATTACAGGTGTGAGCCTATAATCCCAGTATATTTAGTTTATTTAGTTTTGTAAGAAACTATCAAACCGTCTTCCTAAGTGGCTTTTCCATTTTGTATTTCCATTTATTCCAATGAATAAATATGCTTGTTGTGCCACATCTTCACCAGCATTTGTTGTTGTCAGTGTTTTAGTGTTTTGAATTTTGGCTATTCTAACAGGTTTGTAGAGGTTGACAGGCAACCTATGTCATTGTTTGAATTTGCCATTCTCTAGAAATATCTTGCAACTTTGCTATAATCACTTATTTGAGGATTTTTGTGGGGTTTTTGGTCAATTATTTTGAATTTTCTACATAGATGATCATATCATTTGTGAAGAAAGACAATTTATTTCTTCCTTACCAGTCTGTATACTCCTTTATTCCTTTTTATGTCTTATTGTATTAGATAGGACTTCTAGAGCAATGTTGATAAGCAGTGGTGAGAGGAGACATCTTTGCCCTGTTCCTGATTTTGGCAGGAAAGCTTCAAATTTCTCACCATTAAGTATAATATTAGCTTTAGAGTTTTTGTAGATGGTCTTTATCAAGTTGTGAAAGTTTCCCTTTATTCTTAGTTTGCAGAGAGGTTTTTTTTTTTTTTAAATAAGTGGGTGTTGGATTTTGTCAATTTCTTTTACTGCATCTATTGATATGATTATGTTCTTTTTTTTCTCTAGTCTATTGATGTGGTGGATTACATTAAGTGATTTTCAAATGTTGAACCAGTCTTGTATGACTTGGACAAATCCCATTAGGTCATAGTTTATCATTTTAAAAAATTCATTTTTGGATTCCATTTGCAAATATTCTGTTGAGTATTTTTGATTTTATGTTTAAGAGATATATTGGTCTTTTCCTGTAATATCTGTGTTGAGTTTTGATATTAGGGTAATTTTGGCTTCATAGAATAAATTAGGAAATATTGCCTCAGCTTCTATCATTTGGAAGAGATTGTAGAGAATTGGCACAATTTCTTTCTTAAATGTTTGGTAGAATTCGCCAGTGAATCCATATGGTCCTGGTGCTTTCTGTATTGCAAAAATTATTAATGATTGTTTCAATTTCTTTAATGAATATAGACCTTTTCATATCATCTATTTTTTTGTGTGAGTTTTGACAAGTTGTGTCTTTCAATGATTTGGTCCATTTCATCTAGGATATGAAATTTGTGGGCATAGAATTGTTCATAATATTACCTTATTATTCTTTTAATATCAATGGGATCTGTAGTGATGTCTTCTTTATTATTTCTGACATTAGTAGTTTGTGTCTTTTTTTTCTTAGCCTGGTGAGTGGTCGTCAATTTTATTGATCTTTTCAAATAACTAGCTTTTGGCTTTGTTGCTTTTCTTTATTAATTTTCTATCTTTAATTTCATTTATTTTTGCTTCATTTTTTATTATTTCTGTTCTTTTGCTTACTTTGGTTTTAATTTTTAATTTGCTCTTCTTTTTCTAGTTTCCTAAGGTTAAAGCTTATGTTGATGATTTTAGATTTTCTTCTGTTCTAATATATGCATTCCATGCTATAAATTTCCCTCTAAGCACTGCTTTCACTCATTCCCACAAATTTTTTGTAAGTTATATTTTCATTGTAATTTACTTTAAAAATTTATATTTTTCTCTTGAGATTCCTTCTTTGGCCCATGCATTATTTAGAATTGTGTTGTTTAATCTTCAACTGTTTGGGGATTTTCAAGTATGTTTCTGTTGAGAATTTTTAGTTTAATTCCACTATTGCCTGAGAGCAGACACTGTATGATTTCTATTCTTTTAAGTTTGTTAAGGTGTATTTTATGGCTCAGAATATGTCTATCTTGGTAAATGTTGCATGTGAGCTTGAAAAGAATGTGTAATATGTTGTTGTTGGAGGAACTTCTAGAGATGTTAATTATATACAGTTGATTGATGGTGCTGTTGAGTTTAACTATGTCCTTGCTGATTTTCTGCCCGCTGGATCTGTTCATTTCTAATACAGGGGTATTGAAGTCTCCAACTACAATTGTGGATTCATCTATTTCTCCTTGCAGTTCTATCAGTTTTTGCCTCCTGTATTTTGACACTGTTAGGCTCATACACATTAAGGATTGTTATGTCTTCTTCATGTATTGATCCTTTTATTATTATTTAATGCCCCTTTTTCTTCCTGCTAAGTTTCCTTGCTCTGAAGTCTGCTCTGTCTAAAATTAATATAGCTATTCCTAATTTCTTTTAATTAGTGTTAACATGGTTTATCTTTCTTCAGCCCTTTACTTTTAATTTATATATTTCTTTATATTTAAAGTAGGTTTCTTGTAGACAGCATATAGTTGGGACTTGTTTGTTTTTTTTAATCCACTCTGACTATCTTTGTTATTGTTTGTTTGTTTGAGACAGGTCCACTGTGTCACCCTAGGCTGGAATACAGTGGTACAACCATAGCCCACTGCCACCTAGAACTCCTGGGCTCAAGTGATTCTCCTTCCTCAGTGTCCCAAGTAGCTGGGACTAGAAGTATGTGCAACCATACCTGGCTAAGCTCTGTCTTCTAATTTGTGTATATAGAATATTACTGATACTAAAAAGAGTTGCTGGTTTTTCAATTTGTTCAGCTTTTTACTTGTTGTTAAGTCTGAGTGGCAACTTCTAAACTCCTTATATGCTGAATCAGAAACTGGAAATCTCCACCTTACCCTTTTAAAAACACTTTCATAATGTCTCACTTTATGGCTGTGCTATTCTTTAACTAGTCCTCCATTATCATGGGCACTTGTCACTTTTTTGGCCACCCAGTTTCCATTCCTTACTCTTAATTTGTTAAATATAAAGGTAATATTTTATTCAATTTATTAAACATATCAATGTAAATCCAGAATATTGTGCTATTCATAATTGAAACACAGCAAGTCCTTCATTAAACTGTCCTAAAACACTGCTCACAATGATGCAAAACTTCCCACTTTAAAAAATTAAGATTTTTAATTGACACATAATAATTGTACAAATTTAGGGGGTACAGTGTAATATTAGTATTTTGATATATGTATATAATGTATAATGATCAAATCAGGGTAATTGGCATATCCCTCAACTCAAACATTTATCATTTCTTTGTGTTGGGAACATTCAAAATACTTTCTTCTAGGTATTTGAAACTATATAATAAATTATTGTTAACTATAGTCACTCTGCAGTGCTATAGAACACTAAAACTTATTCCTCCTATCTAGCTGTAATTTTATATCAATTAATCAACCTATCCCAAGTGCCCCACCAAGCCTTCCCCCTTCCCAGCCTCAGTAACCACTATTCTACTCTCTAATTCTATGAGACCTACTCTTTTAGCTTCTACACATGAATAAGAATAAATGGTATTTATCTCTCTATGCCTGGCTTATTTCACTTAACATGATGTTCTCTAGGCTCATTCATGTTACCATGAATAACAGGATTTCATTCTTTTTATGGCCAAATAGTATTCTATTGTGTAGATATACCATTTTCTTTCTCCATTCATCTGTTGATGGACATTTAGGAATATTCCATATCCTGGCTATTGTGAATAGTGCTGCAATAAATGTGGCAGTGTAGGTTTTTCTTTAACATACTAATTTCCTTTCCTTTGGATTATATACCCAGTAGTGAGATTGTTGGATCATACGGTAATTCTATGTTTAGTTTTTTGAGGAACCTCTCTACTGTTTTCCATAATGGCTGTACCAATTTACATTTTCACCAATGGTGTATTAGGGCTCTCCTTTCTCTGCATCTTCACCAACATTTGTTATTTTTTGTTGTTTTGATAATAGCCATTCTAGTTGGGGTGAGGTGATATCTCGTTGTGGTTTTGATTTGCATTTCCTTGATGACTAGTGATATTGAGCAATTTTTCACATTTTTTTTGGCCATCTGAATGTCTTCTTTTGAGAAATGTTTATTCAGATCCTTTACCCATTTTTAGTCAGGTTATTATTATTTATTATTGCTACTGAGTTGTCCTAGTTCTGTGTGTATTATGGATATTAATCCCTTATCAAATGAATAGCTTGCAAATATTTTTCCCATTCTGCAGGTGTCTCTTGGCTCAATAGATTGTTTCCTTTCCTGTGCAGAAGTTTTCTAGTTTGACATCATCCCATTTGTCTATTTTTGCCTATTTGTTGCCTTATCTAGAAAATCTTTGCCCAGCCCAATGTCCTAAAAGCATTTCCTCCATATCTTCTTCTAGTAGTTTTATAGTTTTGAGTCTTACATTTTAGTCTTTAATCCATTTTGAGTTGACTTTTTTATGTAGTGAGAGATAAGGGTCCAGTTTCATTCTTCTGTGTATGGATATCCAGTTTTCCAAGAACCATTTATTGAAGAGACTGTTCTTTCCCTAGTGTATGTTCTTGGTGTCTTTGTCAAAAATCAGTAGGCTATAAATATGTGAATTTATTTCTAGGGTCTCTATTCCACTCCATTGGTCTATGTGTCTATTTTTATGCAAGTACCATGTTGTTTTTGTTACTATACCTTTGTAGCATATATTGGAGTTCAATAGGGTGATGCCTCCAGCTTTGTTCTTTTTGTTCAGGAGTCCTTTGGTTATTCATGTTTATTTTTGGTTCCATATAAATTTTAGGATTGTTTTTCCTATTTATATGAAAAATGGTATTCCTACTTTCCTAGGTATTGTGTTAAATCTGTAGATTGCTTTGGGTAGAATCATCATTTTAACAATATTAATTCTTCCAATCCATGAACATGAGATGGCTTTTCATTTTTTTGTGTCCTCTTCAATTTCTTTCGTCAGTGTTTTACAGTTTTCTTTTTCTTTTTTAAATTTTATTATTATTATACTTTAAGTTTTAGGGTACATGCGCACAACGTGCAGGTTTGTTACATATCTATACATGTGCCATGTTGGTGTGTTGCACCCATTAACTCGTCATTTAGCATTAGGTATATATCCTAATGCTATCCCTCCCCCCTTCCCCCACCCCACAACAGTCCCTGGTGTGTGATGTTCCCCTTCTTGTGTCCATGTGTTCTCATTGTTCAATTCCCACCTATGAGTGAGAACATGCGGTGTTTGTTTTTTTGTCCTTGCGATAGTTTGCTGAGAATGATGGTTTCCAGTTTCATCCATGTCCCTACAAAGGACATGAACTCATCATTTTTTTATGGCTGCATAGTATTCCATGGTGTATATGTGCCACATTTTCTTAATCCAGTCTATTGTTGTTGGACATTTGGGTTGGTTCCAAGTCCTTGCTATTGTGAATAGTGCCACAATAAACGTACATCTACATGTGTCTTTATAGCAGCATGATTTATAATCCCTTGGGTATATACCCAGTAACGGGATGGCTGGGTCAAATGGTATTTCTAGTTCTAGATCCCTGAGGAATCGCCACACCGACTTCAACAATGGTTGAACTAGTTTACAGTCCCACCAACAGTGTAAAAGTGTTCCTATTTCTCCACATCCTCTCTGGCACCTGTTGTTTCCTGACTTTTTAATGATTGCCATTCTAACTGGTGTGAGATGGTATCTCATTGTGGTTTTGATTTTCATTTCTCTGATGGCTAGTGATGACGAGCATTTTTTCATGTGTGTTTTGACTGCATAAATATCTTCTTTTGAGAAGTGTCTGTTCATATCCTTTGCCCACTTGTTGATGGGATTGTTTGTTTTTTTCTTGTAAATTTGTTTGAGTTCATTGTAGATTCTGGATATTAGCCCTTTGTCAGATGAGTAGGTTGCAAAAATTTTCTCCCATTCTGTAGGTTGCCTGTTCACTCTGATGGTAGTCTCTTTTGCTGTGCAGAAGCTGTTTAGTTTAATTAGATCCCGTTTGTCAATTTTGGCATTGTTGCCATTGCTTTTGGTGTTTTAGACATGAAGTCCTTGCCCATGCCTATGTCCTGAATGGTATTGCCTAGGTTTTCTTCTAGGGTTTTTATGGCTTTAGGTCTAACGTTTAAGTCTTTAATCCATCTTGAATTAATTTTTGTATAAGGTGTAAGGAAGGGATCCAGTTTCACCTTTCTACATATGGCTAGCCAGTTTTCCCAGCACCATTTATTAAATAGGGAATCCTTTCCCCATTGCTTGTTTTTGTCAGGTTTGTCAAAGATCAGATAGTTGTAGATATGCGGCATTATTTCTGAGGGCTCTGTTCTGTTCCATTGGTCTATATCTCTGTTTTGGTACCAGTGCCATGCTGTTTGGGTTATTGTAGCCTTGTAGTATAGTTTGAAGTCAGGTAGTGTGATGCCTCCAGCTTTGTTCTTTTGGCTTAGGATTGACTTGGCGATGCAGGCTCTTTTTTGGTTCCATATGAACTTTAAAGTGGTTTTTTCCAATTCTGTGAAGCAAGTCATTGGTAGCTTGATGGGGATGGCATTTGAATCTATAAATTACCTTGGGCAGTATGGCCATTTTCACGATATTGATTCTTCCTACCCATGAGCATGGAATGTTCTTCCATTTGTTTGTATCCTCTTTTATTTCATTGAGCAGTGGTTTGTAGTTCTCCTTGAAGAGGTCCTTCACATCCCTTGTAAGTTGGATTCCTAGGTATTTTATTCTCTTTGAAGCAATCGTGAATGGGAGTTCACTCATGATTTGGCTCTCTGTTTGTCTGTTATTGTTGTATAAGAATGCTTGTGATTTTTGTACATTGATTTTGTATCCTGAGACTTTGCTGAAGTTGCTTATCAGCTTAAGGAGATTTTGGGCTGAGATGATGGGGTTTGCTAGATATACAATCATGTCATCTGCAAACAGGGACAATTTGACTTCCTCTTTTCCTAATTGAATACCCTTTATTTCCTTCTCCTGCCTGATTGCCCTGGCCAGAACTTCCAACACTATGTTGAATAGGAGTGGTGAGAGAGGGCATCCCTGTCTTGTGCCAGTTTTCAAAGGGAATGCTTCGAGTTTTTGCCCATTCAGTATGATATTGGCTCTGGGTTTGTCATAAATAGCTCCTATTATTTTGAGATACGTCCCATCAATACCTAATTAATTAGAGTTTTTAGCATGAAGGGTTGTTGAATTTTGTCAAAGGCCTTTTCTTCATCTATTGAGATAATCATGTGTTTTTTGTCTTTGGTTCTGTTTATATGAAGGATTACATTTATTGATTTTCATATGTTGAACCAGCCTTGCATCCCAGGGATGAAGCTCACTTGATCATGGTGGATAAGCTTTTTGATGTGCTGCTGGATTCAGTTTGCCAGTATTTTATTGAGGATTTTTGCATCAGTGTTCATCAAGGATATTGATCTAAAATTCTCTTTTTTTGTTGTGTCTCTACCAGGCTTTGGTATCAGTATGATGCTGGCCTCATAAAATGAGTTAGGGAGGATTCCCTCTTTTTCTATTGATTGGAATAGTTTCAGAAGGAATGGTACCTGCTCCTCCTTGTAACTCTGGTAGTATTCGGCTGTGAATCCATCTGGTCCTGGACTTTTTTTGTTGTTAAGCTATTGATTATTGCCTCAATTTCCGAGCCTGTTATTGGTCTATTCAGAGATTCAACTTCTTCCTGGTTTAGTCTTGGGAGGATGTATGTGTTGAGGAATTTATCCATTTCTTCTAGATTTTCTAGTTTATTTGCATAGAGTTGTTTATAGTATTCTCTGATGGTAGTTTGTATTTCTGTGGGATGAGTGGTGATATCCCCTTTATCGTTTGTTATTGCGTCTATTTGATTCTTCTCTCTTTTCTTCTTTGTTAGTCTTGCTAGCAGTCTATCAATTTTGTTGATCTTTTCAAAAAACCAGCTCCTGTATTCATTAATTTTTTGAAGGGTTTTTTGTGTCTCTATTTCCTTCAGTTCTGCTCTGATCTTAGTTATGTCTTGCCTTCTGCTAGCTTTTGAATGTGTTTGCTCTTGCTTTTCTAGTTCTTTTAATTGTGATGTTACGGTGTCAATTTTAGATCTTTCCTGCTTTCTCTTGTGGGCATTTAGTGCTATAAATTTCCCTCTACACACTGCTTTGAATGTGTCCCAGAGATTCTGGTATGTTGTGTCTTTGTTCTCATTTGTTTCAAAGAACATCTTTATTTCTGCCTTCATTTCATTATGTACCCAGTAGTCATTCAGGAGCAGGTTGTTCAGTCTCCTTGTAGTTGAGTGGTTTTGAGTGAGTTTCTTAATCCTGAGTTCTAGTTTGATTGCACTGTGGTCTGAGAGACAGTTTGTTATAATTTCTGTTCTTTTACATTTGCTGAGGTGTGCTTTACTTCCAACTATGTAGTCAATTTTGGAATAGGTGTGGTGTGGTGCTGAAAAGAATGTATATTCTGTTGATTTGGGGTGGAGAGTTCTGTAGATGTCTATTAGGTCCACTTGGTGCAGAGTTGAGTTCAATTCCTGGGTATCCTTATTATCTTTCTGTCTCGTTGATCTGTCTAATATTGACAGTGGGGTGTTAAAGTCTCCCATTATTAATGTGTGGGAGTCTAAGTCTCTTTGTAGGTCACTCAGGACTTGCTTTATGAATCTGAGTGCTCCTGTATTGGGTGCATATATATTTAGGATACTTAGCTCTTCTTGTTGAATTGATCCCTTGACCATTATGTAATGGCCTTCTTTGTCTCTTTTGATCTTTGTTGGTTAAAGTCTGTTTTATCAGAGACTAGGATTGCAACCCCTGCCTTTTTCTGTTTTCCATTTGCTTGGTAGATCTTCCTCCATCCTTTTATTTTGAGCCTATGTGTGTCTCTGCACGTGAGATGGGTTTCCTGAATACAGCACACTGATGGGTCTTGACTCTTTATCCAATTTGCCAGTCTGTGTCTTTTAATTGGAGCATTTAGCCCATTTACATTCAAAGTTAATATCGTTATGTGTGAATTTGATCCTGTCATTATGACGTCAGCTGGCTATTTTGCTCGTTAGTTGATGCAGTTTCTTCCTAGCCTTGATGGTCTTTATAATTTGGCATGTTTTTGCAGTGGCTGGTACCAGTTTTTCCTTTCCATGTTTAGTGCTTCCTTCAGGAGCTCTTTTAGGGCAGGCCTGGTGGTGACAAAATCTCTCAGCATTTGCTTGTCTGTAAAGTATTTTATTTCTCCTTCACTTATGAAGCTTAGTTTGGCTGGATATTAAATTCTGGGTTGAAAATTCTTTTCTTTAAGAATGTTGAATATTGGTCCCCACTCTATTCTGGCTTATAGAGTTTCTGCCGAGAGATCAGCTGTTAGTCTGATAGGCTTCCCTTTGTGGGTAACCCGACCTTTGTCTCTGACTGCCCTTAACATTTTTTCCTTCATTTCAGCTTTGGTGAATCTGACAATTATCTGTCTTGGAGTTGCTTTTCTTGAGGAGTATCTTTGCGGCATTCTCTGTATTTGCTGAATTTGAATGTCGGTCTGCCTTGCTAGATTGGGGAAGTTCTCCTGGATAACATCCTGCAGTGTTTTCCAACTTGGTTTCATTCTCCCCGTCACTTTCAGTTACACCAATCAGATGTAAATTTGGTCTTTTCACATAGTCCCATATTTCTTGGAGGCTTTGTTCATTTCTTTTTATTATTTTTTCTCTAAACTTCTCTTCTCGCTTCATTTCATTCATTTCGTCTTCCATCACTGATACCCTTTCTTCCAGTTGATCACATTAGCTACTGAGGCATTTGTCACGTAGTTCTCGTGCCTTGGTTTTCAGCACCATCAGGTCCTTTAAGGACTTCTCTGCATTGGTTATTCTAGTTATCCGTTTGTCTAATTTTTTTTCAAAGTTTTTAACTTCTTTGCCATTGGTTCGAACTTCCTCCTGTAGCTAAGAGTAGTTTGATCGTCTGAATCCTTCTTCTCTCAACTTGTCAAAGTCATTCTCTGTCCAGCTTTGTTCCATTGCTGGTGAGGAGCTGTGTTCCTTTGGAGGAGGAGAGGCACTCTGATTTTAGAGTTTCCAGTTTTCCTGCTCTATTTTTTCTCCATCTTTGTGGTTTTATCTACCTTTGGTCTTTGATGATGGTGACGTTCAGATGGGTTTTTGGTGTGGATGTCCTTCTTGTTTGTTAGTTTTCCTTCTAACAGACAGGACCCTCAGCTGCAGGTCTGTTGGAGTTTGCTAGAGGTCCACTCCAGACCCTGTTTGCCTGGGTATCAGCAGCGGTGGCTGCAGAACAGTGGATATTGGTGAACCTCAAATGCTGCTGCCTGATCGTTCCTCTGGAATTTTTGTCTCAGAGCAGTACCCTGCCGTGTGAGGTGTCAGTCCGCCCCTACTGGGGGGTGCCTCCCAGTTAGGCTACTCGGGGGTCAGGGACCGACTTGAGGAGGCAGTCTGCCTGTTCTCAGATCTCAAGCTGCGTGCTGGGAGAACCACTACTCTCTTCAAAGCTGTCAGACAGGGACATTTAAGTCTGCAGAGGTTACTGCTGTCTTTTTGTATGTCTGTGCCATGTCCCCAGAGGTGGAGCCAACAGAGGCAGGCAGGCATCCTTGAGCTGTGGTGGGCTCCACCCAGTTCGAGCTTCCCCGCCACTTTGTTTACCTAATCAAGTCTCGGCAATGGCAGGCACTCCTCCCCCAGCCTTGCTGCTACCTTGCAGTTTGATCTCAGACTGCTCTGCTAGCAATGAGCGAGACTCTATGGGCGTAGGACCCTCTGAGCCAGGTTGGGAAAGCGCAGTATTAGGGTGGGAGTGACCAGTTTTTCCAGGTGCCGTCTGTCACCTCTTTCTTTGACTAGGAAAGGGAATTCCCTGACCCCTTGGGCTTCCCGAGTGAGGCAATGCCTTGCCCTGCTTCAGCTCGCACACGGTGTGCTGCACCCACTGTCCTGCACCCACTGTCTGGCGCACCCCAATGAGATGAAACCGGTACCTCAGTTGGAAATGCAGAAATCACCTGTCTTCTGCGTCGCTTATGCTGGGGGCTGTAGACTGGAGCTGTTCCTATTCGGCCATCTTCTACAGTTTTCTTGTAGATATCATTCACCTTTTTGGTTAAATTTACTTGTAGTATTTTATTTAGTCTTGTAGCTGTTGTAAATAAGATTGCTTTATTGATTTTTTTTCAGTTGGTTTGTCATTGGTGTATAAATACTACTGATCTTTTTTTTTTTTTTCAAGACAGAGTCTTACTTTGTTGCCCAGGCTGGAGTGCAGTGGCACAATCTCTGCTCACTGCATCCTCTGCCTCCTGAGTTCAAGCAGTTCTCTTGTCTCAGCCTCCCAAATAGCTGGGACTACAGGTGCCTACCACCACATCCAGCTAATTTTTGTATTTTTAGTAGAGATGGTATTTCACTTTGTTGGTTGGGTTGGTCTCAAACTCCTGACCTCAGGTGATCCACCCCGCTTGGCCTCCCAAAGTGCTGGGATTACAGGCATGAGCCACTGCACCCGGCCTAGAAATACTACTGATTTGTGTATGTTGATTTTGTATCCTATAAATTTACTGAATTTGTCGATCAGTTCTAAGGGTTCTTTGGTGAAGTCCTTAGGTTTTCTGATATTTAAGATTATATCATCTGCAAAAAAAGACAATTTGACTTCCTCTTTTCCAAATGGGTGGCCTTTATTTTTTTCTCTTGCTTCATTGTTCTGAATTCGATTCTAGTACTATGTTGAATAAGAGTGGTGAAAGTGGCTATCTTTGTCTTGTTCCACTTCTCAGAGGAAAAGCTTTCAACTTCAGTCTGATGTTAGGTGTGAGATTGTCATTTGTGGTCTTCATTGTGGTTGAGGTACATTTCTTTTATATCTAAGTTGTTCTGAACTTTCATCAAATGATATAGTTTTGATATTTGTCACCTTCAAATCTCATGTTGAAATTTGATCCCCGGTGTTGGGGATGGGGCCCAGTGGAAGGTCTTTGGGTCATGAGGGCAGATCTCTCATGAATGGCTTAATGTCCTCCCTCTAGGAACAAGTGAGTTCTTGCTGTTAAATCACAGGAGAGCTGGTAATGTTTAAAAGAAGGTGTCATGCCTCCCTTCATTCTTTCTTTTTCCTTCCTCACATCATGTGATGCCAGCCCCACTTCCCCTTCTGCTGTGAGTGAAAGCTTTCTAAAGCCCTCACTGGAAGAAGATGCTGGTGCCATGCTTCTTGTAGAGCCTGTGAAACCATGCACAAAATAAGCCTCTTTTCTTTATAAATTACCCAGCCTCGGGTATTCCTTTATAGCAATGTAAATGGACTAAGACAGAAGGGATACTGAATTTTATCAAATGGGTTTTCTGTGTCTATTGAGATGATAATATGGTTTTTGCCTTTCATTCTGTTGATAGAATATATCATGTTTTGCATATGCTACTTCACTTTTGCATCCCTGGTATAAATCCTACTTGATCATGGTGTATAATCTTTTTGATGTTCTATCGGATTTGGTTTTCTAGTGTTTTGTTGAGTATTTTTAAAAACATGTTCATCAGGAATATTGGCCTGTAGTTCTCTCTCTCTCTTTTTTTTTTTTTGTATCCTTATCTGGTTTTGGTATCAGGGTAATGCTGTCCTTGTAAAATGGAGTTTGGAAAAATTCCCTTTACTTTGCTTTTTTTAAAACAGTTTAAGAATAGGTGTTAGTTATTCTTTAAAAGCCTGGGTAGAATTTGGCAGTAAAGCCATCTGATCTTGGGCTTTTCTTTGTTGAGAGACTTTTTATTACTGATTAAATCTAATTACTGGTATTAGTCTATTCAAATTTTTTATTCCTGGTTCAATCTTGGTAGGTTGTATGTGTCTAGGAATTTACTCATTTCCTCTAGGTTTTCTGATTTGTTTGCATATAGTTGTTCATAAGAGTCTCTGATGTTCCTTTATATTTCTGTGGCATCAGTTATAATGTTTCCTTTTTCATTTTTTATTTCATTTATTTGAATCAATTTTTCTTAGTCTAGCTAATTGTTCATTTTGTTTATCTTTTCAAAAAACAACTTTTTTTAGTCTCAGTTTTGCTTATTTCTCCTCTAATCATTATTTTTCTTCTGCTAATTTTGCAAAGGTTTGGTTTGTTTTTGCTCTTCTAATTCTTTTAGGTGTATTGCTAGGTTGTTTATTTGAAATCCTTTTACCTCTTTGATGTGGGTGTTCATTTTTATAAACATCCTTCTTAGTACTGCTTCTGTTGTATTCCACAGGTTTTGTTATGTTGTGTTTCTATTTTCATTTGTTTCAAGAAATTTTCCGTTTCCTTCTTACTTTCTTCATTAACCCATTGATCACTCAAGAGCATATTGTTTAATTTCCATTTATTTGTCTAGTTTCCAAAGTTGTTATTTTTACTGATTTCTAATTTTATTCTTTTGTGGTCAGAAAAGATACTGATATGATTTTCATTTTTAAAAGTTTGCCGAGACTTGTTTTGTGGCCTAAGATATGGTCTATCCTAAAGAATGTTCCAGGTGTTAATGAGAAGAATATGTATTCTGCATCTGTTGGATGAAATGTTCTGTAAATGTCTGATACATCTATTTGGTCTATAGCCCAGTTAAAATCTCATATTTCCTTGTTGATTTTTGTTTAGGTGATCTGTACAGTACTGAAAGTGGAGTATTGAAGTCTCCAACTCTTATTGTATTGAAGTAATCTCTCCTTTTAAATCTAATATTTGCCTTATATACCTAAGTGTTCTGGAGTTGGATGCACATACATTTACAATTATTATATCTTCTTGCTGAATTGATCCATTTATCATTATATAATAATCATCTTCGTCTCTTTCTATAATTTTTTACTTGAAGCCTGTTGTATTTGACATAAAGATAACTACTCCTGTTTGCCTTTGGTTTCTGTTTGCATGGGATATCTTTTGCCATATTTTCATTTTTGTTCTATGTATGTCTTTACAGGTGTAGTGAGTTTCCTGTAGGCAGCATGTAGTTAGGTCATGTTTCTTTAATCATGCAGCTAGTTTATATACTTTAATTGGGGGATTTAATCTGTTTATATTCAAGGTTATTATTGATAGGTAAAGAGTTACTCTTGTCATTTTGTTAGTTATTTTTTGATTGTGTTGTGTATTCTGTGTTTCTTCCTCTTTTATTTATTTATTTATTTTGAGATGGAGTTTTGCTCTTGTTGCCCAGGCTGGAGTGCAATGGTGCGATCTCAGCTTACAGCAACCTCTGCCTCCTGGGTTCAAGCCATTCTCCTGCTTCAGCCTCCAAAGTAGCTGGGAATACAGGTATGAGCCACCACGCCCGGCTAATTTTGTATTTTGTTTTTTTAGTAGAGACGGGGTTTGTCCATGTTGGTCAGGCTGGTGTCGAACTCCGAACCTCAGGTATCTGCCCACCTCAGCCTCCCAAAGTGCTGGGATTACAGGCGTGAGCCACTGTGCCCAACCTCTTCCTCTTTTATTGTTTATCTTCATGATTTGGTGGTTTTCCACAGTAATGAGGTTTGCTTTCTTTCTCATTCTCTTTTGTATCTCTTCTCTACTAGTGAGTTTTATACTTTCATGTGTTTTATCTTAATGGTATATATTCTTTTGCTCCCAAATGTAGGACTTTTTAAAGCATTTTTTGTAGAGCTGGTCTAGTGGTGATGAATTTTATCAGTTTTTGCTTATCTGGGAAAGGCTTTATTTTTCCCTCTTTTCTTGGGGATAGCTTTGCTGTGTATAGCATTTTTTTTTTTTTTAAGATGGAGTCTCACTCTGTCGCCCAGGCGGGAGTGCAGTGGTGCGATCTTGGCTCACTGCAAGCTCCGCCTCCCAGGTTCACGCCATTCTCCTGCCTCAGCCTCCTGAGTAGTTGGGACTACAGGTGCCTGCCATTCTCCTGCCTCAGCCTCCTGAGTAGCTGGGACTACAGGTGCCCGCCACCACGCCTGGCTAATTTTTTGTATTTTTTAGTAGAGACGGGGTTTCACCGTGTTAGCCAGGATGATCTTGATCTCCTGACCTTGTGATATGCCTGCCTTGGCCTCCCAAAGTGCTGGGATTACAGGCATGAGCCACCGCGCCCGGCCTGTGTATGGCATTCTTGGTAGAATTTTTTTTTTCTTTCAGTGATTTGAACATATTATCCCATTTTCTCCTGGACTGTAACCTTTCTGCTGGGAAATCTTCTTTTAGTATAATTGGGATTCCTTTACATGTGACTCGATGCTTTTCTCTTGTTGTTAAAATTGTCTCTCTGTCTGGACTTTTAAAAGTTTAACTAAATTGTGCCTCAAAGAGGACACTTTTGGGCTGAATCTATTTTAGAGTTTTGAACTTCTTGAATGTAGAAGTCCATATTTCTCCCATGACTTAGGAAGTTTTTTCCTTCCATCCTTCCTTCCTTCCTTCCTTCCCTCCCTCCCTCTCTCTTTATTTATTCCTTCCTTCCTTTCTTCCCTCCCTCCCTCCCTCTCTCTCTTTCTTCCTTCCTTTCTTCCCTCCCTCCCTCTCTCTTTCTTTTCTTTTCTTTTCTTTTCTTTCTTTCTTTCTCTTTCTTTCTTCTTTTTCTTTCTTCCTTCCTTCTTTCCTTCCTTCCTTCCTCCCTTCTCTTCCCTTTCCCCTTCCTTCCTTCCCTCCCTCCCTCCCTCTCTTTCTTCCTTCCTTCCTTTCTTCCCTACCTCCCTCTCTCTCTCTCCTTTCTTCTTTCTTTCTCTTTATTCCTTCCTTCCTTCCTCCCTCCCTTCCCTTCCTTTCCCTTTCTCCTTCCTTCCTTCCTTCTTTCCTCCCTCCCTTCCCTTCCTTTCCCTTTCTCCTTCCTTCCTTCCTTCTTTCCTTCCTTCCTTCTTCTTTTGTTGGAGTCTCACTCCATTGCCCAGGCTGAAGTGCATTGGTAGAATCTCAGCTCACTGCAACCTCCACCTCTTGGGTTCAAGTGATTCTCCTGCCTCAGCCACCCAAGTAGTTGGGATTGCAGGCATGCACCACCCCACATGGCTAATTTTTGTATTTTTAATAAAGATGGGGTTTCATCTTGTTGGCCAGGCAGGTCTCGAACTCCTGACCTAAGGTAATTCACCTGCCTCAGCCTCCCAAAGTGCTGCGATTACAGGCATGAGCCACCACCCCTGGCCAGCTATAATTTTCTTGAATAGGCTTTCTATACTTTTTCCTATCTCTTTTTCTGGAACTTTCATAATGCAAAAATTTATTTGCTTAATGATGTCCCATAAATCCTGTAGGCCTTCTTCACTCTTTTTTATTCTTTTTTCTTTTTGCATGAATGGGTTATTTCAAAAGACCTGTCTTCAGATGAAGTTCAGAAATTCTTCTGCTTGATCTAGTCTATGGTTGAAGCTCTCAATTATATTTGTATTTCATTCATTGAATTCTTCATTTCCAAGATTTTTGTTTGGTTTCTTTTATGATATATACCTCCTTATTGAGTTTATCATTCAGATTATGATTTTTTTTGTTTTGTTCAATTGTCTATGTATTATTTTGTGTCTTGTTGAGTGTCCTTAAGATCATTATTTTGAATTCCTTTTTAGGCATTTTACAGATTTTCTTTTCTTTGTGGTTTGTTACTGGGGAATTATTGTTTTCCTTTGGAGGGGTCATGTTTCCTTGCTCTTTAATGCTTCCTGTGTCCCTACATTGATATCTGCACATGCAGTGGAACAATCCCCTCTTCCAACTTTATGGATTAGCTTAAGTAGCTACATTTACATGAAAGTCTTTTCCATATGAGTTCTGTAGTATTGGTTGAGTAGGGTGCTTTAGCTTTGGTCCTGGGTGGGCAAATTAGTGTAGTCTCCATGTGATTTGTTTGGCTGCAATCAATGTCATCAGTGTCTGTGAGTGCCTCAGTGGCCTAGACTGTAGCTGCTTGTGGAGGCAGTTTTGTAGCTTTTCTGGGTCTATGGGCTGCCTGGCAGGCCAGCTCTCAGTTCTTGAGGCTCTGCAGGCCAGGTGTAATGGCTCCACCAATTGCAGGGGTGGTTTTGCTGGTAGCAGCAGGTACCCGGCAGGCCATCCTTAGGCCCTTGGGAGAGTCTGCAGAGCATGGTGGCTCTGCTGGAATTTCTTGGTTTTGATCAGCACTTTAGTTTTCTTGCATTTACTCTTGGTGGGACATTAAATCCCATGTCTGCCTCTCACTCAGGTAATCAAAGGGGACAATCCTTCTTCTCCCTGCCCTAGACACTGTCAGAGAGTTCAATCAGATGTTCTTGGCTGGAATTTTGAAATTAAATGAGTGACCCAAAGAAAAACACTGGAAAGTATCAGAAAGTCTCTCATCCCAGGCAGGCATGTCCTGATTAAACCAGTCTTACTACCGGTTATTGGCTATGGTTTCTGCTTCCCTGGCTCTCAGAACTAGCTCAATTTTCAAACTGGTGCTTCAGATCTCTGTTGATCTTACCTGTTGATCTGTAAGTCTTTCAGAACCTCTAATAAGTTGTTCAGATTTGATTTTTGTTGTTTCTACCCAGGAACCCTAACTTGTGCTCCCACCCTTTCAGGTCATGCCACACACACAAATTTGTATGAAAATTGTGTATTTATAGCACAGTGGGATAAACCAAGGACAAATTCTTACTGAATAAGACCTCTGGTAGTTGTTCTGAGAAGAGAAATGACCAGTCTCAGCACACCTGCACCCCAGTCTCAGCCCACCAATGGACAAAGCACATCAGGTGGAAGCTCTGCCCTCATTTATAAAGCTATTGATGTACATTTAGATTGTTTCCAATTTTGCACTATAAGAAACTATGCTATAATAGGTATCCTGCAATGTTTCTTTTCATCCTAAATTAACTTATTGAATTCAAAATTTCTCCAAAATTTGGTCCACAGTAAATTTTTAGAAAGCATTTATTATAAATCATAATGGTGTCTATACTTTCCCTCTGTCTTACAAAGAATATTTCTACTAGCTCTAGGCAAAAGACCTCCTTAGATACCCTACTGAATGATGCCACTTGCTTTGTTCTCCTCTGTGGAACGGGGTAGACTTCATCACACAGAAGACTCAAGTTGCAAGGCTGCTTTTGGGTTAAAAACAAAAATTCTGCATTTTATCTACAAGTTGTATATATCTTTCAGATCGTGACAGACTGCTATGTCCTGTCACAGTTGTGAAGACTTTATAGAACTATAACAGAGAAGTAATGCAGCAACCATCGTGTTTCAAGGACTTACTATGTGTGACACAATTGTAGGTGCTGCACCTGTAAAGATTCATTTGATCCTCACATCCGCCCTATAAGGAAGATCCTATTATCAGTCGCAATTGACAGATCAATAAACTGAGACAAGAGAAAATAAACCTTTCTCAATGTTACTTGGATAGTAAGCAGTGGAGTTAGAAATTAAATCCAGAACCATATTGTTCCACAGGCCTCAGGAAAAAGTATATTAAACCAGATACCTTTACTTTAGCATTTTAGAAAATATACTAACTTTATATCTCTCAGACATCCAGATTGATATCTGTTTGTTTTGATTTTTTAAAAAATAAAATGTAATGGTTGTCATAAAAATAGAACAATTTTACTATTTTAAAAATTGAGGACGACCAAAGGCAACGATTAACAGGAAAAGAAATATGTCGTAGTAATTCCATTGTTTCCCAGTGTTCCAAACCACCCTTAATATTTTGATGAAATTCTCTTTTGTATGTATATTAGACATGTTAAGATTTGTTTTATAGAGTGAAGACATACTATACTAATAGGTTTTGTTTGTTTGTTTTAGAGACAGGGACTTGCTCTTTTGCCCAGAGTAGAGTGCAGATTGATCATGGCTCGCTGTAACCCCAAGCTTCCTGGGCACAAGAGATCCTTCTGCCTCTCAGCCTCCCAAATAGCTGGGACTATAGGTGTAAGCCATCATGCCTGGCTAAGTTTTTTGTTTTTTGTTTTTTTTAAGAGATGGGGTCTTTTTATGTTACCCAGGCTGGTCTTGGACTCCTGACCTCAAATGATTCTTCCACCTTGGCCTCCCAAAATGCTGGAATTGCAGGCATGAACCACTGTGCATGGCCCTGTACATATAGTTTTATATCTCAGGTTTATTATGTAAAATCTTATTATGAACATTTTACACATTGTTAAATAATATTCCAATCTTGATTTTTAATGGTTACATAATATCCCATGAACTTGAATGTACTATCATTTAGTTAATTACTTTCCTTTTGTTGGCATTTAGGTCAATATGGATTTTTTGCAGAAATGGCTATTACTGTGATGAATAGTCTCGTGGTTTCAATCCTGATTTTCTGGGACTTTTATCAACTCTAAGAAAATCCTGAGTACTTTGCAATCATGCCAGTTCATGTAATGTTGATGCCAAACTCTGCAGTTGGGTAGGCATACTCTGTCAGGCCCATTCCCCTCACTCTCAGATGCAATTAGAAGTCATGAGAAAATGAATTGAAAGACAGATCAAATAGATGTTCACACTTAAACCCTAGACGTGGTCTCTGATACATTTTTATTATTACCCTTCTTCAACAGAATTCGCTAGGTTAAAGCCGGGTCCAGGGGCCAAGCAGATCATATGTGAATTCAAAGGAATACATCAAGTTTAAATTGTATTTTGGAATAATTTGTGATCAATCATTTGAAGTTTCCAAGAAATGTGTCAGAGAGTTTTTAAGAAGTCATTATTATTATTTTCCAGTCTTAAGAACTCAAAGGCCCCCAATTTTTTTTTTCAATTGCTGCTGAACAAATTAACCAAAACCTTTTTTTTGTGATTAAAAACTGTATAAATTTCCAGCTAATCATCATATCCTACTCTATGTGGTTCACAGTTGATCAGAACATTCACTGCAGCCCAGTTCACTGATACTGGGTCAGAAATTATCTTCTTCCCTCATAGCAGTTTTCTACAAAGGAACATGGAGAACAGTCCTCTCCATTTTCATACACTGTTTCTTTTTACTGATACATTTGCAATCCAAGTTTCTTAAACCAATATTTCCTAAAGCATACTCATGGGATAATTTTTTTTTTTGAGACCTCAAGTGATCCACCCACCTTGACCTCAGAAAGTGTGTGAGCCACCGCTCCTCGCCAGGATAACTTTTTTTTAAATGAAGTTCCAAAGAACTGGTGGTGGTGTAGTGGTAAGCTCATGCATGGGCACTGCAGCCAGCCTTCCCTGGCCTGCACAGAGGCTTTACCTCTCACAGCTTCTATGTCCACATCTTTAAAGTGGCGATAAGTGTACTTACCTTATAGCATTGCTATGAGGACTAAAGAAGGTAGTAAACATATGAACAGTGCTTAACACAATGACTGGCATGTTGTATGTGCCAAGTAAGTATTATCTATTATTATAACATAATAATACTATTGTAAATTAGTTTGGGAAATTCTGGGTTGAAGCCTGCTTGCTTGTTTGTACACTGCAAGACTTCTCAGAACCTGCAATGGGTAATGTTTTTTTGAATCTCTAGAAGGGTTTCCCGAGCTTATTTGATAAGGAAACTATCTTTTAAAGAGGACTTTTCAGGAGGAATGCCCCAGAAAAGCTTTCTGGAAACAGCCCCAAACTAAAAAACTGATGTCGGTCAACACTCTTTTTACTTCTGTATCCACGTTGCTAAATTTCAACTCAATAATTTAAGATTACCATTAAAGTGCTCTTACTAAACTCAACCTGTTCTATGCTGCTTTTGCTGCAGCTCACATCTTTGTGTAAACACATGATGATGAAGAGAAAATAATTACCCTCAAGCGAGCCCACACAGACGGTTGTATGCCCACACATGCACATACACAAACACAATGTTATGGGTAGGGCCATCTGAATGGGGCTAGTGTCAGTAAGAGGAGACAAAGTTTGTTGTTATTTTTGAGACCGGGTCTCACTTTGTTGCCTAGACTGGAGTGCAGTGGCATGATCATAGCTCACTGCAGCTTCTACCTCCCAGGCTCAAGAAATCCTCCTGCCTCAGCCTCCTGGTAGCTGGGAGTACAAGCACGCACCACCACACCCTGCTAATTTTTAAAAACATTTTTGTAGGGGTGGGGTCCCAGTATGTTGCCTAGGGTGGTCTCAGATTCTGGGCTCAAGTGATCCTCCCATGCCAGCCTACCAAAGTGTTGGAATTACAGGCATGAGCTACTGCGCCCAGCCAAAGTTTTTTATTTCACTTTAATTTATATCACATCTGGAAAAATATGTGTTTACTAACAAATATAAGCCCCTAATAAATATTTGATTGGGAGGGATCAGAATCTCCCAACTATTAAGCATATGTTGCCTCTGTGGTTTTGGTAAATATACAGGATCCCCAAAACCACTAACTTCTGTTTTTAAAACTTTAAGTATAATTTTCATATTGCAAAGTTCTTCTATTTGAAGTATACCATTCAAAGACGTTTAGTAAATTTACTGAGTTTTACAGCCCTCAGCATAATCCTGCTTTAGAACATTTCCATCACCCCAGGGAAGATCTCTCATACCCATTTACATACCTGTTTAACCTATATTATTACCCCCACACTGGCATCCTGGGCAACCATGAATAGACTTCCTGTCTCTATAGATTTGCCTTTTCTGGACATTTCTTTTTTTAATCTTATTATTATTTGCTAGAGACAAGGGTCTTCAAGGGTCTTACCACATTGCTCAGGTTGTTCTCAAACTCCTGGCCTCAAGTGATCCTCTCACCTCAGCTTCCCAAAGTGCTGGGATCATTTCACATAGATGGAATCATACAATAGGTAATGTTTTGTTTCTGACTTTTTTCAATGAAAATATTTTTGAGGTTCATCCACGTTGTGGTATGTATCAATAGCTTGCTCATTTTTGCTCCTATTAAGTAGTACTCTATTGTGTGGATAAAACATATTTTGTTTATCCACCCATCAGTTAACGGACTGCTTTTACTTGGGTTATTATGAATAATGCTGTTTTGAATATTTGCAAGCAAGTCTTTGTGTATATATATCGTTCTTTCATGAATAAAGTTATCTTCCTTGCTTTCACTATCATTTCTTTATATTTGGCAAGATGGAAATGGATCTATTTTGACCAGATTTCTTTGTTCATCATATACTTACCAAGTCAAATAAGAAGTCATTGAGACCCCTATCCTAAAAGCGAAATTGCTGGGTCTCAATGATTTCTTATTTGACTTGGTAAGTATATGATGAACAAAGAATTCTGGTCAAAATAAATCCATTTCCATCTTACCAAATATAAAGAAATGATAATGAAGGCAAGGAAGATACCTTTATTCATGAAAGAATGATGATTTCTTAGGAACTTTATTTTGCTGCATGTTATTTGTTATTTGTTGTAAATCCCTTATTCATAAAGTGACTATTCAAAGCTGCTCTTTGAAGGAAGCTATAAGTAGATATGGCGGCTGTAACTCGGCATTCATTTCAAATTCCTTCTCTTGTATCTTTTTGTACCACACAGGTTGGAAAACAGAAACACTGTTCCTGAGAGGGAACCTTGGGAGGTTACAAACCTTGAGAGCTGGGTTCCTGGTTGTGAATTAGGTGCTTCTGGTTACGTCCTGAGACTTGGAAAGTGGAAAGTGGTAGAGCTTTATTCTGGTTGCTTGGCTATTTTGCTCCTGACAGGTGCAGGACACATCGTGTTTTTCTGTAGTATTCCAGTACCCAGGGTGTAGTTTTATGAATATTAAAGAGCATTAGTGGTTTCCTGAGCCTCAGATCACAGTTACAGTGGTATGATCTTGTGGTCAGCAGTTCTATCCAGTTCCATTTTCAGGAATGTGGGAGGTGGTCTCTCACAGTGGGCTAGTTTGGAGGTGTCCTTCTGGGAGTCATTCCTGGAGATCAGTGTAGAACCAGACTGCCTAACAATCTTTAAGGGCCTAATTGCCATGTTAAATTCCTTCTGCTTAACACACCTAGCATAGCTTCTGTGTCCAGCAACAGAACCCTGCTAATTTCAAAGTCTAAAAAGTATTACTGGATAATAATACAAAATAGCCAGGGGATCTTGGGGTCAATTACCCAGTAACAATTCTTCACTGAGACAAGAATTCAGAACAAGTGATTTATTAAGGAAGCTCTACCAGGAAACCCTGGCAATGGAATAGGAGAGTCAAAAAGGGTAGGGGAAGATGCCAGGCAAGGATGGGATCTTAGTTAAGCCTTACAGAGAGCAGCTTTTGCTCAATCCCACATGGAAAGTGATGTTAAGTGTTGTTAGTGATGCCTTGGAGCTGTTCTAATCCAGAGCAAGAGAGCTGGGTCTCATACTGTTATATCTGTTAGTCATTGGTTAAGAGCTGACCTAGGGGTGGGAGTTTTCAGGGACTTCAGCTCACTGGGTTTACAGGCAATATGGTTCCAGTTGCAAATGTTAGTCCTCCAAAGAAAAACTGTAGGCACTGGATGTTTGAAGTGACCATACTTAAAGACAAGAGGGGTGCAAAAAAATGGTAAGAAGGGAACTGAGGGGATTTGGGCAATGCTCAGAGGTACACTGGACTTGTTCTATACTGGGACTAAGATACTGGAACACTGGCAATCCTCTGACATAGTGAGATTTCTTTTCTGTTGATGCAAATTGAGGGTTAATCATAAAAACAAAATGGAGGCCACAGTATTAGCCATAAGCAAGAGGTTTGACTCAAACTTCACTTTTTAATCAATTAATGTTAAACAGACAATGGAGGTTTGTCTGTTTTCTACTGTGGTCTCAACCATCATTAATACTTATTGGGTATCTGTTTTAATCAAGGACCTGTTAGGTGCTAGGGATATGAAGAGATATAGAATCCAAACTCATTGGCAGGGCCCAAAATATTGCCAGGCATCAGCCCTGTTTATTCTCCCACAGTTTCCCATTTCCCTGCTTACATTTAATGCTCCTTACAGAACTTTTTGCAAGCAATTCGAGTATGCTGTTCTGTTTCCCAATTCAATGTCTTCTCACATGCCATTTCTTCAGTTTGAATGCCCTTCTTGTCTCTTTGGCAGTTCCCTTCTCATTCGTCATAATCCAAGTTATGGCAGATACTGTGGATGGGAACAATAGTTCCCAACTCCTCCTCTGTTCATTTCCACTGAGAGACAGAGACAGAGACAGAGAGAGAGAGAGAGAGAGAGAGAGAGAGAGAGAGAGAGAGAGAGACAGAGAAAGAAACCAAGACCCTTTTGCAGCCTTTTTTGCTGTCATGGTTGACCAGGAACTTAGTTCTAGCCAATATAACAAGGGGGAATATCTACTTGGGGCTCTGGGGAAAGTTTCTGCTTTCTTTTTTCTTTCTTTTTTTTTTTTTTTGAGATGGAGTTTTGCTCTTTTTGCCCAGGCTGGAGTGCAATGGTACGATTTCGGCTCACCACAACCTCCGCCTCCCAGGTTCAAGTGATTCTCCTGCCTCAGCCTCCCGAGTAGCTGGGATTACAGGCATGTGCCACCACACCTGGCTAATTTTGTATTTTTAGTAGAGACAGGGTTTCTCCATATTGGTCAGGCCGGTCTCGAACTCCCGACCTCAGGTGATCTGCCCACCTCGGCCTCTCAAAGTGCTGGGATTACAGGCATGAGCCACTGCGCCTGGCCAAGTTTCTGCTTTCTAATAACAGAGACAGTTACAACAGGAGAGCTGTTGGCGTTGCCCTTTCCTCCTTCTTCCTGAATTGAACATGAATGGATCCAATGCAGAAACTTTTCAAGTGAGCTTGATGATCAAGCATGAAGGAAGGCAACACAGCCGGACGGAAAGAGCTAGAGATTATGATGTGATCAGGAGCTCCTGAGCCAGAACCAGTAACTACCCATCTCTGAGTTTCTTGTTATAAGAAAAAATTAGACTCTGTTTAACCTGGGGAATGGAAAATTCTGGCCATGAATCTGGCTGCTTGTTTTTTCTGTTATTGTAGTCAAAGCATTCTTTGTTTTTCATTTTTAACTTTTGTGGGTATATAGTAGGTGTAGATATTTATTGGTTACAAGTGATACAGGCATGCAATGCGTAATAATCACATCAGTGTAAATGGGATGTCCACCACCTCAAGCATTTATCCTTTGTTACAAACAATCCAATTATACTCTTTTAGTTATTTTTAAATGTACAATTAAATTATTTTTTACTATAGTCACCTCATTGTGCTAGAAAATACTAAGTTGTATTTATTCTTTCTATTTTTTTGTACCCATTAACCATCCTCGCTTTCTCCCCTTCCCCCAATTCCTGCCCCACTGTCCTTCCCGGCATCTGGCAACCATCCTTCTATTCTGGAACTGCAGGAGCTCAATTACTTGAATTTTCAGCTCTCACAAATAATTGAGAACATGTGAAGTTTGTCTTTCTGTGCCTGGCTTATTTCACTTAACATAATGACCTCTACTTCCATCCATGTCATTGCAAATGACAGGATCTCATTCTTCTTTATGGCTGAATAGTATTCCATTGTGTATATGTACGACATTTCCTTTATCTATTCATCTGCTGATGGGCATTTCGGTTGCTCCCAAATCTTGGCTATTGTGAACAGTGCTGCAATAAACATGGGAGTGCAAATATCTCTTCAATATATTGATTTCCTTTCTTTTGGGTATATACCCAGGACTGGAATTACCAGATAGTATGGTATCTCTATTTTCAGTTTTTGAGGAACCTCCAAGCTGTTCTCCACAGTGGTTGTGCTAATTTACATTACCACTGACAGTTTATGAGGGTTCCGTTTTCTTCACATCTTCACCAACATTTGTTATTGCCTACTTTTGGATGAAAGCCATTCTAACTGGGGTGAGATGGTATCTCACTGTAATTTTGATTTGCATTTCTCTGATGATCATTGATGTTGAGACATCATTGAAAACTATTTGCCACTTGTATATATTCTTTTGAGAAATGTCTATTTAGATTTTTTGCCTGTTTTAAAATCAGATTATTGGAATTTTTCCCATAGAGTTGTTTGAGCTCCTTATCTATTCTGGTTATTAATCCCTTGTCAAATGGGTAGTTTGCAAATATTTTCTCCCATTCTGTGGGTTGTCTCTTTACTTTGTTGATTGTTTCCTTTGCTGTGCAGAAGTTTTTTAACTTGATGTGATTCCATTTGTCCATTTTTGCTTTGGTTGTCTGTGCTTGTGGGGGTATTCCTTAAGAAATCTTGGCCCACTCCACTGTCCTGGAGAGTTTCCCCAATGTTTTCTTAATAGTTTCATAATTGGAGGTTTTAGATTTAAGTCTTTAATTCATTTTTATTTGATATGGCAAGAGATTAAGTCTAGTTTCATTCTTTTGCATATGAATATTCAGTTTTTACAGCACCATTTATTGAAGAGACTGTCCTTTCCTCAAAGTATGTTCTTGGCATCTTTGTCTAGTGAGTTCACTGTAGTTATATAGATTTATCTCTGGGTTCTTAATTCTGTTCCACTGATCTACGTGTCTGTTTTTATGCCAGTACCCTGCTGTTTCGGTTACTATACCTCTGTACTATGATTTAAAGTCAGTTAATGTGATTCCTTCCATTTTGTTCTTTTTGCTTCATATGGCTTTGGCTATTCTGGGTCTTTTGTGGTTCCACATACATTTTAGGATTATATTTTCTATTTCTGCGAAAAATGTCATTGGTATTTTCATAGGGTTGCATTAAATCTGTAGATTGCTTTGGATAGTATGGACATTTTAACAATATTGTCTCTTCCAATTTATAAACATGGAATATTGTTCCATTATTTGTGTCCTCTTTAATTTCTTTCATCCACATTTCATAGTTTTCATATAGTCTTCTCTCTTCTTAGTCTGACTAAACATTTGCCACTTTAGTTTACCTTTTCAAAAAACCAACTTTTTGTTTTGTTGATCTTTTGTATTGTTTTCTGTGTTTCAATTCTTTTCTTCTACTCACTTTAGGTTTGGTTTGCATTTGCTTTCCTAGTTTTTTAAGACGCATCATTAGGTTATTTATTTGACTTTTTTCTTCTTTTCTGATGTAGGCACTTATAGCTATAAACTCCTCCCTTAGTACTGCTTTAGCTGTATCCCATAAGTTTTGGTATGTTGTGTTTCCATTATCATCTGTTTCAAGAAATTTTTCAATTTCCTTTAAAAATTTGTCTTATTGACCCATTGGTCATTCAGAAACATATTTAATTTCCATAGCTTGTATAGTTTCCAGAATTCCTCATGTTATTGATTTCTAGTTTTATTCCATTGCAGT
Organism: Homo sapiens; assembly: GCF_000001405.40. Classification (NCBI taxonomy): domain Eukaryota; kingdom Metazoa; phylum Chordata; class Mammalia; order Primates; family Hominidae; genus Homo; species Homo sapiens. The sequence goes on from NC_000004.12 coordinate 146,019,945, forward strand.
CAGAGAAGATGCTTGATATGATTTCAAAGTTTTTGAATGTTTTAAGACTTGTTTTGTGACCTAACATATGATATATCCTTGACAATGATCCATGTGTTGAGGAGAAGAATGTGTATTCTGCAGCTGTTGCATAAAATGTTCTGTAAATATCTATTAGGCCCATTTGGTCTATAGTGCAGATAAAGTTTGAAGTTTCTTTGTTGATTTTCTGTCTGGAAGATCTGTCCAATACTGAAAGTGGGGTATTGAAGTCTCCAGCTATTATTGTATGGGAGTCTCTCTCTCTTTAGTTCTAATAATATTTGCTTTATATATCTGGATGCTCCAGTATTGGGTGCATATATATTTACAATCCTTATATCCCCTTGCTGAATTGACCTCTTTATTATTATATAATAACCTTCTTTGTCTCTTCTTATAGTTTTTGTCTTGAAATCTATTTTTTCTGATGTAAGTATAGCTGGTCCTGCATTTTTGTGGTTTTCTTCGGAATGGAATACCTTTTTCTATACCTTTATTTTCAGTCTACATGTGTCTTACAGGTGAAGTCTGTTTTTTGTAGATAACAGATCATTGGACCTTGTTTTTAAAATCTTTTCAACCACTCTATGTCTTTTGATTAGAGAGTTTAATTCGTTTATAGTCAATGTTATTATCAATAAGTAAGGGCTTACTCTAGCCATTTTGTTGTTTATTTTCTGGTTGTTTTGTGGTCTTCTCCTTCTTTCCTTCCATTCTGTCTTTCTTTTAGGGAAGGTGATTTTCTATGATGGTATAATTTAATTTTTTGCTTTTCATTTTTTGTGTATTTATTGTATTATTTTATTTGAGCTTACTACAAGGCTTGTAAATACTGTCTTATAACCCATTATTTTAAGCTGACAAAAACTTAACACTGTTTACATAAACAAACAAGGAAAAAGAAAACTAATAAAAACTCTATGCTTTAACTTTGTCTCCCTGCTTTTTAACTTTTTATTGTTTCTATTTATATCTTATTGTATTGTCTACATCTTGAAAAGTTGTGGCTATTATATTTGATTGATTCATTGTTTTGTCTTTCTACTTAGATAAGAGTAATTTACACACCACAGTTATAAACACGCAGTGTTATAATTGTCTGTGTGTTTTCAGTGTACTTACTATTACCAGTGAGTTTTGCACTCATTATTCATTATGTCCTTTTCTTTCTCAGTGAAGTATTTCCTTTAGCATTTCTTATAGGACAGGTCCTATAATGATGAAATCCCTCAGCCTTTGTTTGTCTAGGGACATCTTTATTTCCCTCATGTTTGAAGGGTTTTTTTTTGTTGTTGTTTTATTGTTTTTTTGTTTTTTGTTTTTTTGTTTTTTTTTGGCCAGATATACCATTCTAGGGTAAAATGTTTTTCCTTCAGAACTATAAATATGTCATGCCACTCTCTCCTGGCCTGTAAGGTTTTCATTGAAAAGTCTGCTGCCAGATATATTGGAGCTTTATTGTATGTTATTTGTTTCTTTCCTTTTGCTGCTTTTAGGATCCTTTCTTTAACCTTGACAATTGGAAGTTTCATTATTAAATGCTTTGTGGTCATCTTCTTTGGGTTAAATCTAGTGAGTGTCCTATAACCTTCTTGTTCTTGGACATTGATGTCTTTCTCTAGGTTTGGGACTTTCTCTGTTCTTATCCCTTTGAATAAAATGTATACCCCTGTCTCTTTCTCTACCTCTTCTTTAAGGCAAATAACTCTTAGATTTTCCTTTTTGATGCTATTTTCTAAATGCTGTGGGTTTGCCTTATTATTTTTTGTTCTTTTTTCTTTTGTCTCTTCTGACTGTGTATTTTCAAATAGCCCGTCTTTAAGCTCAGTAATTCTTTCTTCTGCTTGATTGTTTCTGTTATTAAAAGACTCTGAGGCATTCTTCAGTGTGTCAATTGCATTTTTCCACTCCAGAATTTCTGCTTTATTCTTTCTAATTACCTTAATCTCTTTGTTAAATTTATCTGATAGAATTCTGAATTCCTTCTCTGTATTATCTTTAATTTCTTTTGAGTTTCCTCAACACAGCGAATTTGGATTCTCTGTCTGAAAGGTCACATATCTCTATTTCTCCAGGATTGGTCCTTGGTGTGGTGTTTTATTTAGTTTATTTGGTGAGATCATGACCTCACCATGGATGGTCTTGATGCTTGTGGATGTTCATCTATGTCTGTGCATAGAAAAGTTAGGTATTAATTGTAGTCTTTGCACTCTGAGCTTATTTGTTCCTGTCTTTCTTGGGAAGGTTTTCCAGCTATTTGAAAGAATGTAGGTGTTCTGATCTAACCCATATCTGCATTACAGGGCACCCCACACCCAGTGACATTGTGTTTCTTTCAGACTTGTAAAGGTACTGCCTTGATGGTCTTAGATAAGATCGGGAAGAACACTCTGGATTACCAGGCAGAGACCCTTGTTTTCTTCCTTTCACTCAAACAAATAGAGACTCTTTCTCTCTGTTCTGAGACACCTGGGGCTGGGGCTGGGGTGACACAAACACCCCCATGACAACCACCACTGGGACTGTACTAGGTCAGACCTGAAACCAGCACAGCACTTGATTTTGCCCAAGGCTCACTGTAACTACTACCTAGCTGCCACCTATGTCCACTCAAGGCCCTGATGATGTACAGTCAGCAGGTGGCAAAGGAGATAGGCTGGTGTCTTTCCCTTCAGGATGCTGAGTTTCCTTAGGCCCCAAGCAGGTCCAGAGGTGCCATCCAGGAACCAGGGCCTGACATCAAAAACCTTAGAAGTCTATCTGGTGCTATATTGCACAATAGCTGAGCTGCCACTCAACTCACAAGATGCAGTCCTTCCCACTCTTCCCCCACTTTCCACAGGCAGAGGAGCCTCACCTCATGGCTACCACCACAGGCCCAAAGGGAGTACCCCCAGGCTACTGCCAATATCTCCCTTAAGGCCTAAGGGTTCTTCAGTCACTTTGTGGTGAATGCTGCCTGGCCTGTGACTCTTCAGGGCTGTGGGCTCCCTCTGGTCCAGGGAAGGTCCAGATATGTTATTCAAAAGCCAAGGCCTAGAATCAGGGACCCCAAGAACCCACTTGGTGATCTACTCTACTGTGGCCAAGCTGGTACTTCAGGTGCAAGACAAAGTCCTCTTTACCTTTCCTTCACTTTTCTCAAGCAGGAGGAGTTTCTGCCCATAGCCACCACAGCTGGAAATGTACTGAGTCTTACCTGAAGCCAGCAAGTCTCAGAGTCTCACCCAAGGCCTACGGCATACTACCTGGGTATTACTGCTAATTGTTCAGGGCCCAAGGGTTCTTTAGTCAGCAGGTGATGAATCCTTCCAGGACTCGGTCCTTCCCTTCAAGGCAGCAGGTTCTCTTCTGGCCCAGGGTGTGTCTAGAAATGTCCTGAAACTAAGGCCTGGATGGAGGCCTCATAACTCTGACTTGTGCTCTATCCTAATGTGGCTGAGCTGGTATCAAGATGCAAGACAAAGTCCTCTCCATTCTTTGTTCTCCTCCCCTCAAACAGAAGGGAGGGGTCTCTTTTGGAGCTGTGAGCTGTGCAGACACCTGAAAGGTGTCTCCCTAGGTCACATGCCCCTCAGTTCACTGGCTCAGAGCCCAGTTCAGCCCTAGGACTTGCCTATGAGTTGCAGTCCTTGTGGCCCAGACTGCCTTTTGAGTTTATTTAGGACTCCAGAGCACTTTAGCTCACGGTGGAAAGCCTTGCTGGAACTCAAGTTCTGACCACTGGGATGGGCGATGCTCCTCTGCTTAGGACTGGTTTAAATACTTCCTCTGTGGGCAGGTGTCAGAGGAGTTCAGCTCAGTTTTGCTTTCTGTTGTGACAGAGCACTACTGTGTTCAATGCAATGTCTCACAATTGCTGTGCTCTCCTTCTCCCAAGCACACAGATTTCCTCTCCACACCACATGGCCACTGCTGGGGCTGGGGGAGGAGAGGTGTCAGCAATTCAAGACTGTCTCCTATTCGCCTCACTACCTCATTCAGTGATATGAAGTTAAAACCAGGTACTGTGAATGCTCACCTGATTGTTGGTTCTTATGAAGGTGTTTTTTGTGTGTAGATAGTTGTTAAATTGTTGTCCTTGGGGGAGGGGAGATATTGGTGGAGGCTTCTATTTTGTCATCTTGCTCTGCACCTTCTCCTCAAAGCATTCTTAATTGAATGAAACATGACCAAATGATCACCTCATCTGGGATCTTCCCTCCACGCCTCCAGGTTATTAATGTATCATGTGTATTTGCAAATTATTTTATTGTACGTATCCCCCAGAGCTATATTAATTGCTTTCTCATTTATCTGCTAGGTATTGAGCTTGGAAGTGCAGGGCCAATGTCTTGTTTCTCCTGAATATTTAGCATCATTCCAGGTCCATACTCAATACTCAAAAAATGATTGTTGAGTGAAGGGAAGACATAGTCTCCCCTCTGTGACAGACACTGATTGTTGTCTTTCCCCTGCCGCCTGTCCCCATAGCCATACTATCCTCTGGCTGCAGCACTCTTCCTATCCTGCTCTATCCCTAATGTGCCCACTCTCCTTTCCCCCTCATTCCCCAGAGCACCACTACCATAGGGTATTGGGTATAGTCACTTAAGTGTAAGCCTGTCACGCTCAGTAAGAGTTTCAGAGTGATGCATGGAGATTTTAGCATAGCTGAGAACAGAGTACAACTTAAAATGAAGTTCCATATTAGACATCACCATCTGAAATTCTTCAGTGATTTGTACCATGGAGTATCTCATATTGGTTGTCTTTCTCTGCAGGGCCTGGCCTGCTGCCATTTTCTCTCTCAATTTCTCTCTCTTTCCCATTCTTTCTCTCTCCCCCCAGAAACCTCCTTTTCTTCTCCTTCATTTTAGAACACACTATCTGTATTTCCTCACTTCATTATGTAAATATATTGACAAATTTAATTCTCAAGGTCTTTCCAAATCAGGTCTGGACTTACTTTTGAATCTCAATGGTATCTTGTTAAACAAAAGTGTCATCTAACTCTGATGACACTTGGCACAAGGTTTTCGTTTATTTGTTTGTTTGTTTTGAGACAGTCTTGCTCTGTTGCCCAGGCTGGAGTGTAGTGGCACAATTATAGCTCAATGTAACCTTGACCTCCTGGGCTTAAGTGATCATCCAACCTCAGCCTCCCAAGTAGCTAGGACTATAGGCACATGCCACTGCATCCAGTTAATTTTTAACATTTTTTGTCTATATGGGGTATCACTACATTGCTAAGACTGGTCTCAAACTTCTGGCCTCAAGCAATCCTCCCGCCTCGGCCTCCCAAAATGCTGGGATTATATGCATGAGCCACTATGCCCAGCTCTTGGCAGAAGTTTTGAAATTCATTTTTCGTCTACTAATGCAGGTTCTTCAGCAGGGTTTATTGGAACCTGTAATCTGTGGGCTAGAGGTGGAATGGAGGTGGAGCGGTTCTTATTCTTGCTACAGATAAAAAAAACCATGATGATTTATCTTAGAAAAGAAAAAGCTAAGGAACAGTTTAATAGTCTTCAAATAAAAATTTTATTAGTATCTTGAGAGAGGAGAGTGGTGGCTCTGATAATCCTAAATTTATGAACAACTTTGAAATGTGTATGTTTGCACACTTGACTTAGCTAATTTTATAAAGAGTTTGTATTCACCTGGTTTTTGAGAATATGCTATCTAGGTCAGAAAAGGAGATGGTGCTGTGGTAATGTACAGGGTAACAGAGAAACTTAATTTAGGATTACAAAAAATGCCACAATGTGGATAATTAAGAGCTAGCTGTCCAAGAAGAGATATTATGTAATCATTCTTCAACCCCAGGAGCAACAGAAGTGGGACGAGAGAAGAGAAGAGTGAAGAAGCAGAGGTGTTCTGTTTTTACTCTTGTGGTGATAAAATGTTCTGCAATCTCTGCTGAGGGGTTTCCTGTCCCTTTAAGCAAAAGGATCACATCACAAAGTGTTTCCATGCCAGCTTTTGACTATCTTAGTTCACTCAGCTGAAATGATGGCTTTAGAAGCTGGTAGTACAGTGTAGACATACAGAGCCTACTTCAGCCAAGGACAGTGTTCCTTGGAATAGCTTCTACTGAGCTTCTGAGAACTAAACCAAGATACCATGTGCTGAATTCTTCCCCTCACCACCTCCCATATGTTGTTTTCCTGAGGTTGGCATAGAATGAACACACAGCCAGAGAAATAAGAAAAGTAAGACCATCCTGCTGCCCTACAAGAAGAAAAGGCATGATTTAAAAAAACTCAGGTTGTAAGGGCATTTAGAGTACCCTGTTCCCCACAACATACTTGCTACCTCCACCCATGTGTCTGCCAAGGAAAAAAGAACCAGGCTAAATAGTTAATGGAGTGACCTAGGATGTAGCCAAAGTTTAGCTCAGTGTGGGTCTGAACTGGACTCCATCCAAGGCAGCAGGTTTTATAGAGTCTGCAAGAATTAAAGAGAAGACATGAAGGCTACTTTGGGAGTAGAGAGGCAAGGGGATAAGGTAGGTGGGTAGAAAGAAAAGAGTGTGGGAATCACATGACTCATCATGATAATGGCTATCATCAAGGTCTTACCTTTGGTTAGAAGTGGTGGGTACCTAGGTGCTTATGATATTATTAAAAACAATTAAACAAATAGGCAAAAGCAGGTTATAAATGAACCAATGATGGGGATGTGCCATGAATCAAGGACTATGATAAATCCAATGCCAAGCTCCTGAGATCAAAAGGGGAATATGATAGAGATTCATTCTCTTTCATAGTGCCGTTGAGTTTCTGACCCATATGTTAAAACTTCAAAATATTGAAAGGAATTTAGGAGAGAATGCACTGCATTGTCTGTGGCAGGTGATCCTCACAATGAATCTATGAATGTCCAGATGGTGCAATCTCACTCGATCCTCTCAAACAGTCCATGGATTTGGTATTATGTCCATTTCACAGATGAGGGAACCAAAGCTCAGAGAGATTAGATACTGTGCTTGAGGTTGCAGGGATAGGAAATGGTGTCATCAGGTTTATAACCTGGGTCTGCCTCCCGAAGCCTGAGGTAGCTCTCCGTTCTGCCATGTGACAAGTCAGTGGACCTGTGGAGAATGAGTGTTGGGTGGGCAAGAGTGTCATCCCTCCTCTCCCATGGGTCTGAATCTGGTGCCAGGTGTGTGGGCAGTATCTGTACTTTTACAATGATTCTTTCATACACTAAAAGCATAATCATCACCATCATCAGCATCATCATCATCATCACTCCTCCTCCTCCTCCCTCCATATTATGGACAGGCTCAAAATACCCAGTTTCTCAGAAGTCTTTGTTGTGGGTAATAAAAATACTTTTCCTAAAAACCAACTTTTATAAGTTTCTAATGTGAAACAATAGTTAACCCACGTCTCATAATCATCTGTCAGCCACAACATCAAAAACAACAATAATAACAGCAAAATATCACAATAGATATACAGCACTCTCAGGACTTGCAAGATGAAAATATGGTCACAAACTAGACTCAGTCCACAACACAAGGTCTTGTGATCTCTGTTTAGAGTCCTCATTACAGTGTCCTTTCAAATAGCCAGGCTTCAGCCTTTAATAGGTTTTGAAATCAATTTAGTGGGTCTTAGTATTTAAAAAATAGACTTTTGAATTAATCTACATTTTAAGGGTAAGTATTGTTTTGTAAGGTTTTTGTTTCAGTTCTATAGGTGTATATGTGTGTGTATGTGCATGCATATGCACATGTGTGTGCACTGCGTGTACACTTCTTACTGTGGTTATTTATCATAAGGACTTAAAGGCCCTGCTGCTGGGAGCATTAATGAATGCCTCTGAGGAGTTAATGAAAAGGTAGCTGGGAGGGTTCCCTGATCTTGTGCACCCATACAGACCATGAACACCTTCACATGCAGGATTTAAAACCATACTTCACAGGGCTAGAATTAGATATTGAGGCAAATCATGAATGCATGGCACTTTAAAGCAGATGACACCTGGGTATAATTTGGAAGATGAATGGTCAGCTAGGGAGTTGGGCTGGACAGAGCCATTCAGACCAAGTAATTGCAAGAGTTATAAAAGGGTAGGGAATGTTACGCCTTTAGAAATATTGTGGCCTAACTGCTACCTCACTGTCTTTAGATACATTGGGAAAGAATTTCTTCTACTTCTTATAGACAGTAATTATTTATTACTCCTTTTAAGAGTAATTTCACACACAAACACACACACACACACATATATATTTATCTCCAAAGTACCAATAAATAACACCAACAGCAGGAATTTTCATGGTTATTGTCTACTGGGTGTCAGGCACCCTATTAGGTGCTCTCCTGCATTATTTTTAATCCTCTCAAAGACCTTACAAGATTGTTCTTGTGGAAGTTTTACATATCAAAGAAGAGCAGCTATTGGTTTTGAGGAATTAAAGGGAAAGACTAGCTGGTTGTTCATGCACAAGACTCATAGGATTCCATTAACTTGGTGACTTTAACCGTGTCTTTAGCTCTGCAGGTTCAGACACCCACGTTTGTCAACAAGCTGAGAGTTGGTATCTCAGATATGGGTCATGTTATCCAGTGGAGGTGTGGACAACCAAAATGTCTCCTGATTAACCTATGATGACAATAAATGTGACACAGCCTGACCAGCCCATGGGAACTCATAACGCAATTAAAAGTTTGCTTGGTGAATGTTGATTTTAAAAAGGGGATGGTAGGTGACTATACAGGTTTAATTTTATCAGGTAAGAATGGCTTGAAGTGAGGTTACCAACCTTTACCTTTTACCTCAGTAGTTTCTCAGTGAGAAGAACAGACCCAGGGAACTTTTTGACATAAGAGTGATAGGCTCTGCCCCCAAAGCTCCAGTGCTCAGAGCTAGAGACTTCCACTTGGGCTTGAGCTAAAATGCTGGCCTTTGATATCTCATCCAGACTGAAGATAGGGCAGAGCCAACGTGACTTGCTTGCCTGCATGCACTATGAGAAACTGGAGCAGAAGGAAAGCAAAAGGAAGCCTGCTGAGGAGCTGAGGTACGAGGGCCCCGAGACTGGGCAGGCCAATCAAAGAAGGTGAAAGAGTGTGCACAAGCAATGCCCCGACTCCATCACCCCACCTTCTGATATGTAAAGCCAAGTGGTTGGTATGCTGTCTTGAGTCAGATTAGCTACTCTTACCCTGGTGAGAGAAGAATGAAAGGAGGGACAGAGAGACAGCATGCGTCAGTTCACATGTTCCCTAAAATGGTCTGCAAGTTGGATGGGGGGAAGTTCTCTCATCTGGAGCCTGAGGTGGAAATATGGGAAGAAGAATAACAATGTCTACAAAAGGGCAAGCACTGCTCTTGGCCAGGAGATGGGTATCTTTGACCAAGATGCAATTTTTTTTCCCTGAGCTGTTCTTAGATTGACTCATCAGCTTGCTCTGGAACCCCATAAAGGCAGGAGCAGAATTTGTTCATGCTCTTAGCACAGTGCTTAGCAAACTCTCAATGTATGTATGGAATACCTGCTTTTACTTCTCCTTTTTCTTCTTTCATGGTGTCGAACCGTACCTTAAATTGACTATTATTCCTTTAGTTGTTTTATTTTCCTCAATCAGATTACTAGGTTCAACATGACGACTTTGCACATCTCTGCTCCATACAATATGTATTGATTTTGTTGTTTAGCTCTTGGAGGACAACCTCATTTTCCTTCCTGATACCAAGTTCTTTAGGGACACATTTCCCTATAGCTGTCAAGAACCTGCTGTCTCATTCCCATCCTACAGTCATTTAAGAGCAAAGCCAAAGTTAAGATCTGAGGTCACAGGAAAAAAAAAAAGATGTTATAGGATGTACTGTTTGAACAACTCCTGTTAGATGTTAGTGTTTCACAGAACTCATCAGAGAAACCCAAGTTTTCACAAAACACTACATTTATTTCCACCTCCCACAGCAGTTATCTTGCCCAAGAGAGGAAATTGTTTCCAATTTACACATGGTAAAGGACACCTCCTGAAAATTTCCCTTTGGGGCTAGGAATTTAATCTTACTACTGGGTTAATGCATTTATTTGGGTGGCTTTTTAACCTAAATAAGTGAGCAGTACTTCCTCCCACCATCACTTTCATAATTGCTGTGAAAAGAAGCCCTCGTGGGGGTTGCTGCAGAGACAGCCTGGGGAAACCCCGTGAAGTTAAATGCGCTGCTTGAAAACACAGACACCCGGTTCTAGCTGCTCCAGCCCTGAGCCATTAGATTTGGTCGTCAAGGAGCCCAGCAGGGCAAAGGTCAATTTCTCTTTGCTTTTTTCTTCCACTTCCTGTTCTTCCACTTTTTCCATTGTCTTCTCACAGCTATCCCAGGCTCTCTCCTTCTTTTTCTCTTGTCTTTTCATATTCTCAAAAAACAGGATAACTTTCAAAGCCTTTCCTTTCTTTTCTCACTCTATCCACATCCCCTCGGCTGTTCAAATGCATAGAGTTCACCCTTAAGCTAAGGAGACAGTGCAAATTTTATAGTAAGAATGTAGGCTAAGAAGCCAGACTTCCTGGGGCTGAATCCCAGTTGCTTGGGAGAGTTACTGAATCTCTCAGGACCTCAGTTTCTACATCTATAAAATGGGAATGATACTAGTAGTTCTTATCCTATAAGGTTATTATGAGAGTCAAATCAGTTAATATATGTAACGTGATTAGGAATGTTATGTAACGTATATAAGAGTGTTTGCTGGGAAAAAACAACAACAACATGTCACAAGTGGGTAAGAATGAAAATGGGCTTAGAACAGAGATCACATTCCACCCTCTGTCCCTTTGATTAAGGATAGGGGTTTGGCTGCATCTGCTTTTCTTCCCCTAAAATATCCACGTATTCTAAAACTCTGAGTATGTTTTTTGTGTAAACTGAACATAGTTCAGAACTTTTTTCTCAGCTACCATTTTCTTTTTGGAGAGTGATAAACTTGATCTCTTTTGTGAAGAGCTATTTCTGGCTAGCTTTAACATAATGTTTAAATTAATGACCATTTGTTTATGCCCATGATGTATAAGCTAAACAACTGCCCCTGCATTCTATAATTCCAGTCCCAAGGAAGGGGAAAAAAAATGCCAGGATAGCATGGGGAAGAAAATAGCCATCATCACCAACCCACCAGAAAATCTCCCTCCTCTCATATTCACTCTTTAATTACAGAACTGCATTTATGTACACATTTGGAGAATTACATGTTTATATGTCTTGTCTCCTCTTGATCATAAGGTAGTGTCTGTTCCATCTTATGTATTCTTGGTGCTCAGAACAGTGCTACACTTACCTGTGGGTGTAAAGTACAATTTGCTGACAAACTATAAAGCAATATAAATAGATCATATATTAGACTAGTATTAAAGGTTTTAAAAATAGTCTATTTTAAAAATATAGTTTGTGAAATTTATGAGTTTTAAATGGCAAAATTTAAAAGAATTAAATAAAATGAGAGTGGTTTCCATTTTTTGAATCACATTTTCTGCTTTTATTCCCATATGCCCGTAAAAGGGATTATATATATAGTAGGTGTGAAGCACTTATGTAAGGTATATGTATATAAGGTATATGTATGTGTGTGAGGTATGTGTGTGTGTGTATGTGTGTGTTATGTGTGTGAATTAAGCTGTCAAGTCAGCACACACAAGGAGAAAATCATGTACAGAATTGCCTTAGAAAATTGCATATATCCCAGAAACTCAAACACGAAGATTTAGCTTCTTTTGCTTCTATTTACATTTCTCTGTAGTCTCATTCTCTGTGGAGCACTGAAGGATAGAGAGAGTCTAGTTTGAAAGGGAGAGTACATGCAACAGGGTAAGAATTTTTTTTTTTTACTTTTTTTATGCATTAAGATTTATGAAAATAAAATTCTTTTAAAATGCAACTTCACAGTGTGTGTGCACATATGTGTAAATGTCTATTATATATACACTTATACATATATACACGTATATATACACTATATATACACACACACACACACACTCACACACATATATATATGTGTATGTATATTTTTGAGACGGAATCTCTGTTGCCCAGGCTGGAGTGCAATGGCACAATCTCAGCTGACTGCCACCTCTGCCTCTCAAGTTCAAGCGATTCTTTGCCTCAGCCTCCTCAGTAGCTGGGACTACAGGTGCCTGTCACTATGCCTGGCTAATTTTTGTATTTTTAGTAGAGATGGGTTCCACCGTGTTGGCCAGGCTGGTCTCAAGCTCCTGAGCTCAAGTGATCCAGCTGCCTCAGCCTCTCAAAGTGCTGGGATTACAGGTATGCACCACTGTGCCTGGCCTGCCTGTGGTATGTTGTAATCTATACACTTTTATTTTTATTAATTATTTCACATAATTTTTACAACAGATCTGAAAACAAGGTTTGCATTTACAGATCAGGAAACTAAGAGCATTGAAGTGATTTTCTCTGTGGTCAGTGATGGTGCTAGCTTAGAACTGGGCAAACAAGCTTACACTTTGATGTTTACCCACTAGCACTACTTCCCTCAAAGCTGATCACAAATCATAATCGTGAAAGAAGCTTTGAAACTACAGATCTACAACTTCCTTTTGTAGGACTGGAAGGGACCTTAATTAAGACCCTTCTCTTTACAGAGGAGGGAACTGAAGCCCAGGGATACCGGAAGAGTTGGCCCGGGTCACATCGTGGTGATTGGAAGGACTAAGAGAGCAAGCCTGGCTCTTGACTCCCAGGCCTTTCTATACCCCGCCTCCTGCTGCCCCGGCCAGGAGGCTAGATCTCAGAATGCAGTCAGAAAAATCCTTCACTGAGAGGACTAGATTGCAGCTCTGAACAGAGCAGCATGTGGAGGCGTGCATTGTGAATTTTAGCTCCAGATCAACTGCAAGAATAAACCTGCAATCCCAAGAGGACCCACAAACCCTCTGAAGGAAGCAGACTGCTCCCGCAGGACCTAAGAGACACCCCAAATACTGTGAGTGCCCCAACTGCGGAAGTGGAAAAGGAAGACCCTCCTCTCCTGAACACACACCCCCACTGGAGAAGCTGAAGGTCTGTTTGTGGGAGAAGTTTCCAACTTAACTGGAGCTGAGTCAAGTTAGAGAGCCCAGCAAAATGCAGGGGTAGAAGAAGCAGCAAGGCCCTGGGAGCTCTCTGGGTCTCCAAGCAGCCCATTCCTCTCTGGTACCATAGGGATCCACTGGGAGGGTGGCTAGAGGAGCAGAGGGTAAAACTCCATGGGGAGAAGGAATTCTCTAGCTGAACTTTGTAAGTTTGAACAGGGCAAGAAGCCTCCTGGCCAGAACTCAAGGGAGGGTGTGAATCCGGTGTGCAGACTTCACAGGTGGGAGAGAACTAAAGCCCTTTTCTCTCGCAGCTGGGAAGCAGATAGCCTTGGGCAAATTTCCAAGTCCGTCTTGCCCTGACCTGGAAACAGACTCCCGGCTGCTGTTGAGGTCACAGTGAGAGTGAGACCGGCCCTTCAATTTGCATGGGATCTGGGTGAGGCCAGTGACTGCTGGGTTTTCCCCACTTCCCTGACAACCTGCATGACTTAGCAGAGGCAGGCATAATCCTCCTTGGTACACAACTCCAGTGACCTGGGAATCATGATCAAGTGGGTTTCATACCAGGGATGCAGGGATGGTTTAACATACGCAAGTCAATAAATGTGATACACCATGTAAAGAGAATTAAAAACAAAAATCACATGAACATCTCAACAGATGCAGAAAAAGCATTTGACAAAATCCAGCAACCTTTATGATTAAAACTCTCAGCAAAATTGGCATACAAGGGACATACCTTAATGTAATAAAAGCCATCTATGACAAACCCATAGTCAACATAATACTGAATGGGGAAAAGTTGAAAGCATTTCCTCTGAGAACTGGAACAAGACAAGGATGGCCACTCTCACACTCCTCTTCAACGTAGGTACTGGAAGTCCTAACAAGAGCAATGAGACAAGACAAAGAAATAAAGGGCATCCAAATCTGTAAAGAGAAAGTCAAACTGTCACTGTTTGCTGATGATATGATTGTTTACCTTGAAACCCCTAAGGATTCCTTCATAGAACTGATAAAAGAATTCAGCCAAGTTTCTGGATACAAGATTAATGTACACAAATCAGTAGCTCTTCTATACAACAACAGCAACCAAGCAGAGAATCAAATCAAGAACTCAACTCCCTTTACAATAGCAAGAAAAAAAAAAAAAAAAACTTAGGAATGTACCTGACAAAGGAGTCAAAAGACCTCTACAAGGAAAACTACAAAACATTGCTGAAAGAAATCATAGATGACAAAAACAAATGAAAACACTTCCCATGCTCATGGGTGGATAGAGTCAATATTGTGAAAATGACCACACTGCCAAAAGCAATCTACAAATTCAATAGAATCCCCATCAGAATACCACCATCATTCTTCACAGAATTAGAAAAAACAATTATAAAATTCATCTGGAACCAAAAAAGAGCTCGCTTAGCCAAAGCAAGACTAAGCAAAAAGAACAAATTTGGAGGCATCACACTACCTGATTTCAAACTATACTGTAAGGCCATCATCACCAAAACAGTATGGTACTTGTATAAAAACAGGCACATAGACCAATGGAACAGAATAGAGAACCCAGAAATAAACCCAAATACTTCCAGTCAACTGATCTTTGACAAAGCAAACAAAAACATAAAGTGGGGAAAGGACACCCTTTTCAAAAAATGGTGCTGGGATAATTGGCTAGCCACATGTAGGAGAATGAAACTGGATCCTTATCTCTCATCTTATACAAAAATCAACTCAAGATGGATTAAGGGCTTAAACCTAAAACCTGAAACTATAAAAATTCTAAAAGAAACATTGGAAAAACCCTTCTAGACAATGGCTTAGGCAAGGATTTCATGACCAAGAACCCGAAAGCAAATGTAATAAAAACAAAGGTAAATAGCTGGGACCTAATTAAACTAAAGAGCTTTTGCATGGCAAAAGGAACAGTCAGCAGAGTAAACAGACAACCCACAGAATGGGAGAAAATCTTCACAATCTATACATCTGACAAAGGACTAATATCCAGAATCTACAACAAACTCAAACAAATCAGTAAGAAAAAAACAAATAATCTAATCAAAAAGTGAGCTAAGGACATGAATAGACAATTCTCAAAAGAAGATATACAAATAGCCAACAAACTTATGAAAAAATGTTCAACATCACTAATGATCAGGGAAATGCAAATTGAAACCATAATGCGATACCACCTTACTCCTGCAAGAATGGCCATAATCAAAGAATCAAGAAACAGTAGATGTTGGCGTGGATATGGTGAACAGGGAACACTTCTACACTGCGGGTGGGAATGTAAACTAGTACAGCCATTATGGAAAACAGTGTGCAGATTCCTTAAAGAACGAAAAGTAGAACTACCATTTGATCCAGCAATCCCAGTACTGGGTATCTACCCAGAGGAAAAGAAGTTATTATTCGAAAAAGATACATGCACATGCATGTTTATAACAGCACAATTCACAACTGCAAATTCGTGGAACCAACCCAAATGCCCACCAATCAATGAGTGGATAAAGAAACTGTGGTATATATATAGCATGTATATATATATATATACACACACACACACATATATACAGTATATGTATACATATACTGTATATATGTATATATACATATATACACTATATACAATGTATATATATACACTATATACAATGTATATATATACACTATATACAATGTATATATATACACTATATACAATGTATATATATACACTATATACAATGTATATATATACACTATATACAATGTATATATATACAGTATATACAATGTATATATATACAGTATATATAATGTATATATATAGTATATATAGTGTATATATACAGTATATATGTGGTATATATACACCACAGTTTCTTATATACTGTATATATATACACTATATATACTATATATATATTTACTGTATATATAGAAACTATATATATAGAAACTGTATATATATAAAAAGAAACTGTGATATATATGTACATATATATGATGGAATACTATGCAGCCATAAAAAGGAATGAATTAACAGCATTTGCAGTGATCTGGATGAGATTGGAGACTATTATTCTAAGTGATGTAGCTCAGTAATGGAAAATCAAACATCATACGTTCTCACTGATATGTGGGAGCTAAGCTATGAGGACGCAAAGCCATAAGAATGATACAATGGTCTCTGGGGACTTGGGGGGGGAAGAGTGTGGGGGGAGAGGGATAAAAGACTACAAATTTGGTGCAGTGTATACATAGGTGATGGATGCACCAAAATCTCACAGATCACCACTAAAGAACTTACTCATGTAACCAAATAACACCTTTACCCCAATAACTTAGGGAAAAATAAAAAAGAAAAATCCTTTGCTGAGAAACATTAAGACTAGAATGCTAAGAAAAAATATTAACAGTTCCATAGGAAAATGACAAAGAGCATGCATAGATAATTTATGAAGAAAGAGCAAAATTTTTAAAAAAGTTTCACCTACGTTGTCAAGTAAGCAATGCAAATTAAAAGAAAAACCATTTAGACTCAGTTGACAATGACTTTTTTAAGCTAATACTCATTGCTTTAAAGGATGGGCCTTGCTGTATGACTGAAAGACATTCTTGTAGCTGGTAGAAGTAACACCATTACACTCTCTCAAGAAAGCAATTGAGATGTAGAACAATTGTGTATGTAGAACCTTAAAAATATTTAAGACTTTTGATCTAAACAATCAGAATTCTAGGGAAGTTTTCCAAAGATAATCAGGTATGTGGCCAAAGAATATTAGATGCAACATTATTTATAATATTAATCATTGAGTAAAGGATTGGAAGGGAATCAGTCAGAGGCTTTCATTTCTGGATAGTGAGTCTTGGAACATGCTCATAGTAAGGTTTGCACTTTTGTTTATTTGTTGCTCAAATAAGCAAATGAATAAATTGTGAGATTATGGATAATTTAAATTTTCTTCTGCATAGGTACAATGGGGATGTATTCTTTTTATTACAATAAAATTAACCGTTATGAAAAACTTGCAGCATGTTGACACTAACTGAACAAGATAGAAAAAAAATCCTAGTATTTTTGTTCAATATCCTTCATTTTTACCACTTTCTTTTGGTATCTCTGGGCTTGAGTTCCCTCCTCTGTAAATAGAAGGAACTTAATTAAGGTCCCTTCTAGCCTTAAAAAAGGGAGTTATAGATCCATTCCTACTCAGTCATCTTGGTTGATAGAATTCTTCCTTCATTAAGATCCTCTGCTAAAGAGCACCCTCAAAATTAGTCATTTTAAAAAGCTCTTCCCAGTTTTGCAGAGACATTTTTGTTTTGCTGAATGACTTTTGGACAAGCACTAGACTTGTGTCATTTCCACGTGAACAGAAACATCTGTTTTCCAGAGGGTCGACTGTAGTTAGTGCTGTGTCTGTGCTGCTGTGTCTCTGCGTAACCCAATTGGCCTGCACGAGAATAGGACTTTTCATCTCATTCTCATTGGTTTCTACATTAACCAAGTCACTTCATATGTACTAGAGGCTATGGTGGGAACTCTCAGTGTAAGGCTATGGATGGTTCAGCTCAACCCATTTCTTATTTCTGAAAAACAATTTGAAGCATGCAGCCTATGACTGGAAGGCAACTGAATTATGTTCATAGAAGGGCAGCTTGATTTCTTTCCATAGTATCCTTCCTTCCCTTCCTTCCTTCCTTCCTTTTTTCCTTCCTTCCTTCCTTTTTTTTTTTTTGAGACAGAGTTTCACTGTTGTCACCCAGGCTGGAGTGCAATGGCACAATCTCGGCTCACTGCAACTTCCACTTCCTGGATTCAAGGAATTATCCTGTCTCAGCCTCCTGAGTAGCTGGGATTACAGGCACCCACCACCACACCCAACTAATTTTTGTGTTTTTAGTAGAGACCGGGTTTCACCGTGTTGGCCAGGCTGGTCTTGAACTCCTGACCTCTGGTGATCTGACCATCTTGGCCTCCAAAAGTGCTGGGATTACAAGTGTGAGCCACTGTGCCCAGCCGTATCCTTTGTTTAGAAAGTAAAAAATAAGTTGCTATGTGTCATCACCAAGTACGGGCAAATTGGTGCAGAAATTATAAAAGAGCAGATCTCTTTATTGAGATGCACATATTACTTATTTTTCATTATTTAGTGATTTTTTATAATTTAGTATGGCACAAATTGCCTAAAAATGATGATCAAATTATCAATGACTTTCTTGCAAAGACAAATGGAAAATTTTTAATTTTAATTTTTGATGGGTTTATGAGTTGGGAAATTACTAAGGAATTAAGGGGACCCTATATACCTATGCCAACCAGAGAGATTATGTTAAAATAATTTTGACACACACACCAAAGCCGGAAAGAATCAGATACAATACACATCGGAATCAGACACGTGGCTGAAGGCAAATAAGACATTATCAGGCCAGCACGTAAGGCAAGATTCCACCTAGTCCCTACTCTCGAGGAGTTCATTAGGACTTACCGCATAGCTTATAAGTGATTGAAATATTAGGATGATTTTGAAGAGTGAGGTTATCTGCCATTGCAGGTTATTTAAAAATCTATATCTGTATCTATATATGAGTTAGCTAAATGTGATACTACATTTGGTTTTCTTAACATATGTGTGAGAATCAAACTGAGAACAACTATGGAACATTGTGCCTGATGCAATAATTTAATATGGAAACATATAAAAATGAGTTAGGTATCTCCAAGCCACAAGTATCTAAATGTATTACCACTTTGTTTCTGAGCAGAAATGAGCATACTTTTGAGTAAGATTAGAGGATGAGAAAAAATCATCTCCTATGCAGATAACACTCTGGGTAAGACACAGTGCTGAGTGGTTGACCTCAATAATTTGCCAAATAATGAAATTTCCCATTACGATCATTAGTCCTGAAGGACTTCTAGATACATACTCATTTTCTCTTAACTTCCAAATAAATTTTTGCTGATCATCTCCTAGGCGATAAGTGCTATGGGAGGTAAATAATTAAGCAGAAATGACTCAAATCCTATTCCTGCCTTCAGTGAGCTTTCCCTCAAGTCAACAGGGAGAACCATATGTCTACTCAAGTAGTTACAACGCAAGAAAAGTGTGTGAAGTATAATTAGTAAAAAGTTACAGAAATTTTCAAGTTACACTGTTGTGAGAGTTTGGAGAAAGGAAAGATTATATTTTAATTGGGTTAAGGCATTAAGTCATCCAGAAGGATTACTAAATTGACAAGGATTAGATCATTTAATGAATAAATCACTACCACCCATGATTATTGTTAGCAGTGGTTTCTAAACGTTTTTGATTTTATAAGCCAATAGTAAATAAAATTTTGAGCAGCAACTCAGAATTATGTATTATATTTATATTTTTGTCTTACACATGTGTTGCTGTATCAATATATTATATATATCAAACATACACAAAATAGGTATGCTTAAAGGATGTGCTAAATTTGAAATAAATAATATTTGAAAATACTTATTAATTTTTATTCATGGCATACTTTTTTTCTTTAAAAATGCCATTTTAAACCAGTGCAGTGTGGTTGAAGATCCTTCTTTTTTTTTGAAAATTGTAGTTTCACATTTGTGACACAGCAATTCAAAGGCCTGCTTTTCAGTTGTTTGTTTCTTATTAGTTTTAATGGCTGTCATAATTGCAAAAGACATGCCACAGACACAACATAAACACACCTAAAGTGAAATCTAGGTGTATGACTGTAGATACATTTCCGTATTCTGGTATTATTCTTGACATTTGCAGTTTGGTGAGAGCATCTTCTTGTTAGATCTAATTAGATTGTCATTGTCTTGTGAGTAGCGAAGAGACCTTGTCCAGGCACAAAGGTCAGCTTTGCCATTGTTCTGTTTGATGTTGCTTGCTTTAGTGAAATCTTTAATCAGAAGGCGTTTTCTCTTTTCTGTACTCTTTTAAAGTCATTTGTATATTTTGTGAGGGTTGGTTTACATAAATTAGATACTAGGATCTATACATCCCCTTAACCTGGCATAAACAAAAGACCATCTGTCGCAATACACTGGAAGAGCGGAAGTGGGAACTCCACAGTCAACACTTCCATGCTGTGAAGCTCCTGCTCCTCTGGAGAAGTGTCCCCTCCAATAAGTGAGGCCTGACCATCTGACATCTCCACCTAGCAATGGCACTGCTGTCACTTCATTTAGTGGATATTTGTAGTGCATATTTCCCTAATTTTTAAGATAACATTTTAAACGTTTGAATATTTTCTTCCCACACCACAATGATGATGTTGACAATCCTGCGAGGTGCACACTCACACCCTACTTTGGAGATCTTGGAACTAGACAATAGTTTATCCTTTCCACAGAGGGGCAGGGGACAGCAGGAGGGGCTAACACCCTAAGATGGAGCCCTAAGGTGGCACTTTTTCCCTGGCAAATACAATCCCAGGTATCTTAAAATCCAGGTAACCACTGTGTCACAACGACACCACTTTAATTTTTTGTTTTGGGACGCTTTTGATGAAATAATCATATTTACTTTGTTCTAGTCCCCAGGTATCTCTAAGTCCTCTTAAACCAGTGTTGGTAAATTCATGAGATGGATGGATTAGAGTCCTCTTCCCCCCATGTATCAATAGAGTAACACAGTACATTAGGCTTCTGTTTGTTAATCATCAACATTAGGGGCTTGATAAACAGTTTTAATACTAAATGCCAAATATCTGTGTTGGTAGATATGTCAACACATATGGGCCATATTGTTCTTTTCTTGCTTCTCAGACTCAAAATGAAACACTGCCCTCTCTAGGATTTCACTTATTCCAAGGACAGCCCCGTAGCTGGGTCTGTGTGGGGCTTGCCAGCACACAAAGTTCATTCCAACTCCTTCAGAGGCCAAAAGCCTTTGCATTTTGCTGTTTAATGCATGTCTTTGACCAGTCCCTGGACTCTGGCTGTGCCCTCAACTTTTCTTAACTACCTTAGGCAATGTCACATCCTTGAATTTCTGTTGGCCTGAGAATATGTGTGACATCCAAACTCCCAATTCCTCTCTGAGTTCAGTTAGACTAGCTGTGTGGCGTTTTCCAAATGGGCACAACACCTAGATCCATGTTATTAACCTTTTCTGGGTCACCTACTCCTTTGAGGATCTATGTGAAATCTAATCAGAAAAATAGTCAACCACATAAATTATGCATACAATTTCAAAGAGGGGGTAGTTTATATCCCTTCTGAAGTTCTTCTTAAACTAGAATTTTTTTTAAAACTAAATTTACTGAGTTGTCCTACAAACCCAATCATACTGAAACTGATTGTTTTTAGGTTTTTAATTTTTATGGCTGTTTTCTTTCTCTCTTTTTTAACGAGTTAGCTTTGAAGACTTATAAAATGTTTGTGGTATGTCTATTTATATTGCCTTGAACAGTTAAGGACTGTTTATTGTGGCATAATGTTGATCTTTAAATATATAGTTACAAAATCCCCCTCTTTATAATTTGGTTGTCACTGAAGCCTGTACACAGGCTTGTAGTTGCTTACCCCAATCAATTTCTCCCCTTCTTCCTCACTAAGAGAAACCTGATTTTGTTAGGGGAGGCAATGTACCATACTAAAAATCTACATTTCGTAGCCTGCCTTGTGGACAGAGGTGGCTATGTGGTTAGATTATTGCCAATGCTAATTTAAAATGCTTCTTAAAAGGGGTTGATTCCTTTTAAAGAGCCACAATGTGCTCTTTTGCACCCATTCTTTCTTCTTCTTCTTCTTCTTGCCCAGAACACAGGTGCCACAGCTGGAGCTCCTATGGCCATCTTGCAGCCATGAGACAACCCTGAGAATGGAAACCGTGTGTTCAGATGTCAGAACAGAGAGTTAGAAAAATACTGAGAAATGGATAAACCTGAAATCTCTAACAAGCCCTGGGTCTCCTTCCTCTTGACTCTTGGTCTTCAAGTTACATGAGAAAATTAAATCCTGATCTTGGTCAAATAAATAAATATGGTGTGTATACATGCACACATATATATACAGATACATATTCACATCCACACAGAGACATTTCTTAAGTAATGCAAATCTATACATGTATTTAAAAATATCTATGAACATTAAGTTGCAAACCCTCTCTCATAGGGAAACTGATAATTTCAACAAATTCAGTACACCCTTCTGAAAATAAGTTGTTAACCTATTTATATGGTATCATCAAAAACTATACATACTACTGTCTAACTTACAAATAGTACATTCTTTTGTTGTTGCTGGTAGTAAACTTTTAAACAAATTTATTATACTTTAAGTTCTAGGGTACATGTGCACAACGTGCAGGTTTTTTACATATATATACATGTGCCATGTTGGTTTGCTGCACCCATTAACTCGTCATTTACATTAGATATTTCTCCTAATGCTATCCCTCCCCCACTCCCCCACCCCATGACAGGCCCTGGTGTGTGATGTTCCCCACCCTGTGTCCAAGTGTTCTCATTGTTCAGTTCCCACCTATGAGTGAGAACATGTGGTGTTTGGTTTTCTGTCCTTGCGATAGTTTGCTCAGAATGATGGTTTCCAACTTCATCCAGGTCCCTACAAAGGACATGAATTCATCCTTTTTTATGGCTGCATAGTATTCCATGGTGTATATGTGCCACATTTTCTTAATCCAGTCTATAATTGATGGGCATTTGGGTTGGTTCCAAGTCTTTGCTATTGTGAATAGTGCTGCAATAAACATACGTGTGCATGTGTCTTTATAGCAGCATGATTTATAATCCTTTGGGTATATACCCAGTAACAGGATGGCTGGGTCAAATGGTATTTCTAGTTCTAGACCCTTGAGGAATCGCCACACTGTCTTCCACAATGGTTGAACTAGTTTACACTCTCACCAATAGTGTAAAAGCGTTCCTATTTCTCCACATCCTCTCCAGCACTTGTTGTTTCTTGAGGTTTTAGTGATCGCCATTCTAACTAGTGTGAGATGATATCTCATTGTGGTTTTGATTTGCATTTCTCTGATGACCAGTGATGATGAGCATTTTTTCATGTGTCTGTTGGCTGCATAAATGTCTTCTTTTGAAAAGTGTCCGTTCATATCCTTTGTTCACTTTTTGATGGAGTTGTTTGATTTTTTCTTGTAAATTTAAGTTCTTTGTAGATTCTGGCTATTAGCCCTTTGTCACATGGGTAGATTGCAAAAATTTTTTCCCATTCTGTAGCTTGCCTGTTCACTCTGATGGTAGTTTCTTTTGCTGTGCAAAAGCTCTTTAGTTTGATTAGATCCCATTTGTCTATTTTGGCTTTTATTGCCATTGCTTTTGGTGTTTTAGTCACGACGTCCTTGCCCATGCCTATGTCCTGAATGGTATGGCCTAGGTTTTCTTCTAGAGTTTTTATGGTTTTATGCCTAAGATTTAAGTCTTTAATCCATCTGGAATTAATTTTTGTGTAAGGTGTAAGGAAGGGATCCAGTTTCAGCTTTCTACATATGGTTAGCCAGTTTTCCCAGCACTATTTATTAAATAGGGAATCCTTTCCCCATTTCTTGTTTTTGTCAGGTTTGTCGAAGATGAGATGGTTGCAGATGTGTGGTGGTATTTCTGAGACTTCTGTTCTGTTCCATTGGTCTATATCTCTGTTTTGGTACCAGTACCATGCTGTTTGGGTTACTGTAGCCTTGTAGTGTAGTTTGAAATCAGGTAGAGTGATGCCTCCAGTTTTGTTCTTTTGGCTTAGGATTGTTTTGGCAATGTGGGCTCTTTTTTGGTTCCATATGAATTTTAAAGTAGTTTTTTTCAAATTCTGTGAAGAAAGTAATTGGTAGCTTGATAGGATGGCATTGAATCTACAAATAACCTTGGGCAGTATGGCTATTTTCACAATATTGATTCTTCCTATCCATGAGCATGGAATGTTCTTCCATTTGTTTGTGTCCTCTTTTATTTCATGGAGCAGTGGTTTGTTGTTCTCTTTGAAGAAGTCCTTCACATCCCTTGTAAGTTGGATTCCTAGGTATTTTATTCTCTTTGTAGCAATTGTGAATGGTAGTTTACTTATGATTTGGCTCTGTTCGTCTGTTATTGGTGTATATAAATGCTTGTGATTTTTGCACATTGATTTTGTATTCTGAGACTTTGCTGAAGTTGCTTATCAGCTTAAGGAGATTTTGGGCTGAGACGATGGGGTTTTCTAAATATACAATCATGTCATCTGCAAACAGGGACAATTTGACTTCCTCTTTTCCTAATTGAATACCTTTTATTTTTTTCTCTTGCCTGATTGCCCTGGCCAAAACTTCCAAAATTATGTTGAATAGAAGTGGTGAGAGAGGGCATCCCTGTCTTGTGCCAGTTTTCTAAGGGAATGCTTCCAGTTTTTGCCCATTCAGTATGATATTGGCTGTGGGTATGTCATAAATAGCTCTTATTGTTTTGAGATACGTCCCATCAATACCTAGTTTATTGAGAGTTTTTATCATGAAGTGCTGTTGAATTTTGTCAAAGGCCTTTTCTGCATCTATTGAGATAATCATGTGGTTTTTGTCTTTGATTCTGTTTATGTGATGGATTATGTTTATTGATTTGCTTATTGGTTTGCATTGAACCAGCCTTGCATCCCAGAGATGAAGCCAACTTGATCTTGGTGGATAAACTTTTTGATGTGCTGCTGGATTCGGTTTGCCAGTATTTTATTGAGGATTTTTGCATCAATGTTCATCAGGGATATTGGTCTAAAATTCTCTTTTTTTGTTGTGTCTCTACCAGGCTTTGGTATCAGGATGATGCTGGCCTCACAAAATGAGTTAGGGAGGATTCCCTCTTGTTCTATTGATTGGAATAGTTTCAGAAGAAATGATACCAGCTCCTCTTTGTACCTCTGGTAGAATTTGGCTGTAATCCGTCTGGTCCTGGACTTTTATTGTTGGTAGGCTATTAATTATTGCCTCAATTTCAGAGCCTGTTATTGGTCTGTTGGGAGATTCAACTTCTTCCTGGTTTAGTCTTGGGAGGGTGTATATATCCAGGAATTAATGCATTTCTTCTAGATTTTCTAGTTTATTTGCATAGAGGTGTTTGTAGTGTTCTCTGGTGGTAGTTTGTATTTCTATGGGATCGGTGGTGATATCCCTTTTATCATTTTTTATTATGTCTATTTGATTCTTCTCTCTTTTCTTCTTTATTAGTCTTGCTAGCAGTCTATCGATTTTGTTGATCTTTTCAAAAAACCAGCTCCTGGATTCATTGATTTTTGAAGGGTTTTTTTGTGTCTCTATCTCCTTCAGTTCTGCTCTGATCTTAGTTATTTCTTGCCTTCTGCTAGTTTTTTAATTTGTTTGCTCTTGCTTCTCTAGTTCTT
The DNA here is from genome assembly GCF_000001405.40 of Homo sapiens. Lineage (NCBI taxonomy): Eukaryota > Metazoa > Chordata > Mammalia > Primates > Hominidae > Homo > Homo sapiens. The sequence goes on from NC_000004.12 coordinate 146,045,343, forward strand.
TGAATTGTGATGTTAGGGTGTCAATTTTAGATCTTTCCTGCTTTCTCTTGTGGGCATTTGGTGTTACAAATTTCCCTCTACACCCTGCTTTAAGTGTGTTCCAGAGATTCTGGTATGTTGTGTCTTTGTTCTCATTGGTTTTAAAGAACATCTTTATTTCTGCCTTCATTTAGTTATTTACCCAGTAGTTATTCAGGAGCAGGTTGTTCAGTTTCCATACAGTTGTGCAGTTTTGAGTGAGTTTCTTAATCCTGAGTTCTAATTTGATTGCACTGTGGTCTGAGAGACAGTTTGTTGTGATTTCTATTCTTTTATATTTGCTGAGGAGTGCTTTACCTCCAACTATGTGGTCAATTTTGGAATAAGTGTGGTGTGGTGCTGAGAAGAATGTATATTCTGTTGATTTGGGGTGGAGAGTTCTGTAGATGTCTATTAGGTCTGATTAGTGCAGAGCTGAGTTAAAGTCCTGGATATCCTTGCTAACCTTCTGTCTCATTGATCTGTCTAATATTGACAGTGGTGTGTTAAAGTCTCCCATTATTATTGTGTGGGAGTCTAAGTCTTTTTGTAGGTCTCTAAGGACTTGCTTTATGAATCTGGATGCTCTTGTATTGGGTGCATATGTATTTAGGATAGTTAGCTCTTCTTGTTGTATTGATCCCTTCACCATTGTTTTATGGCCTTCTTTGTCTCTTTTGATCTTTGTTGGTTTAAAGTCTGTTTTATCAGAGACTAGGATTGCAACCCCTGCCTTTTTTTTTTTTTTTGCTTTCCAGAGATATTCCTCCATCCCTTTATTTTGAGCCTAAGTGTGTCTCTGCATGTGAGATGGGTCTCTGAATACAGCACACTGATGGGTCTTGACTCTTGATCCAGTTTGCCAGTCTGTGTCTTTTAATTGGGGCATTTAGCCCATTTACATTTAAGGTTAATATCATTATGTGTGAATTTGATCCTGTCATTATGATGTTTGCTGGTTATTTTGCCCGTTAGTTGATGCAGTTTCTTCCTAGCATCGATGGTCTTTACAATTTGGCATGTTTTTGCAGTGGCTGGTAGCAGTTTTTCCTTTCCATGTTTAGTGCTTCCTTCAGGAGCTCTTGCAGGGCAGGCCTGGTGGTGACAAAATCTCTTAGCATTTGCTTGTCAGTAAAAGATTTTATTTCTCCTTCACTTATGAAGCTTAGTTTGGCTGGATATTAAATTCTGGATTGAAAATTGTTTTCTTTATGAATGTTGAATATTGGCCTCCACTCTCCTGTGGCTTGTAGAGTTTCTGCCGAGAGATTTGCTGTTAGTCTGATGGGCTTCCCTTTGTGGGTAACCCGACCTTTCTGACTGCCCTTAACATTTTTTCCTTCATTTCAACCTTGGTGAATCTGACAATTACATGTCTTGGAATTGCTCTTCTCGAGGAGTATGTTCGTGGTGTTCTCTGTATTTCCTGTGTTTGAATGTTGGCCTGCCTTGGTAGGCTGGGGAAGTTCTCCTGGATAATATCCTGAAGAGTGTTTTCCAGCTTGGTTCCATTCTCCCCATCACTTTCAGGTACACCAATCAAACATAGATTTGGTCTTTGCATATAGTCCCATATTTCTTGGAGGCTTTGTTGATTTCTTTTTACTCTTTTTTTCTCTAAACTTCTCTTCTTACTTCATTTCATTAATTTGATCTTTAATCAGTGATACCCTTTCTTCCACTTGATCGAATCAGCTACTGAAGCTTGTGCATGCATCACGTAGTTCTCGTGCCATGGTTTTCAGCTCCATCAGGTCATTTAAGGTCTTCTCTACACTGATTATTCTAGTTACCCATTCATCTAATCTTTTTTCAAGATTTTTAGCTTCCTTGCGATGTGTTCAAATATCCTCCTTTAGCTTGGAGAAGTTTGTTATTACCGACCTTCTGAAGCCTACTTCTGTCAACTCGCAAAGTCATTCTCCATTCAGGTTTGTTCCGTTGCCGGCGAGGAGCTGCGATCCTTTGGAGGAGAAGAGGTGCTCTGGTTTTTAGAATTTTCAGCTTTTCTGCTCTGGTTTCTCCCCGTCTTTGCAGTTTTATCTACCTTTGGTCTTTGAAGATGTTGACCGACAGATGGGGTTTTGGTGTGGATGTCCTTTTCGTTGATGTTGATGCTATTCCTTTCTCTTTGTTAGCTTTCCTTCTAACAGTCAGGTCCCTCAGCTGCAGGTCCATTGGAGTTTGCTGGAGTTCCACTCCAGACCCTGTTTTCCAGGGTATCACCAGCAGAGGCTGCGGAACAGCAAATATTGCGGAACAGCAAATATTGCAGAACAGCAAATATTGCTGCCTGATCCTTCCTCTGGAAGCTTCATCTCAGAGGGGCATCCGACTGTATGAGACGTCAGTTGGCCCTACTGGGAGGTGTCTCCCAGTTAGGCTACTTGGGGGTCAGGTACACACTTAAGGAGGTAGTCTTTCCGTTCTCAGAGCTCAAATACCACGCTGGGAGAATCACTGCTCTCTTCAGAGCTGTCAGACAGGGACGTTTAAGACTGCAGAACTTTCTGCTGCCTTTTGTTCAGCTATGTCCTGCCCCCAGAGGTGGAGTCTACAGAGGCAGGCAGGCCTGGTTGAGCTGCGGTGGGCTCCACCCAGTTTGAGCTTCCTGGTTGCTTTTTTTATCTACTCAAGCCTCAGCAATGGCAGACGCTCCTCCCCAAGTCAGGCTGTCTCCTTGCAGTTCGATCTTGGACTGCTGCGCTAGCAGTGAGCAAGGCTCTGTGGGTGTGGGGCCTGCTGAGCCAAGTGCGGGATATAATCTCCTGGTGTGCTGTTTGCTAAGACTGTTGGGAAAGCATAGTATTTGGGTGGCAGTGTCCCAATTTTCCTGGTACAGTCTGTCATGGCTTCCCTTGGCTAGGAAAGGGAAATCCCCCAGATCCTTGCGCTTCCCAGGTGAGGCAATGTCCTGCGCTGCTTTGGCTTGCCCTCCGTGGGCTGCACCCACTGTCCAACCAGTCCCAATGAGATGAACCAGCTACCTCAGTTGGAAATGCAGCAATCACCTCTTCTGCGTCAATCACGGTGGGAGCTGCAAACCTGAGCTGTTCCTATTCAGCCATCTTGGAATGGACCTCACAAATAGCACACACTTGCAAAAATTTTCAGCTTGGAAGTATTAATGTCCTTTGGTCTCTCCTTCTACATCCCTCCCCCAAAAAACCCACTACCCAAGATTAACCATGTGCATCCATTTGCCATTGGTGCTATAATAAATTACCACAAACTTGGTGGCTTAAAAAACAACACACACAACAAATTATTTAGTCCTAGAGGTCAGAAATCAGAAATGGGTCTCACTGGGCAAAACTCAAGGTACTGGCAGAAATGAGTTCCCTTCTAGGGGCTCTAAGGCAGAATCTGTTTCCTTGCCTTTTCTAGCCCCTACAGTTGCCTGCATTCCTCTGCTTGTGGCTTCCTTCCATCTTCAAACCTGGTAATGGCAGTCAAATCTTTCTCCTACTATACCACCCTGAAACTGACTCTTCTGCCTCTCTTTTTCACTTACAGGGACGCTTGTCATTACATTGAGCCCAGCTGAATAATCTACGCTGAGCTGCCCATCTCAAGATTCTTAGTTTAACCATATCCACAAAGTTCCTTTTGCCATGTAAGGTAACATATCTAAAGATTCTAGAGATTAAGATGTGGACATATTTGAGGGGGCATTATTCTGCTTATCACACCAGCATTACATGTTTGGTGAGTATCTATGAGGAAGACTTTTTAGTATATATTCAGTTATATTTGCAATTTAACATGTTTTGTCTAGCTACTTGGGAGTCTGAGGCAGGAGGATCTCTTGAGGCCAGGAGTTTGAAGCTGTAGTGTGTTATGGTCATGTCTGTGAATAGCCACTGCACTCCAGCTTGAGCAACATAATGAGTATCTGTCTCCAAAAAAAATTGTCTAAATAATGTTTTAAAATAATCAAAATGAGATTTTATACTATTCTGCTGCTTGTTTGTTTTTACTTAGCAGTATATAATGCATAGCTTTCCACATTGGACAAGATAAATCTAGTAAGGTAATATTTTAAAGAAAGGCTTTCTTCTGAAATTTTGAGAAAAAAATTTTTTTTTTCTGAAAAAAAATAATAAGGGGGGAAAAAAGAAACCAGGAATCCTGCCTTAGGCTAAATGAAGTGAAAAATGAAAGTGTGGGGCCGGGCACGGTGGCTCACATCTGTAAACCCAGTGCCTTGGGAGGCCAAGGCAGGAGAATCACTTGAGGTCAGGAGGTCGAGACCAGCCTTGCCAACATGGTGAAACCTTGTCTCTACTAAAAATACAAAAATTAGCCAGGCATGTTGGTGGGTGCCTGTAATCCCAGCTACTTGGGAGGCTGATGCAGGAGAATCGCTTGAACCTGGGAGGCGGAGGTTGCAGATTGTGCCATTGGACTCCAGCCTGGAGGACAAGAGCAAAACTCCATCTCAAAAAAAAAAAAAAAAGAGAAAAAAAAGAAAAGAAAAGAGAAACGAAAGTGGGAAGTTCAAGAGAAGTAGTCTCAGCTCTTTGCATATTGCAGGTGAATGTCATATTTTAGGAAGCGGTTAATATCCAGTTATGTTCTGCTTAGCTCTAGTGAAAATAATCTCATATGCTCACTGTAGTGGGCATTTGTGGTTATTTTACTGCTTAGTGTCTATTCCCCTTACCAACAGCATCCGATTTCCCTTAGAGCATTACACTCCCCAGTGGATAACCTTTTTGGGTGTGCCCTGCACCTCCTAGTGAAGAGGGGCCACGTGACCCAAGCTAGGCCAATCACATATTGCCTCTTTTAAACCTAAAATTTGGAGAAGATGACAAATAAATAACAGTTGACATTTCTACATCCTCGAAATGGTTCTAAAATGATTTTTAAAAGGGTAAGTAGTTAGCAAAATATAAAATAAAACCCTTAAAACCAACATTGAGCCCTGTCTTCAGAATTGTAACTAAAAATAGTTTTAAGAATTGTTGGTTGGGTGCAGTGCCTCATGCCTGTAATCCCAGTACTTTGGGAGGCCAAGGTGGGCAGATCGCTTGAGCCCAGGAGTTCAAGACCAGCCTCGGCAATGTAGTGAAACCCCATCTTACAGAAAATACGAAAAACAAAAATAAGCTGGGCCTGGCGGTGCGTGCCTGCAGTTCCAGCTACTCGGGAGGCTGAGGTGGGAGAATCACTTGAGCCCAGGAGGCTGAGGTTGCAGTGAGTGGAGATTGCACCACTGCACTACAGCCTGGGCAACAGAGTGAGACTCTGTCTTCAAAAAAACAAACAAACAAAAAAAAGAATTGTCAGTCTGCAGCATAATAGATAAGAGCTATTTTGTTGAGATCTCTCGTTTTTATCATTGGGTAAAAAGGTGAGTGTACCCAGGGAATCACTTAGGCAATCCCAATTCGTCTCGACATTGGTAACCTGACATTACAATTTGGGAAGCTACAGTCGTTATTGCACCTGAGCCATGGTGCGCACCTACCCCTGTACTCTGTAGCCAGACCAGCTGAGTTGAACGGCTTTAGTCAATATCTGAGCTGGGTGAGGCTGGGCAAAAGAGCAATAGGTGAAAACAATCCCAGCAAGATGCCCTCTCTTCCTTAGAAATCAATTACTGAGATATCAAAAAGGAAAAGCAATAGAATGCTTTGCCTAATTAAGCAGTTGAGTTTGTAAGTATTTGATAAAACAGCAAAAGTAAATGCAGCACATATATCAGAGCTCTTGGTTGTAAACAGTGGAAACCCAAGGTGGCTTACTTTGAGCTCCATGGAGGAATACGGGGAGAGATACAATAGGTGCTCCCAGAAAGCTTGTGAAGGGAACAACCAAACCCCAGAAGACAGGGTGCACAGAGTTGGGCAGTGGGATTCTCCAACTCTAGAACTGAGGACCTTACACTTGGTATCACCTGTCCCTACAATTTGGCTTCATTCTTCTATACCAGCTGTCTCCATGGGGTGGAGTTACATGGCTGCTTCCAGACATCATCATTAACAAAGAAAGCTCTTCTTCCTTGTGGAGCTCCACTTCAGAATCCTGGTGAAGGCCTCTGATTGGTTTACCTTTCATAGCCTCTTAGAATAATCACTAAAGACAGTGCATGATGCATGGTAATTAACCACATTCCTGCCCTTTGACTGGAACAGAGAGATCAGGGGTCCATAATTAGAAGTTCACACTAGAACCATGTGATTGAAATGGAGAAAGGTAGACAAAAACAATCCATGTTCAACAAAGCCTGTATATGGAGTCAAATATGCCATATTTGGGTATTTATAAACCTATGGGAAGAAAGAATCTGGGTATCATTTGATTTCACAAACTAACATCCCATCAAAAGTGAAAACAAAACAGGATTTATTCAACAAATATTTATATGGCTTAAAATGAGCAAAGCTTGTTTATTTCTGATTTTTGATCACTCATTGGCTTTTTCAGGATGCCGCTGATATTTTTGTCTCTGTGAATGTGGAGGTCTTTCTAAATTTGTCTTAGTAATAACCCTCCTGGAGGGTTTCCTAATATATGCAGGAGATAAAGAAAGAATTACTATATACTTGCCCCCAGCGTGGATTTCTTCATAAGCTGCATTCCAAAGGGAATACTGCATGCATTACCAAAGTTAAAATGCATGAGTCTGTAGAGCTACACTTTGAAAATATTTAAAATGCTAAAAGATGTGTGCATGTATGTCTGAATATGTCTGAATGCAAATGTGTGTGTATGTGTATTTGTGTATGTGAAAACTCTGTTGTAAAATGAAAAACTGAGGGTTGAGTAACCTGGATAGTTCAACAACTTTTAAAGAAAAAAAGAAATACCTCTTAAATTTGACTCATGACGTTTATTTTGCCTGCATGGTGAAAATGTTGATTTCATTAGTCATAGTAGTTGGCCAATGACAGCTATTTCAATATAATCCTTGGATAGTTGACAGCCTTACCAACCATTTCTACAGTTATGAAAATATTCCTCTTCATAATGTGTTAGGAGGTATTACTGCATTTTTTAAAAGTTCAATTTCTTCATTTTTCTTAAACTAGTGAAAATAACTTTTTAAAATTGGTTTTCACATTTTTGCTGCAGTTATCACTATAAATATGTATTATTTTGGCCTATCAGCAGATATCATATTACTTTTGTCAAGAAAATTACCAGTAATACTTGTAGCAAATAAGACATAAATGTAGATAGGCAAACTTACCATCTTTGTTTGGGTTCCCCAGAATGCAGAGTGAGATAAAGATTTGATTACAGATAGTTTATTTGGTGATCCCAGGAACTTCACGGAATGGAGTGGGGAAAGGGAGAGAAAGAAAGGAGAAAAGTAAAAAGGGGGTGCCTTAATAAGTAGGTTCCATTTTTCCTAAGCAACTGGGGCCTACTTCCTCTGGGGAGCCTCTGAGAAACCAGAAAGAATGTATCTCAGAAGGAATTCACTCTTCTGACTCTTGAACCTCGTTGATTAAAGTTGACCTTGGAGGCATTATGCCCTTAGCACTTGCAGGCTACTCGCACTGTGAGCTGAGAAGGGCCTCAGCAGAGAAGCAGAGAGTTATGGCACTCGTGGTAGGAAGATGGCAGTGTGTATAGACATGTTTGCAAGCTGCCGGGGAGCTAACAGGTGAGCCGGGGAACATGGGCAGTGTATCATTAGTGACTACCATGTTCATTCCTTGCTCTCAGCAGATCCTCTCATGCCCACCCTTAGTTTGCTCTGTTACTGACATTTCAGAGTTGTAGCTGGCTGCAATCTCCAAAAATGACTGAAAATAGAAGAATATGTGGAACAAGTCACAATCTTCACTGCTGCAGCTGGTCCCAAGGCTATAATCTATACTCATCATCTCTCTCCAATTCCACTTCTTCTAGATTTCCCGAATCCTTGGCTAGCACTTCCACTAGTCATCATTGCTTGCTCAGTGTATGACCAGACCTTCATCTCTGAGTGGCTGGGCCTTGATTACCTTGCCCTTGTGAGGACATGGCTACTTCAATTGCTTCTCTGCTATTATCGCCAGACAAAGAAGCACTAAGGGGGGCCTGAGTGATTCCCCCAAGTTCTAGACATCTTCCTCCCTGGGCCCATTATGTAGCAGCAACTCCGACTCTTCAAGATAATCAGTCAGGTGTCCCTGCCAGTATAGTACTCCCATTTTTGCCTGCTGACCTGTCAGTATGGAGATGCCCAAATCCTCAGATGGCACTGCATTGATGCAGTGGAACACTTACTGTCTCCGTCTGTACACACACCTTGAGACCAAGGCTTTTAATCAGGAAGAGCCTAAAGTTGTAAGAATTAAAAACATAATTTCCACTAATGGGTGAAAGGGAGTGTGTTTAAGTCAGTCCTACTTGTATCCTTTAATTATCATTCCTGTGTATTCCAAATGCTGGGAAAACAGCACAGTGATTGCATATAGTGATCACTGGTTCAACAAATATGCTGTATCCTCGAGGACAATGACCTAGCCATGCAAGGTGCAATTCCTAAGCCAATGCCTTTTTAAGTCTTTAAAAGGCTATTCAGATACTCTCTCAGACCCCCGCAAAGTCAATAGTCTTCTGATACAATAGATCAGAGCATTATTCTCATGGGTAGTATTTATTATTGTTATTTTTTTGCCTCAGGAATTCAAAGCAGCTCACCAAGTGCTGTGCCTCTGTCTTAGTGGTAGGAAATGTAAAGTATTCTTTTGAGTAGGGTGTCTCAACATACCCCTGGATCTTTGGGCCCCTAAAATATTCCCTGATGTGGCAGACTTCCAAAACTTTGTAGGGCTTATCTCTCATTCCTTCAGCATGAAGTATTTAAAACCAGTATACTTGCTCCTTCCTAAAAACCAAGTTCAATTATTATTCTGTCATTAATATAATGGGCCAGGATGATGTTCTATAGAATGTGAAGATGATCAAGGTCACTGAAGACTATATTGTAACAGAAATGAGGATCATTGAACAAATTCCTAGGGCCAGGTAGTGAATGATAAAGAGAATGCATTCAACAAAAACAACAATCTTTGGCACTTAACGTGAGACTATTGAAAAAGTGGTTTGCATTCACAAGAGAAAGACAGAAGTGCACATTCACTATCAATATGAAGGATCTTGCTAAAGCAACCAGCTTACTTGCTCTTCATGTGGCTTTGCTTTCTTCCAGCATGGCAGCCTCAAGGTAGGTGGTCTTGTTATTTAGTAGCTCAATCTCACAGAGGCATATGTCCCCAGGAACAAGGCAGAAGCTGCATCACCTTTTATGACTCAGCTGTAAGAATCACACAGTGTCACTTCTGTACATTACAGGTCAAAGCAAGTAAAGTCCAGCTTAGATTCAAGGGCATTGAAATTAGGTTTCATCTCTTGGTAGAGGAGTGACAAGATTGCATTGTAGAAGAGCATTTGGGATGAGAGACATGGTTGCAGCCTTCTTTAGAAAATACAATCTGTCATATCTCTCACAGCAAGAAATGTGCTACCCTGCTCAGGGCATGCTGAGACTTGTTTCCAGTTTTTGGAATAGAGGCAATGAGGGCAGGAAGTAGCAGACCTTGAAGTAATCTTGGAGGTGTCTGCTTCAGAGGAGGACTGTGTAGAGTCTCTAGGCAAAGGGAAGCTGTTCTGTTCAAGTAACAGGGTGCAGGATACTCCTGCTAGCCTGGGTTGTTCAGGGAATCTAGGGGTTCAAGGTTATCTAGCACATCTATCCAGATGCCTGCCTGCATCCCAGTAGTTTTTAAGGACCATTTCCTTCCTCTAGGGCTTTGACTTTTGCATGAGAGGCCTGCCTGGACTGTGTCTTCAGTCTGCTCTGTAGTTCAATTCCTCTTGCAGTGAACCCCTGAATGTCATTTTTTTAGAACAGCCTGCCCTCTGGTTGCAGGAAATGGGGGTCTCTTCAGATTCTCCCAAGGAGACCTTCTGGCTTTCATTGCTATGCTCTGAATGGGTAGTTGGATGTTGTAAACCTATCTTTCTTTTTTCCCAATTCTTCTAGGGGAGTTAACAAGAACAAGACAACTCTTCAATTCCTGTGATTATCACAGCCCTATATCTTTCAGGAGTTAGCACTATTGCATAAGGTTAGCGTCTCCTTTCATTTTTACCTCATCCAAGTACACCATGGGTCAATTGTGGGTAATGAAATTCTTCAAAGTGCCAGGGTTTGTCACCACCTTACTCACCACCATTAATGGGGTTTTTGTTGCCTCCATACCATTGATAATATACTTTCTGTAGTCACTTCCAGTACCTATTATCTTAGTTTGAGTTCCTCCCAAATGAGACCTTGAGACAAAGCTTTGGATACAGGAGTTTATCTTGGAGAGTATCCCAGGTAGAACAAGTGAGTGAGTGTGCAAATTGAGAGGGGTGAAATGAAAATTGAGTTGGTGAATGAGTTTTTACTGTGGGCAACTTTGGTTCAATCCCATTTGGGACCTCTGAGGAACCAACCAGAATGCCTTATAATAGTCCCACCAAGGTATGGGACAGTTGCTATTAATCCACTGATCCTCATTCTTCATGGGTTGAGGGGTTTTCAGTCCCCAGCAGTTCCAGGATACCTTGTGAGTGTCGGGCAAGCTCTTGGTGTACTGGAGGAAATCCTCGGAGAAGCAGAATGAGGCAAGTGCTTGATAGGGGAAGACATCAGCATCCTTAGGAAGTGTTCACTGCAGCTGCAGGTCAACTCAGAGTCAAAGGGACATGAGGAAGGGCATCAAGATAGTCTACTACCTACTCCTCAGTAATTCACATGAAAAAATCAAGAGGCACTCCCTGTTAAACATTGTAGACTGAACACATGCGTTTATCACAACTCCATCCTGAAGCCTCTCTGAAATGACTGAAAAGGAATAAAAACAATCTTATAAAACCTGGAAGGATAAAGAGAACAGAAGAGGCAACAGCAGACAAGAGCTAGCAACAAAATGTTGGAAGACAGAAGGCAGACGGGTGAGTGGTAACGAAGTTAACAGAGCAGCAAGAAAGTTTGCTTTGCTGTGGAAAATATCAAAAAGCAAATGAATACCTACTGTACAACCCTGGAAAGGCTCAGAAACTGGAAATTGTTGTTACTTCTGTAGAAAGGGATGCAGGCTGGGGCTGAAAAAAAATGGGATTGGAGATGACCCCTCAGAATCCTTCTCCTCTTCTGTACACCAACCAGCCCAGCAGGCAACTGGTTTAATTTCTAGGGAAATAGAGCCAGGGATTTTCAGACCCAATGATACCATGTTTTGTAGAGGATAGGAGTAAGGCTGAAAAAGGATGATCAAGGTCAAGTCTACATGCCATATACTAATTAGTGAGACTCCCACCCTTTTTCCCTCACTTGCAGTTAGGGCACTGGCAACTAGATTTATATTCCCTAGGCAGGGAATTGGAAGAGTCCCCTTTGACAAAACCAACTGATTGGAGAAAAGACTTATATACTGACATTTTTAAGTCTCCCAGTGAAATGACCAGGTGCCTGACTGATTGCTCTCCAGTAAACAGTAGCAATTGACAAACACTGCAAATACACACAAAGCTTCCCATTTGCTTTTTAAGTGCCTCACTCTTAAGTGTGAACAATCAAGTATCACCAGACATGTGAGGAAAGTCTCCAACATAAAATATTAAAGATTAAAATAAACAAATAAATGAATAAAGGCAACTTGGAGTAACAAAAAGTGCAGTGAAAAGAACACTTAAACATATTATTGACCTCAAAAAAAAGATAAAATGTTACATCTGCAAAATAAGAATGTGTGGTTACATGAAAAAAGGAGTATGTAGAGCATAAGAAATCATTCTTGGTAAATGAAAATAGGGTAACAGAAATAACAGATTCAATAAAAGGGCTGGAAGGTAAGTCTTCAAGAAACTAAGTAAAAAGACAAAGGGATGGAAAAATGGAAGAGTCAAGTAAATCAGGTAATTGAACTAGGAGACCATCATTTACTAACAGGACTTTAAGAAAGACAAAATGTAGAAAACAGAGGGGAGAAATTATAAAAGAAAGGATTTTAAAACTTCCCTAGAACAGAAGGATAAGATTCTCCAGATTCATAGGCTCACGAGAACAAGTTCAACGAGCGAAAACTCCAAGCTTACCCTCACTCTCTCCAATATGCCCTTGTAGATGCTGTCATGGAATTTCTGCCAACTGAACATGCTCTCAGTGCCTTGACTTCTTTTTCTTCAATTATATAATTAATTTCCATCATTTCTTCAGCCAACTTCTTTCTTCCCATTGCTTAGATCCTAGAACTTATCATTACCAATGACTGCACTGATATTAACTTGATAATCTCAACTTCAAGCTTCCCACTTTCTGACCATAACCACTGATTTTTCCTGTTAGGTTGGTGCAAAAGTAAGGGCAAAACAAACAAACAAACAAAAAACCAAACAAACAAGAAAATTACTTTTGCACCAACCTAATAGTTTATTCCCACTAACATCCCAATTCCTAAAATATTTCTGGTCCTTTGGGACTGAAAATTAGTTAATCTGATGCCACCACCTTTTCACTGTCCCGCACTCACCTCGCGTCCTTACCCTGTGTAGATTCTACAGTCCATCAGTATAAATTCCCTTGCATACACTTTCAACTCTCTTGCCCTTCTCTCCTTTCATTGTATTTTCTTGAAAAGGACCCAGTCCTGGCTTAATTCAATTCCCCACACATGATGTTTGCACATGCCTGCAGCTTAATATGGCAGGAGAAAATACACATCCAAACCAGGCGGTCCTGATTTAAACTCGTTATCACTCACCTCCGGTGAGACTTTTGTGCTATTCAGCAATCCCACTACATCTTCCTAGTCTATTTACTGCCCCATTCTCCTTGTTTAGTTCCTCTCCCACCCTCCTAAATGACTATTTTGTATCTTTTCCTACAATATCTCCTTTTCCACCCTCATTTCAAGTTCATGCCCTTACCTCCAAATTCACTAAGAAAATTAAAGCAACCTGAAAATGCCCCTCCTCATTCCCATCACCACATTCACTTGCATCTGTTAGTGCACCCTGCGTGCTACAGTACACACATGTTCCATCCCCTGAGCTAAGACAATCCCTCTACTTATAGTCTTAGTTTCTTCCCCTTCCTTGAAAGTTTTAGTAATTGTACTTTGTCCCTTCTTTCCCTGTCTTTTATCAGTTTTTTCCTCCTCTCTTGGATCATTCTCACCAGCAAGTAAATGTGCTATATTATCTTCCATTGGAAAAATGAAAATCTTTTCCTTATATCATATCTCGACTCCCCTTCAGGACAAAATTTAAAGGACTGACTGCATTCACTGTCTCTAAGACCACTCCTCCACTTCCCTTTGAACTCACTTCAGTCATGTTTTCACTCTCACAGGTTGAGCTAGTCAAAAATCACTGATGACCTCCATGTTGCTAAGTCTCAGTCCTTATCTTACTTAATCAGTCAGCAGTTGATCATTCCCTTCTACTTGAGACAGTCTCTTGGCTTGCTTTCTACCTCCCTGACTACTCCTTCTCAATCTCCTTTGTGGATTCTTCCTCTGTTCCTTAATCTTTAATATATGGGCATGCCTCTGATCTCAATCCTCAGACCTCTTTTTTTTCTATGTTCACTAATTCCTCTGCCACCTCACTTGTTTTGTCAATATTTATAGGCTGATGACTTCAAAGCTTATATATCTAGCCAACACCCCTCCTCTTAGCCCCAGACTCCCATATCCAGCTACTACCTGTTTGGGATCTCCAAGCAGAGGTCTAATAGGTATTTCAAACTGCAATGTTCAAAACAGCTTCTGCTCTTCAGAGACGTCTCTATTTCAGCAATTCCTTCCTTCCATTTGTTCAGGATAAAAACATCAGTGTCATATTTAATTAACTCCTCTCTTCCTTTATCCTATATCATCATCATATGCTTTATAATCACTGGCATGTCCTGTTGGTTTCACATTTAAAAAAAAGCAGAAACGGAACACTTTTCAACACTTTCAACATCACTAACTGGAACCCCACTAGCTGGGTACAAGCCCATTATCACTTGCTTGACTTCCTGCAATCACCTCCTAGCTGGTCTCCCTCCTGCTGCCTTAGCCCACCAGTTTATTCTCAACACAGCAGCCAGTCTGATGCTTTAAACATATGATTTAGATCATGACACTTCTCTGCTCAAAACCCTTCATTGGCTCCCTAGCTTATTTAGGATAAAAGCCAGATCCTTATAAAAAACCTCCAAAGCCTGATATAATCGGCCACAGACTACTTCTTGCAATCCACATCTCACCTCTCTCCCCCTCACAAACCCTGGTCCAGCTTACCCAGACCATCTGTTCTTCCACAATGCCAGGCTTGCTTCTGCCCCACCCCAGGCTCTTTGCACTGGACATCCATGATCTGGAGTGCTCTTCCCTCAGCAGCCCATTCCTTCACTTCCTGAGGTATATTCTTATACTTCAAGTAACGAAACAAAAGAGCAGTGCCTTTAAAAATTTAAAAATTTGCTGGAAAATATTTCTAATCTATAATTCTCTTCATATCTAGATTATCAATCAAGTTTGAAGGTAGAAATTGCATTTTACAGCATGCAAGGTCTCCACAAATTTCCCTTCAATTTCTTTTTCCGGAAGCTCCTGGAGGATGTGCTCCACCAACATGACATAATAACCCAAGAAAGAGGAAACAGGGCATCCAACACGGAAGAGAGGCAAGGGGAATTCCCAGGGTGATGGTGACAGGAAGTCCTGGGGCCATAGCTGTGCATCCAACCTAGCAAGAGGACAGCAGGTGCAGGAGGAAGGTAGTCAAGGGTAAAGAATGACACTGAGAGATTGCCTGATGCATTTGTTCATGTGAAGGAGACCGATACAGTTTTGTAGAGCTTGGAGCTGATACATGAGAGTCACATAGAAAAGCAGTGGGGTGGTTTTCTGTAGGAAACAAAACAATTAGACAAGAAAAGATAAAACATGATCACATGCCCCAACTGTTAACAATATTTTCATGGTCATAAGAATGACTTCAACCAAAATTGTGTAGTAACCCTATTGGGACCATGTAAGGAGTACAGATGCTCCTTGATTTATGATAGGGTTACGTCCCAATAAAACCATCGTTAAGCAGAAAATATTGTAAGTCAAAAATGCATTTAATACACTAACCTACCAGGCGTCATAGCTTATTGTAGCCTGACCTGCCTTAAATGTGCTCAGAACACCTACATTAGCCTACAGTTGGGAAAATTACCTAACACAAAGCTTATTTTATAATAAAGTGGTGAATTTCTCATGTAATCTATTGAATACTGTACTGAATGTGAAAAACAGAATGATCATATAGGTACTCGAAGTGTGGTTTCTACTGAAATGTGTATTGCTTTCACACCATCATAAAGCAGAACAATTTAAAGTCAAACCATCATAAGTTGGGAACCATCTGTATAGTGTGCAAGGGGGATGGAGTAGAAAGAAAGCTGGAGACTCAACTTCCAGATTAGAAAGCTAATACATTATGTCTAAAAGCTTAAAGATAGAGGCATAGCAATGTAATAATGTTATTTAAGAATATGAAGGTAAATATAGAAGTGATGGCTGAAAGATTTGAAAATGTTTCCTCTGGGAGCAGAAATCAGGATAGAGAGGGGATGCTTTTTTCTCTTTTAAATTAAAGACTTATAATGATTGACTTTTGTAAACTAAGTACATGAATTTCTTTGCTAAAATTAAAATAAAATCAGAAATAAATAGAAAGAATAGTTCTCCAAACTACAATAAAAAAGAAAGTCATGAATCATACTTAATTTAACTGATATGTAAGTGGTATAAATTGCTCATACAGAAAAAACAAAAAAATTATTTTCAATTTGTTCTAACCCTGTGAACATCTTCTAACGTGTTCTACCTATATTTCTCTTTCCTTTTCTCTTTCCTTCCTTCCTCCTTCTTCCTTCCTTTCTTGGCTTTTCTTTTCTTCTTTCTCTTTCTCTCTCCTTTGTTTCTTTCTTTCTTTTTCTCTCTTTCTTTCTCTTTCTTCCTTTCTTTTTCTTTCTTTCCTTTCTTTCTTTCTTTCTTTCTTTCTTTCTTTCTTTCTTTCTTTCTTTCTTTCTTTCTTTCTTTCTTTCTTTCTTTCTTCTTTCCTTCTTTCTTTCTTTCTTCTTTTTTTGAGACACGGTCTAACTCTGTCACCTAGGCTGGGGCTCAGTGGCATCATTATAGCTCACTGCAGCCTTGACCTCCTAGACTTAAGTGATCCTTCTCCCTCAGCTTTCTGGGTATGTGGGACCACAGGTGTGCACTACCACACCCAGATAATTTATTTATTTATTTATTTATTTATTTATTTATTTATTTATTTATTTTGGTAGAAACAGGATCATCCTATGTTGCCCAGGCAGGTCTCAAACGCCTAGGCTCAAGCAATCAGTCCTCTTCAGCCTCCCAAAGTGGTGGGATTACAGATGTGAGGCAACGTGCCCAGCCTCTCCTTTCTTCTAGGAAGTATATCCCCTTTGTTTTACAGATTTGCTCCTTTTGCATTTGTGTTTAACTGTGGTAGCATCCCATCTCCTATACATAGGGGTTGGCATATGATTCCATCAAGCCAGTCTGAGTCCTGTCTTGAAAGTTTTTGAATTGAATAGAGGAATGGAGCTTTGTGAAAGCAACCCCAGAGCTGTCAGCAGGTATGTCTTCTGTGTGAAAAATCCTGTCTGCAGTAGATAGTAGGCAACAATGACTCAGGCACAGAAATCTGGGGAAGAAATAAAGAACGAACTTGAGAGTGGGAGAGAAATCTAGAACTGACAGCATTCAGGTTTCTGGTTCTGGTTGTCCCCAGCTACTTCCTTGCATATCTAGCTCACGAGCCAAGAAGCCCTCCTTTTCTGCTCATGCTGTTTCAGGTTGCATTTATAGCAACTTCTAAAAGCACAATGTACATGTGTGTCAAAGGCAGCACTACAACACACCTTTATTGTTCCCCTACTAAGTGTGGGGCATTAAGTGCTTGACACTGGGTCCATCCTCAAAGAATTTGAGAAATCAGGACACAAAGACAAATGGAATCCTGAGGAGCCTCAAGTGCAAGAGGAGCCATGTAAATAATGAGTGCATTCAGAGGGAGGAACAGTAATGGAGGAGTAGGGAACCAGATTAGAAAAGGAGGTGGCCTTGGAAGGGAGAGGAGAGAAACGGGAAGTGTATTCTAGGCAGGGAGACAATGAGAGCTGGGGTTGCAAACTCAAAAGCTTACTAGTGCTGCAGGGCAGGGTGGCTCATGCTTATAGTCCCAGCTACTTAGAAGGCTGAGAAGGATGATTGCTTGAGCCCAGGAGTTTGAGGCTCTAGTGAGCTATAATCGTGCCACTGCACTCCAGCCTGGGAAACAGAGTGAGACCCTGTCTCCAAAGAAAGAAAAAAGAAAAAAAATTTAAAAGCTTACTAGAGCCATGCATCACATGAGTCAGGCTGGGGTGGTTGTGGGGAGCACGTGTTCCATTTGCACAGGGCTCCTGCGCCCAACAATGAATGCTGCCAGGGGAGGGCCCAGTCTTACCAGGACTTCCAATTTTTCAGGAAAAGTGAGAAATCTAAATTTTGTTGTGAAATTGGTGATGTTTAAATGTTGACAAGAATTTGTAAAAATCAAAACACTATATGAGCCAAACATACCATGTCTATTGGCTGGCTCTGGGTAGTGGTCCTTGGGTGAAAGACTGATGCTGTAAGCAAAGGCAGGGCAGAGGAAACATGTGATTGTGTTTCTAAAAAGAAGACTGGGAGCAGACGGTTGTATTGAAGAATAGTAGAAAAGTTTGGAGAGTTAGATGGGGGCTTTGAGCCCTGTTAACAGGTTATTCAAGAGACATGTGTGCAGAGAAATATTTTAGGAAGATATATTTGGTAGCTGGGTGAAGGATGAGTCAGACATGGAAAAGACTAGAATACTGTTTTATTTAAAGACATGATTTTAAGGGTTTGGTACTTTTGTGGTTTTTTTAAACTGTAAAATGGGGTCAAAGTTATTCTCATGTGAAACTGTAAGGTTTTCCTCCTTTAAGTCTGAAGCAGAACTGATCTTTCTGTTAACCTCCTGACAGAGCAATATTGGAACAACAGGGGACTCAGTGGGGAGATGGAGGGGAAGGCTTTCACTGTGCAACACTTGGAGTAGAGTCTAACCACATTCTTGCTGGACATTGCTATACTCTCCCCCCAAAGTCTCTCTTTGATCTCCATCCACTGAGTCTCCTTCCCTCTCAACTCTGTCCCCCACCATCACTACCTATTTAATCCTCCCCACCAGTGGAGTTGCAGCAGCCATGGAGCTGAGCTATCTAAATGCCCCTTCCAAAGTAAATCTTCCATGAGTTCAGTCAGCCTTCAGTCTCCAGCTGTAGTACCTTTGGGATTTGCCATAGGGTGCACACCGAGGTCATGCTCCCCATGGGCTGTTCCCAGTCAATAACTGAGCAGGCAGGGGTACTAGAGCTCATCATTTTTGCCCAACGTGGGACTCTTCTAATGGCCAATATTTACTCTGAGGTTCCCCATTGTACTGGCTGATTTTCTCAGACTGCACTTCAGTTGGAGCCTCTTCTTATCCAACCCTTCTTCCTTCCTCATTTCCTTTCACAGATGTCAGAGCCTACTTCTGCTCCCTCATCCCTTTACCTTTCACAGCTGTTTTGTCCAATAAATCTTTTGCCCTTCTAATTCCATCTTGGCATCAGCTTCCCAGACAACCGAACTGGAACCAGGATTAATCCAAGAAGGCAGGTAGTCAAAGAGGTTTGGGGACAGGATCACTCACTTTCTGGCTAGTAAGGTAGATCTCCTCTGGAATGGAATGTGGGGCATGGATAATCTTTGGCACAAGATGGTGGCCTAATTGCTAAAACTTTCATTGGTGGTGATTCGGGACATCAGGCCTTCAAAAATTATGAGGGGAACAGTGTGTACAAAGACAATGGACTTGATGGGATTTTACTAATTTGTTTTATGCCCTGCAAAGGGATTATGACAAATGAACACTAAAAACTATGTGTGAAAAACCAAAAGCCATTTTAAAAAATGGGAAGACCTGACAGATGCCAAATATTGGGAGGAGGCTTCAATAGCTCCCAAACAAGAGATATGGATGGCAAATAGGCACATGGAAAGATGCTCAATATCATGAATTATTAGAAAAATGCAAAATCGAATAAAATATCACCATATATGTATTATAGTTTTGATGGCAAAAATTTAAACTACAGATAGCACAAAGTCCTGACGAAGATGTGTAACAAATGTAACTCTCATAGATCACTGGTGGGAATGCAAAAT
This sequence comes from Homo sapiens, assembly GCF_000001405.40. Lineage (NCBI taxonomy): Eukaryota > Metazoa > Chordata > Mammalia > Primates > Hominidae > Homo > Homo sapiens. The sequence goes on from NC_000004.12 coordinate 146,064,650, forward strand.
GGTACAGCTATTTTGTCAGTTTGGCAGTGTTTTTAAATTATCTGAAACATACACATTATCATGTAACCCAACAATCCCATTCCTGGCTATTTACTCAGGATAAATGAAAGCATAACTTCACACAAAGACCTGAATGTGAAAGTTTATACAAGTTTTATTCATAATTACCCAAACCTGGAACAACCCAAATGTCCACCTAATGAGGAATGGATAAACAAATTGTGATGCATCTATACTATTAAAAACAAAAGGGAATGAACTACTGATGCATGCAGCAACATGAATGACTCTCAAATGTGTTAAAATGAAAAGAGGCAGGTGCAAAAGACCTCATGAATGATTCCATTTATGTGATACTTTTAAAAAGTCACAGAGACAGAAATCAGAACCATGGTTGCCAGGGGCTGGGGTTGGCAAGAAGATTAATTAAAAAGGAGCATCATGAAGGAATTTTTTGGGGTGATGCTTATGTTCCTTATCTCAACTGTGGTGGTTGTTACACTAATATATACATTTTTCAAAAACTGATCAAACTATACATCTAAATTTTACTATATGTAGATTTTATCTTAATAAACCTGTGTTTAAAAAATAAGTATGAAAGACAAAGGTCCTTCTTCGTAGCTTTCAAAGCATCCCTTGTCTTCAGAAGTGCAAAGTGGGCATAGCTGAGGTATGAAGTCAACATTTAATAGAGTTGCAGAACTACAAAGACAATGAATGATCAGCCAAGGCAGGTCTGCTATGCTAAGGTCAGGGCCCTAGCTGAGAAAAGCAGGGACCCTGAAACATGGAATACAGACATCTGGGTGAAGAACCCCTGAAGACAGTGACCCTGCAAACTCCCAAGCCATTAGAGGCTACAGAAGTGTCCCATCTCCCACAAGTTTAGAGCTTTGCCCAGAAAGGAGGACACTGCAGAGGCCTATTTTCTTCAACACAACAAGAGTCTCCTTGGTTTACTACCTCTTCTCTTAGTGCCAGATGGATAAACATGGTTAAACCCCAGCACCCCACTTCTGAGGACATGCTGTGCCTGATAAGGGAAGAGAAAGATTACATCCCAAAAAGGCTGGAAGAATTAGCCACCACGGACTGGCAGAAGCCAAGGGAAGTACTCCCGGGATTTGATGTTGAGGGTGTTTGATCAAAGAGGCCAGGATATAAGACTGGAAAAGCAAGACGTTTTAGTCTCGGGACACTGTGGAACATTGGATTTAACACTCTGTCGAGGATCTTAGGAGATAGGCAAATTTACGGCTGGGTGGTTCTCAGAAACATGAAGAAAGTGATGACCCTGCCAGAAAGAATTTTCCAAGGAAGAGGCACTGAATAAGCAAGTAGACAAAAATGACTTGGACAGCCAATATTATCCAGGCTTTGTCATTGGCTACCCCAGAATTAGCATGACCTGCACATGAATGAAGCTGCCATGGAAGCAGAGATGGGTCCAACAGCATGAACTCCCATGATCTAGCTATGGCTGCCTCCAAATGTCCAATCTTCCAACAATAGATACCAATACTGATCCTGCAATATGGCGCTATCTCTTGAGGAAACCAAATTGTCATTTGGTGACAAGTTGACTACATTAGGTCCCTTTTATCATGGGAGGGCCAGTGATTAATTCTTATTAGAATAGGTAGCTATACTGGTAAAAGTTTGCATTTCTTGCCTTCGGAGGCTCAGCCTGCTAAGCTTCCTATCTGAGAGTTTATGGAACGTCTGTTCCACAGGCATGGAATCCCACATAACATAACATCTAACAGGATACCTACTTCACACTAAAGGAAACCCTTGACCATGGGGCCAACTTGTTCTACCACAAGCCACATCATCCAGAAGCAGCCAGCCTCAAAGAGCACTGGAATAACCTTCTAATGGCCCAACTTCAGCACCAGCACAGACACAATACTCTGTAAGAGTGGGTATCATTCTCCAGGATGCAGTTTATGCACTGAACCAGAGACTTGTGGAGGTCTGTCCTCAGGTATGGAGCTGTGTCGCCATTGAGAAGTATGCATGGACCCAGGAACCACGGGGCACGAATACCTTCTTTTCTACCATCTTCTCATCCATTCCAATGACTCACAGGGGTCATTTCACTTCATGGCTGCACAACTGTGGGGGCTGTGGGGTTAGAGCTCCTGGTCCTCAAAGTGGGTGCACTCTAGCCAGGCAGAAAAGCCAGAGTTCCATTAAACACAAAATTAAGGCAGCCTTCCAGGGCACCTTGGGCTCTTTGTGTCCAGAGACCAGCAAGTTAGAAATGACCATCCTGGCAGGAGTAATCGATCTCGATCAGCAAGAGGAGGTAAGAACATTTTTATATAATGGACAGAGTCATTGCGTACATATAGAGCTCAGGTAACCTACTTGGGTGCCTCTTAGTAGTCCCATGCCCACTTGCAGTGTGAAGGGACCCCCTTGTATAGCAACTTTGGCCAGAGATTACTAGGGCTCAGCCCCTGCAGTAATGTGATCTGGAACACATCACCAAGTAAGCCTCCAAGACTTGCAGAGGTAATAGCCAAGGGTAAAGGGTAGTTGGAATAAACAGTGGAGAAGAGAGAAAATGTGTGCCGCTTGCAACTCCAAAACTAATCGCAGTGATGGGGGCTGAGGTTCATCTGACCTCCCTCTTCTGAGCTTATCCTCAGGAAGCAAAGCTCACAGTAACTGTGGAGGAGCAGCCCCCGATCATGCATGGAGAGGTAGCTCACACAGAGTGAACTGCAGTGGTCCTGGATTTGTGCCATTCAGAACTCCCTTCAAGAGAAAGCCTGTTGCGAGGAGTGTGGTTAGCTTACAGCCTCCAGCTGCAGAACCTTCTGGACCCTGTGCAACATGCACACATACTCATAAACACTGAAACCATGTTCTCTTAAAAGATTGAGCATGGTGGGGATACTAGAGCCTGGCCATTCCTGCCCAACGCAGGACTCCTCTCACAGGAACTCCTTGCTCTGTAGTTTCTTCTTGAGTAGGCTGACTTTCCGAGAGCTGTACCACAGTGAGAGGGTGAGGGTAGGCTCTTCTCACCCTTCTCTCCTTCCTTCTCACAGTCTAAAGTGTTCCCTGCCTGCTGTTGCTCCTTTGGTTTCCTCCCTCCCTCCCTTCTTTCCTTCCTTCCTTCCTTCCCTCCCTCCTTTCCTTTCCTTTCCCTTTCTTTCGTTCTTTCTCTTTCTTTTTCTTTCTTTCTTTCTCTTTCTTTTCTTTCTTTCTTTCTTTTTTTCTCTTTCTTTCTTTTTCTTTCTCTTTCTTTTCTCTTTCCCTCCCTCCTTCCCTCTCTCTCTTTCTCTCTTTCTTTCTTTCTTTCTTTCTTTCTTTCTTTCTTTCTTTCTTTCTTTCTTTCTTTCATCTTCCTTCCTTCCTTCCCTCCTTCCTTCCTTCCTTCTTTCTTTCTTCTCTCTCTCTCTCTATCTCTTTCTTTCTCAATGGAGTCTTGCTCTGATGCCAGGCAGGAGTGCAGTGGTGTGATCCTAGCTCACTGCAACCTCCGCCTCCTGGGTTCAAGCGATTCTCCTGCCTCAGCCTCCTGAGTAGCTGAAACTACAGGTGTGCACCACCACACCCTCCCAGCTAATTTTTGTATTTTTAGTAGAGACGGGGTTTCACCATGTTGGCCGGGATGGTCTCCATCTCTTGACTTTGTGATCTGCCCGCCTCGGCCTCCCAGTGTGCGGGGATTACAGGCGTGAGCCACTGCACCCAGCTGTGTGTTATTAGTGCTATCTTGACCTCTGCTTCCTAGAGGGAGAAGCACCCAGAGGGACAATTACCCTTTCTTATGCCTGATCCTAATGGGAGCACAGCTTCTGTGCAAGCAGCCACACAAAGAAACTGACTTCTCTCCTGCAGTGATGGTTCTGATTACGCTACTAAAATTCAAGGCAAAATTTAATATTCCTTCACATTTTTAATGCCCAGAACACTTAAATTATTAAAACTGGGGGGAAAAGTCAACTTACAGAAATATAATTATTTATATTTTAGCAAATTACTGTTCCACAAAGTGAGTGCATACACAGTGCATCTGCTCAAGAACATTCCAAGAGATCCCCAGTCAGGTTTTAATCTATTTCTTCAGGTCTCCTCAAGTTTTGCTATTTCCAAAACTCCTTATTCTAAAACTTACAAGTCAATTTTTCAGCCCTATAACATGTTAAGAAAATTTCACATTTTCATCGACTGAAAAGGAAAGTACCGTTATATAAAAGATGAATAAGCTGACAGTTTTGGAGGGGCTGGCATCATTATATTTAAATGGTTTCAAGTGTTTTAATTTCATCCACCATCAGATTTTATGCAAATAGAAAGTAAGGTCTGTGCCTTTTCGTGTATCCTTCTGGGCCCCAGGAATTCTGTCTGTGCTTAACAAGTTCTCAGTAAATAACTAGTTTATTTAATCTCTCCCCATCCTCTCCTTTCTTCGACCACCACTCGAGGATAATGGTCATTATACTCCCTTAAGACCAACTCATTTCTTCCTTTGTTTTTATTTTCTCAATATATCTAAATATTTTAAATGATTATTTTTAATTACATCAACAAGTCTGCTTATCTTACAAAGTGATATAGATCCAAATATACATAAAAACAACATTAATAACCTTCTTCCAGTCCCTTCCATCCTCACCCCGTAACTAAGCAATGGTAACAGCTTGATGTACCTTGGTCCATATCTTTTCTTATGCTCATATGGACTTGTAAAAATTGGCATATTCATGTGTAGTGTATTTTTTGATTGATAAAAAAAATCACAGTTAAGCAATGTGTTTTTTTCATCTCTCTGTCTCAGTAAGTGAGGCTCTGGCTCAATTTTTTTAAAACAACATCACAGTCCAAGTTATTGGTAAAACCACAGTTTATTCAGCTTGCTTATTCCTGAGGTCTAATGACATTAAGTGTATTTTCATAATATTATAAAACAAATATTTACTTCTCTCTTGTGCATTGCTGTTCCTATTCTTTATTCCTTATATTTAAATTTCTAAACCAGCAGAACCTTACTTTTATGGATAACATGAGATAGTGGATTTAGTTTTGTTTTCTTCTAGATTGATGTCCAGTTTATATTTAAAAAATAAATCAATCTTTTCCTACTGAATTGAAATAGCACCCTTTCCATATTTCAAATTCTTATATATAATTGCATTTATTTTGGGATCAATTTCTGATCCACTGATACATTTTTTATTCATCTCTTAATGTTGTTTTGATTACAGTGACTTTATAATATGGGTGAATATTTGGTAGGACAATTCTTCCTTTTCTGTCTTTTATTTTCATAATTTTCTTGCCTATTCTTGGATGCTGATTTATTTTTTCATTTAAACTTTACATTCATTTCATGTAGTTTTGTAAAATGACTTGCTATGGTTTGAATGTTTGTGACCTCTCCAAATTCATATGTTGGAATCCTAACCCCCAAAGTGATAGTATTAAAAGATAGAGCCTTTGGGAGGTAATTAGGTTGCAAAGGCAGAGCTCCCAAAAAGGATTCGTGCTCTTATAAAAGAGGTCCAAGGGAGCTTGTTTGTCCCTTCCCCCACTGAGGACACAGCAAGAAGGCGCCGTAGATAAACCATGAAATGGGCTCTCACCAGACACTGGTCTGTCTGTGCCTTGATCTTGGACTTCCCAGCCTTCAGAACTATGAAAAATCAATTTATGTTGTTTAGTAGCTATCCAGTCTGTAGTATTTTGTTATAGCAGCCCAAAGGGACCAAGACACAATTCAATGTGATTCTAACAGGAATTGCATCACAGTTATATATTAATTTTTCTAAGGATTAACATTAACACTATCCTTTCTGGAGTACTGGCAAGTCTCTCCTCTTGTTTAGATCTTGTTTTCTGTCTTTAAAAATGACTTTATAGTTTTTTTTATATGGGTCATTTACTTAACTATTAAAAACATTTCTTAGCCATTATTGTTGTTTTTATTATGATTTTAAAGAAGATATTTCAAATGTAAAATTGTATTATTAATTTCAAATATACAGATGAGTATAAAACATAATATTCAAGGCAACTTGTACCCTCCTCTCATACTTACTAGATTTTAACATTTTGGCATAGTTATAGAATGTGATGACATTCTTTCATCCTCCCCCTTTCTAGAGATGTGACTAGTATCTAGAAGCCAGTGTGTATGATTCCTGTACATTTGAACATTTTAAAAATATGTTTGCATTCCTAAATAATACATAATGGTTTTACATGTATTTCTAAGTAACATATAATGCTTTTATGAGTTATTTAAAAAATAAATCTATATCCACGTCTAGTTATTGCTTATATTGAGAAAGACCAATGATTTTCATGTACTGTTTATATCTTGATTTGAGATACTTTATTAAGTTATTTTAATTGTAATAGTATTTATCTTATTGAAATCTTAGGCTTTCTCTCTTCTCTATTACACACAAAGATATATAATTTTACCTTTTTTGTACAATACACGTGCCAATTGTTTTCTTTTAGTTTAATTATCTAAACATTCCAAACAATGTTGAATAATGCTGGTAAAAGCAGCATGGTTTTCTTATTCTTGATTTCAATGGAAAAGACTTTAGAAATTCTAATGTAATGCTTCTGTTATTTTTCACAGTCTTGTCATATTTAAGCAAGACTTTTAACTTTTTTTTTTAGGATAATATTTATACTTCTCATTCACAATTAGGGTCCACTTTTGGGCCAGACCCCAGCCAGGAGAGACCCTCTATGTGAAAGTCGGGTATTTTGAGCATCTTGGCATTGGTCCCATCCTGTTTTACGGGTGGTAACAGGTATTTTGAGTTTACATTATTTGCAGGGCAAAATCTAGATGGTTCTCACAATGTGATCCCTAAATGACAGCATCCGTTATATCCTAGGAATTTTTTTGAAATACAAGTTTTTGGGTCTCATCCCAGACCTACTAAATCAGAAATTCTAAGGCTGGAACACAGCAATTTGTGTTATCACAATCCTTCTGGCATACACTGAAGTATCAGAACCACTTCTTCTTTGCAGTATATACATACAATGGAATAGTATTTAGCTCTTTAGATAAAGAAGGAAATCCTGACATAAGCCAAAACGTGGATGAACCTGGAGGACAGTATGTTAAGTGAAATAAAGCGGGCGCTGAAGAACAAATACTGAATGATTCAACTTAAATAATGTATCAAAAATAGTCAAACTCCTAGAAGTGTAGAGTAGGATGGTGGTTGCCAGGGACTGGGAGGAAGGGGATATGGGAAGTTGCTGTTCGATGCGTATAAAATTTCACTGTGCGAGATGAGTAAGTTCTAGCTGTACAACATTGTGCCTAGAGTTAACAACACTGTATTGTGCACCTACAAAATTGTTGAGGGTAGATCTCATAAGTGTTCTTACCACAATAAAAACAACATAAAGTAATATAAAATGAAACACAAGCACACAAATCAAAGAAAGTAAAATTTGAGAACCACGGATCTGGAGACAAGTCTAGCACTCAAACAGGCTGTTATTGGCCCCATCTTTTTTTTTTTTTCTTCCTCAAGTCTTCTCTTGATCTCACTTCTCCCACCAGCCCTCTTTTCTGCCACAATAAAAATAACGTAAAGTAATATAAAATGAAATACACACACGCAAAATTAAAGAAAGGAAAATTTGAGAACCACTGGTCTGGAGACAAGTGCAGAACTCAAACAGGCTGTTACTGGCCCCATCTTTTTTTTTTTTCTTCCTCGAGTCTTCTCTTGATCTCACTTCTCCCACCAGCCCTCTTTTCTTTTCAGCAAGAACTTCTCAAAAGAGTTGTTTTATGTTCACTGTCTCCAAGTCTTCTCTTCCTATTTTTTCCTCAAGCCACACTAATTAGATTTTTCTTTATTTTTGTTCACAGTCATTGAAACTTCTCTTGTTGAGTCATGCTCATGTTGCTAAATCCAGTGGTCATTTCTCAATCCCCATGTTACTTGACCAATCAGTGGCATTTGATCCAGTTGATTACTCCTTCATTTTCAATATACCTTCTTTAACTATCTTCTAAGACAACACACTTTCTGGAGTTTTTTTCCTAGTTCCCGGCTGCTCCATTATCAGTTTTGGCCTTCAATGTTGGAGTGATCCAGGGCTGAGCAATTGATCTTTTTTAATTCCCCATCTCACTCACTTCCTTGGTAATCACATTTACTCATTGCTTTAAATGCCAACTATGTTAGAGCTGCCCAATTTAGCAAATATAGCTACAGGATGGTCAGTGAAGTTTGAATTTCAGATAAGCAACAAAAAATGTTTTACTATAAAAGTATCCCAAATATTACATATGATACACAATATTAATTATGTTATGAATAATTATTTGTATTAATTATTAATAATAACCACAATAATTACTAATAGTTATATCAGGGAATTAAATCCATTACCTAATATATATTTGGGACATATTTATCCTAAAAAATTATTTGTTGTTTATCTGAAAATTGAACTTTGTTACATTCCTATATTTTATCTGGTAATCCTAATCTGTAAGGCAAGGAACTCCCAAATTATATATTCAGCCTAGAGCTTTCTTTTACAGTCCAGAAATCTATAACTGTTGACATCTCCACTTGGATGATCAATAGACAATTCAAACTCAACATGACCCAAGCTGAGCTCCTGATGTTCCCCATCTCTAGATGTGCTCTACCCACAGCCTTCTCCCATCCCAGTTGATGGCAACACCTCCTTCCAGTAGATCAGGACAAACACTTGGAGCAAGCGTTTTCTTGTTCTCTTTCTCTTGCATCCCACACCCAATTAGTCAGGAAGACCTATTGGTTCTACCTTCAATAAGAATCTGGATTTCCAACCATTTCACACATCCCTACATCCATACCATCCTGCTGCAAGCCACTATCATCTATTGCTTCCAGTAGCCTCCTAGCTGGTCTCCACTGTTTTCCCTTCAGTTTGTTCTCATGACAGAAACTCTAATAGGATTCTTTTAAAATCTAAGCCAGATGTTCCTCTTCCGCTCTGCTCACTCCAATGGCTTAATCTCATGAATTAAAAGCCAAACTCATTTCGATGGTTTGCAAAGTTCTGCATCACCTACTTCATGCTACTTCTCTGGCATCATTTCCTGTTAGCTTCCTTTCACTGGCTCTCTTCTGACCACACTGGCCTCCTTGCTATTCCTAGTTCACTCTAGCCATGTTTCCACCCGAGAACCATTGCACTGGCTGTTCCCTCTGCCTGGAGTGCTCTTCTCCCAGATATTCACCAGGCTAACTCCCTCACCTCCTTAAGTCTTTGCTCAAATGTCACTTTCTCAGTGAAGCTCAAACAGACCACTTTATTGAATTTGTAATTCACTCCTTCACACACACACACACACACACACACCCCTAAAGTCCCTTGCTCTGCTTTATTTTTTTACCATAGCACTTAGCATTTTAACACATTTTACTAGTGCATCATGTTTATTAATTATTGTCTGTCTCATCTCCCTCACTCTAGCCCAGAATGGTCAAGGAAAACTTCTGCTCCTGCTTTTATTTCTGTGAATCAACTTGCCCATTGTTCCTTGAATCTACTGCCTTCTGAATACACTTTTTTTTTTTGAGACGGAGTCTTGCTCTGTCTCCCAGGCTGGAGTGCAGTGGCGCAATCTTGGTTCACTGCAAACTCCACCTCCCGGGTTCACACCATTCTCCTCCTCAGCCTCCTGAGTAGCTGGGACTACAGACACCCACCACCATGCCCAGCTAATTTTTTGTATTTTTAGTAGAGACAGGTTTTCACCATGTTAGCCAGGATGGTCTCGATCTCCTGACCTCATGATCCGCCCACCTCGGCCTCCCAAAGTGCTGGGATTACAGGCATGAGCCACCTCGCCTGGCCTGAATACACTTTTACTAACACTAATAAGACCCTTTGATTTAGCTTTGCCCCTCTTCCCAACAAGATAATACAAGGGTTTTTATCTCAGAAAAGGACTTTGCATCCCCAAGGACCTCAAGACTAGCTCATCTGGCTCCAGCCAAACTGGCTTGATCCCTATAGACATTTCTTAACAGGAACTTAAATAAAATAATGTATGTTCCCCCGACAAATTTGGTTCCCATTTTATTTTATCTTATATTTTGAGAGAAGCTCTTACTCTGTCACCCAGGCTGGAATGCAGTGACTCAAGTGATCCTCCCGCCTCAGCCTCCCAAAGTGCTGAATTCAATTTAAAAAGACCCTGAATGTCTAAATACAGGGTTTTTATTAATAAGTATTTCAGAAAACTAAATATATTATGAGACAGTGCTTTATAGAATGCATGGCACATGGCTGGGCACAGTGGCTCATGCTTGTAATCCCAGCAGTTTGGGATGCCAAGGCAGGAAGGAGGATCACTTGAGCCCAGGAGTTTGAGAACAGTCTAGGCAACTTAGGGAGATCCCATCTCTACAGATAATTTAAAAATTAGCTGGGCATGGTGGTGCATGCCTGTGATGCCAGCTACTCGGGAGGCTGAGGCGGGAGGATCACTTGAGCCCAGGAGGTCAAAGCTGCAGTGAGCTATGATTGTACCATTACACTCCAGACTGGATGACAGAGGGAGACCCTATCTAAATAAGAAAAAAAAAATGACATGTAGTAGATACTTAGTAATGACTTTTGACACTCTTACATCTCTTCTTTAAAATGTACTACCAATTTAATCTGACATATTTCTCCTAAGAGCTCTTGGCTCAGCATAGCTCAGGTGAGCTTATAGTTATTACCCTATTAATTCAACTTGTGAAGTTGAGAGTTCCCAACTGCTATTACCCTCATTTTGTGGAAAGAGAAATGTAGTTATATGTAAGTCAAAGTGATTTGCCCTAACTTTTATGTGTCATTGTCACAGATTTTTTTCCCCCATCAGTTCTTCGTACTTTAAAGCCAATATTTGGTTGCAGTTTCATGAGAGCTTTTAAGCGAAACTAGCTATAAGAAATCAGCCTATGAAAAATCCTTTATATTTATTACAGTTCCCTAGATCCTTGAGTATTCAGCATCTCAGTACTCAAGAAACAAGCAGTAAATTCTAAGGTCCATTTCATGCTGAGTGAAATGATTGACGTCAACAGTCATTAAAGGTGATGAAAGTGATAAATTCTGCTCCATATTTCAGCTGTTTATCATCACTGCCTATCCTCATCAATCAGTAAATTAATTAATAGATAGTGCCTATGCTGATGCTTCTATTCATTCAAATAATTTGTTTAACTACTCTCATAGACTTTTAATAAGGCAAGAGGGATATTTTTATAAGTTCTACCAAATTCATGTATAAGATAAATATAAATCTAATACAATGCTTTAGCAACCTCACAAATTAGATTTCCAAGAACTCTGAATGAAAGTTATGAATATCAGCTCAATTCATTTCCAAACCTGGCCACATTGGAATCATCTGGGCAGACAAAAAAAAAAAAAAAATGCACGGGCCCAATCCCTAAACATTTCTGATTCAGTAGGTTTGGGTTTGTGGCCCAGGAATCAGTATTTGAAAAACAGGTCTCCGCTGAATCAGCTATCGGCGGATTTGAAATTCACTGAGTTAAATAAACAGTGCTAGGATGAAAAGAGAGTCAGCCAGGAATTTCTCATCAATTGGCTGATTATTAATGGACCAAAACCGGACAAAACAATTTCACTGGAAAGTCTTCATTTAGAATGTCAGACAGATAACTCAGCATATTAGATTTCCTTTACAAACTGCTGACCCATGCCGGGGAAGGCCAAGGTGGCAACTTTTGTAACTACATGGGAGAGAGGCAGTGTCAGACTTACCTCTTCTGATATAAGCATTCCTCAGGTGTACTCCCTACCTGTAAGCTCATGGGTGCCCCAGTTTTTCTCTTTTCTTCCCAACTAATCATTGTCTAACACCACCCTTCATCTCTCCACACCATACCACCTTGTCTGTACAGCCTTCCCAACCCCACTGTGAAAATCTGAACCAAGTCCAAGTCTGAACTGAGAGGATGTATGTGTGAAGTAATAGGCCTCAAACAAACAAAGAGCTCATGCGAGCCCTAAGTACCCAATTTATTTTGATAAAGTCTTTTTAAATAATCACCCTATATACGATCATATTTTTCCTTGTTGTACTACTTCCTAACACATTCCCTCTATTTAATTTACACAGTGAATCATTACTGTCTTCTGATAACTGTTCTATATTTATCATTATTAAACTCATTTTATTGATCTCATTCTTTGCTCCAATCTGTCATGATTTTATGAATTTTAATTCAATTCTTTCCGCATTTATGATCCCTCCAGCTTCATGCCATCTTCACTTTTTTATTAATATGGTCTCCAGTCTCTCTTCTATGCTGCTGGTTATTATTGTGATGTGATGTTAATGAGACTATTTAAACATATTGTACTGCTGCAGCACCTTGTTGGAAAAAAAAGTCTTACCTTGACATTAAGCAATTAATATTAACTTTTATGTTTAATTTTGTTGCCAATGTCGTATTTATTTTGCAGCAGAGTTGCATGATTCACATGCCTCTCCTTTTCCTCTGAGTGTTGTGTAAAGGCAAATGCTTTTCTCGCACTGTGAAATAACACCACGAAGTGCTCATACTGTATTTCCTTTACCTACAGAGCTTCTTAGTTCACCAAATAGATAAATTCTCAACCCTTCCTCACTTCCATTAGTTGAGGTAAAAAACAAAATTCAAGGAAATGTTAAAATAATGTAAAGCCTTTGACATGAAACTACACAAATCCTCGACGTTTGTAGGAAAGGCTGACACTACATTCCTAAATTCATTCTGTGGAGTCGAAGTTCTAGTTGATACAGGATTTTCAAGTGTCCCCAAAGAGCTGCTTATCATGGATACTTTCTGTACATGGAAGAAATGGGTTAAGATAAATTAGTGGATTAAGATATAGGTATCCCTGAGCTTTCTGGCAATTTTAGTCAAAGTATTATATACCTACATAAAGATGATAAACCTCAGTAGTGACTCTCTGCACTTGTTTACACCTTCTAGTCACAAATTTCAGCTCTTTCTAGAATCATTAAATTTCAGAACACTTGAGAAACTATGTTAAGCAAGGTCGTTCTCTATTTCTTTATTGGTAAGCAGAAGACCAAGGGGTGTTTATGTAGCTCTATGTTTTTAAGTCAAGACATCCACCCTCTGTCTCCACCACCATTGCAGCTCATCCTGCTTGGCTCTCTCCTTGATAATCCCAGGGTTTGCTTCCAAATGGGGCTTTTGAAATGATGACCAGTTTTCAGGTTGAAAGTCTCTTTGTTGCCACTTGCCCAGTTTTGACCTTTTAATTTCCAGTGGCTTAAAATTAATGATTTAGAATCTCTCTCCAACTGGGCTTGTCAACTACTCCCGGTAGACACTTTGCTGGGCCCAGCCCCTAAGGCATTTCTTCTTAGCAGGATGTCTGGTATCCAGCTACGTTTTCTCTGGATCCTTCTGGAAAATCCAGATGGCATCCATGCAACCGCAGTCTAATTGACCTGAAATGAAAAATGCGGTCATTTCAAATCAACAAATTTTATCTGTACAGCTGAACCATGTGCTTCTGTCCGTAATGATTATAAAGCCTTAAGACATCCTCTGCCACACCTGTGAATGTGAAAAATGACATATGTTTGATTTTCCTGAGTAGAAAAGGCCTAAGTTATCGTTGAACTAAGAGGGACTTCAAAAGTCAATTTGTCTAAGGTTTTCAATTACTGAATAGGCTGTATGATGCAGACTTCCAAAGCTGGTCTCCTGAATTCCTTCCAATCTCATCAAACATTAGAGGCAAAAGGAAGGGACCCAAAAGACCATATAGTTGACCTTTTCACTTAACAGAATAAGAAATATAAATCACAGAAAAGCTCAGTAATTTTCCTAGAGCTGGAGCTAGAACTCACATTTCCAGCCTTGGTCTGGTCTCTTTATCACTCTGCTTGACGTTAGTGTGAAAATGTGTCTACTTTTCCAAGGATTAAAAAAATGAAGACAATGATGCAATAACAAAATTTAAGCATTATAAGGAAAATAACCGAGTCTATGTTAGAAATTTCTAGAATGTTTAAGGAATTTTTCCCTAGTAAAACAGAACCATAACATTTTAAAATGGGAAAGAACACATCATCCTCTCTATCCCAGCCTGCATAAGAAGGCAATGGACATGGCTGATACCCATATTAGCTTAGAGTTCACTAAAAAACTCCCTGTTCTTAATTCTACCCAAAAATGTTACCACAACTGTAGGTTGCATGAGAATGTAGCTGAAACATCCACATGGAGAAATCTGTTTTAAAAATTCTCAAGCTCATTCACTGGAGTTGTGTCTTCGTGATTCCAAATAGTTTCATTCAACCCCCAAAGCCAATAAAAAGATATCTATGGGGTGTAACAAGCCAGTTCAAATTCATTTAGTAATTTTAGGCAGAGAATAAATCTTCACATTACAGATGAAGACATGAAGACAATAAAGTAAGCAAATAAAGGTGGCTCTTCTTAGGGTTATTTTATCTGCAAATGATCAAGAGTAGTGTTTTGGTTTATAACTACAGATTGAGTGGCATCATTCTGACATTGTCTGTTAGGACAACCACTGGTACACATTTGCCATTCTTCAGACACCTGGCTCCGGTCTTCTGTGTTCCTTGACAATTTTATCTGGTTGTTCTCTAATTGGCCATACCCATCCTTGGTCTTACATCAGCCACATCTCAAATACCTCAGTGAGGGTGAAGGAATCATTGTCTGCACCCAAAATGATTAGGTTGCAACCATTTGCAGGGAGGAAACCAAGGAGGTCTTTGTAGAGCTCTAAAGTCCTACAGTTGCAGAGTTTGTGAGTTATGCTAGACCAGTGCTGTTCAACATAAATATAATGAGATCCATATCGAATTTTAAATTTTCTAGTAAAAATGTTATGAAAAAGTTTTTTTAAACTTAAAATTAATATTAATAATCTATTTTATTGAACTCAGTATATTCAAAAATATCATTTCAACATGTAGCATAGCTGCATTTTAAGTGCTCAACAGGCCACATGTGGCTAGTGGCAACTGTATTGGAGAGGGCAACACTAGATAGTTTTCTTGGGAAATCATTTTCTTCAGTTAATCCTAGTAAGCAACCACTTCTTACAAAGAGTTTTCCATGTTAAAAAAAAATCATGGCAAGTCAAAACTTCCCAACTGTATAAATCAGTGTTCTCCAAATAACAAAAGCAGTAGGATATGTATATAAAATATATGTATAGAGAGATTTAAGAAATTAGCTCATGCAATTGTGGAGGCCGGCAAGTCCAAAATCTGCAGGGCAGGTCAACAAGCTGGAGACCTAAGGAAGAGTGGATGCTGCAGCTGGAGTCTGAAGATGGTGTGGAGGCAGAATTTCTTCTTCCTCAAAAAACCTCAGTTTTTGTTCTCTTAAAGCCTTCAACTGATTAGGTGAGTTCCATCCACATTGTGGAGGGTAAGCTGCTTTACTCAAAGTCTACTGATTTAAATGTTAATCACATCTAAAAATATTCTTTCAAAGCAGCATCTAGGCTGTGTTTCATTTGTTGTTGTTTGTTTGTTTGTTTGTTTGTTTGTTTGTTTTGAGACAGGTCTTGCTCTGTTGCCCCAGGGACTGAAGTTCAGTGGTGCAATTATAGCTCACTGCAGTCTTAAACTCCTGGGCTCAAACTATCCTCCCACCTCAGCCTCCCAAGTAGATGGGACTATAGGCATGCACCACCACACTTGGCCAATTTTTAAAAGTTGTTGGTAAAGATAGGGTCTTGCTATGTTGTCCAGGCTGGTCTCAAACTCCTGGTCTCAAGCAGTCCTCCTGCCTCGGCCTCCCAAAGTGTTGAGATTATAGGCTTGAGCCATGTACCCAGCCTAGACTGGTGTTTGATCAAACATCTGGGAATCATAGCCTAGTCAAGTTGACCCATAAAATTAACCATTACACCAACCAAAGCAAAGGAAACGATTTGAAACAATTACCCACATAACTCAGGAAACAATCCTTATCCAATAAATTTAGATAATACTTAAAAGTAATGACAAAAACCACAATTACTTTTGCACCAACCTAACAGAATTGAGCTTTGCTTTGGCTGTGAAGACCTGGCAAAAAGAAAGTCTTTTTTACATTTTTCTGTAAGCTGCTTAATATTCTGGATGGCCCTCCTTTGTACATTATAACTATTATAACAAATAACCTGATTGTGTTATATTATCAAGGAGGATATTTTTAAAATTAAACAAATCAACAAAAGAAGCCAGGAATGTCTCAATAGTATTCCCTTGGGAAGAATGGGCAATCCACAAGAGTATGTTACATGCATAACATCTAATGACATCGTAGGAAACTACAGATGTGGTTATTAATTTTTTCACACAGGACTGATAAATGTAGAAATCACACACTTCAATTACTTCCCTTTTTCTTCTGTTCTTCATAAGTTAAGATTTAGATAATTATCTCTTCTGGCTGCCCAGTAGTATTTCAAACCCTCTGTCTATTTGGGGGGTATCCAAGAAAAAGTAAAAGGCAGTCTCTCTCCTCCCACTTTGGAACCTGAAGAGAACAGATGTTACCTTTGCCAGGTCCCTGGTGACTGGGATGAGGACATGTAAATGAGGCTCAGCCAATCTGATGATCCCCCTCCCCACGGCCCCACCCCCCCTTACCCCACCAATGCCAACTCTTGGTGCAGGAGGATCAGAGATTATTGGCAGTGACTGTGGTGGAGCTACGGAGTTGAAAGCCCAGTGGGGTGGAAAAGAGTGCACAGACACACCATTGCCAGCAGCAGCAGCTCTGTTCAACAATCACAATGCCAGGAACAGGGCATCATCGAAAGGCTCTTCCTGTGACTGAGACTGGCCCTTGGCTGTGCTTTGCATTCCTGGCTCCTGCTCACCTTCTGATTCTATGAGCTAGCAACTATCTTACCAATACTTTTTTTATTCTAAAGTAGCCAAAGTTAATTTCTGTTGCTTAATACTGAGAACCTTGACCCAGTATAGAACCTCACAAATGGATGGTGAGATTTTATCTGACTCTTCAGATCAGCTATTAACTGCATGGATCTCTAACATTTTCATAGAGGGGGCTTTCAAGTTTTTTGGTCTCAGGACTGCTTTACACTTTGAAAAATTATTGAGGAAACCAAAGAATTTTTGTTGACATGAATTATCTATTGATATTTACCTATTGGAAATTAAAACAAAATTTAAATTATCTATTTATTAATTTCATCAAAAATAAAATGATACATCCATTACTTGTTAACATACATAACATTTTTCGTAAAAAATAGTTTTATTTTACGTCCAGGTGCGGTGGCTTGCGCCTGTAATCCCAGCACTTTGGGAGGTCAAGGTGGGCAGATCACTTGAGGTCAGAAGTTCGAGACTAGCCTCCAAACATGGCCAAACTTTGTCTCTACTAAAAATACAAAAATCAGCCGGGCGTGGTGGCATGTGCCTTAGTCCCAGCTATGTGGAAGGCTGAGGCACCAGAATCGCTTGAACCTGGGAGGCAGAGGTTGTAGTGAGCCAAGATGGTGCCACTGCGCTCTAGCCTGGTCAACAGAGTAAGACTCTGTCTCAAAAAAAAAAAAAAAAAAAAAAAGGCTTTATTTTCAAAAAACACAAAAGAATTCTCTGGTTTAATAAAAGACAAGAGTCTTAGATATGCTTCTGCATTCAATCTGTTGTTATACATTCTTTGGGTTAAAGTATGAAGAAAATTCAGGTTTACTCAGCTATGTAGTTGGAAAACAGGAGAGCATCTTAGTAGCCTTCTTAGATATTTGTGGATATTCTTCTTTGATACCACACCAAGGACTGACAAGTGGTGGTTTCTTAAAGGTTAGCTGTAATACAGAATCCAAAATCTTAGCAATAAGCAGTTCCTGTTTTATTGCATTAAAATCTGTTTTGAAATAATTTTAACATAGGTCATTTGGAAAATATTGGTATACTAAATTATGAAAACATTTGAAATGTTGACATACCTCACTATACAATATTAGAACGATATTCATTAGTGTCACCACCAAGCTCATTAAAAAATAATTAAGTATTTGGAAGTTGTTGGACTGATGGTGGCAAATCTAGGTTTTTGAAAATTTTTAGTTTTCTTTTGAAAGCCCAGATTTTACCATTGGCAGCAAAAGCTCTAGGTTGTTTTCCTTCAAGTGACAAGATCGCTTCATTCATTTAAAAAAAGAATCTACCAAACATATCAGTCAGAAAAGGTACAGTTTGTCTGAGTCACTTTGTCCAAGTAGAAATAGTGTCCTATGATAAAAGCGGCTAGTTTGGCTGCCTTCAGTCACTCTAGTGTCTTTCCTGAGACAACCACTGTGCTTTGAAATGAGAACGCTTTATGCGTACTTTCCATTTCTCACAAGGAATGTTTTTAGAAACCTGTATTCAAGTGTCTAGATTTAATAAAATTAATAATTTGTATGTCTTCATCGAGGACATTCTTCAATGAAACTGACATTTTCTGTCATGTGAGTGTTTGGCTTGAAGAATGCAATGACAGCTAGCACAGCCTGGAGCCACTGCCTTGATTTGTGGCAAGACACTAGCAGTTTCACCTGCCATTGCTTTGCACCATCAATGCATATTCAAACACAATGAAAAAGGCAAATAATGCCTTAGTATTATTATAAAGACAGTTTTGACCTGATAGTCCCCCAAAAGGTTCTCAGGGCCTCCAGGAGTTCATTGAACACACTGGGAGAATCGCTGGGTTAATAAGTTAATGTGTGCCTCTCTACAAAAGAGAGGCTTTGTAAGCCTCTGTCATTGCAGAAACAGGTGAAAATAAGACTTACTATCTTAGTTTACACTATTTTGTTATAAATGTTTTTAAATAAAGAAGAACTTGTCCTACCTTATTGAGAGATCTTTTTCTAAGACTTTAAAAGCTGAAATATCTGGATACTTACAGCCTTGTGACTGGTTATTTTGCCATTTTGACCTCTGAAACTGTGGTAGGTTGTACCATAAATTATCACTAAACTCATTTCAAGGAGGGAGGCTGGAGTGGCAGGAAAGGTTAGTTGAATTGAGCTCCTGTAATAATCCATGGCTACATTGGTTTAGATATCAGAGATCCCAGGAGGTGGTATCAGTGAAACCTTTCCTGAAGTCTAGCCATCATGGGTTTTAACCCCTTGACTAAAGGCATTTAATTTGCAGTGAATGAAGTGAGTAGTTGTAAAGGTAAAGATGAGAAATCTACATGAGCTGGCTTGAAATGACACCACAGAAAGGATCCTGGTGGACTTGAATAGTGTATAATATTGGACTGAGCACAACAATGAGAACTGCTAGTAAGAGCTTTCTTCCCAGTAATAATATACTGCAGATATTGTAGGTTTGTTTCCAGACCACTACAATAAAGCAAATATCGTGATGAAGTGAGTCACATGATTTTTTTTTATTTTATTTCCCAGTGCAAATAAAAGTTCTGTTTACACTCTTCTGCATATGGATATCCAGTTTTCTCAGCACCATTTATTGAAGAGGATACTCTTTCCTAATGTTCTTGGCACTTTTGTCAAAAATCAGTTGGCTATAAACATATGAATTTATTTCTGGGTTCTCTATTCTGTTCTATTGGTCTGTCTATGTGTCTGTTTTCATACCAGTACCATGTTGCTTTGGTTACTATAGCCCTGTAATGTATTCTGAACTCAGGTATTGTGATGCTTCCAGATGTGTTATTTTTGCTCAGCATTGCTTTGGCTATTCAGGCTCTTTTTTGGTTCCATACAAATTTTAGGATTGTTTTTCCTATGACTGTGAAAAATGACATTGGTGTTTTGATAGGGATTCCACTGAATCTGCAGATTGCTTTGGGTAGTATGATAAATTTTAACGATATTAATTATTCCAATACCTGAGCATGGGATATCTTTCCATTTGTTTGTGTCCTCTTCAATTTCAGTAGCTATTGTAAATGGGATTCTCTTCTTGATTTATTTCTGAGCTAGTTCATTATTGGTATATAGAAATGCTAACAATTTATGTATATTGATTTTGTATTCTATAGCTTTCCTGATTTTATTGATCCAATCTAAGAGTTTTTTGGTAAAGTCTTTAGGTTTTTATAGATATAAGATTACATCATCTGGAAAGACTAAAATTGGACTCATAGCTCTCACCATATACAAAAATTAACTCAAGATGGAATAGACTTAAATATAACACCAAAAACTACAAAACTGCTAGAAAGGAAACATAGGGGAAACACTTCAGGACATTGGTCTAGGCAAAGATTTTTATAGCTAAGACCTCAAAAGCACAGACAACAAAAACAAAATTAGACAAATGGAACCATATCAAATTCAAAACCTTCTGCACAACTGAGGAAACAATAAACAGAGTGAAGAGACAACCTGTTGAATAGGATAAAATATTTGCAAACTATTCATCCAACAAGGGACTAATGTTTAGAATATACAAGGGATTCAAATAACCCAGCAACAAAAAAAGGACAAATAATACCATTAAAAAGTGGGCAAAGGATCTGCATAGACATTTTTCAAAAGAAGACATACAGATAGCCCCAACAGGTATATGAAAAAATGTTCAACATCACTAATCATCAGGAAAATGCAAATCAAAACTATAATGACTTATCATCTCACCTCACAATGGCTATTTTTAAAAAGACAAAAAATAACAGGTGCTGGCAAGGATGTGGAAAAAAGGGAACTCATACACTATTGGTGGTAATATAAAGTGGTACGGCCATGAAGGAAAACAGTATGGATTCTCAAAAAACTAAAAATAGAGCTATTAAAAAATCTAGCCATCCCACTATTAGGTATTTATCCAAAGGAAAGGAAATCAGTTTATCAAATGGATTCTTGCACCCCCATGGGTATTGTAGCACTATTCACAGTACCAAAGATATGGAATCAACCTAAGTGTCTATCAATGGATGAATGGACTAAAAAATGTGGCATGTATACACAGTGCAATACTATGCAGTCATAAGAAAGAAAGAAATCATATAATTTGAAGCAACATGGATGGAACTGGAGGTCATAATGTTAGGTTAAATAAGCCAGGCATGGAAACACAAATATTGCATGTTCTCACTCATATGTGGGAGCTAAAAAATAGTGAATCTCATGAAGATAGAGAATAGAATGATATATATCAGAGACTAGGAAGGGTGTGTGGGAGGGGTTGGGGATGAAAAGAGGTTGGTTAATGATACAAATATACAGTTAGGTAAAAGGAATAATTTCTAATGTTTCACAGCAGAGTAGGGTGACTATGGCTAAAAACAATGTGTTGTATATTTCAAAATAGCTAGAGGAGAGAACTTAAAATTTTCCCAACACATAGGAATGATAAATACTTGCGGTGATGGATACCCCAAATATGCTGACTTAATTATTACACATTCTATGCATGTAATGAAATATCACATGTACCCCATAAATATGTACAAATACTATGTGCCAATAAAAATAAATTCTTAAAAGTTATGTTTACAGTATACCATAGTATATTAAATATGCAATAGACGCAATAGCATTGTATCTAAGAAAAAGGTACATAATTTAATTTAAAAATACTTTATTGCTAAAAGATGCTAATGATCAACTGAAACTTCAGTGAGTTGCAATCTTTTAGCTGGTGGAGGGTCTTGCCTGGATGTTGATGGCTGCTGGCAATTTCTTAAAATAAGGTAACAGTGAAGTTTACCACATCAATTGACCTTTTCTTTCATGAAAGATGTATCTATAGCAATGCTGTTAGACAGCATTTTACCCACAATAGAACCTCTTTCAAAATGGGAGTCAATCCTCTCAAATCCTGACACTGCTTTATCAACTAAGTTGATGTAATATTCAAAATCTTTTGCTGTCATTTCAACAATGTTCACAACATCTTCACAAGGAAAGAAACCAATTTCTTTGCACATTCTTAAAAAGTAACTCCTCATCCATTCAAGTTTTATCATGAGTTTCTTGCATTTCAATCACATCTTCAAGCTCCACTTCTAATTCTAGTTCTCTTGCAATTTCCACCCCATCTGTAGTGACTTCCTCCACTGAAGTCTTGAACCCCTCAAAATCATCCATGAGCATTGGAATTAACTTCATCCAAACTCCTGTTAATGTTGATATTTTGACCTCCCCCCATAAATCATGAATGTTCTTGATGGCATCCAGAAGATTTTCAATTTACTTTGCCCAGATCCATTAGAGGAATCATTATTTATGGCAGCTTTAGCCTTACGAAATATGTGTCTTAAAAAATAAGATGTGAAAGTCAAAATTACTTCTTGATCCATTGGCTGTAGAATGGGTATTGTGTTAGCAGACATGAAGACAACATCAGTCTCTCTGTGCATCTCAATCGGCGCTCTTGGATGACCAGGTACATTGTCAATGAGCAGTAATATTTTGGAAGAAATCTTTTTTTCTGAGCAGTAACTCCCAACAGTGGGCTAAAATATTCAGTAAGTCATACTATGAACAGGGGTGCTCTCATCAAAGCTTTGTTGTTCTATTGACAGAGCACAGGCAGAGTAGATATAGCATAATTTGTAAGGGCCCTAAAATTTTCAGAATGGTAAATGAGCACTGGCTTCAACTTCAAGTCACCCGCATTAACCCTTAACAAGTGAGTCAGTCTGTCCTTTGAAGCTTTGAAGCCAGGCATTGACTTCTCTTCTGTAGCTATGAAAGTCTTAGGTGGCATCTTCTTCCAATAGAAGGCTGTTTTTGTCTGAATTGAAAATTTATTGTTTAGTGTATCCATCTTCATCAATTATCTTAGCTAGATCTTCTGGACAACTTGCTGCCGCTTCTCCATCAGCACTTGCTGCTTCGCCTGGTACTTTCATGTTATGGAGACAGCTTCTTTCTTTAAACATCATGAACCAATCTTTTCTAGCTTCAAACTTTTCTTCTGCAGCTTCCCCACCTCTCTCAGCCTTCATAGAATTGAAGAGTTTAGGGCTTTGCTCTGGATTAGGTTTTGGCTTAAGGGAATGGTGTAGTTGGTTGGTCTTCTATACAGACCACTAAACTTTCTCCATATCAGCAAAAGGGCTGTTTTGCTTTTTTATCATTCATGTGTTCACTGGCGTGGCACTTTTAATTTCCTTCAAGAACTTTTCTTTTGCCTTCCCAACTTGGCTAACTGGCTTTCAACCTATCTTGGCTTTCAACCTGTCTTCCTCATTAAGCTTGATCATCTCTAGCTTTTGATTTTAAGTGAGAGATGTGCAACTCTTCCTTTCATTTGAACGTTGATAGGCCATTTTACAGTTATGAGTTGGCCTAATTTCAATATTTCTGTGTCTCAGGGAATAGGGAAGCCCTAGGAAAGGGCAAGAGACAGGCAATGACAGGTGCATGGAGCAGTCAGAACACACACACATATTTATCAAGTAATTTCGCTGTCCTAAATCGGTGCGGTTTGTGGTGACCCAAAACAATTAAAATAGAAACATCAAAGATCACTGAGATCACAGATCACCATGACAGATATAACAATAATGAAAAAATTTTTGAAATATTGTGAGAATTACCAAAATGTGACACAAAGATGTGAAGCGTGCACATGCTGTTGGAAAAATGGTATGGATAGACTTTCTCAGTGCTGGATTGCCACGAACCTTCAATTTGTAAAAAATGCAGTATCTGCAAAGTGCAGTAAAGTGAGGTATGCCTGTATATGGATAGAGAGCCAGTTTCAAAGCTGCTTTCACTTTAGGGAGATTTCTTACTGGTTATTTGCAGTATTTTAATAATATTTGCATAAATATTAAATAAATATTAATATCACACACATTAACATTAAGAAAAATTTAAGGAGACCCTACCTTTCACCAGAGAAAATACGTTACAGTTATTTTTGCAGACCACATTTGGCAAAGACTGGAGGAAAAACAAAACAAAGCAAAACCCCAAAACAACTAATAGTTGTACAGTTTGGAAAGAAAAATTAATTAGCTAACAGAGTTAATTGCAGTTTAAAACACCCCTGTCATAAGTGTATAATAAAAATTCTAAAGAGACATATCTGGTAGCTAAATCAAGTTACATGGTTTGTTATTTTTATTTTAAAGGAGCTAAACTGTGAAGAGTTGGTGTGTATAAGAGGCCGGAAACACAAATCCTTCAAAACACATCTCAGGATTATAGTTTAGCTAAAATTACAACACATTATGCAGTAACATTCCTGCATATCTTGACTTGGGGATGTAATTCAAGGAATTGAAGCCTTTGCCCTGGCAGAGCATCAAGGTCATGGGATGCCAAGCACTGGTGAGGACTGGAGATCACAAGAACCATCTTCATTGCTGGTGGAGTGGGAATCAATTCATTTGGAGACACAAGTTGGCAATTAAAAAAAGTGTGAAGATGCATATTTTAGCCTGCTCCAGCCGCCATAGCAGAATACCATAGGCTGGGTGTCTCAAACAACAGAAAATATTTTTTTCATAGTTAAATAGTTAATTTCTAGAGGTTGGAAGTTGAAGATCAAGGTTCCAGTGGGGTTTGGTTTCTGGTGAGGGCCTTCTTTCTGGCTTGGAAGTGGCCATTTTGTCCTTATATGGCCTTTTTTCTGAGTGTACTCAGAGAGAGAGAACATGCATGGTATCTGATGTCTTCTCTTATAAAGACACTAGTCTTTGGTAGGGTTCCACTGTTATGACCAAATCATTTTATCTTAATTACCTCCTTACAGGTTCTATCTCCAAATACAGTCATGTTGGGGGTTAAGGATTCAATATATGACATGAAGGGGAACACATAATTTGGTCCACAGCAATCCACATACACTAAGACCCAGAAGTTCTAGAAACATTTCCTAGAGAAATTCTTGTGCACGTACACAAAGAGATGTGTAGAAAGAATATTCACTGTTGCATTATTTATAATAGCAACATGAAAAAAATTTAGATAACCACCATTAGGAAATGGAGAAAGAAATTGTAAAATCATCAAACAATAAAGTAATACACAGTAGTTAAAAGAGCAAACAAGAACCACATATTGTGGCTCTGTCAGCATGAATAAATCTTAGAAATAAAATTTGAGTATGAAAATCAAACTACAGAAAGTATACACAGAACATGATACCATTAAAGTGAGAAAGTAACTAAGCAGTAGGTCTTAGTTTCTTATGGATATACTCATATGAATGAAACATATGTTAAAAATATGACAATATGGATGGAAAGGATGAACCTCAATTCAGGCTAGTGGCTGATTTAGAGAAGGAGGAAGGGCAGTAACAGGATAGGTGACTTTAATTTTGTCTGTAATATTTTATTCTCAAGTTAAAAGGATCTGAGGTAAATATGGCAAAGTAATAACATCTACTAAAGGGATAGTGGGTACATGGTAATTTGATATATAATTTCTGTTCCTTGTGTTTGCAGTTTTCATAATGAACACCAAATAAGCAAACAAATGTTTAAAAGGCAAAATGTCCCTGAGAGTTAGAGAGATCTAGGTCCCAACTGAGTTCCCATTATTCACTAGATATAGGTCCTTGGGCAAGTTACCTAACCTCCTTAAGTTGCTCCTATTTATGTATTTTCATCTATACCTACCTCTTGGGAATATTGTGAAATTCAACAGCGCTCATGTAAAGCATGTGGCACCCAGCATACAAAACAATGCTAGTTCCCTTTCTTACATCAAGTACTGTTTAGTAACATTGATTTAAACTCCATGTCTTTGTCTAAACTAAAAGAAAGCTCTGAGTGGTTGTAATGAGACAGAATAATTTTCCTGTTTCCCTTATTGTGACCTTTCTTTCTTTTTTTTTTAACCCCTACCTTGTCTCAGGTATTTAAATGTGTGTGTGCATGCACAAACACATAAGCAGTACTTCACAAGTGCTTTAGAGCAGAGGCTAAACTTTTGGAGGTTGGGAAAATGGTCTCTTTAATGTCATGTAAGTGTGAAGCATCTTTTCACTTACAGGCTTAAAAGAACTATATTGTAGCAAAACTAGAAATCAGTTAAAGTTTTTGTGTTGAGACAGTACTTGCTGATTGAATTCTCATGGTGTATGTGTTCTTTTTCTTTTTCTTTCTTTCTTTTTTTGAGCTGGAGTCTTGCTATGTTGCCCAGGCTGATCTCAAACTCCTGAACTCAGTCAATGCTGCTTCAGCTTCCTGAGTAGCTTATTACAGGTATGTACTACTGCACCTGGCTGTATTTATTTTTATGTAGTCTTTCATAACAATATAATGAGGACAGTTTTGTGTGGTCAGTTTTAAATTATCCTTGCTGTGGAGACATCAGAAAGCTCAGGAAAATCCAGAAACTTCATCTGAATCAATTGTTCTCATTTTTTTAAACTGCCACTTGAACTATTAGCAGAAAAGATCATCAATTCAAGTATCTACCCCTTTTTGTTCTTTTTTTCATGCTAGAGAATTTGTTAAAGAAAGGTTCAAAAGTCACAACATTAGCAGCAATAAAGGTAAAAAATAAAAATAAAAGGCTGAGCCTGATGGTTCACACTGGTAATCCCAGCACTTTGGGAGGCCAAGGAAGGCGGATCACCTGAGGTCGGGAGCTCAAGACCAGCCTGACCAACATTGGAGAAACCCCGTCTCTACTAAAAATATAAAATTAGCCAGGTATGGTAGCGCATGCCTGTAATCCCAGCTACTCAGGAGGCTGAGGCAGGGGAATCTGCCTCTAGGGAGGCAGAGGTTGCGGTGAGTCAAAATTGCTCCATTGCACTCCAGCCTGGGCAACAAGAGAGAAACTCTGTCTCAAAAAGTAAATAAATAAATAAATAAAATAATAATGATAAAATAAAAATAAAAAATAAAAAAGTCTCCGCTACTTTGGGGACAAAATGCTAACTGAAAATCAAGCTGATCAAATTGGTTGCTTTCAATTTTATGCTGTCTCTAGACTGAAGCTCAGAGCTTCTTATAACTAAGGAGGAGAGGAGAAAGATATGTAGAGAGCAGGCAGAAAAGAGTCTAAATAACCAAGGACTGCTATGCAGGTTGTGCACTGCACAACTCCAGAAAGCACGATTTACATGGACAACTATGTATGCATGCAATGGCCCTGAAAGGAGGTATCAAAGTAAAGAACAGAAAAGGCCGTAGTTGCACAGAAGAGTTCCTAGTCTCTGAAATTTCCCACAATCTAACTTTATGAGTGAAGCCCATTCTCATTTAACTACACAAGTAAGTGATGGATTTTGGAGAATCAAAGTCCATAGTATAGATAATACATAGGATTTTTCAGTGGGATACCTCTCAATAACATGGAAATAAAGGGAATGAAACTAACAAGGACCAACATGTAATAAATAAGGTTATCGATCTGCAGAAGTTCCCTAAAAGATTAAAACTGAGTAACAAATAGACATAATAAACAGTCAAATCTCATTTAAAACATAAATCAATATATATGTTGTGCAGTTTCCTGTATTTAAAAAGGTAAGAAACAGCAATGCTAATTAGGATGAACATATGTACTTAATTAAACATCCCACTTTCCATTAGTGAACACACAAGAGGAGCACAGTTTATGCAGTTTTCACAGGTTTGAGAATGAGCTTACTAACCATGTATAGGAGAAAAATAAGTACTGCACAGTTTTGAAGAGCATTCTGCATTTCATTGCTTTGGTTAAAAGTGTAAGGTGGGTAAACACCTAAAGGTCCTTCTATTTATGTGTGAAATCAAGGGTAGGTTCATGAGTTCTTTTTCGTTTTAAAGGTCTGTGATTTTATTAGCAATGATGGGTGATATACAAGAAAGAGGAGCAGAAAGAAATCATCCCTTTCCATGGACAAGTGCTTTCTTTTATCATTGTATCTCTGTGTGAATAAATTCTATAATTATTGTAAAGCAATATACACTATTCTAAATGCTTTTCTTTGGATCTGCATAGAGTGCCTTTGATGTAAGCAAGGCTGGGCAGTTGTTTAAAAAAGTGGTTTGGAGATCAAGTTCTTGACCTAATATGGACAAGGTCTATTTTCGACTCTTTCATTTGAAACTAGCAACAGCAGATTAAAAACAACTTTATACTGCAAATTCAAAGTAGAAATGTCTTTTTGACCAACATCTAATTTCTTGCTCTTTGTGATCCAAATTTGGTAAGCTTTGGGGAGTTGAATATTAAGATTATATTTCTACCTTGTGCAGAAGAGTAATTCTAGTCCATCAAATGAAATTGTAAGCGTCCAGTGAGGCCCAAGACTTGTTTTCATGGCACATTGATGGCTACTGGCTTGTGACCTATTAGTAGGTCAAGTTCATTGTCAGTAACCACCATATTATCCTAACCTCTTCTGCTGACCACAAAGAAAATGAACCAGAAGATAAGGCTCTTTCTTGGATCACTAATATTTTCCATTTGGGTACATTTATATCTTTCCTAATGTAGCAAAGTAGCATTAAGCGTAGCAATTTCAAGAGGTAAAGCAGAGGTGTTAGAGAAGCCAGATGGCTGCCAACAGAGGTCTAGCTCAATGGTAGTGTCCTGTCCCAAGTCTGTACTCAGATTTTCAGGTCTAGAATTGGTTCTGTTTGCACATCCAAATTTGACTGGGCTGAGAGATAACAGCAAATAACTAAACTTACAAAGGATTGATGTAAAAACTGGTATGCCAATTCCGTAGTTATAGTGGTAAATATTACTATGAACAGATTACTTATACCCCATATTCAGGGACTTCTTTTTTAAAGAATCTTGGTTTTTGGGAAGTTGAGTGAATTTCACAAAGATACCTGCTCTATCAGCCGTGATGAAACAGCACTGTGACAGAGAAAACCCACATAGTATTTCAAACAGGGAATTTTTACTATAAAAAAGAGAAAAATCAATCAAAAGAGAAAAATCAATCAAAAAGGAGAGAAAAACCACACAGTAATTCAAACAGGGAATGTTTAATATAAAGAATTATTAACTATAATAGAGAATTCGGATAATAATGGATTGACTAGTAAGAAATATAAATTACTCTACAGAATACAAGGATAGCAGATATAAGATTACTCCTAGGGCTGAGATAAAAGCCCTCAGCAAGAAACAGATCTTATTGCAGAGAGTGCAGCTGTGGCTCAAGGATGGCTGACAAGCCACTGAAATGCCTCACCAGTAGAACTTGCTGGAAACCCACCTTCTTGGGTGTCAAGGAAGCTATTCACAGGGTGGTGCCATGTTTTGGAATTTACTCCAGTGTCAAGCAGGAGGTGGTGGAGGAAGCTGCTGGCCACTGGGTGCTGGTGACTGCTACTTGCTGCAGGAACCTGGCAGTGGAGAAGCCCCACACGTAGAAGGAACCTAGAGAAGAGAACAGACCAGAATCAGAAAGATATACCCCTTCCTCCTCTTCTGTCTTTCTTGCACCCTCCACTGACAAACAGAGCATCATGCCAGATACCAAAGGAGAAATATTTACAGGGTCCAGCTCCATCCTCACAGAGTAGGTAATAAGGGATGGATTTGAAGTTGAGAGGCAAGAAATTGGTAACTGGCACAGTTGCTAAGTCAGCATGACATTCATTCAAAGAAAGGTAGACAGTCTTGAAAAACATATCATTCAAGCCAGGGAAAATGTAATGAATCTCCTTGTCCAAAAACAGAGCATACTTCTTTGTTTAAGGAAAACGTCTATGGGTTCTAGACCCATAACCCTTGGGTAGTTCTGGATAAACATAAATTCTTGTCCTGTTTTCCAAGTTCTGCTACAACCAACTTATTGCTGTTTGGGCAGGGTATTATACAATCAACATGATTTTAATTTTCTTAGATTTTTAAAATCACTTTCATGGCCTGTCTCCCTCACATTATAAACCTTACTGCTTTGGTGAATCTTGAAAGTTTCCTTTTGTCTTCAGCTGTGTATTACAATTTTGGGTACACCTACAGCTGCAGGTGGCTAACTCTTCGAGGCTGGAGATGACCTTCATTCAAAGTTACAAAATATCTCTCATGATAGCCTCCATCATGGCTATAGAGAGCTCTAATTCTCTCCAACATGACCTCAGAGAGACAAGATGCATTTAACTTTTTAGGCCAATAGTGTTTGATTTCATGAATTACTAAAAAACTTAGGAACAGCCTTTTTTATTACCCAGAAATAAGATTTGCAAAGGGGAATTAATAAAGTAAAAGGAATACTTATCCAGAGAGTATTTACTAGCAGTGTAACTTGAGGCATCTTTGTCCCTTGTTGCACAAATGCAAAATGTGTGTACTAAGAGCAACAATTTTGATAGGCCATTGTGAAAATCAATTCAGTTAATAGATGTTAAAGTGCTTAAGTCAGCACCTGGTACACAGTTAGTACTCATAAGTGATACATATGATCTGACATGAAAACCAAGAAATTTCTTAGATTTCTGGCAGAAATTTATCCAACTTGAGAGAAAAAGATCAGCAAGAATGAAGAATTTTAATACATTTTTGAAATAAGAAAAGGTATTGTACCCTTTGGTAGTAGAAAAAAATCTGCTTCCATTGACTATAGTCAGATATACTCTATTTATTAAGCATAATGGGAACTTGTGAGAATGTAGAAGATCTGTCCATTTAGGGCCCAAAAAACTTCAGGAAACAGTCTCCAATGGGTTTATGATGGATTGGGATGCAAATTCAGTGTCACTAGATGGCGCTGTAGAGCAATTAAGCTTGGTTGCTTGTTAAAGGTGATTTTAAACACTATTCTAAAATTGGGTTATTTTCATATGAACATTTTGCACAAGCATAGGTAGTTATGTGAGCCAAAAATAGTGTGCCTATGTTCACCAGGGTTTTTAACCCACAAACAGCTGGTGTGGCAAGTATGAGAGACCTTGAGAACAAATGACCAGGAGGAATAGTAGACTTACGGGAAGATAACTGAACACAAACCAAGCTAAGATTCAGTAGCTGACTGGGATCACTAAATGGTGACAGAGAAACTGTGGTCCGAGGTCATCTTTTCAAAGTTAAGGCTAGCATCGGTAAAATGAAATTGTGAGCTAAATACTGCAAAAATAGAGCATTAAAATACTATAGCTTGATATCTTTATTTATATCTGAGGTTCTGATAGCATACCTGATGTTTTACTGTCTAGTTCACAAAAACAAGACTAAGTTGAAATTATATGTTTTCAAGTCTTATTTTGGATTAGTATTTTCACTTTCTAAAGGGCATGTTTTAAGGGATCCACACTATTATATAAAAAATTGTGTTTGGGATTTGGTAGAACTTTTTTTTGGAAATAGTGAGGAGAGAGGCATGAAGCAAAGAAAGAAGTTGGTTTTATATACAGATGTTAAGGAAGGTTATAAAAAAAGAAGAGAAGGTGCAGGCCACATTCAGACATTTGACTCACATTATAGTGCAGTAAAACTAGTTGATTCAGTTCATTGCCTTCAATCTCCTCAATCAGTACAGCCTTGTCAATTTTTAAACCAGCCAGCAGAGAGCAAGAATGACTGGATGGCTGTGCTGCGATCCATTTATTGTACTACACAGAGCTATAGCTAGATTCCTACCAAGCCATAACATCACGAAGGAACAGATTGCACTTGACCTGTAGATGAATGGCTTTTGATGGGGACTTAGATGGAGATAAAGGAAGTCAGCTGCTATGGCTCTAGCATTAGAAATGGTGGGATATATAATATAATAGTATAGAAATGGTGGGAAAAGGAAACACTCTAACAGCCTTGGAATAAAGAAGAAATGGAGATAAGAGATTTACAAGGTTAAGAAATGAAGAGGAAATATAAAGGAACTTAAAAGGAAATTATTCCTTGGCTTCAGGAAATTAACTACTGATTCTTTCCTTGTAAGTTGGAGCCTTAAATAGTAAGAGATGTCTGTGGTGTGTAGAGAGGAACGTCTGTCTTATTGTGTGGTAACTCAGGATACTTGGCGTTCAAAGGTATAACATTTCAGTAATCTGGACCTTGGAATCCCCACTGGTTTTAGTGTTGTAATCTTCAGTCTCTACAAAGTTGACCTCAACTGAGTCACTGATACTTCATTAATGATTTTTCATTATCTTTAGATTATTAGACTTTAAGTTTGAGTTATAGGATTCCTATTTCAGGCATCTTCTTAAAATTAACTAAGGGCAAATGTGTATAATTCTTAGGTATTGCCTCTAAAGTCAAGGTTCAGGTGATAATTCAGTTAAAAAGTCAGTTCCTGAGTATAATGATACAGAGAAAATGTTATTTCTGTTGCAGCTGGTATGAGAATCCCATCTGAGGAGGGTTTTGCTAAGCCCATGAGACACTTACAAAAAATTAGGCTACACCCTGAGAAAGAAGTGGACCACACATCCCAGTGCCTCCCCATGGTGACAAGGGATTGGGGGTGGGAGCTGGGGGTGCTTCGGGAAGGTGCTAGACAGAGAGAATGAAATGCTGGTGAGAGGGTAGAAAGGGACCCCTCCTGGGGCCAGTCAGATCTACACACGTGATTCCCAACACATGATAGGCTTAATGTGAGTATATCCTTTGGGAAAACCCTGAAGGGGCTGAGTCTTGAACCCAGCGAGCATGTTTGAATTTAGGGGGAAAGGCCATCATGAGAAATATGATGTTGGTAATTTTAACTTTTCTTTAGTGCAGTCATTTAAAGCTGACAACAGGTCACCTAGCTGGAGAGCGGCAGATTTGCCACCCCACACTCACCCCGGCAGAGTGGAAAAGCAACTCTTGAACAATGAAATGAGTGAATGTGGAGATGAGTGAGGCCTTCCCGCCTCCACAACTCACCTTCTGTATCTATATGCCCCCCTGATGGCCCCTTATAGCTGGGCCCTCCCTGCCTCCAAAGGGTTAGATGAACTGAGTAACTGATAAATTACCCCCTCAGCTGTCTTCTCTGTGAGATGAGGAACTAATAGGATCTCTCCCGTGAGTTGTGGTGGTAATTCACATAAAGCCCTTAAACTATTACTGGTCATATGTGATGGAATATAGAATATATGTTAGTTCTTATCATTAAAAAATGACCTATTCTAATACTCTGTGCAGTAGTAACAGATGAAAGAAACATGACTCTCAATTTTTAAATTTTCCTCAGCCTTTGCTTCATGACTGTGCAAAAACACCAACTCTGGGACTTTTAAAAGACTTGGTACCCTAATGTCGAGAGAGGCCCAGAGGTCCTACTGCTGTGCAGTCCACCCTCCAGCAACAGAAACTCTGGCCGAATGCCAGGGATTAAAATATTCCAAGGAAGACAAAGACTAGAGCCAAAGCAGAAAGAAATCAAGATAAGAAAAATAATCCCTTGAGTGACACACAGTTATAATTAAATAACACAGAACTAAAGCCAAGCATTTTTTGTTATGCCCTCTATGAGTAATACTTGTGCTTTGAAACTTTTAAAATATTTAAGGCAAGAAGAAATGAAATGCATGGCAACCAGTTAAGGTCATACATTTAGGACAAAAATAATAAAATATTAAAATGAAAGAAATAAATGTTCTAACTGAAATACTGAGATTCTGTGGAGATGAATTATTCAAAGTAGGAAACACATGTGACCTCCAATCTATTATATAACGGGAGAAATGGTGGTAAAGTTCAAGTGTAGAGCAATGCCAAGAGATGAGAAAATGATGGCAGGTAATGCTTAACAATATTCTAAAATTATGCTTAGATTTAAGGAAAGAGACTTCAAAGAAAGAAGAGGCAAGTTTGGCTAGTATAAAATGGAGTCTGGGGGCTTGAAAATGGTATTTTTCAGTCAGAACACCTAAGTAGTCAGGATAGACTAAATTATGCTGTAGTAACAAATAACTCTAAGCCTCAATGGCTTCAAACAGCACAGTTTTACTTCTTGCTCACAATAGATGTCTATTATGAGTTAGCAAAGATCTCTGTTCATCAGTCACTTAGGAGTAGGATTTCTGATGGTACAGCCACCATCTTGAACTTTGCCAGTCTCTGTTCTAGAGGGAAGTGTGAGCCCAGGGTTTCAGATCATATAAAATACTAATGTCCAGAAATGACTCATGTTAGTTTTGCTCAAACTCCCTGTCCAGGACTACTTCAAGGGGGCCAAAAAGTACAATTTTACCCTGCAGGCAGAAGTGGGGAAGGAACAAGAAGAAGAAAAAGATTTGGAGAATAACTCCAGCGGTTCCCCTGCAGCTCCACATGGCACTCCTTGGAAGGAAAACCTGTTTGTATGGCTGGGGGCTTCACGTACTTTGTTCATGAGAAAATCAGCTCCTGACCCCAGCACTTAACATGAGCAGGATTTTTGTGACTAAGATGTTCATAACTTAGGGTGACTTTGAGGGAAGGATTGTAGCTTTATTTTTAGTATTAATTGCCATGCATGTAACAGAAATCCAGTAGGCTATGGGAACAGGCAAGGGCCTTTGCAATTGTCTAGCCTCAGGGTCTTGAATCCAAATGCCTACAAGAGCCAAGGCAGGAAATGTGCATGAATGGGGGAGTCCGGGTGGTGTGCAAGAAGGGGTTGTCATGAGAGGGTGCACTGAGGGTACATGTCCTCCTGAAGGGAGTGACTGCTTCTCAGCACAAGCAAAGGGCCAGTGTGAGGGATTATGAGATGAATGTGGCCAGATTTTCTGACTTTTTAAGAGAAGTCAGAGAGACACGGTTGTTTTTTGGTTTTTGGTTTCTTTTCTAATTTTAGATGTGAAATCTAGTTTTTAAACCTTGGTTTCAAATTATAAAAAATTTAAAACACCATTTTGAACTAATGAAACATGGCTATAGCCTACCAGTTTATGACAATTATCCCGTGTTTTTTAATCCTCCTTTCTCACCACTTTTCCCCCACCCTTATTCCTCCAGCAGCAGAAGAACCCTTTATTTGGTCAAAGTCCAACTCAGAAAGTCAATATCTAGAGTGGATATATGTGGGGAACTGCTCTGATTGAAGCAGAGTGAGGGCCTGGACCCTAAAATTCAGCTGTTTCCCCTCTTCTCCCAGAACTCAAGAAGCACAGTTTGAAAACCACAGAATGAGTGGAATGCAAGCCTCTGCTTCTTCAGGTGAGGATTCAGACCAGGATACAGAACCAATCAGAGGCCTGTCAGTCCAGAAGTCCTTCCAGAACACCAGCAGTCCTGCATTCATCCATGTGCTGACCACAGTGCCCACTAGAGCTCCCCGTGCAGTCAGAGATTCACTGAAGCCTCTGTCAGACGTCATCATGAAATGTACCCTGAAAAGACTCTTGCACAGGACACCCTGCTGGCAACACGTGGGGTGAAGGGTGCAGAGGTTGCCTTCTCCAGGGAATTATATTCTAAGATGTACATTTCCATCTTGGCAAGCTCAGAGACAAACACCCAGGTACTGTGCTCTGAAGCAGTTGAATTAGTAAACTAAGAGGAATAACATCTTGGGGAGCATTAGTGCTGGTGCTCTTTGTGCAGTGGGACATGGAAAGTGTGAGCGGCAGGACAGATCCTCAGCAGGGTTGAGAAGGAGCTACCTGGACTTCTGCATGTATGGGAGTTTTAGTAACTTAATAGCTCAGCTTTGCCTTGCGAAAATTCTATGTATCTGCACCCAGATCTTTCAGGTCTAGAAACAGATAGATATAAAACATACAAAGTATATATGTACACATTATATATATATATGTATTATATATAAAGTATATACACATATATATGTTTTCCTGTGAGTTTTATTTTATTTTATAATTTCAGCTTTTATTTTAGATTAACGGGTACATGTGCAGGTTTTACCTGGGTATACTGCATGATGCTGAGGTTTGGACTACAATTGATGCCGTCACCCAGATACTGAGCATAGTGTCCAATAGTTTTTCAACCCTGGCCCACCTCCCTCCCCATTCTAGTAGTCCCCAGTGTCTATTGTTGCCATCTTTATGTCCATGAGTATCCAATATTTAGGTCCCACATGTAAGTGAGAACATGCAGTATTTAGTTTTCTGTTCCTGCAATAATTCACTTAGGATAATGGCCTCCAGCTACACCCATGTTGCTTCAAAGGACATGATTTTTTTCTTTTTTATGGCTGCATAGTATTTCATTGTGTACATGTGCCACATTTTCTTTATCCATTCCACCACTGATGAATATCCAGGCTGATTTCATCTCTGTTGCTATGAATAGTGTCGCAATGAACACATGAGTGCGTGTGTCCTTTTGGTAGAATGATTTATTCTCTTTTGGATATATAACCAGTAATGGGACTACTGGGTTGAATGGCAGTTCTGTTGTAAGTTCTTTGAGAAATCTCCAAACTGCTTTCCACAGTGGGTGAACTAACTTACATTCCCACCAACAGTGCATAAGCAGTCCCCTTCCTCTGCAGTCTCACCAGGATCTGTTGTTTTTTGACTTTTTAATAGTAGCCATTCTGACTGGTGTGAGATGGTATAACCTTGTGGTTTTGATTTGCATTTCCCTGATGATTAGTGATGTTGAGCATTTTTTAAATATGTTTGTATGTCTTCTTTTGAGAAGTGTCTGTTTATGTCTTTTGCCCATTTTTTAATGGAGTTACTTGTTTCTTGCTTGTTGAATTAAGTTCCTTGTAGATTCTGGATGTTAGACCCCTGTCAGATGCACAGTTTGTGAATATTTTCTCCCATTCTGTATCTGTTTACTCTGTTGATTGTTTTTATTGTTGAGCAGAAGCTCTTTAATTATGTCCCATTTGACAGTTTTTGTGTTGGTTGCAATTGCTTTTGAGGACTTAGTCATAAATTTCTTCCCTAAGGCCCATGTCCAGAGTGGTGTTTCCTAGGTTTTCTTCTAAGATTCTTGTAATTTGAGGTCTTACATTTAAATCTTTAATCCATCTTGAGTTCATTTTTGTATATGGTGAAAGGTAAGAGTCCAGTTCCATTCTTCTTCATATGGTTAGCCAGTTATTCCATCACCATTTATTGAACAGAAAGTCCTTTCCCCATTGCTTATTTTTCTCTACTTTTTCAAAGATCAGATGGTTGTATACATGCAGCTTTATCTTTGGGTTCTCTATTCTGTTCCACTGTTCTATTTGTCTGTTTTTGTACTAGTATCATGCTGTTTTGGTTACTGCAGACTTATAGCATAGTTTGAAGTTTGGGAATGTGATGCCTCCAACTTTGTCCTTTTTGCTTAGGATTGCTTTGGTGATTTTAGCTTTTTGGTTCCATATGAATTTTAAAATATTTTTTCTAGTTCTGTGAAAAATGACATTGGTAGATTGATAGGAATAGCATTGAATCTGTAAAGTGCTTTGATAAGTATGACTATTTTAATAATATTGATTCTTCCAATCCATGAGCATGGAATGTTTTTCCATTTATTTGTGTTATCTGTGATTTCTTTCAGCAGTATTTTGTAGTTCTCCTTGTACAGATCTTTCACCTCCTTAGTTGGATATATTCCTAGGTATTTCATTTTTTTGCAGCTATTGTAAATAGGTTTGCATTTTTAATTTGGCTCTTAGCTTGAATGTTAATTGGTGTTTAGAAAGGCTGAGTTTTATTTTAAAAATAAAGGATACACATTACTTAGTTTTAAAATTTAAATATAAGTAAGTACACAGAAAAAAAAAACCTTACTCTTAATTATCTAATCTGGAAGGTCAGCAAATTATGGCGTGTGGGCCAAATTCAGCCCACAACCTATCTTTGTCTTTAAGGTTTTATTGGAATGCAATCACGCCCATTCACTTATGTGCTACCCATGGCTACTTTCTTGCTGAAATGGCAGATGAAGTAGCTGTGACACAGACTGCATGGCTCACAAAGTCTAAAATACTTACTATGGGCTGGGTGCTGTGGCTCATCCCTAAAATCCCAGCACTTAGGGAGGCCGAAATGGGAGGATCTTTTGAGCCCAGGAGTTTGAAACCATCCTGGGCAACACAGGGAGACCCTGTTTCTAAAGAATATAAAAAATAAAAATAAACTAGCTGGGTGTGGTGGTACATACCTGTGTTCCCAGCCACTCGGGAGGCTGAGGGAGGAGGATTGCTTGAGCCTGGGAGGTCAAGGCTGAAGTGAGCTGTGATCATGCTACTGTGTTCCAGCTTGGGTGACAGAGCAAGACTTTGTCTCAAAACACATAAATAAAATAAAATAAAGCAAAATACTATTAGTCCCTTTATAGAAAAAGTGTGCCTACCTCTCATCCAATCCCACCAACTAAAGATCATCATTATTATTTGGCATATTTTCTTCTAATATTTTTCTATGTGTATACATATATTGGAAAAAATGAAATCATATTCTATTTAGTGCCCACAATTCTGCAAATAATGGAAATGTTATACATCTGCACTGTCCAATATAATTATTGAGTATGGAAATGTGCCTTCTGTCACTGAGAAACTAAATATTTAATTTTATTTAATTATAATCAATTAAAATTTAAATAACCACATGTGACTAGTGAGTGCCGTTATGAACAGAACTTTCTTGAAATATTTGCTTAATATTTCAGGATCATTTCTTTAAATCGTTAAATTCCTTATGAAACCCTTTTTATAACTGTATAATGTTATAATGTATGGATGAGTCATCATTTACTGAGCCAAGCGCCTATCACTGACACTTCGGTCCCAGTTTTTCACTATTATAATCCAATTCCATGATGAACATTTCTGTGCATGCAAATATTTGCACATGCCTACGATTATTGAATTAGGATAAATTTCTACATGCAGTATCATTTGATCAGAGAACGTAAATATTGTTCAGAGTTTTAAAATATATCATCAAATTGCTAGAGAGATCCTTCCATCCTGCCTACTTGAGAACAATACAGGAGAGTGCCTATTCCCCATATTATTCTGCGTATATTTTTAAGAATTGTCTTGAAAAGAGTCTCCTCCCTTATCTGTTCCATCTGGACTGTCAAAGAGATGATTGAGTAGGATACTTTGTGAAGACTCAACAGTGAATTGAGAAAGATGGGGACTGAGATCAGAATGGAGCATTTTCCACTGAAGTTGTCTACACAATCAAGGCTTTGGGCCACTTGAATAATTTGCATGATCACTTCTAAATGTAGTGCTGTGGGCAAAGTCCTTATGCTGTGGCAGGTCTTGACATTGAAATATTCTTGCTTGGGGGCAATGAAGACTTAAATGGACATGTGTGTGAAAATGAAATAGAAATGTAAATGGCGGTCGGGGTGGGTGGAGGTGAGGGGGTTGGGGGTGGGGATGGCAGTAGCTCCTTTTCATTCTCTCCACCTCCCATCCCCCAGGATGGAAGATTTAAGAAACAGGCAACAGACCAGGCGCGGTGGCTCAAGCCTGTAATCCCAGCACTTTGGAAGGCAGAGGTGGGCGGATAACGACGTCAGGAGATGGAGACTATCCTGGCTAACAGGGTGAAACCCTGTCTCTACTAAAAAAATATAAAAAATTAGCCGGGCATGGTGGCAGGCACCTGTGGTCCCAGCTACTCGGGAGGCTGAGGAGGGAGAATGGCTTGAACCCGTGAGGCGGAGCTTGCAGTGAACCGAGCTCGCGCCACTGCACTCCAGTCTGGAAGACAGAGTGAGACTCCGTCAAGAAAGAAGAGAGAGAGAGAGACAGAGAGAGAGAGAGAGAGAGAAAGAGAGAGAGAGAGAGAGACAGAGAGAGAGAGAGAGAAAGAGAGAGAGAGAGAGAGAGAGAGAGAGAGAGAGGGAAACAGCCAACAGAGAAATAAAGGAACGGAGGAACAAGGCCACGGGAAGTGAATAAGCTCAGGTACCAACCACAAGTGGTGTCAACAAACATAAGATGTGGGGGATAAGAGCAAGGGTCTTCTGGTGAGAAAAACATGGAATTGAGTTTTACTCTGCCACCTCATCATGCACCCTGAGTAAGTGGCTTTATCTCCCTGGGCCTCAATTTTCTCAAGAGAATAATAATAGTTCTCTATGTTTAAGGATCATTAAAAATAATCAATGTGAAAAATTCAACACAGGGCCTGGCTCATATAGCACTACAAGTGAGGGCCACTGATGGGATTAGGATTATCTTTCTCTCACGCTGAAAATCAGGGGGGCTGCCTCCTCCAGGGCGCTAGTCCACACAACCCCCTCATGGAAAGCATCCTCACCACCAACAGGCAGGTCCCCTTGGCCTGGCACACAGCCCAGCTATAGCATATGTATTGCTCAAAGAGGATGGCACTTCTTGTAATGTGCTTTACCCAGGCGTTCTTGAAAGTCAGTGACCTACCATTTAGGATGGCCTGGGCTACATGGCGCCCCCAGGATTTGGGGGTGGAGGTGACTGTCACCTCCCCTGCCTTAATAATTACTCTCTTCCCAATAACTGATTAGAATGGGTCAGATCAGACCTGCCCAAGGCTGCCTATGCCTGCAGACATTTTCCCACCTATGCTTATTCCTCATCTCTAAAATGTACCAGTTTTGACTTTTTTTTTTTTTTTTTTTTTTTGGAATTTAGAAACTCTGATCTCTACCATTCAATGCAGGGGAAGCGCTGTTATATATCTGTTGTGTAACATAGAGAGAGAAAAAACACATTAGTCGATTTGTAGGCAACTATATTCCTCTCCTCCTCTTGTGGCTGTTTCTCTACTTCCTTTAAAATAAACAAAGGCCAAAAGTGACTTCGGAAAATTCCCAAAGGGAAGAATAAAGCCAACATGAAAGACTGTCAAAGGCAGGCTTGCCGGATTTATAAAAGCAGGGAACCCCTCCTACCCTGTCTCCATCCACACCCACCCCCTACTCCATACACACACTTCTTTTTTAGCCAATGCCTCAGTTAGCACAATACTAACATTTCAGGGAAGGCTTGGGTGATTTTTCTTTAGGAAATAATGGTCAACACTATTCAAAAACCAAACAAGCTAAAGCTGTTCCTTGAATTGGTGATATATTTGCAAAGATGAAATTACACAATCCAGACATGCTAGTTATGAACACAGAAAATCTTCTACTTCTCTGTTCAAGGGTCAGAAAATGAAGAAGTCATTTAGATATTTACCAACTTCACAGTGGCTGCTGAAAGTGCCAGCCAAGTTTTTGAAACAAAAGAAGAGATGGCCATGCAGCTCACAGGAGAAGCAACTGCAACCCAATTGAAGTATTTCAACAGCTGGTTTCATCACCAACAGGAGAAAGCTGACTCTTTTGTGGAGTTCAGAAAGTGAGTGAAAAGGTTACATTTTCATAAAGATGTGCATAGGCAGGGCATGCAAAACCAGTCCTTTCTTGCTTTAGAAGAGACAGAAATCTTGAGCGTGGACATACTTTCAAGTTCCAGCACGTAGATCCATGGTCATGATCGGGTGGCCCAAAACTGCCTGCCTTAATGAAGATGCTCCCGGGCCTACACATGGAACAATCATGAACCTTCAAGGGATTTCTTTTGTGTCCTTATCCACCACATTCACATTCAATTTACCTAATACATTTCCTAATGAAACAATTAATACATTCACATATGAAACTAATTAAGACAGAGCTACAGCTTTGCCTGCTTTTTCTACAATTGAATTACTGAGACTCAGCCTGAATTCTAAAACTCTCTTCTTGAGTCATTAGGGGAGGAAAACGAACCACATGTGTTGTGAAACTTGCACATCATGGGCTCCCTGTGTTGTCACCAGTGCAGGAAGCGACACACTCCTGGAGTAGTGGGTGGACCTGTGGGCCCGGCATGGTGGCTCATTCCTGTAATCCCAGCACTTTGGAGGCCGAGGTGGGTGGATCACAAGGCCAGGAGTTTGAGACCAACCTGGCCAGCATGGTGAAACCCCATCTCTACTAAAAATACAAAAATTAGCTTGGCATGGTGGTGAGCACCTGTAGTCCCAGCTACTCGGGAGGCTGAGGCAGAAGAATCGCTTGAACCCAAGAGGCAGAGGTTGCAGTGAGCCGAGATCTTGCCACTGCACTCCAGCCTGGGCAACAGAGCAAAACTCCATCTCAAAAAAAAAAAAAAAAAGCTCCTATAGAACACAGAACTCAAGATACTGACACCATTGGTCTTGTAGCTAAGATGCCTGGAAAGTCTAAGTGTCTATGTTGAGTGTTTACCTTTTTCAGGTGTGACTTTTCTGAGAAATTGTAAGTATGTCATGTCTTGGACATTCTGGGCATTCCAAATCATAAAATAGGATTCCAGATTATTCTGAATGGCTGTATTTACATCATCCATTTCAACATCCATGTCAACATACATGTTGCTGAAGGGGTAGCTTTGGGAACTACTGCTCTGAACACAAATTAATGGTAGGAGGTACTGACTGAAAGCATCATGTGGTAGAAAACCCCAAATGCTTTTTTCAAGAACTATATATGAACTGTGTTTGTGCACGCACAGTTGTATGCTCATAAACGTTAATAAATTGGTATTGGGCAACACAATTAACATTCATTTCATTGGAGGCCCACAATATGCTAGGATTTTTTTCCCTTAATGATGTTTCAGAGCAGGATGCTTTGGTCCGAAATACATTGAAACACGCAACAATGAAATTCTATTTCTTTCTAGTAGTATGTTAAAGGCACCATGGGGGACACAAAATTATGAACCCCAAACTGCACCCTCAGGTTATTTACAGCCTATTAAGAAAAGCCATGTTTTTTCCCAATAACAGAGAATTCAAATACAGCTAGTCCCTGTGTTTGTTGTCAGAAAGAGAAAGAAAACCATACTTTGTTGGGACACATCATTATTAGTGTAACAATATATAAACATATGTCAACATGAAAAGCTTAATTTAAAGTATCATGGCATTACAGATCCCTTGTCTGAAGAATAAACTCAGTCAAAGAAAGTTGGAATGACTTGCCCGGGGTCACATAGTACTGATGATATCAGAACCCAGCTTTTTGACTTCCAGGTGGAGAATTACAGGTAAACTGAGAGTCCCTGGCTGGGTTTGGTCAGGTCCTTTATGGCTCTATAATGCTACGACTCTCTGAGAACTCTATGACCATGCTGCCACTCTCCTGACATTCTTTTAATTAATAAAATCACTCAGCTGAACAAAAATAATGGTTTCATTAAGATGCAGAAAATGCCACATTTAATCACTAAAAATGGCATAGTGTATCATTCACCTTAGGGAAATTTTTATGTTTAAATATGCAATATAGAGATATTTTAGATAATTAGCAACAAGGAAAGGCAACTAATCTATTATTGCATAATATTTGATTACCTATTAACTTCGGCCATGTAATTGAACACATAGCCAATGACTGTCACTTCCTGGCACTAAAGCCCAGGTAGATACTGCTCTGTTTTCATTCTGTCATTCTAGCCATTTCTAGGATGAATTTCCTTTTATTTGGAAGGAGGTTTTAAACTGAGCATTTGACGTCACATTGTTACCCACTGAAAAGTGCTCTCTGTAAGTGCTTCCTGAAGAAGGCAAGGTTGAAGTGAACCCTTTCAAACCAATGCGTGGCACTTTGTTAGCATTTGCTGAGTGTCCAGCACTAAGCTAGGCTTGTGAGGTAAGAAAAGAAAGTTTGTACCTGTTTTTATCACATGGGGCCAGTTACCTTTGTCTGCCTTCCAGGCCCTGGTTGCTAAATCCTGGGAAGTCTGTAATTACATTAGAAGATGGGATTATTAGTGATAAAATGTGGTGTTTTATAGATAGTGCTCTGAAACTTTGTTTCAATGGCCTTTCCCACACAGTATCTCAATAACCCTAAGGTAGGCAGGAAAAAAAATGTTACTGAGGCTCAGAGAATTTAAATGGCCTGCCTGAAATGTGACAGAAGGCAGACCCAGGACTAAAATGGAAGTCCTTGGAAGCCTGGCCCAGGGCCGTTCCTTCCTCACAAGGAAGGACTTGTAAAGAGCTTGCTTAATTCAAGGTTCCTTTGGCCTGGGATATCCTTTTGCTCATGCTCACCTGATGCCTCCAAGATAGGATTTCTGGGTATCCCTTCTTACCTGACATGCGTTCTGGCCACATCTTAGCCTGTAGTGCTCATGTACCTTCTTAGTCTCTAATCTGTCTATTGGTGCTTTGATATGTTAACCACGGGCTATCTTACTCCCTCAATTTTATTTTTGGATAAATTGGAGAAAACAGTTTTAAAACGATGAACTATAAGACTTTGATGCTGATTCTTTATTCTCAGTCCCAAGCTTTGCCTATACTTCAAAACAGATCTCAATGGACAAGGAAAAATAATATCAGCATTTCACTGGGCATCTAAAGTGCTAGGCATTGTGCTAAAAACTTTGAATGTTTTTAACATTGTATCAAGATGGGGACTGAAGGGCTTTAAACCCAGGCAGTCTGAATCCAGAACCCAAATGTCAGCTATGACACTGCTGTTGTCTCCCACAATGCCATACTTGCAAGTTTTGTGTAACACAGAGCATTTAGAAATCTCTTTAAAATTATGAAATTCTGGGTTTTCTTCCCCTGCTGTGGCCCAAACACAAACTAAGAACATACCTA
The DNA here is from genome assembly GCF_000001405.40 of Homo sapiens. NCBI lineage: Eukaryota > Metazoa > Chordata > Mammalia > Primates > Hominidae > Homo > Homo sapiens. The sequence goes on from NC_000004.12 coordinate 146,109,046, forward strand.
ACGAACAGCTGCAATTGATATTTTCATCTTAATTAGGGATTAAACATCAAATAAATTATTCTATTTAAGATGATTTATGATGTCCTAACTTTTCCAGTAGTTCATTTCAAACAGATTTTTAATAGTAGGAGAAAACAGTACCATAGTAACTTTTTAAAGTATGTGTGGGAAATTAACTAAAAATATTAAAAAGATCACTCACCCACTGTTAGCCTTTATTTTTTACCCCAAAACAACATGAGAAAATGAGTTTTTTCTTTTACCTTTGCTGTACCTTCCTCTTTGAAAATAAGCCCATTAATAAGAAGATATAAAAGGAAAATGTATCTCAAGACAAATTAAACTTTTTAAAAGAAACAGTTCTATCAAAACAAGTTTGCAAATAAAAAATAATTACCAAATGAACATATTAGGGGAGTGTAGCCATTAGGCATGTTTTTATTATGCAATAATTTATCCATGAACAGTTTATATTTCATATCCATATTACAGTGTTTTTTTTCCAAGTCACTGGGAGTACTCAAGCAGAGCTGATGAAAATTCATCAATCTGGGAAGTTCCAGAAGGGATTTTGCAGTGAGTAGAAAGTTGAAATCTTGGATGATAACGTCCCTTCCAATTTGAAGATTCTATAATTTCCAACTTAGGCAACTGACATAAGGTGAGTATCCTCATGGACTTGATTCCGTAGTGATGGTGGAAAGCAGTGGTGGACTATCGTGAGCTCTGGAGCCAGCCTGCCTGGTTTTGCTCTTGGACTTGATCACTTAATTGCTGTGTGAACTTGAGCAAGTTTCCCATCTGTACCTCAGTTTCCTCATCTGTAAAATGTTGATACTAATAGTATGAATCTCATAAAGTTGTTGTGAAGATTAAATGAGTTAATGTAAGTAAAGTGCTTGAAACAGTCCCTGGCACAGGGTAAATATTCTATATAATAGCTATGCTATTATTTTCCAATAATAATATCGGGAAAATAGTAGATGATACTGGAATAATATTCCAGCAATATTGGAATAATATTGGAAATTGTAGTCCAAAAATATTGGACTATTATCTGATCCATCTTGTGGTCTCCAATATGAAACAAACAGTAGCCCATTGTGAGGTTAATTATGGTGAGTTAAGGGCTCATATCTTGTCTGAAGCAAAGGAAATAAAGAAAAGAAGAGGAGAGGTAAAATGAGGAATTTTATTTAAAGGCAGCAGAGAGATGTCTAATGTTCAGGGAGAAAAATGAACACTCCATAGGCCTAGTCCATCAGGAGTGAAAGTATGACAGGAGAGAAAAAGCCAGTGGTACACAGTCTCTTCACACACACACACACACACACACACACACACACACACACTCCTCAGCAAACACATTTGGGGATTACTGGTCTATGTGCATCTTAAAGTTTTCACTTTAGCACTAGTGTTTAGTTCTAATATTGACCTATGGCTTCAATTTGGCAGCTCAAGTCCACACATTTGCCCTGAGCCCCTGCTAAGTAGCAAGTGTTGTGGAAGCAAAGCATGCTGCCCAAGGGTGCACAGTCTAGGAGGAAGGGGCCGACAGGACTGTGCCCACACTTTTCACTGGGTGGTAAGTGCTGTGATCAGCTTCTATGCTGGATGCTATGGGGGCTGGGAGAAGGCCACCTGACAGCCTACAGGGACAGGGAAGACTTCCAGGCAGAGGTGAAAGCTTCACTTAGACTTGAAGCAGGTATTAGGCTGATGAAGAAAGTAAGCCAAACAAAACAAAACAAAGCAGAACAAAACTCCGAGAAAATTAGACTAAGAAATGTTTTAATTCCTTCCATAAACTTTGAAAATAGGCAGGCCTAGGCTTGAATCCTCGTTTTGCTATTCACTAGCGATGTGACTTTGGGCAAGTTACTTAAACTCTCTGAACTTCAATGTAGTCATCTCTGGGACAGGGTCCCTATCTTATTGTGTTGTTCTGAAAATTAAAGGAACAATGTATGATCACCTCATAACCCAGTGTCTCCCACAGGCTTATTTTGAATATCTGTGGTATTAAAACACTCATACTAAAACATAATAAAAGAGGAAGTAATGATTTGTTGAATTTAGAGGAAGAAATAATGACAAGGAAAGCCAAAAGTAGCACAACAAGCTCTGTATTTAGGCTCATATATCCATTCTTGCCAGAGCCGCTAAGTCAGAGCTGGGGTGGAGAACAACTGGCCAAAGTCCATTACATTCCATCTAATGATAGGTCTGTTGGCAGGTGGGGGGAGGCTATCAGCAACTCACCTTGTCCAGTACCCTCCTGTTATAATACAAAGCTCCAGCTCAAACTGAAAACTTAAAGTACAATCAGCCAGATCCACCTTCTAATGACTATGATGTTTAAAGCATCCACAAAAGTGAAATTCAAATTATTGATATGTTTTAGTAGCACCATCCGTAATTTCACCTAAACATAAAGAAGAAGCAAAACAGGAGCAGGAAAGTCAGTCTATGATAAAAGCTCCCATTTATCACAGGCCTCCTATGAGTTAAGTACTGTTTATTTGCTATTTCTAACGCATATTGCAACTTACAAGGCAGTCCTGTTCTCCTTCACAAATGAAGCATCCACAGCACAATTGGTGACTTCACAAAGGTCCCATGGCTCCTAGGTGGGAAGCCGCCAGAAGGCAGATCTGATTCTAAAGCTGCTGTCTGCATGCCAGGCTAGTACAGCTCTCAATCTGGGATCAGGAAAGAGAGGTACCACATGTGGTCAAGGAGCTCCCACATCCCCAGGAGTCCAAGGGTTGCCATTCTTCCTCCTTCTGTCTCTGTGATGTCACCACTACAATGTTGTCATATTGTGAACTGTTCTGGTAAGTTACAAATTTTTCCACAGAAAAGAAGAGAAAGGGCTACCCAAAAAATGGGAGAGGAAAAACTAATCGTAAGTCTTCAGAGCTAAGTGAAGTTAAGAACCTGACCTTGGATGGGGGTATCCTAACCCAGCGGTGGCCTTAGTCACGTCATACTTCTGCTTCGCAACTGATCCCAGATACAGACACAGTCTAATTGAAAAGAAGGAGTTATCTGGTTGTGAGGTGTATTAACTTCTTAGGTGAAGTAAAATGCTTTGAAACAAGGTGAATTTTAAAAATCAGATATCTTGATTCAAATCCGGTCTTTGCCACTTAATAACTGTGTGATTAAGCCTCATCTACTTATCTTCTAAATGAAATTAATAGTATTTACTTCACTTTTCTCATCTCTAAAATGGTGATAATAATACCTATCCTCCTAGCATGATGGTAAGGATGAAGTGAGAATAAAAGCTAGCATGTAGAAAATAGTAACCGAAGTTACCTATTGATAATTTTCTGTGATTATCTTAATTAGCTACAGTATAGCATTCTTACATGAAGTACCTGGATGTGGTAAATAATCAATAAACAGCAGCTATTATTATTAACAGGGCACATTTTTGTATTGGTGCAGGTCTGCTGGTGGAAATAAATGAAAGGAGGAGAAATCCTGTGTGTGACAGCACAAATGCAAAAATAAAACCAAAAACAACAATAAGAAAGCAGAAGTGGAAGGAAAAGAATCTTAGCTTGAGTCAACCAACTTGTTACCAGAATTCAGTTATTAAAAATCTCTATAGTGTAAATTTAGCCTTTAGAATTTAATTTTTTTAACTTTCTCTTTTGTTTTTACCAAAGTCCACTTTGAAGAGTCCAGTCTTCACTGGACCAAGGAAGAAAGGAAAATAAATTTAAATTTTTATGTATTTAGTTAGTTTTGCTTTGTAAAAGAGAAGAATCCAGCTCAGGTTCTTAACTCCACTCACCTCTAAAGAATTCCCAGTCATATTTCCCTCTCCCTTTTTGGGTGATGCTTTGTCTATGTCTATGGTAGAGGAGAAATGGGGAAGAGACACTGCAGGGGTGATGAGGACAGAATTTAGAGCACTGTAGAGAGAGGGGAGATTCTGGGGAGAGAGTGAGAGGGTCCTTGTGCAGTGATCCTTCTCCTTGGAATGGTTTGTCCCTAAAAGCTACTCTGCTTCTTTCCTGTCAGGGATGTTAGCAGAGCTCAAATCCTTATGAACCCAAACTCCCAAGCCACTGGATCCGGTGAGATGGCTGGAACTCAGCAGGGTCAGCATGAGGAACACCGCGAGGACTGCTGAAACACCACATTCCCATGGCTGCCGCAGGACAGCGGGGTGGCTGGAAGGCACAGTGTCTGTGAAACTGTGGTCCTCGGCAAGGGGTGTGACCTCATGGTGGGTCGCCTGACCTATGAGCAGAGATGGAAGGAAGAATGCCAATTTGGAGGCAGATGTGGGAAGTAGGAGTGCTGTGGCAACACGGTGTGGAAATAGGGAGTTCTCTTCAGGCGTGATGCTCACAGTTTACATAAATCTATTGATCTATGTATTTACCTGCCTACCTCTATGTGTGCGTTTGTCTGGGTGTGGGGTGGAGCAGTGTGAGGTGGGTTCAGGAACCGTGTTTGTGAGGGCTGTCTGGGGAGACAGAACCAATAGGAGCTATATCTGTACTGATATTGGTATCTCTACTGATATAGATAGATGAGAGGGGATGTATTAGGGGAATTGGCTCACACGACCTTGGTGACTGAGAAGTCCCACCACAGTCCATCTGCAAGCTGGAGACCCTGGGACGCAGGTAGTGTGGCTTCACAGCAAGTTCAAAGACCTCAGAATCAAGGGAGCGTATCTGCCCTAAGGATGAGATCGGGAAAAAGCCTGCAAGCATGTGTTTGAAAGGAGGTGAGAGAGGAAGATCAAGAAGGGTTTTCCCAAGTTACGGTTGCAACGCAAGAAAGGGAAAGGTGAGAAGAGGGACCCGAGCCCAGGCCTTGGGAGGAAGAGGAGGAAGAAGAGGGGTGTGGGCCCGACCCCGAGAGCAGACCAGGGCTGCGGTCAGAGCTGGTCGCCAGATGAGGACGCCTGGGCAGCTGGCCTGTGCCTGAGCAGAGGTGGCTGAGGTCCAGGAGGCAGAGAAGAAGAAATGGAGCCTCGCACCGCTGCTCCTAGCTTGCCCAGAGGGAGAAGGGTGATGGGGCTGTTCCTATGCACTCAGGACCGTGGCTCTTGAACTTTATGTGTCGGGAAGGAGGCAAGGGCTGAACTGGAGAGTGGGCCATTCATTTAGTTCCAGCGTCCCAGGAAATGCTCTTTTCCCCGCGGGAGCCTCTGCCTGCAGCTGTAATGACCTTGGACTAGAAGGTCAAACTCCAAAGGCTTGAAACCGCACCTGCAGCAGGACTGGCCACCTACGTTGTGGGGTATCTTTAAAATAAAATGCTGCACTGTCCTGCAACTGTCAGTCTGAAGCAGAAGTCCTGAGTGCCCAGGGGCAACTGGTGTAAGTCCTGGAGTTTGAAGGTCATAGAGCCTGGAGTCCAACCGCAGGAGGAGAAGAGTGTCCCTGCTCCAGGAGAGAGAGAGAGAAAAAAAAAAATCTCTTTTTGTGTATGTGCTGTTGTTGCCTTTTTTGTTCTTATCTGTGCCCCCAGCCATTTGGATGATGCCCCCACATTGAGGACAGGTCTTCCCCACTCAGTTTACTGACACACACTCCAGTCTCCTCTGGAAACCATCTCACAGACACACCCAGAAAGAATGCTTTACTAGTTCTCTAAGTATTCCTTAATCCAGTCAAGTTGGCACCTGAAATTAACCATCCTAGGGACACTGCTATTTTTAAATCTACCTAGAATTTGCACCTCTGACTCTAGAGATTGAGGCAGAATTCATTTTCAGGGAGACTATCCTTTTGATTTGAAAAACACCGATATAAGCTCTTTAGTTAAACAAAGATAGGGCCATGCTTCTATTCTGGAAGAAACAGATTAAGATGGAGCAAAGCTAAGCTGCTCATCAGAGATTTTTTTTTTCTCTAATATATTTTATGGCTTCCTCAGGAAAGAAGCAGGCCAGGGAAGAGTGGAGATGGGCAGAGTGGTGATAAAACAGGGGGCTCATGGAGAGGAGGAGAAATGGACTTTAGCACCACAGTGGCAGGCAGGAGCTTAAGAGCAGAGTTTAATTCCAAGGGATTCCTTCGATGGGGTTATGACCAATCTGCTTTAGGAGCAGTGATACAGAATTTTCTATCTCCCTTTTGGTGGTGCTGTGGTTTGGATGTTTGTACCCCAAAAAACTTCATGTTGAAATTTGATCCCAGTGTTGGAGGTGGGACTTTATGAGAGGGGTTTGGGTCATGGAGGAAGATCCCATATGAACTGATTAATACTCTCCCTCAGGGGTGAGTGAGTTCTCATCTCATTAGTTCCCGATCCAGCTGGTTGTTACAAAGAGCCCGGCACCCTCACCTCTCTTTTGCTTCCTTTCCATATGATCTCTGCATACACTAGCTTCCTTCCTCTCGTGTCGTGAGTGGAAGCAGCCCAAGGTCCTAATGGCAGATGCCTAATCCTGAACCTTCCAGCCCATCAGAATAGTAAGCCAAATAAATCTTTTTTCTCTGTAAGTTACCCAGCCTCAGGCATTTCTTGATAACAACGCAAAATGGACTAAGGCATGTGGTATGACTCCTCATGTTATTCTCAAACCCTCAGTAAAGTTTTGTCACTCTCTATGGCTGGTGTCAGCCATGTTGGAATAAAGAGAGGAGCTGGTGTCCACAGGGGGCAACCGATTAACAGAGAGATAAGGTTGGGAGATGACAAGAGGAAGCACGGAGCTGGTGTAAGCATTCCCTGACAAATCTTCAGAAGTTCTTGCAAAAGAAGACTACATGTTTCTTGTTCACACAGGATGGGATTCACAATATTTGAGGGAGGGATATTGTCATAGACATTGGGGGTACCTGGTAGCACATGAACCCACTTTTTATGTTTAGGGATGTCCTCACTGTATGAGTCTCCATGAGGGTTAGAGACCTCCACTATGGAGGTCAAATAGGCCAGAGACTTGTTTTTCCAGCCTCCTGCCCTGGAGAGGGGGCATGTGACCTAGGCTTGGCCAGTCAGGCACCACCCCAGGACTTTGCATTGGAAGCTAGTGAACCGATGAAGAGGAGTGGTAGAGAGTCTATTCTGAGGAGTGGGGTGGTGGGGTAGAAGGCAGCTAAAGCCTCCAGTTTCCTGGGGCACAAGAGAGAGTAGGATTGGTAGCATTATTTAGTTGAGAACATCCAAGAAGCAGATGCCAAGATGGGATTCGAGATTTATTAGGGAAAGAAATTCATTAGGGAAAATGGCTCTGGAGGATAAAGAGAAAGGGAGTGGGAGTTGGAGAGAGCCATTAGATTGGGAGACAGGTCTAACAACTGTAAAAGGATAATGAGAAACAAAGAATGGTGGGAAGAGCCTCAGAGTGCAGCAGAATTCTGAGACAATCTTGGCTTGGCCAATGGAGAGTCTCCAGGCAAAAGCTGCTGTGTTCATTTTTCTATTGCTGCTGTAACAGGTTACCTGACCCTTTGAAGCTGAAACCAACACAATGATCATGTTGTATTGTATATCTGTAATTTGCTAAGAGGGTAGATCCCAAGTGTCTTTACCATACCAAGAAATAAAAATAAAAAATAAAAAAGAATGGTAACTATGTGAGGTGATGGAAATGTTAATTAGCTTGATTGTGGTGAGGAACACAAATTTATTATCTTACAATTCTGGAGGTCAGAAGTCTGACATTAGTGCTAAAATCAAGGAACTGACAGGATTGCTTCCTCTGAGAGCTTCAGGAGAGCTGGGGCCTGCCCTTTTCAGCTTCTAGTGACTGCCAGAATTCCTTGGCCTGTGGCTGCATCACTTCAATCTCTGCTTCGGTCATCACCTCTCCTACTTCTCCCTCTGATCGCCTGCATCCCTCTTATAAGGACCCTTGTGGTTACACTGAGCCCTAAGTAATCCGGGATACTCTTCCAAGATTACATGTGCAAAGTCCCCTTTGCCCTATAAAGTAACATTCACTGGTTTCCTCTGCTGGTGGCAAGTGCAAGCTCTGATGTCCAGTGTCTAGTGCTATTAGCAGCAGTGCCCATTGCTCATGTTCTTGTGGCATGATTTGTACTTGGGTTCTAGATACCTAGAGTCTCTCTTCTTCTACCTGTTTTCTGAACCTTCTCAAAATTTCCTGGTGTTTCTGTGAGCTCCTTGGTCATCTTTTAATAAACTTCTTTTCTACTTAACTCAATCAGAGTCAGTGTGGCTGATCATTGTTAGGTTTGGTGAAAACAGGAGGCTCTGTTCCTAAAAGGAAAAGGGGAAATAATTGCTCTAATTTTAGAGACTAAATTTTCCAACCTTCCTTGTGGCCAGGCATGGCCATGTGACTAAATTCTCATCAGGGAAATGTGAGCAGAAGTGATGTGTCTAACCTCCATGTCACTTCTTCAAAAGGAACTCCTATGCACAATCCTTCCTTCTTTTCTCCCCTCTTCTGGGTTCAGTATGTACATGGTATTGGGGAGTCAGCTTGCTTCAGTGAATAAGAGCAACATTTGAGGAGATGACAGGGCACCTAGAAAGATGGAACAAGGCTCTCTGGATGATTTTATGTAGCAGAACCACCTTCCTATGTTTGTGGGTCTGTGTTCTTGTGGGTTGTTATGTGAGAGAGAAATAAGCCTATATTGGTTGAGCCACTGTCTTTGGGGGTCTCTTTTGAAAGCCACCAGCCTATTCTAGGTTTAGTGTGACCTAATGAAAACAGCCAATTTATGTCTAATATTCCTGGCTAGTTCAGATATAAGAACCAGGAGTGATTCCAGCATCTCAGGGAAGGGGGAGAAGGAGGGATTCTGGGAGTAATTGTTGGGAAAGTTGGGGATGAGGGCAGTAAAATTTCAGTAGTAGTATTTAAGAATGAGAATTTGTTAGTCTATGACATGCAGGGGTAAGACAATGACATTTTAGGGGTCTGAGTAGCCACTGCCACTGAATAGCATAGGTGGAAAGAGTCACACAAGGAGGCTATGGGGTGAAGTAATTAATACTAACAGTCAGGAGTAGCTTAAATAAAGAAAATAACAAACTCAAATCACTAAATTCTCAGCCCAAAGCACAGTTAGAAAAAAAGGGAGTCATATATAACTATGCTAAAATAATCTCTTGCAGCAGGGCCAAAATAGCTGCAAACCAAATGCAATGGTTAATTCTGAATTTTGCTTTGATCTGTTGAATTCTCAGGCTTGTCAGTAGAACACTGAACATAAAAATGTGGAACCCTGATCACTGAAATGGGGATATATGGAAGGATTCAGAGGCCTCATAAGGTTTTGATCCTCCAATTGCTGCTGCCCCTCTGAGGGTCACGGAGGAACATATATCCATAGGTCACAGTTCATGAATCCCTACAAAGAAGCTAGTCTTTGCAAATTCTAGTGAATTTTAACAGCATAAAGTGGAAAAAGTCTGTCTATGTCCTGATGAGCATCAACTGTGAAGAGGCTGTTCTTGTCTTATTTGAAAACCCTGTAAGAACCTCTCTGAGGACTTACTCTACAAGGACATGTCAATTCTTTACTTCCACATTCCTAATTTCCTTCATTTTCCACAGTGCCATAATTAAAATGCCAACATGCCTGTGTATATGGTGGTCGTGGGGCAGTTACAAAGTCAAATATCAAAGGAAAAGGCTTTCTAAAAAAAAAGAATATTTTTTCCTACTTTATGTTAGCAAAAATATCTGTGGAATATGATTGGGTAATGGATTATGGGGTGCTAGGTCAAGGAGGGTGAGAACATACATTTAAATGGAGACGAATTTATCTAGATCTTGGGAGGGGGGCAGTGATATTCCAGGGCTTTCACTAGGTTCTTCCCAAAGAATTAATCAAACCAATCTAAAATTCATGAGGAAACTGCAAAGATTAGTGATAAATTAAGTGTTGGAAGCATATAGTAGCTTTGTATCCCCATATAGCTTTCTGATTTGACTAGGGCAGGACATGGATGGATCTTAGCAGAGTAGATTATTGTAAACTTAATCAGCTGATGACTGTAACTGCAGCTTCTACTCCTGATGAAGTCTCCTTACTAAAGAAAATCATTAGAGCCTAAACGTGCAGTCACTACTTTTGTTTATTTTTTTTCTATTCCAAGGCCAGAAAGTGTAATGACAGGCTCTGCAGACCATAAGGAATCTGTCATATCTACCCAGCTCTGCCATTGCAATATGAGAGCCATAGACCATGCATAAACAAATGGACGTGGCTGTGTTCTAATTAAATTTTATTTACAAAATGAGCAGTAAGTGCCCCAGTAGCAACAAGCACATCCAGTTCTCAGATCCTGGTTTCTAATATCATTCTTCAATAAAAGGAACTAGGGATCCTTGGAGAAATGACTGACTCTAGGACTGGGGTGAGAAATATACCACATGGGCCCAGATCATCTAATTACACCAAAAAGTAAGGATGTGCTCACAAATAACAAAAAGCAAAACAAAACAAAAAACTAAGAAAAAACCATCACCAACAAAAACACACACACACATCGATGGGGGTATGTCATTAGGAGCCAACCAAAAGAGCTCTTAATGGCCAAAGCTGAGACAATTTGAGCAATAAAATAAAGTAGCATTGGATTATGGCTCAAAGTATAAAGTAAATATCCAAGATTCCATACTGATACAAATACATGATTTAATAAACTAACAAGTGAGAAGAAGAGACAATCTCTCATGCAGAAGAATTCCAAATATAACACATAGATACTCTGTCTTAAAGGAGGGAGAGCATAACTCCCCACTCAAGTGTGGGCTGTGCATAGTGACTTCTCTCCCTAGAATACAGTAAGGAGAGGCAGAAAGAAGTAACTTTACAGTGGAGAAACCTGACATGCACTATTTCAGCCAGGTGTTTGAGGTCAATATCGACAGTCATACATCATGTTGGTAATATGTACCCTTGATATGATGTGATGAAAAGGGCACTTTAAATTTGTGATCTTTCCCCAAAATCCACAACACCGTTCGAATTGTGAGAAAATCATCAGAAAAACTCCAATAGAGGAACATTGTGCAATATACCTAACCACTACTCAAAACTGCCAAGGTGAACCTGGTGCAGTGGTGAGCTCCTGTATTCCCAGCTCCTTGGGAATCTGAGGCAAGTGGAACACTTGAGCCCAGGAGTTCAAGATCAGACTAGGCAACACAGTAAAACCCTGTCTCAAAAAGAAAACTGCCAAGGTCATCAAAAACAAGGAAAATCTGAGAAAATTTCATAGTCAAAGTAGCCTAACGAAATGTGACAAATAAATGTAATGTGGTATCCTGGATGGCATCCTGGAACAGAAAAAGGACATTAGGTCAAAATTAAGGAAGTCTGAAGAGAATGGATGGAAAGGGTCACACAAGGACTGTGAGGTGGTACGGTTAATACGAACAATCAGGAGAGGTTTAAATAGAGAAAATAACAAACTCAAATCACTAAATTCTCAGCCCAAGGCACAGTTATGAAAAAAAGGAATCATATATAACTATTCTAAAATAATCTCTTGCAGCAGGGCCAAAATAGCTGCAAACCAAATGCAATGGTTAATTCTGAATTTTGCTTTGATCTGTTGAATTCTCAGCCTTGCCAGTAGAACATTGAATATAAAAAGGATTATTTAGTAATAGTATATCAATCTATGTTAATTGTAACAAATGTACCATATTAATATAAAATGTTAATAACAGGAGAAATTATGGGTATACTGGCAACTCAACGTGCTCTCTGCTCAATTTTTCTGTAAATATAAAACTACTCTAAAAATGCAAGTCTATTAATAAAAATTATAAAAGGCAGCAAGGCAGATTTTGCCTTCAGACTCTACTTTGCTGACCCCTGCTATATTCCATTAAGCAGAGAAAACAGTCAAGTTTGCTTTCACCTGGTGGGAACAGCAGAATACCTTTATTATTTTGTCTCAGAGTTACATCAAATCTCAGGTTTTATACCACAATACGGGAGATCAGTGCCTTGAACATCCCATCATCCTATAAAACATCATTGGATCATAGGTACACTAAATTGATGACATCATGCTGACAGGAGTTGAAGAGCAGAAATTAAGAGCTACTCTCAATGCCATGGTAAGATACATGTCTATAAGAGGGAAGGAGATATATCCTATAAAAGTGCAAGAAGGAGCCTACCCTTTCAATAAAGTTTCCAGGAATTTGATAGTCCCAGGATATTGGAATTTCTTCTTCAAAGGGAATGCCAGATTGGTACATGTTGTAGCCCCTACCTATTAAAATGGTACACTCTGGGGAGCTTTGGATTTTGTAGACAGTATTTTACATTCAAATGTGTTACTCTGAGCCATTTACAAGGTGACCTGAGAAGTTGCTTAGGCTCTTACAGGATGCAAAGAATAAAGAATAATCCATTATCTCAGTTAACAGAGCTTATTGTAAGATTACCAGGAAAGTACGAAAACTCAGAAAAAATGAAAATAACTCAAGCTAAGCCACCAGAGAATTAAATATTATGGCTATTTGGGACACAATGAAAAGTTTTATAATAACGTCTACTGACTCTAGCAGCTGGCTGTGCTCCTGATTCCGGTCTTCCATTCTGCTTATCTGCACTCATTTTTTCTTCGCTAGGACTAATTCTCTACCCTCTCTTGGCTTCTGTTTCTGCTCCTGTTACTACTACGATGGAATAACTATTTTTAATCTCTTCTATTTATCTCCAGGTTTCTGTTTACTCATAACTTCTCCTACCACCCAGTTTTTACTTACTGCCTTCTTCGTGTGTGTGTCTTGGCCTCTCCAGCCTGCTGACTCTCTGAATGCTTTGCGTTCAGTCTCTCAAAAAGAGTTTCTGATTGGACTCTTCACTTCTGTCCAATGTCCTTTTATGGCAGAGCTCTTGTGCTGGCCTCCCTCAGGGAGCCCTGGACAACTTCTAGATAGCTAACAAACACCCATCACAGGTCCAATCAGCACTGACTGTGGTTGTGACATCACACAATGCCAACACACTGACCTATGCAAAGGATCTTTCAGAAGAGGCTGCGGTTGTGGTAGACACTCTAAAGCTTCACCATATGGAGGCGTTATAGCCAGGAGGCACCTTTGCTGGCCTGTCCAGACAACTGAATTGGTCATTTTGACTAAGGAGGATGACAACCTTTAATACCTTAAAGCATTAAAGGGAAAAAATGAAACTCCTGATGATTTCAGCTTGGAAGATGAACTATTAGGTTGGTGCAAAAGTAATTGTGGTTTTGCCATTACTTTAAATGGCAAAAAGCACAATTACTTTTGCACCAACCTAATAGAAAGCTTTGACCTAGAGGAAGGTACTTTAGGAGACTGCCAATCATCAGCATGCTTTCTGTTTCCTTTTCTCTGCTTATCTATGTAAGGTTTTATTCAAAGTGGGTACTCCTGGTTTATGGTGGGAATATGAGTAGGGTTGTGGAGAAAAAGGATACAGAGGCTTCTAACCCCACGAGTAAGTCTGCTGCCAGTGGTAGCCATACAGTGAGAATACGATACAATTAGAGTCCATCAGCAGAGTGCTTTATTAGTCCCTGCCTTGGCTGGGTCACGTGTAAGATGATCAACTTCTTGCTGCTTTTTTCTTTAAAAAAGTTAATCTGAACTTGGCAACTATGTTTTTGTTCGTGGAAACCTGGTTATCCAGCCCGTTGGCACAGCTGGTTTGGGTTTTGATTCCCAGAACTCAGTCTACAGGCCTTTCCAGCCTCTCTCCAGCATAGATTGCAGCGCTCTGCAAGGTGCAAGTCCTGAAAACACATCATTTGGATTTCCTCTCTCTGGTTAACTGTCACAGCCAGCTGCTCTCAATCCCTGGATTCATTTCCTCTTGAATTCTGTGTAATGTTCTCCTTAATCATTCAATGTAAAAAGAAGAAAAACTTTTTCCTGGTCTTTTTTTTTTTTTTAAATGGGAGAGGCTTTACTGATTTTCTTTTCAATTTGACCAATAATTCCCTTATGCCCACGGATACTCCTTAACAGTTGTTCTCTTGCTGTTGTCATTTTATATTAATGTTCAGAGAATACTTAATGGAATCTTCCTTCAATAACTACTCATATTGGCTCTTATTTGGTTTGCAATTTTGAAACCAAAGATCTATGGATTTTAAACCATACACTCCTCAGGCAAGAGGTTATTAAACAATCATTGGTGACTGTATTTAATGTTAAACTTATAATTCAGAAAGAGGTAGACTGGGTGAATTGAAAAATACCTCAGAGACTCAGAATTAGGTTTCCAAAAAGCAATCATCTGCACTTTTTTTTCAAATGAAAATAGTATCATATCAGGATTAATTCAAGTTAATAGCTAAGAAAATATCAATCTAGGTACTGTACATAGCTTCAATGCCCAGTTTCATTTTGCTACAAGAAACTATATATTTTATTGGACACGCACACAAAAAGCTTGTCATATTACTCATCACCCCTAGAAGCAGTTCATAGAGCAGCAAAGTAATGTTGCTAACAAGAAGCAGTTTTCTGTAGTAGACAGCAATTCTTATCCTGTCATGGATTTATCTTATTATTGACAGCAAATTTGGCTGGCATTTACCAGAATTGATGCTTTACCCAGCCCCATACCAGAGCTGGAACATAAAATAGGCTTATACCACACTTAATGTCACTCACGTATTTCCTCTGTTCAAAGTCACATCCCTTTTCTGATCTGAATGATGAAGGAGGACGTTTAAAACATAGACATCTCTATGCTTTATTATAGAGTAGTTTGTAAGTACTGTTTACAGTGCCAACACATGAGGAGGCAGCAGCAACTACTTTAATATGATTAAAGGTAGCAGTATTTGCTACAACAAATGAGTTCTAACATTGGCCACCAGAGTTGTTTTTTTTTTTTCTTGGTGTCTGGCTTACTTTCTACTTAATTTGTTCAGGAAAACACCAGGTCAATTTGTATTATAAGAATTTGCCTAGCTCACAAATGATCCCATAAGGAGTGGGCATTCTATTTTTTCTAGTTCTGATGTTTCTGTAATCTTTTTAAGACATGTTGTATCATAAAGCTTAATGTGCATCTCATTTCTTTAAAGTCGCTTGAGGGATGAGCTATCAATGAGAATCTGGAGATGTATATAGAAGCAGTAACCATTAAAGGTTGTGTGAGTAACTGGGCTCAGGGTATGCAAATAGGCAAGGAGTGGGATGCGCCCCTCAGTGAGCAAGTTCGTGGTTGTCTGAAGCTACTGCGACGGGGAGCCTCTTGGGGTCAGTGGAGAGGCTGATGAAGCAGAGACAACTCCAGAAAAGATGATGCCTGCCACTGAGGCCATCGGGATGATGGTGGGAGGAGGAACAGAGTCCACCTTACAAAAGAGGAGGAAGAAATAGGGCCTCTTGAAAGGAAAAGTCTTTCTAGCTGGCCATTGACTGTGACTTGGAAAAAGGCACAGGACCAAGAAAAGTGAGTCAATGCTCTTCTCTCTGCCTGGAATATATCCCCATCCCTGTACCTAGTTAACTCCTACTCCCCCTGCAGTTCCCACTTTAAATGCCACTTCCTCTATAGCTGTTAATGTTGTCCTTTTTTTTAGTACTTTTCTTTCATAGCACTGTTCACAGTTTACAGTGATATATTATTTGAGTGTTGATTTGAGAGATGGTGTTGATTTAAATGATTTATTAATCATTCAGTAAGTGGTTATTGTACACTTACTTTGTGTTGAGTACATAAGGTGTTAGAGATATTTGGTGAATGACAAAATAAATGAGTGAATGATGTAAGAATTTGATTTCCAGGGACCCAGGGCTATTGAAATCTCCAGAAGAAAAATGAAGAAACCAGTTTTGCAAGACAGCTTGATGTCCCTGGGGAGGAATTTTGTGTATCAAATAAAGGAAGGCTGGGTGCGGTGGCCTCATGCCTATAATCCCAGTACTTTAGAAGGCCAAGGAAGGAGGATCACTTGAGCCCAGGAGTTCAAGTCCAGCCTGAGCAACATAGGGAGACCCCATCTATAAAAAAAAAAAAAATTAAAAAAATTAGCCCAGCTTGGTGATGCGTGCCTGTGGTCCCAGCTACTTGGGAGGCTGAGGTAGAAGGATCATTTGAGCCTGGGAGGTCAAGGCTACAGTGAGCTGCACTCCAGCCCAGGCAACAGAGCAAGATCTTATCTCAAAAATTAAATTAAATTAAATTAAAATTAAAATAAATAAAGGAAGACCTTCTTCAAGAAGGGTCAGAGGTAGAACCTAGGAAAATTGTAGAAATCTTAGAAACTGTAGAATAGAAAAGGCTGGACTGGCACGTGAGCCTGGAGGTTGTACTGGGGAGCAGCTTTTGGGAAGGCTTTGACAATTCCACCAGGCCCAAGGCATAGGAAGAAAACGTAAGTTCTTATTAGACAAGAAATCAAAGTATTTTGATTTTAAAAATAGTTTTCTCCATAAACTGGGCTAGACAACTCCATTTTTGTCTTCTGTTATTATCCAGAAATATGAAGGGCTTGAGATTTTACCCTACTTGCAAGGTAACACATTGGCTTGTCACAGCATGATTGCTGGCAGAAGACATGAGACTCCTAGATCAGAGACACAGGATTTTATTACTCATAGAAAGCAAGAAGCATGAACATCAGCCTATTTGTGTCAGTTATCCTTGCTCTCAAGTCCTATGAGAGAGATTCAGATAGGCCCAGATAGATGCCTGTATATGCAGTAGGTTGCCTTACAGAAGAGAAACCCTGAGCTTAGGGAACTTGAATCTTTTATATTCGGCAATAAGCATGTGTGATCTTTTCTCCAGAAGGTGACATACATTACCTTTATCATTCAAGGCTGTAAGAAAATCTACATTTTTCTCTGGAGGGAGACATATCTTTAAGTTCCAAGGCTGTACGTTGTGCAAATATCCTTGAAAAGATAGTCTGAAAGAAAGGGCAGTCAATATATGTTTTCAAGATAGTCAGAAATGTAACAGGTCAATAGAAGGTTGTCCCCCAACAATATCCACACTTTCTTCTATACTGTAGTGACTTCTGGAGAATTTTCTCCATCAGTATGCCACTTCATTGGTTAATCTGAGTAATCTGACTGACAGAGGCTGGAAGCAAATTCATTCAATATAATCTCATACAGCATTTACGAGGCCACTGTGAGGCTACCACAGTTAAGGCTACTATTAACAGGATGAGAACAACCAGTACTGACCTCAACCATGATCCCCAGAGTTACAGGCCAAATAGCTAAACACATCTCATAAACTATCCACATCTACCTTAGAAGTCAGGTGGCTTTCTCCTTAAGTTTCCACATTGATGGCCAGAGGCATTACTCCAGGTACAGCGGGATGCATTACTGATTGCACAGATTCCTCCTTGGCTCATGATGAAGAAATCTAGGGCAATTTTGTCACCCATAACAACTCTGACCAGTGAGTTCAGGCTAATCTAAATGCCTTCTGAGGCTCAGATGGTAACACTGATTACTTCAGCTAAAGTCAAAGACAATTTTTTTTTACTAACTTTTCTAATTGGAAGACTCCTGACAATCGATTTCAAAGTGTGCATAAATAACAAGTTATCTTTCCAAGAAGCAACCCCAAGTAACTAAGGGTGGCCTCATTTTGGAGAGATCCCTACATCATATGAAGGCTACATGATCTACTGATGGTGTTTCCTTAAACACTTGAAGGTCTCTTATGACCATCTCTCCAATCCCTAGGTGGAAATTTCCATATTTTGGGGAGGAATGCAAGTTAATGCCTGGCTTCCAGCTAAAAGTTGGTACTGGGAGTGCAGCTGGTACCATGGAAAGAATTTTTTTTTACAACTGTTGGGGACCCCCAAGTGGGACCCATATCAGTTGGGAGCCACAGGTTGATAATGCCTCAAGTGTGGTTCCTAGTCAATTGGTAAATCTTAGAGTTCACAGTCTGGTTCAAATTGAGTCTAGTTCCTGTTTTTGGAGAAAAGATTATCTATCTATCTATCTATCTATCTATCTATCTATCTATCTATCTATCTATCTAATCTATCTATTGTTGCATAAATACAGCCATGTGCTGTATAATATTTCTGTCAACAACAGACTGCATGTTCTGATAAACATGTATAATAGATAAATCTTATGGGGCACAGCAGTGGCCCCATAAGATTATGATACTGTATTTTTACTATGTTTAGATATGTTCAGATACACAAATCCTTACCACTGTGTTGCAACTGACTACAGTATTCAGTACAGTAACATGGTGTACAGGCTTCTAGCCTAGGAACAATAGGCTATATCCTATTACATAGGTGTATAGAAGGCTATACCGTCTTGGTTTGTGTAAGTACACTCTATGATGTGCGCACAACGATGAAATCACTTAATGACGCACTTCTCAGAATGTTTCCCTGTTGTTAAGTGACGCATGACTATATATAGATTAAAAAATCATGTTGAAGAAATATCCTTCTAGCCTTGTTTTGTTGAGAATTTGGTCTAGAATATCTTTGAATTTTACCAAATGCTTTTGAGCATCTGTGAAGATAATCATATGGTTTTTCTCCTTATATGTAGTAATATGGAAAATCACATGAATGATTTCTAAATATTGAAATTTTCTTACATTCTTAAACCCTAGTCATGGTGCATTATTATTTCAAGATACTGTTGAACTCTATTTACTAATATTCTATTTATGATATTTTTATGGAGAGTCATCAGTGAATTTAGTATGTAGTTTTCTTTTAGGTGCAATTTGTTAGCTTTTGCAGTGTTGTACTCACTTCAGTTAAAGAAAATGGATGCTTTCCTTCTTCTATACTTTGTGAACAGTCTCAAGAGCATTGGAATCATCTTTCTTTAGAAATTTACATAAATTGTTATGTGAAACTGTCTAGAAACATTTTTAAGGGGTCTTGAGTTAGATTTTTCACAACTTTGTCTATTTTTAAGATAATAAATTAATCTGGTGGATATCTTTTCTGAAATCAGTTTCAGAAAATACAGTTTTCTATGTAATTATCTATGAATATGTATCTTTATAATGAATTACACCCTTTAGCATTATAAGGTGCCTTTCTTTGTTTTGTTTAATCCTTTATGATCCAAGTTCACCTTTTCTGATAGTAAAATCATGACCCCTGACTTGTTTCTGTTTATATTTTCATGGTATAACTTTAACCATCTTTTAATTTTTAACCTTTGCTAAATGTCTATCTTTTAAGCATTCTTCATATGCACAACACGGAGTTTAATTTTCTTTGTGATCCAATTTTATAAACTTTTTCTTTAATAGGTGGATTTAACTTATTTACATTTCTGTCATTTTTTAATAGTATGCTTTCTATTTCTATGGCTTTAAAAATGTTTCTCCACTATTTGGGCTCTTTGTTGTTTTGTGTGTGGTTCTGCTAATAATTTGGAGGATTTGTATTTTTGATCTAGAGGTTACTTTTATAAACAATAGATTATAAAATGCACTTCATCTTATTTTTTTTAGGTAGAAGAAAAATTTGAAGAGTACAAAAAAGAATGTGGTCTGTATATAGTATTTAGAATTTATTAATGTTTTTCATGGCCTGGTACATAATAAACTTTAAAAATATCCAATAGGGATTTGGAAAGAATGCATAGTTTGTATATTGGGTAGCTTGTTAATTGCATATGATTTAAGTTCTCTATAGTGTTCCTCTCCCTACCTCTGACCCTTATCCTCTCTCTTAAGATAGCCAATGTCAACAGTTTTCTTATGCATTCTTCCAGGAAAGTTATTTATGTATTTAATTTAATATGCAAAAATCCTTTTAAATATACAAAAATTAGATTATTTTATAAACTGTTTTATCATCTGCTGGTTTTAATTTAATATAACTTGGAGATACAGTCATAGCCACACATGTAGATGTACCTCATTCTGAATAGTTCTTTTTTAAAAAGAATTATTAAAATAATATTTTCCCCCATGTAGTTAGATTTATTTTTGACATATTTTGTTCTTAACATCGAGTTTTCTTGCATAATGATCAGAGAATGTGACTATATATAATATTTGGAGTTTACTGAAATTTCTTTCGTGGTCTGATACACAATAAAATTTATAAATGTTCTGTGGGGATTTGGAAAGCATGTGTAGTTTCTGTGCCTTGGCTAGCTTGTTAATTATTTGTGATTCAAATTCATTATAATTTTATAAATTTTTGGTTACTTCACCTGCTGAGGTTTGAGCAGTATGAGTCTCCCATTATGATTGTGGTTTTGACAATTCTCCTTGCATTTCCAACTTCTTGGTTTTTACATATATTTTGATCACTGTTGTTCAGTTATAAAATAGTTATTGGCTATTTTATCTTCTTTATGTATTGTATTTTGAAATCAGTATAAAAGATCTCCTATTGCACTATTCAATGATTTCTCCATTAAAAATATATTTAAGACAATTTTTTACAAGTTGTTTAGTTTACTTTTGGCTGATATATCTTTGCCTACTTTTTATGTTCAACCAGTGACAGTTTGCTTTAAGTATGTTTCATGGAAATAGCACATCGCTGGATCTAACGGCAATAAGAAGTCTGCAGGGTGTATAATGGGATTTTTTTTGAGTCTCCCAGATTTAAATCTAAATCTTGGCTCCACCACTTACTGGCCATGTGACCTCACGCAAATAAATGATTACTTCTCCAAAACTCAGTTTCCTTATTTGTGAAATGCGACAATAATAGCATCATATTAATTGGAACTCTGAATTGTAATAAAAATGAGGTTACAAAACAAAGGAAAATTTCTGTGCATAGGAAGCAATAAAAACCAAACCATGAAAAAAGGATGGGCTAATGCTGCCTTTTATTTACCCTTCCTACAGCCCAGCTTTTTCTTGCCTCATACCTCGAATTGTCTGTCTCCAGAAAGGGCCTGCCTCATGCTCCCTGTTACATTCTAAAATCTCAGGAAAGAATTCTTCATCTCCCTGGGGCTCATTTGAACCCCATCATTCAAGTTGGGGAAGAAGCATTTCCTAAGGAAGGGGGAGAGAATGCTGGGAGACAAAGCAGTCCACCCTGCAGGATGAAGTGAGGCCCACAGGTGATAGACATAAAAGCCTCTCCACAAGGTAGGTGCTCAGTAAATGCTAGACCTCACTGCTAGAGATCTCTGCTCTTCATAATCATCGTTTCATTTAAAAATGGAGTTTGCTTCAGTGAAGAGGGCTGTTTTCCCCTAACCTAGTCATGAAGAGGGAAACACTTCACAGCATTTGCTTTCATGCTGGATGGCTATCATTTATCTATGAGATGATTCCTTCAAGAAACAAACCTCTCAGCTTTACTGCTCTTTAAAAACTGGACTCTGAAATTAGTACTGAGCATCCAGTTGGACGAAACCCCACCCTCACTCCCTGGGCCAGCTTCTAAGATCTAGGTTATGCCAGAGATATCATATTATAAAATCCTTCCATCCTTCTCAGCCTATCTTCCCATACACATAGGGCGGGCCTGATCGTAAAAGGCAGCAAGCCCATGCAGTGGAATCCCCACATCATACAGCCAAACAGGCTGTTCGTGAAGCTCCCTCTCAGCCCTGCTTAGGTCTATGGTACAAGTCTTACTCAATTTCCTAAAAGAGTGTGACACCTGACCTCTGCTGAGCATCACACAAATTCACCCAGTAGAAGTCAGACCTCACCATCTCATTATCTTTTGCAATGGATATGGCTGTCAACCTGGGTGCTGTGACAAAGAACAATTCATCAGAGTTTTGGAGTGATAAACATGATTGGAGGCTTTAGCTAAAACGGTGAGCAGGAACACAGAGGAAGCTGAAGCTAAATGTAGTGAGGGCTGGGGGGAGTTAAGCCTAAATATAAAAACTAGTTCTCAAAGGTCCTGTGTCCCTTAAAGGTGGGACACAGACCCAAGGTGCAGGCAAAGCCCAGACTTCACATTTTCAGATGGCAGCTGGTGGGACCTCGCCAACCAGGGCCCTCACGGTATGGCTTCGGGCTGGTGACCAGGGAATTCATGGTGGGGCCTGGTAAGTGAGCGGCAGGTGGCAGAATGGCAGGCCAGCAGGTAGGAGCTCCATACAGGTCAGTCCAGCAGAGGCCTAAAGGGCTGAATGGGGAAACCAGGCGATTCCCACCCACACAAAACATCCTCCAGTCTCACTGTGATCAAGCTCCCACCCCATTGGCAGGCCCTGTAAGTTATCTTCCAAAAAAAACCCAAGTCAGTTTTCTCTTATCCCTTCTCACTGCTGCCCCCAGCCTCATCTAAGCCACCTGTACTGGCCTTCAGCTGGCCGATAATGAAATCATTCTAACAGTCCCCCTGGCTTCACTGCTGCCCTGCTCTGATCCATTCTCCATACAAGATGGAATGGTGTCGTGAAAAAACATATATTAGATCATGTCTGCCTAATCTCATTGTACCCAAAATCACATCCTCAGAACTTCCAGCAGCCTGGAAGGCCCTGCTGGGCCCGCCACTGGCTCTGTCTCCAGCCACATCTGTGCCGTGCCCCCATGGCTGCCTTTGCACAGCATCCAGGACACACCACAATCTTTCCTACCTCCCAGTGCTCTCACTGCCCATTTCCTCTGCCTGGAACACTGTTCTGCCTCTTCATCCCACGGCAGCCTCACCCTCCCTTTGCATTTTATCACTGTGTTGGTGAGCCCTTCCTTGACCTCCCTTCTAAAGCAGCCTCTGCTCGTGCCTCCACCCTTCCCCACTGGAGCCCCTGTTAATTCCTTCATAGAATTTATCTCACAACACATTATATTGATTTGTTTATTGTCTGCCTTTGCTATGACAGGGCACGCGTTGTGAGGGAAAGGACCATATTTTTCTTCACTGCTCTGCCTCTTGTGCCTCACCAGCCTGTGGCACATAGTAGGTGCTCAACTAAACATGTTTGTGGAATGAAGAGAGATGAACTAGCCAGCATAGTGGTGAGTGGAGAGGGAGTACTTTGGGATAAATTGTGTGTCCCCCAAAAAGATAATGTTGAAGTTCAAACCTCCAGTATCTCAGAATGTGACCTATTTGGTAATAGGGTATTTGCAAATGTAGCAAAGTTAAAATGAGGTTACTGGAATGACCCCTAACCCAGTACAACCGGTGTCCCTATAAAAAAGGGAAAATTTGAACACAAACACAGATATGTTGGGAGGGAGGACCATGTGAGGAAACATAGGGAGCAGTCCACATGAAGATTAGAGTGATGCAGCCACAAGCCAAGCAATGCCTGGGGATACCAGAGCTGGAAGGGGCAAAGAAGGATTCTTCCCCTGAAGGTTTCAGAGGGAACATGGTCTTGCCATCACCTTACCTTTGCACTTCTGGCTCACGGGACTGTGAAGCAATAAATTTCTGTTGTTCTAAGCCACCCAGTTTGTGATTGTGGTACTTTGTTACAGCAGCCCTGGGAAATGAGTACAGGGAGGGGACTACTCAGGGGGTCTCAGGTCCCAAGGCCTCACCTCAAGTATTCTAGATTGTATATGGTCACAAGGGTAACTACAAGCTGCACCTGCTGCTGGCCTGGGCTGCTCTTCCACTGAGTCAAGACAGGGTCAGGACATGAGTGAGTGAAACTGTGAGTAATAGACACTGGGGAATCCCGTGGGGTGTGCCTGACGAACACTGGGCTGGCCACTGAGAACTCTGAGTGCAGCATTGTGGCGAATGGTGCCTTTGGAGAGAGAGAAATCATTTCTTACCCTGCAAAGAGTTGGTTGTTGAGTGCGTGAGAAGTCAGAATTGTGAAGGAAAATACTCAAAATGGAAAGAGTCATCCATCATACACCACCCGGTTTCAGAAGCCAGAATCATAAAGGGAAACGCTGGGCAGTACGCTATTTCTGAGCAGCTTGGGGGATGTCAGAAGGAATTGCGGAATTCAAGTTTTAAAGGTTACTAGGCAGGGCAAGTTAACCAAGGACATGAGGAAAACTGAGGAGGAAAATGACCTGCTTCCATCCTCTGATCTTAATTAGCCATGAAGAGAAAATGCTTGAAAAATTTTTGCGTGACTCCCACCAACCTGGAACTCCTCGAAGCTCCTTGTGAATAGGGCTGTTTGTGTGGAGAACGACAGTCAGTTTAGAAAGCTGATGGACTCATCAAAATTTATGTGATTCGAATCCAAGATAAGAAAATGTCCATAGGCATGAGTCATTCTAATGAGCACAACTGGGAATTATGGACACACGTTTCTATGTAAGAAGCTTAGAATGCATCCCAAATTATGAGATATTAGAAGTAGAACCATTAAACCCAAATGATTTTGCTTACCTTTCACTGAGTGTAATCCAATCAACGTACTTCCTCCTGTTCTTTCAGTACCATCTCCAAGTATTACACAAAGATTTTCTTGTGGCTTTTGTTCTTGAATTCAATGCTTTCCATTGGTTTCAAGTGAATAATCGGGGCCTTATGGTAAAAGCAAAATAGACTTACTTCCAATCTTTTAAATTTAGCTAAAACTGAGAGGATTTTGTTTGGCTTCCACTATCCCTCCTTGATTCTATTCCTTTTAGGTTGACTTTTTTTAAATGCCACACAAACACACACACACACACACACACACACACACACACACACACACACACACACCAAAAAAATTGTAAGTAAGGAGAAACTAAACGTGAGTTAAACATGATCACATTTACTTTGGCCACTGTGTATATAGTTCTTCATCTTGACTTCATGACTTAAATACTAGAAAACTATGAAGCACTCTTACCATCAGGAAGGGAGAAATTATATAAAATTGGGGTCAGAGCAATGGCTTCTAATCCTACTCTGTGCAGAATTCAATTGTTAATAAAATGGATCTGATTCAAAAGCTCAGGGAGGCTAAACAGACCAGTCCATATTCCCCCATGTTGTCAATTGATTCAAATAATGATGGGACAATTCAAAGAGTGAGTTTTTCAAGTCTTCAAACAGGCACTTTCTTGAAGTCCAGCCAAAGTTTTTTGTATTTCAGCCTTGTATGTTATGCTGTAACATATGGCCATATTGAGGTACAGATTTCATCTCCACCAGCATCAGTGTGGTTGTCATTTACCTCGTTCTGTCTCTTGATGACCCTATTATTATCTCTGTTATTAGGTGTTGGAGTCCAATGTCATTTTTTCCTGGGCTGTTTATCATTAGGTGGTTTGAAGAAGGTGACTGCCAGCCATAGAGGGAAACACGGGGTAGTCTGTGTTAACATGCATTCAGAACTCTCTTTGACATCTTCCTCATTTTAATATTGAAAAATTTCTCTCTTCTGCACCAACTTGGATTGTTAGCCAGCTGTTCTTTCAATGGAGGGACAATTGTGTTCCAAAAAATGGAACTGACGGAAGGACACGGGTTGATGGCTGTGCTTCTCAGGGAGGGGCTGGGCTGCTGGATGCACTTGATGAGCTCGTTGATCTCATGGGGTAGCTGAGGCATCACAGACAAGCAGGGAGGATGTTCCCCAGGTTGGGAGCGGCCGTCTGCATCCACCCTCAGCAGTCCCTGTTGTGACTTACCTGGGAAGCCCCATCAGGAGGTGCCTCCGATTTCCATATCTGCCCAAAGCACTCAGCTTGAAAGTTACTGTAATCATGGAACAGCTTGGATGAAAAACCTTCTTGTACCCCAGTTGGCAGACACTAGCTATTTCTTTTGAAAGTCAATAACCTTGCCCCTTCCTGCTCCTTCTCAGGCCCATACCTTCCTTGTTTTTTCAGCTATTTGGGGCATTTAAAAATAAATCCAGCTCTGAGCTGCAGCAGAGCATTGATACCATCTTCTTCTAGGCCCTGGCACACAAACTCAGCACAATTGACTGTTTTGATATTTCTGGGCTGAAACTCTTCTCCTACCCAGATCTGCTGTGCATCCTGGTTCTCTAGCATGTCTGCACTCATACCCATCAATTAGTATGGCAGGATGCCCACTTAAACAAGGTGCGGAGCCAATTTCAACAAGGCAATGTGCCAGTCCAATCCCGGCTCAGATAGGGACTGAAGCAAGTGACACAGCATGTCCACGAAGAGCCTTCCTGGTGGATGGTGCTGCCAAAGTAGGGCCTCGTGTTTCACTCCAGGGAGCTGTCGCCGTGGAAATCTTTAATCACCATGCATTGTTTTCACTCTATTCTTTCTCCTCTTAGAAAAGAAATTAGTATTATAGGATTTTCTGGATTCAGGATGCTTCTTTTAAAATGAAAATTTCTTTTGTATAAGCAAAAGATACAAATGGGGCATTGCAAAGCACAGAAAGACACAACAAGAAGCATAGGCCGTCTTTCTTCCCCAGAGCCACACACTGCCTTGGCAGCCAGAGAAGCGTCATTGCAGACAGACAGCAAATTACTCTTTGTGTACTGGTGAGGACCTGGAAAAAGTGGCTCTGATAGTTGTAGAGAGGTAAGAAGCACTATTGCAAAAATACCAGAGTTGCCCTTTTCCAAGAAGCTTCCCCCTCTAGCTCATGGATAAAGGCCTCAAATCAGTTAAGAGGCTAAAGAAGGACTAGGAAGGTTATAGGAGTGGGATAGGGAAAGCTAACCTCCTATGAGTTTAAATAATTTATTAATGAAAAGAAGCTGTGAACCTCTGCTCTGATGCCCACCCCCTGCCCCCGAAAAAAGGTCGTAAAAAAACCTACCCTTCTAAGATCTACCCTCAAGGTAGAATGAACTTTTTCAATAGTAAGGCAAGTTCAGGTAAGCACCATGGAGCCAGGAATAGGCAGACAAGGGCAATAATGTTATTAACAATAGTGGTTTTTTTTTTAACATGGTTTGTTTTATATCATTTTTATTTAACTATGTTTTCCCATTTTTCCTCCTGAAACAAAGGTATGATTGCTTTTTTAATAAGAAAAAAATACAAAAAAGAAAAACTTCATTTTGGAAAAATAAGATAGCAAGTTGCAAAAATGAAGCCAACTACAGCCAAAGGAATTTGGGAGTCTTGAACAAAGTTCACTGGGCATTTTTTGGCAAGGAAAGGCATTAAAATAAAAAGAAAGACTGACAAGAAGGAAGAAACACTGATGAAATGCAAGAAGACTTCCTAGAGCCTGCTCTGCTGTTACATTCTGTCATGAACTAGAGATGATGAAGCTTTCATTCACAGAAATGAATGAGCATTGCAGACTTGTTGCAGCTGACCTTGCTAAGTTAAACTCAATTTGCTTTTCAGTTAAACTCAGTAAGCAGTAGCAAATTTTGTGCATTGAGGCTTGTCACAGCCACGGCTGTAGGTGCTGTGGAAGCACCAGGCCCCTGATGCCCCAGGTGTGCTATGCTCTGAAGTCCAGAATCAGTGGTGTACTAGAGCCTGTGCGGACAGGCTGACCACAGCCAATTGTTACATGTTTAGGAATTTTGCCTGTGATTGTTAAACATGCGCATTATTAAAAATTAAATTATATAAACTGGCAGCAAAATAAATTATATCAAAAACAAAAGCAATGTATCTTCAAAACTCATCACTTCCAAATTATTTTACTATAATCTATGTTCTTAAAGTTATTTACATCTATTGTATTTGTACAGTGAAAATATTATAGAAAGATGTGCTACTGCCTTCTCTGTAAAACTTGCTGATTTTCATGGTATGAGCTTTCCCACCATGGTTAATTTCAAGCTGCCGATGTGATGTGATTAGACTCAGGACGGATTACAGCTTCTATCTATTTATTTTTTCCAGAGAGCTGGTTGTTAAACATTTCCCAGCACACTACTGTCTGAAATCCACAAAAGCCAAGCTTTTATATTCTGTAATAACGTGGACAGAATCCTTCACACCTCCTTCAATATTACTCTGCTGCATTTTCCCAAGGCTGAGCACTGCCTTGAATTTCCAGAGTCTCAGAAAGATTGTGAAGACTGTGGGAAAGACCCTTTCTGTCCTCCTGTCTCTCCCGAGGACTCGGGCACAAGCTGAAGCTGGAGTGGGCTGTAGTGTGGGGGAATGACGCCAACGCTGTGCTAGGAATGCCCTTCCTCTGAGCTGAGCCACAGCACATGTCTGTTTCTTCTTAGAACCAGTTCTTCCCAGGAGGCTCCTCAATCCCTCTTGTTCATGTTCTGCCACCACCAACCCTGAAGTCCTGCTTAGCCTCAAAGCTCCTGAGAGTACAGGGAAATGAAGGTCTGGGCTACAGTGATACAAATAGGAACAGGACAGGAACAGGACAGGACAGGTGCAGGGCTCATGCCTATAATCCCTACACTTTGGGAGGCCAAGGTAGGAGGATTGCTTGAACCCAGGAGTTGGAGACCAGCCTGCGTAACAGAGTAAGAACCCTGTCTCTAGCCAAAAAATTAAAATTAGCCAGGTGTGGTGGCGCATACCTGTAGTCCCAGCTACTCAGGAAGCTGATGCAGGAGGATTGCTTGAGCCTAGGGGATCAAGGGACCCTGTCTCAACAACAACAACAACAACAAACAGGACAGATTTGAGCAAGAAAGAGGAAATGATTACACTTTGTATCTCATTAATTACAGGTGATGAAAGGAAGATAATTCAGATTAACGTTCTTTGACCCCACTGGGTTCAGTACTAGGAACTGTCAGGATTACAAAAGAAGAATAAATTCTGGCAGGAACTCATAACTGAGAAGAGTTTACATTTCAGCTTGCAACCCTGTAAACAAGGGGTGACAGTGATCAAAGTAGGAAGATGGTTACATTGGTTTGAAATGCTTCTCAAAAATGGAAGCCACGCATGGTGGGGCATGCCTGTGGTCCCAGCTACTCAGGAGTCTGAGGTAGGAGGATCAAGCCATCAAGGCTGCAGTGCACCACGATTGTGCCTGTGAATGGCCACTGTAGTCCAGCCTAGACAACATAGCAAGATTCCATCTCCAAAAAAAAAAAAAAAAAAAAAATAGAATTAAAACAGTCAAAAAAAGTTAGTACTATAGGGAGGCTTTAAAACTCCATTAGATTTGATGATGTTTCTTTTATTCATCTTACTTGACCCTCTAAGGCACTGAACAGTGTTGACCGTGGTCTTCTCTTTGAAATACTCTCCTCATTCAGCTTCTGTATCGAGTCAGGCAGAGAGAGAGAGGGGGAGGGAGTTATTTTAAGGAATGGGCTCACAGGATTGTGGGGGCTGGCGAATCTGAAATCTGTAAGACAGGCCAGCAGGCTGGAAACTCAGGCAGGGTTTCTATGTTGCTGTCTTGAGACAGAATTCCTTCTACTTCTGGCAATCTTGGTTTTCGCTCTGAGTGCCTTCAACTAATCAAATGAAACCCACCTCCCTTATCAAGGGTAATCTGTCTTACTTACAGTCAACTAATTGTAACTTAATCACATCTACAAAATACCTTTGTAGCAACATCTAGACTAGTTGTCTTCGGCATCAGAACCTGGCCAAGTTGACACACAATTATCTACCACATCTTCTAAGCAGGGCCTCCTTCCTGGCTGTTCCAATCTTTCCCCCTTGTCCCTTTCCAGCCTCTTCTTCTATTGCACACCTCTTAAATGTTGGTATTCGCCAGCATACGTCTGAATTTGGGGGTACAGTTTTTCAGAGTTAAAAGAAGTTTTATAAATATGCGAATGGAGATGGAATTGTCAAAATCACCTAATACACCTAAGTAAATTGCAAAGACACAATTTTATTAAGACATAATTTTATTTCTTCCAGGGCAGTATAAGAATAGTAAAATTTTCATCAGGATAGAAAAGTAAGATAAAGGGGAATCAAAGGCACTGTCTGGGCCTTCAACTCTTTAGGCATGACATATTTAGATTCTCCAAAGTTTCATCGTCAGCACTTTCTCTTCCCAATCAAAATTATTTCTTTAGGAATCTCATCTGTGTCCGGCCTCTGATGACACCAACACACCAATGCCTACAAAATGATGACCCAAAGAGCACTAGGTTCCATGTTCAAATAAGTTAGAGAAGTGCCAGTGATACACATCTCGTTCTTAGGGGTTTGCAGGATACATTAGCAAACTAAAGGCTTTGTGAAGTCCTGCAGTAACAGTAGTCTGCAGAATATGTTATGGGAATCATTGCCCTAAATCTATATTCTGAGCCCACGCACCTCTCTTACATTTCAGAATGGTGTTTCCAACTGTGTACTGCATATTACATTTAGATGTCCCATAGCAATTAAAATTTAACATGATCAAAACTGGCATCATTTTGCCCGACTCCAAGCTTCTCCTCGTATGTTCCTTTTCTCCTATAATCCTTATCTTTTTCCCTAGTTGGTACTTTAGTTGTCCAAGAAAAAGACCTGGGTGATTTTTGAAACATCCTTTAAAATCTTGGCAATGTATTAGACTTTGTCCAAGATGACCTCAATTTACATAGACTCTTTCTGTCCCCTCATGACTCCACATTTACCACTTTACTTGCCTAGATTCAGTGAATCTACTTTTTCAGAATACTTCTAATCTGCTCCCCGTCCCTGGGTATGCTGCCTGCCTCAGTCCTGCCCTGCCATTTGTCCTTTATCTGCAACAATAACCTCCCCACTGCTTGTATTGCCTCCAGCGACCTCCTTGCCTCCAGATGGATGGTCCTAAAACACTAAATGATATTACTCTCATGCTTAACACCAGTGAGTTGTTTACAGACAAAATCACCACTCTTATTTTGGAGGGTATTCTGTATTTAATTTATGATTAGGAGCTTAAGTTTTCTTAGTTCCTCCTGAGTGGTTTAAAGAAAAATCTTCTACCTTCCTTTGGAGATACAAATGGGTCCCTTTCGGATTTGAAAATGCATTGAAACAATTAAAATGAGGTTTGGGGAACATAAATGTAGGGGGCATTTGTCGATGTTTAATTTTTTATTGGTCATTTATTTCTGACCACAAAAGATATTGAGAGCTGACTGTTTCGAGTCTCACTAGAACAAATAGTCTGAATCAGGCTCTTTATTGAATTAAGAAAATGGAATATTTAGCAAAATAACTATAGTGAATTTCCCTACGTATCAGGAAATTGGGAACAATTCTGGCAACCCTTTAAAAAATAGATGTTTTAAAAATTTCTAGTAATATAAGATGTTGTGATCTGGGGGAAGAAACAGGTTTCAGAACAATATTTAAAATAGTCTAACAACTTAAAACTTTCACCTTTACACCCTCAAGTGGTGGAACTAATATATTTTTCTGAACAAGGAAACAAAAATCCTGGAAGAATATATCCCAAACTACTGGTGGGGTTTATCACTAAGGAGGGTGAATTATCGTTTTCATATTATTCTACCTGCTTAATTGTATTTTCTAACATGTCTAAAGTAAGTATGAATTATTTCTGTAATAAGGAAAAAAAGGTGATTGTTTTAAAAATCCTTTAAAAACCTTAACAGCCCATTAGACTAACCAATCTTAGTCTACTTTCTCCAAGATGACCTCAATTTACCTCTTTTCCATCTCCCTCAGTTTTGTTTTTCTTCCAGAAAGACAGCATGTCAATGTTAAATAGTCAATAGTGTACTTTCAGTGCCCACCCATGTAGTCTGGCATTTAACATATTTTCCAGGAGAAGGTAGTATTGATGACAGCCTTTCTAAGAAAACCCTGGCTTCTCTGTTTCAGAGTTTAAAAGTAAAAATTGCAAACTGGTTTGATTTCAAAATACATAAAAGATGCGTACTGAGATACATACAAAAGTAATTTCAAAACCTTGCATTTAAGCTCAGCTTATTGTTTATTTGTTTGTATATTGAGTCATTATAATATCCTAGATGTTTTATCAACTTGGTAAGAATTTTTTCTCTTTTTTAAAATAAGTGATTTTGTTATGGTTGGAATGCTTAATAACTAACTTTCCCATTGTTTTCAAATAGATTTCAAGTTGAAGTACCTAACAATTTTCTTTATCTTATTTGGTGCAGTTGGGTGATACATGTTTACTTACTGGCTTTCATGCTTTTATTTAAAAAGCTTTCCCTTTCAATATGCTAGAACAAAAATAATATTGAATATATTATACATGGCTTTTAAATTCTATCTTCATTTCAATAATTAATTTCAAAACCAATTAAGTTCCTGTAATACTGATTCTAATATCTGAGAAAAAAAGCACACATATTTAATTCAATTAGGTTGAATATCTTCTTGTTTTATTATTTTGTTTAATAACTTTAACAAATTTTAAAATGAATACTTTAAAAGGTTTTGAAATCAGTCATAAAGTCTTTTCTATAGAATCACAATGCAGAACTCTTTTATTTATCCACATGATATAACACATTCCCATTTAATATAGCTCTCTGGTATCTGATAACTTAGCATCCTAAAATTTCAATAAACATGCTAGTTAAAAAAAAAACAGACAACATAGAGAAATGGGGGTGAACTTTCTTTCATAGGGGCAGTGCTGTCTCACAGAATGTTCTGTGGTGATGGAAATGTTTTACGTCTTTGCTGCCCAGTACTGCAGCCACTAGCCACATATGGTTATGGGGCATTTATAATGGGGCTAGTGTGACTGAGGAGCTGAATTTTTAATTTTATTTGACTTTAATTAATTCATATTTAAATAGCTATACGTGGTTGGTAGCTACCCTGTTGGAAGGCCCAGCTCCAGAGTTAAGATTGTTGAATTATATTCAGATAAAACTGTTCATGGATACTTGCCACTTAGTAATGTTCCTTTTGCCTTAATAAAATCAATGTTGGGACTTGCCTAATTTCCCAAAAAGAGTAAATTAACTATTTTCATTACCTCTTTACTTTCAATTCTTCCTGGCATATGGTAGGAAATGAGAGCTCCAGCTATTTCCCCTGAGAATATTGTTGGCATTTCATGCTATCCCTGAAATTGTCTAGTTGAGCCCCAGGGGCTCTCCTTATGAGTCCCAAACAGATTTAAAAATGAAGTCCTTTACTTTCTACTTATAGGAGAACAATGAGCAATAATATACCTCTTACTTTTACATGGCTAAAGAGAGTTTACTAATAATCTATTAACAATTATCAGGGCTTACTTTGGGGGATCTGAGGGTGACAGTTATATTCTTGTCCCCACCTGTATTAGTCAGGGTCCCAACAGAAAACAGAAGGCACCCTTAAACTTGTAGTTAAGGAGAGTTTTTAAATGACTCTTCACAAAGTGTAGGCTGGGTTAAAGGAAACCTGCAAGGGGCGGTGCTGTACCCCAGGGCTTGCAACACAGGTGAGCCATCTCACTACTCCTAGAACTGACAGGACAAGCCGAAGAGGCAGTTTCTGTAGGCCATTAGAGAATTGGTGGCTCACACCTGTAATCCCAACACTTTGGGAGGCCGAGGCAGGCGGATCACCTGAGGTCAGGAGTTTGAGACCAGCCTGGCCAACATGGTGAAACCCCATCTCTACTAAAAATACAAAAATTAGCCAGGCATGGTGGCAGGCACCTGTAATCCCAGCTACTCGGGAGGCTGAGGCAGGAGAATCGCTTGAACCCAGGAGGCAGAGGTTACAGTGAGCTGAGATCACGCCATTGAACTCCAGCCTGGGGGACAAGTGCGAGACTTCATCTCAAAAAAAAAAAAAAAAAAAAGAGAGTTGCTGTAGAAGATTGATAGGAGCCATGGTCTTTGTTAAAGGGACACAGCCAACTCTGACAACCTTTTAGTGCATCCCATTGGCTAACTCAACTGGAAGCCAGAAAACAGGGGAGCCTATAGGTACAGTCTGTTAAGGCAGCCTTCTAGAGCACAGGCAGGGTAGATAAACATAAGTGTGACACCTCGTGAGGCAACGAAATTATCTAATCACCCCCTCCCAAGTTTGGAACCAATTGAGAAAGACACAGCCTATTCTAAATTAACAAAGAAAGACCTCAAATGAATTTTAAAAATATCCACTTCATTACTCATGAAAGATAGGTTGAATGACAAGATTCAGATGTGTGTATTGGATCCAACTTATGCATCTTTCCAGATTCACTTGGCCACACCTGCTCTCAGTAGACAGCACCACTGTCTCCCCAAGGCTAATGTCACCTAAGTTAATCAACACCCATTGTTAACACCATTACACATCTTAACCTCCCCCAGGGTAAGGGCTGGCTCTAGCATGACCCAACATGCCTATCACTGCAAGAGCTACAGGAGCTTTGCCACCAGGCATGGAGGCTCTGGATCCTCCCACCTACTTCTGGACTCAGAGGAAGGGCCATGAAGTGGATCATGGAATGTGGCTTCCCCAGCAGCTTCCTGGGAGGAAGGGGAGCTAAGTGACAGCCCAGAAGTGTAGGGGAATTACCACCTCATATAAAAATTGTCTTTCCTTCATACTAGAAAGACAAGAGATAACATAGGGGTGAAAAACTATCAGATAAACTTTTCTTTCCTCTTCCTCCACGTAGAATCTCCTGAGATGGTTTTTCCAAACATTCTATTTGGAGACTGTGATGTTTAAATCACTGGCTGTGTTTTCTTGTGAAACTCTGGCCAGGTCAATAATTCACCACCTTGAATTTACTATCCCTCTTTCTCTGCCTGTGGACTGTATGTAGTAGATTAAAGATGGCTGCAGTTTCTTTGCTATTTCTTCCACTGAGAAGTAGAATCTAATTACCTCTCTCCTTAAATCTACATCAGCCTTAGAGACTTGCTTGACATATAGAATGCAGCGGAAGTAATATTCTTGGATTTAAGTGGCTAAGTCATAAGAAGCTTTGCAACTTCTGCCTGATTCTCTTTGGAATACTTTTTTTTGAGACATATCTCTGCGTACTGAATCACCATGCTAACAGAAGCCCAAGCCACATGGAACATTCACATGTCAAATAGCCCCAGCTGAGTTCCCAGCCATGAGCCAGCATCAACTACCAGCCTTCCTAGACCAGGTGCCACAGGTGAGTGAAGAAGCCACCTTGATAGTGATCTTCTAGCTCGGCCACCATAACTGATGGCAAATGGATCGGAGAGATGAACCACCCAGACCAGCCCTTCCTGGATTCCTGACTCATAAAATCAAGGCCAAGAGAAAATGGTTGTGTTAAACCACTACATTCTCTGGTAGTTTTTTTACATAGCAAGAGAAAACTGGAACTCTCCTCATTGGGCTGTTCTTAGTGTTTCATAACAGTCTATAGAGATTCATCTCATATGATGAAACAACTGGCTGCGTGTTCCTGCGAAGCTATGGCCGGCTCACTAATGGACCACACTGTATTTGCTGTCCCTCCTTCCCTGCCTCACTTCCCCTTTTGCTTGACTCAGCCCAGCCTGGGATTATACTACCAAAAAATAAAGCATTAGCCACCAAGCTTAGTAAACTTTCTTGTTTACTAAGAAAGTTAGTACAAGAAGTATCCTAGAAAGGAGGACCTTGGAGTGGGACTTTGAATTTGATGCCCATCTGTCTGAAAACAATCAGATAATTGGGACAGCAATAGCCTCTAGAAGTGGATACACAGTTGCTAATTCTTTCACCTGTGGTTAACTGGGATGAAGTACAGGTGGAGAGCAAACCTGGAAAATCACGGAGCTACCGCCTTTGGTCAGTAAAGGGGTGGCAATTGCAGTGCAGATGAGCTGTTTTTGGGACATTTGAGGCTTTGCTAAAAGAAAATGATACACTCAGGGCATCTTATTATCAACTTAAGTCATGCAATGAAAGCCAGAGGCTCTGTTTAAATGAGGTGCTTATCTCCTGAAGCTGCACTTAAAATTGGTTTAGGATGTAATTATAAGGGTGGCAGATATATATATATATATATATATTTAGTTTTTATATATATAAATAAAACTAAATGTGCAGTCTCAATAGGGACTTGATATTAAAGTCAGGGTCTTGATAGGGAAGAGTGGAAAATTGAGACCTGGAATGGGGATATTTGTAGGCAAGCCTGGATCTTTCTGACTGACAAAAGAGACTGTTTCCCCTTGGTAGTGGTAAAGAATCACCCCTTGCCTGGTAAGCATGCAATGATCAAGCTTATGAAGCAGGTGCCCCCAAAATCACACTGATTCTAAACTTTTCCTCAACACCCACATTAACCTCCTCTCACTGCCTCCAGGCAAATTTTCTTCCTGCTGGGGAATACATAGCCTCTGTGCCAAAGGAAATCTTGACCTTGATGAAATGTGCTGGCAGAAACTGTGGGAACACCTGTGGGAATGGATCTTGAAGGCATTAGACTGTAGGAGGCACACGGGCTGGATCGGTGAGAACGGATTGACATGAACCACTCCACTGTGACAGAGGATTTGGTGTTCTGATAAGGACACCTGGCGCTTGTCCTTACATGCTGCTACAATGATGCCTTCAAGCCTAATCACTATGATGGCCTAAAGTGAATGAAGTAGAGATAAGAGAACTTCCTTGACATAGTTTTGAGAAAGGAGGCAGAAGTCTCAAGGAGGTAGGCATGTGAGAACAGATTCACTTTGTAAGACCTACCACCTGATTATGTTTCCCATAAGGCTGCCTTCATGAGGCAATAAAGAATGCCATGGGGAAATGGGGTTAGAGTAAGTGGTGGGACAGCAGCATCTTTGAGAAACCCAGTGGTGGCTGTCCTCTGTAGGCCAGGTTCACAGTAGGAGGTGCTGCTTTGGAATTGGGCCCCCTTTAATTCATGGTGGTAAAAGGAATGTGGATGATCAAAGACCAGGTGGCAGCCATTAACCATCAAGGAAAAGATAGATCTAATAAGCCTTGTGAACAGCAAGGCCCCAGTTGAGTGAGTGCCTACTTTCAAGGATGTATTGTAATGGGAAACTGACTGGCGAGGGGCGGGGATGCTTGATTTGGATAACTTAACATCAAGAGCTGTTGCGTAGAAGGTGATCATTGCCTTCCACAATAGAAAACTGCACTCCATCATTGAGTTTCCAGATCTAAGTCAGTTAACAGACTCAGAGTCCATTGATTGAAGGAGATTCTGGATCCCACAGAGGAAGGACCCTGTAATGCCACTGCAAGCATATACAGTAAGTAGTCCTCTGATCCTTCCCCAGAGGGAACCAAAGTAATTTGCCAGGGTAACTGGACACTAGGGAAAGAGTAAAACTTAGACTTTTTGAGGACTATCAGCTACAGTATATGAGATGATACTGACAAAAGGAGACCTGAAACACCATCATATTAGAACAGAGACTTGATTAGAAGAGAGGGTTATGGAGACCAAGTCTGTCTACTAAAGGGTTAAGTGGTTTTGGACACCCACTTTGCAATTATTTCTCTTGTTCCCAAAAGTATGATGGAGAAGATATACTTAGCTTCTGGCTGCACCCTCAAATCAATTGCCTGTCCTGTGGAGTAAGAGTCATTGTGGTAGGAAGGGCTAAGTGTAGGGTCTCTCAACCTCAGCCCTT
The DNA here is from genome assembly GCF_000001405.40 of Homo sapiens. Lineage (NCBI taxonomy): Eukaryota > Metazoa > Chordata > Mammalia > Primates > Hominidae > Homo > Homo sapiens. Next base: position 146,146,244 of record NC_000004.12, read on the forward strand.
TTGACATTTTGAACCAGACAGTTATCTGTTGTGGGGTCATTCTGGGCATTGTAGGATGTTCAATAGTATCCCTGGCTACCCACTATATGCCAATAACGACCTTTGTTATGATAACCAAAAATGTTTCTAGACATTGCCCAATGTCCCTAAGAGGGCAAAGTCACCCCTGATTGAAAACCACTGGCCATGTTTAAGTCTCTAAAATGGCCTCATCTCTTGTCAATTGCAGGAATAATACCACAATCCTTGAAGAATTACAGAGATTAACACCCTCACCAAAGATAAAGGGATTCATTTCCCTAATATTCTCTTGATTCAATTCTCTGGACTCTGTAAAAATCAGATGGACCCTGGAGGATGATGCTGATGTAACCAGAAAACAGACCTAATCAAAGCTACAGTGCCAGATGAGATATCTTTACTATGGCTACCAACCCTCTAACACTGGATATACAGCTATTGATATGGCAAGGATTTTCTTCTTAATAGCTATTAGCAAAAGAAGCAGCTTGTGTTTTTTGGCTGTCAAGAAATATTTAAGGTCTAAGGTTTCACCCTATTTATAAGCTAACAATAGCCCTCCCACAGTTTCATGGAAGTTTGCAGAAGACATAATAAGATCTTGGGTTAGACACAAACAGCTTTAGCACTCACAGAAAAGGCAGTAACCAGCGCTTCATGTTCATTTGTATTTGTTCCTTGTATCCTCTAAATCCCACAGAGGGGAGCGATGGTGATGACTCAGGTGGGCCAAGAGGATTCCAACTCACCTAGTGTATTGCATTACAACAGAGGGATTCTGAGTTAGGGAATTTACTGCTTTTACTATAAACCTTTGCATTGCCTAGGAGGTTATGCAACTCATTTTTCAAGGTTGCTCAATGCAAACACAATCCTGAGAAATCACCTGGGTAAAGAGTGGTCAGAGCCTTGTATTCTTCGCACATCCAGCAACAATGCACAGGGACACTCAGGGCTCATGAACGGTTCCCACTTTTAGCAGTGGTGCTATGGACTAAATATTTGTGTTCCCCCCAAAATTAATGTGTTGAAGCTAAAATTCTCAATGTGATGGTATTTGGAAGTGGGGTCTTTAGGAGGTAATTAGGTCATGGGTTGGAGCCCCCATGAGTGTGATTAATGCTATTAAAAGAAGAGACACTAGAGCTAATCTCTCTGTCCACTATGTGAGGAGACAGCAAGAAGGTGTCCATCTGCAAACTGGGAAGAAGGCCCTCACCAAGAACTGAATCTGTGGCATCTTGGTCTTGGACTTCCCAGCCTCACCTTCACCGTCTTGCCTCGGTGTTATGTCAGCTCTTGTCTCTGTCATCATATACTTCACAGGAACCATGGCAACCTTGACATTACATAGAACTTCATGCTGGTCCACGATATTGAGAAGATTATGCTAATTGGACTTGATCAGTAGGAGATTTCAGGAACCCTATATCTGGCAAGTCACATGAATGCCAGAGGTGGGAGATTAATTTCACAGAAGTTGAGGATCTTCTACATTGGTGAAAATTTTAGGAGTCAAGTCACCTGTCAACTTGCCTAAAGCACATCAGAACAACCCCTTATAAAATAAAGCAAAAATGGTTGCCCTTTGCATCTCTTACCACCAAGAAAGAGGCACAGTGCATTTTGGCCTTCTTTGGATTTTAGAGGCAGCTGATATTTCACTTGAGAATATTTCTCTATGGTGAGCTCAATGTGATCAGATTTATAAGTCATAAAGTTGGGCAGAAACATTATTTGATGGAAATGGTATATTCAGGACTTGGCTCAAGTTAATCCAGAAGATACCACAAATTATGTATACAGGTGACTCAAATCTCATGTCACCTACCTCTTTTGCATCAGTGGCTGTCCCTAAATTCACACTTATGGCCTCACGGGGAGGGGACTACAACCAGTTGATGGAAGAAGAAAGGATTTGGACTTTGCTCAGAGTTTGGCCCTTGTGGTCTGGTTGTTCACTGTTCTCAAGTGTAATTTCATGAGGCCCTGCATGGAGCATGCTGTCCTTCCCCAGGCCGTGAGTATAGTATACGTGACTAATGAACTGCTGTCAGTTTTATCTGTCCAGCGTTGGGTGTTGTGTTTGGCCACTCCATACACCTAAAGGGGGAATTCCTCTCTCTCCAACAGGGTAAAGAAAAAGTCAATTAAAACAGTAGGATCAGCTTCTCACACTCTTCAAACCTAGGTTTTCCTGGGTAGGGTCCTGGTTCCAGGAAAGGGAGGTCTTGATTCAGACAAAACAGTGAAAGTTCCACTAACCTGGAAGCTTCAACTACTCCTTAGCCACTTTTCATACTAGTAGAGTAGCAGGCAAAAAAAAAAAAAAAAAAAAAAAAAAAAAGGAGTGGGGCAGGCAGAGGGAGGGAGGGTAACTATATGGGCTGGTAAAACCCCACTCTGATTACTATGAGAAGCTACTGTTACTATTACACCCTGGAAGCATCCTTTGAATTTGTCTGGAATGGGCCCATAGCTACCTGTCTTGGGGACAACTTTGGGCACACTTCATTTAACATACCCAGGAGATGGGTTTTCCCAGGGCTAGGCTCGGACACTACTGCCATCATGTGTGCCATGATGAAAGCCACAGCAGTTTGGTGTCTAGGCCAAACTGATGGGACCCACTGAGGACCTAGCTCTTCCCACCCAGAAGATGTTGGATCTGACTTCCCCCATCAGCTGCCTGGAAGGGCAGGTCATGCAACCCACAAGTGTAAGGGAGTAAATGTCCTATGGGGCAAATTTTGACCCATGAGAGACAGTATACAGAAATAAGGGGGAGGTGAGCTAGTAACTAATTGTTCTCCCCTCCACACACCGAAGGACTTTTTTGAGATGGTGGTTGGTTCCACATAGTTGTATGGATATATGGCATGTGACAAGATAACTTGCTGTGGTTTTCTCTTCCTTTGTTTTATCTTTTGCAAAGCTGTGGCCAGCCTCATAATATATCACTTTATATTTATTCTCCTTCCTTGCCCTCCTCATTTATGTTTTCCCACTCTCTATTGTCCTAAGGTTGCACTCCTTCCCAATAAAGTTTAGCATGTAAGCTTCATCTTCAGGTTCTGTTTATTGTCTTAACTTATGCTAAATCAATGTGCAGCAACAATGGGTTTCTGAATATTTCGGACAGAATAAAATGTACCCACACAATAAAAGGCAGAAGTGGAAAAATACAGTATTTTCAACTGAGACAGGGCACTTTTTGCATGGTGAGTGAGAACAGTAAAACAGAGAAAAACGTGGTACTCTCAAGATACTTAAATTCTTTTTCCAAACTCACCAATCAAATAAGTTATTTCTCTTCTGACTGGGAAAAGTGAGTGAGAGGCAAGGATAGCCCACAGGCTATTCTATTACCTGCCGCCCCAAGGATACATGACCTCAGGGAATTAGTTCTCCTTTCATGGTGACCAGTGTTTGGCATTTATTCCTTTTGTAATTGTCCCACAGTTTGGGGGGTATTCATCTTTTCAATTATTTTTTCTTTTTGTCTTTCAGATTTGGAAGTTTCTTTTGGCATAGCTTCAAGTTTATTGATTCTTTCCTTGGCTGTGTCCAGCCTATTGCTAAGCCTTCCAAAGGCATTCTTCATTACCATTATGGTGATTTTGATTTGCAGCATTTCGTTTTAATTCTTCCTTATAATTTCTATCTCTCTACTCACATTACTATCTTTCTGTTTGTTCTTGCATGTTGTCCACTTTTTCTGTTATAGCCCTTAACATGTTAATCATAATTGGTTTAAATGCCTGGTCTGATGATTTTACAATCTCTGCTGTATCTAAGTATGGTTCTGATTCTGCTTTATCTCTTCAAACTGTTTTTTGTCTTTTAGTATGCCTTGTAATTTTTTTTTGTTGAAAGTAGCATGTGATGTAGTGAGTGAAAGAGAATGAAGAGAATAAACTTTTAGTGCAAGGTTTTATGTTTACGTGGCCAGAGTTAGACTTTGTTTACTGTTTGCTGTAGCTGTAGGTATCAGAGACTAATTTTTTTTCTGGTGGCCTTGTTTTAGTCTCTCCTGTTATCTTTGGGTTTCTTTAGAGGCTTCTTTTTTTTTTTTTTTTCTGAGACAGAATCTCACTCTGTCACCCAGGCTAGAGTACAGTGGCGCTATCTCGGCTTACTGAAACCACCACCTCCCAGGTTTAAGCAATTCTCCTGTCTCAGCCTCCTGAGTAGCTAAGATTACAGGTATGCACCACCATGCCTGGCTAACTTTTGTATTTTTAGTAGAGATGGGGTTTCACCATATTGGTCAGGCTGGTCTTGAACTCCTGACCTCAAGTGATGCACCCGCCTCGGCCTCCCAAAGTGCTGGGATTACAGGCATGAGCCATCATGCTTGGCCTAGAGACTTCTAAAATAAAGTATGGGAGGTGCAGTTATTTCAGTTGTAATCTCCTGTTATTGTATAGGAGCCTTATTGATGTGTTGATATGATGTGGGGAAAGGCGAATCATTCTATGGGCCTATGATTAGGTAGCAGTATTTCAGTGAGCCTGTGCCCCTGAACCATGGCCTTCACACATGCTTTTCAGTTTTTTTTCTCTTAGATGAGACAGGAAGGCTACAGAGGGTTAGAGTTGGTTATTTTTCTCCCCCCAGGTAAGTTAGGTTCTGGTAGACCCTACTTTGGTTAGGCTCTTGTAAACTGGTTTTCCTTGAAGGTAGGTCTTGTTAGGAGGAATAGAGCTCTGGTATATTTCAAAATGACTCTAGACTTCCCAGACTTACAATGGTTTGACTTACAATTTTTCAACTTTACAATGGTACAAAAAGTATACACATTCAGTAGAAACCATACTTCAAGTATCCATACAAACATTCTATTTTTCATTTTCAGTGCAGTATTCAATAAGTTACATGAGATATTCAACATTTAAAAAAATAGGCTTTATGTTAGATAATTTTTCCCAGCTCTAGCCTAATGTAAGTGTTCTGAGCATGTTTACGGTAGGCTAGGCTAAGCTATGATGTATGGTAGGTTAGGTATATTAAATGCATTTACGATATTTTCAACTTATGATGGGTTTATCAAGACATAATCCCATTATAAGTTAAGGAGCATCTGTACATGTCCCCTCCTGCTGATGGAAGCACAAATGACTTTTTTGTAACCTTCACTGTAAGAACCTAATAAGGCTCCTGGAGGTAAAACTCTTGAAAGTGTGGAGGCCCCCTAAGACTGGGCTCCCCCTGGCATTTTTAACTCTCAAGCTGTCCACACGGGGCCTCTAGCAATTCATCAGTTACCGTTTAGGTTGTCTGGCCCTGGTACTGGTTCCTGTGGAGGTTTCTCCTCCAGTAAACCATGTTTCTCTGAATCCACCTATCTCTCCAACTTTTAGGGCAGCGGTTTGCCTTGTGACTTCAATTCTCAGATGGATCTAAAAACAGTTGTTGATTTTTAGTATGTTCAGCTTTTTTCTTGTACAGATGGGAGAAATGACTTCCAAGCTCCTTACATGTCAGACTGGAAACTGGAGAGCGAGACTTTTCTTTTGCTTGCCATTTATAAACTAAAATTTTAGGGAAGGTGATTCAGTATTATACTAATAAGGCTGCCTACCATGACCTACAATATTGTGCAATTCTTGCTCTACATGTATAAATATATGCGATTGGTGAAAAGCAAACAAAAACAAAACCCTGAAAGATAAGAACTGGTATGATATGGGGGCCATGAAGTCTTGTGCTCAGCCTAAGTGGGCCAAAGTTTAAGAGCCACTACAGCATATTGTGACCTTGCCACTTAGCCACCTATGTCCCAAGGATATTATTTCTTCCCTTACCTCCACTGAACCTGAAATCTCTCCTACTACCTATCGACACTCTTATTAAACCCAAGAGACAACTATAAAACATGCCCTAGCCATGTGCACAGTCTTAAATATTGTGCCAAGTTTCTAGCCAAGTCCTTGTCTCTTCTCCCACTCCAGTAAAATGTTAAGAAATCCTCCATCTCTTTCCTTTAGAACCCATGAAACAGATAACCTAAGAAATCTGCCTTGTTCTTTTCTCTTGGTCCTAACTTGGCCCACTTCAATATTCCAGATCTGAGTATTGAAGGCAATCCAGAAGGCAATCCAAGTCTTACCAAGAAAGAGAAAGGAAACTATATATCCTTCCAAAGGTGCATCCTGTCATCCTTGACACATGGAAGGCAGGCATTGTTAGGGTTCTACTGGGCCACTAGGGTCAATATGTATCATGTGCATCAGAATCATCTGAGACATCTATTAAAATTACAGATGTCTGGGTGCCTGTCCAAACTCATCAAATCAGAAGTTCTGAAGTTATCATAAGCTCCCCTGATTTTCTTGTGTGCATCAAAATTTGAGAGCCACCGAGTTAAAGTAGCATGGAGGGTGGGAGGGCAGGCACGAGGAGTAGTAGTCATCATTAAGATTTGAATACATTTTTAAGTCAAAATCATCAGGAAAGGCTGACTAGCTTATGGTGCTGGGGTCACATGCTTCTTAGAACTTGAAATATGATCCTTCAAGTAACCATGGTATGAAAATAATTTCTATTACAAACAGTATACCTATTGTGAATAAGGTAATTTTATATATTCTGAAGTACTGCAAATGAAATTATAATGTAAGACACATGACTAATGTGGGTAATTATCTGTTTTTGATAATAATACTAGGAGTAATACAGCATTCATCGCGTGCTTAACCATGCTTTAGACTGGGTGGTAAGTGGTTTTTATTCACTAGCTCAATTAATTCTTACAGAAATCATATCAGGTAGGTAAAGTGATTGTTCCCATTTTATGTGTAAAGAAACTGAGTCCTAAAGAAATTATGTAACTATTCTAAGTCATATAATTAGCAAGTGGCAGGGATAGACCATAGCCCAGAACTGCCTGCCCAAGCTTATAACCACTGTCTCACTGCATTAAAATTAATTGCATAATAACATATTAAAAAATTACAGTTCTTTGTGATATTGGTCAGTTCTGACCCTTGCCTTGGCTGTTTGGCTCCCTTACATGATAAATCTGAGACTTAATTTTGAGTATGTGGATGGCTGAATGTGCCTACATTTAATTAAAGAGCAGTGCATTTAATTGTGCTGGCAAATTTTAAGTGCTTGGCTATCCTGAGTTGGCAAAACCTTCTAAGTTCTTTAGTTAACCCTCTACTTCCGGAAGTTTTGCTTAACAAGTGAAAGTTTATTTGCGTACTGAGAACCTACCCAGATTTTGAGTATGAGGGTTTTCCTTGAGAACCACGCACTAGCTGCATTCTCTGATGTAGTGGAAAGCGCTCCTGGGACTCCATGGGAAATGGCCTTCAGAAGGCTCTTTCCAGCCTTTCCCAGGTACATGGGATTTAGCTGCATAGCAATTATCAGATTACTTGATAAAAATCCTTTTCTGCTCAGTCAGAAGTGAGTAGCAGTTTTAATTAGGGGCTTAGGACAAGGACATTTGAATATCAGCCTCTGAGAATATAAAGCTCTTTTCAAAACCAGAACCAGTATTTTCTACACAAAATGCTAAACCTTCAAGTTCTCATTTGCAAATAAAAGATGGCAAGTTTCTGGCATTTACTTACTGTCATTTATCCTGGCACAATAATCAAGCACCCTGCTAATGACGGTGTGACTGTCAATATCACTTTCAAGTTACGAGACCTATTCAGCATAGGATAAAGGGGAGAAAGAAGATGGTCAACAGGCAGTCGGCTTTCATTTTAACACTCCCTGGAGGATTTCCATTACCCTTTCAGTGTCATGCCTTACCTTTTTTCCTTCTCAAGGTCAGCTCTGTCTAGACAGTTCCTAGCTTCAACTTCCTGCAGCTAATGCATATCCACAATAGGCTTGTGACCACAACCTCACACTGTACCCTTCCACCTGAATTAGGAGAGTCCCTTCTTTTCTGTATTATTGGTGACCTTTCTCTAGGTTAAAAGGTCTCTTCTGCAGCAGGCAGGTCTGACTTGTTATGGTGATTGCACTGCGGAAAGCTGCTTCCACCTTGTTAGAAGTGACATCACTGTACATTAAAGACATCATATCTCCTTTCATATTAAAATGCCTGTCAGTTCTCCTGCTCAAAGGTTGTAAATCTGCCAGAGTAGCCCGAGCTTGGGGAGTTTTCATTATGAAAATATGAAGATAAGCACTCTGTTTTACTGTCAAAGGGAAAGAGGTAGACTTCTAGTAATGACATTACTTTAGGAAATAAATATACATTTTCTTAACTGAGTGTTATATAAGCAAATTTTGAAAAGATAGCTCTCTCCGTTTTTAAAAAAAGTTTTTAAAATTCAGGCTTAGTAAGCTGACTGCCATAGCTCAGATAGGAAATATAGCTGGAGTATGATTTATTAATGCATGTATTTCACACTTGCTCTTATAGTAAATCATTAGACATTTTCAATGATTTTAGCCCTTCATTTTCAGTTGTCCAGTCTAAGAAGTGGCAAAGGAATACTTAACCCGCAATTCACCTTTAGTTCACAAATGAAGCAGTCTTTGTGTTTGAATTTAAGCTTTTTCTTAACAGTTTTTAAGACTATCACCAAATCATCAATTTATGGAAGAACTTGTTTGACCTGCCTGTCTCATACATGTGTAAATGTAAGGTGAGCATAATGAGTCTTATTCAATGGAAGATTCAATGGAAGGTGGGAGTCAATTTCTACCTGACCACATAAAAACACAGAAAAATTATTAAGGAGCCTATAATTTCCCCCATATCCAACTGCCTTTATGTGTTTTCAGGCTTTCAGATTAACCCTTTACAGGCATAGAGACATTTACAGTTTCTGGAAGATCTTACAATGAAAGACCTAAATTAAATTAAATCCTCAAACACCATTAGACTCAGGGAGTATGAGTGAACATCCATCTGTGAAGCAAATGGGTGATTCTCAATTCAGTCTTTAGGCTCATCCATAAGTTTAATCTTACTTCATAGTTTGTGAAGGGGTACTAAGACTTCACGTACTATTATTTCTCTTTGCAGAAGTGACTACCAGAATCAATGTGGGGTCACTCAGGGCATCTCATTAAGAGAAAAAAGTAGCACAGCTGTGTTTAGCAGTCAATGTACTCTATAGATTCATAAAGACTCAGATAATTCAGCTTCTCAAAACTGAGAAGATCAAGAACTTTCCATAGAATGGAATTAACATCTTTTTCATTTTAAAAAAAGGCTAAAATATGCATATTTCTCTGTTTCTGTCACTAAATGACAGAAATGACACATTGCTTCCTCTCTTGCTCTGACACAATGCCGTGTAGACTCTACATGATAACCTTCCAGAGTAAACTGTGCAATGATTTTATGTATAGTATTTATCTGTAATTCAGCAAGTCCAGTTCCATATGACTTGTAGCTAGAAAGCCACGATGGATTAATGGATTAATTCAAATGAGAATAGCCATAATCACACAAGCTCTGAAAGGCTTAGACATTTGAGGAAATATGGAAATATCCAATTTCCATGAGCAAAAAAAAAAAAAAAAAAAAAAAAAAAAAGACAAACCTCTCAGGAGGAAACTGAAGCTCAGACATTTCTCTGCAATGCTAGGTGCTCTGCGCTATGTCATGACTCCAGCCTTACTCTCTGGAACCTGTTCTCTCGCTGTCTCAGTAGAGGAGGAAGTCCAGGTGAGGTTAGTCAACGTTTGGAAATACAGTTGACCCTTGAACGACATGGGTTTGAAGTATGCAGGTCCGCTTATACACATACACACATTTTTTTCCAAAAAACATATTGGAAATTTTTTTGGACATTTGTAACAATTTGAAAAAACCCACAGACAAAATCATGTGGACTAGAAATACAGAAAAAATTTAAGAAAAAGATATGTCATGAGTGCATAAAATATATGTAGATAGATACTAGTCTATTTTATCATTTACTGACATAAAATATACACAAGTTTATTACAAAAAGTATAAATTTATCAAAACTTACACGCACACTTAACACCATACATGGTGCCATTTGCAATTGAGAGAAACCTAGAAGATGTAAAGACGCAGTTTTAAATGATAACTGCATAAAATTAACTGTAGTGCATACTGTACTACTGTAATAATTTCCTAGCCACCTCCTGTTGCTATTTAAGTGAGCTCCAGTGTTGCCAGTATCTGCTTAAAATGCTATGTGATACTAATCATGTCTACATGAGCAGTTCATCTCTCCAGTAAATCTCATGTCATAAAAAGTGATCTCTTACAGTCCTTGTGTATTTTTTTGTTGTTGTTTGTTTGTTTTGAGACAGAGTCCTGCTCTGTTGCCCAGGCTGGAGTGCAGTGGCGTGATCTCGGCTCACTGCAACCTCTGCCTCCCAGGTTCAAGCAATTCTCCTGCCTCAGCCTCCTGAGTAGCTGGGAGTACAAGCACATGCCATCATGTTCAGCTAATTTGTGTATTTTTAGTAGAGATGGGGTTTCACCATGTTGGCCAGGCTGGTCTCGAATTCCTGATCTCGTGATCCACCTGCCTCAGCCTCCAAAAGTGCTGGGATTACAGGCATGAGCCACTGCACCTGGCCTCTTGTGTATTTTTTATCGCGTTTAGTGCAATACCATAAACCTTGAATAATATCATGGGACCCATACAAAGTACCACCAGTGATGCTGGGCATGCTCCCAAGAAGCAGAGAAAAGTCATGACATTAAAAGAGAAAGTTGAATTGCTTGAGATGTGATATAGATTGAGGTCTGAAGCTATGGTAGTCCATTTCCTGATAAATGAATCCAATGTAAGGACCATTATAAAAAAAGAAAAGAATTTCAAGAAGCCATCGCTGCAGCTACACAAGCAGGAGCAAAAATCTTCCACTTTTTGTAAAATACCTTTTTATCTTGTATTGAAAATGCAGCTTTTATGTGGGTGCATGATTGCTATAGGAAAGGATGACTTATAGACTCTAATATGGTTTGAGAAAAAGAGAAATTAGACAACAACTTAAAGCAAAAGGAAAGTGAAGGATTTAAAGCTGAAGAATTTAATGCCAGCAAAGGATGGTTTGATAATTTTAGAAAGTTTGACTTAAAAAATATCAATATTTCAGGAGAAGCAGTTTCTGCCAGCCACGAGACAGCAGATGAGTTTCTAGATGCCATTAAGAAAATTATTTGAGGAGAAATGTTATCTTCCTGAACAGGTTTTAAATGCAAACAAAAGTACCCGATCCTGGAAAAAAAAAATGCCACAAAGGACAGTTATTAGTAATGAACAGAAGCAAGCACTAGGATTTAATGAAAAAAGAGATAGTCTAACTCTATCGTTTTGTGAAAACTCATTCAGGTTTATGAACAAAACTGCCCTCATTTATAAAACTGCTAACCCCCCAGCTTGAAGGGAAAAGATAAACACCAGCTAACAGTCTTTCAGTTGTAGAACAAGAAGTCTTGGCCAAAAAAAACCCCTTCCTGGGTTGATTCCACTGATGCTTTGTCCTTGAAGTCAGGAAGTAACTTGCCAGTAAGGGATGGTTTTTTTAAAACATTATTTTTATTTTACATATTTATTTACTTTTTAGAGATGGGGGTCTTGCTATGTTGCCTAGGCTGGTCTTGAATTCCTGGCCTCAACCAATCCTCCTCCCTCAGCCTCCCAGTTTCTAGGATTACAAGTTTGAGCCACCACCAGTGGGACTGCCTTTTAAAGTTGTTTTGATATTGGACAATGCCCTGGGACACTCAGAACCTCATGAGCTCAACACCAAAGATGTCAAAGTGGTCTCATTGCCCCCAAATACAATGTCCCTAATTCAACCTCTAGATCAGGGGATCATAAGGACCATTAAGGCTCATTACAGGGTACTCCATGGAAACGATTGTCAACACTATGGAAGAGAATCCCAACAGAGAGAACATCACGAAAGTCTGGAAGGATTACACCATTTAAGATGCCATTTTGTTACAGAAAAGGTTGTGAAAGCCATCAAGCCCAAAACAATAAATTCCTGCTGGAGAAAACTCTGTCCAGATGTTGTGTGTGACTTCACAGGATTTACAACAGAACCAATTAAGAAAATGATGAAAGCGACTGTGGATATGGCAAAAAAGAATTTTTTTTTAAGTGAGGGGTGAAGGATTTCAAGAAATGGATCTTGGAAAAATTCAAGAGCTAATAGACACCACACCAGAGGAATTAACAGAGGACAGCTTGATAGAGATGAGTGCTTTTGAGCCAGTGCCAAACAGTAAGGAAGAAGTCATAGAAGAAGCTGTTCCAGGAAACAAATTGACATTAGACAATCTGGCGGAAGGGTTCTGGTTATTCAAGACTGCTTTTGACCTCTTTTATGGCATAGTTCCTTCTATGATACAGGCACTGAAACCAAAGCAAACAGTGGAAGAAGAATTGGTGCCATATAGAAACATTTTATAGGGAAATAAATGAGCAAAAAAGATAGAAATTACAATGTAATTCCATAAAGTTACACCGAACTTGCCTACCTCTCTTGCCTCCCCTTCCATCTCCTCCACCTCTTCCACCTCTACCACCCCAAGCAAGGCCAACCCCTCCTCTTCCTTTTCTTCATCAGCATACTCAATGTGAAGACTATGAGGATGAAGATCTTAATGATGATCCATTTCCACTTAATTAATATATTTTTTAAACATTTTCTTTTCTCTTTACTTCATTAATTCTTTTGGTGTGATCTAAATTAGCTCTTCAATTTTCCCAAGATCCTTATCTTGAAACCCTAAATTGGCCTTAAATATATTTTCTCTTCCTATGATTAAATAACATTTTCTTTTCTCTAGCTTGCTTTATTGTAAGAATGCAGTATATAATTCATATAATATACAAAACGTGTTAATTGATTATTTATGTTATTGGTAAAGCTTCTGGTCCACAGTAGGCTACTAGTAGTTAAGTTTTGGATGTCAAAACTTATACACAAATTTTCAACTGCTCAGAGTGTCGGTACCCCTAACCTGCATTGTTTGAGGGTCAACTTTACCTAGAAATAAAATTAAAACAGAGAACAAAGTTCTATTGTCTCTTATGGCAAAGAACCCTCTTTGGCAATGTTTCAGAATAGGAATTTGGGACACTCAGCTATCTACTGAGGCAATACCATGTTATAAGTTATCAACAGAAAATTCTCAAGGGCTAGTTTAGTTCCCCTCTTCTCCCCTTAGAAAATTTAGACCATGTTACAAAAGTTAACAACTTAAAACAAATGACAATATATAGAAGCTGATGGCAAGTGCTCTCAAGAACAGAATGGTAGTTCAGACTCTATCACCTGGAAAATTACCTAAGCAGAGTCTAGACCGGGGGAAATCACAATTCAAAATGAAACCAAATCTTCACACTAAGCATCAAATCCAAACAGCATTTAAGGAAATCCCTGACTTAATGATCCTTCTGTTGAGGGAGGGGAGAAAAATCTTTATCTTTTTGGGGTTTCACAGAATTTGGCCTAGGGCTATCTAGCTTTTCTTTCTAGCCATGCTATAAGCATTCTGGACTGAGCAGGAGATGTTATTGTTGTTGGTTGCTGTTTCCTTTTGAATGAACAGTCACGCTTTCACATAAAATGGGCCAGAGCTCGAGCCATTCTGTGACACTTAACATAGTAAGTCAGACGCTGGGGTTGTTGCTGACTCCTCCAGGCCACATGGGACCATTTAGCACAGAGAGGCAGTGGTGACTTGTCAACCAGAGTGCTAACCTACCCAGAAATGCAGTGTCCTCAGACTCCACTAGTTTGAAATCAATGACAAGCTTTATGAAGCACACAAACAGTAAGAAACCCAACATCCCCACAGCAATGAAGGAGTGACTTAATCACTCCTAGCTGCTTTCCCTTCTGGGGAGCTTTACCTTTTTTTACCTACAGCCAAGAAGTAAATAGGATTGAAACCTCCAGCAGTCACTATTTGCTCCTGCAAACACCTTCCTAAATCAGTATTGTTTAGTACATGGAATCACAGCTGAAAGGGGACAGGCCACTGCAGTGGGCATCACTGCATGGGGAGGAGGTTAGTTTGCCTTTGCCCTTCTGCTCCCAGCCTTTTATTGCTGGCCTGCTGCCAGAGGCAAACACTTGACCAGATATCAGTGACCCCACAGAGAATCTGCAGTCAGCAATGTCGAATCAATTCATGTATGCAAGAAAAAGCAGTTTTGCAATAAGGATAATTTTTTAGAAGCAGAAAAACTGTTGAAATGCTGCGGACAATTAGAAAACTTCAAACACTGGAGCCGGGGTCCTAGGCTCAATTTACATATAGGCTGGTCAGTTTATTTTGTTCCAGAGCCATAAACTGTACCAACATCCTGTAAATATACACTGCCAATGTGCCGTTTTATAAGCATATTCTATCACTCAGAAGAGTGGTGTGATGGTTAATACTGAGTGTCAATTTGATTGGATTTAGGGATACAAAGTATTAACCCTGGGTGTGCCTGTGTACGTGTTGGCAAAATGGATTAACATTTGTGTCAGTGGGCTGGGGAAGGCAGATCCACCCTTAATCTGGTGGGCACAATCTAATCAGATTCCAGTAAATATAAAGGAGGCAGAAAAACGTGAAAAGGAGAGATGGGCCTAGCCTCCCAGCCTACCTCTTTCTCCCGTGCTGGATGCTTCCTGCCCTCAAACTTCAGACTCCCAGTTCTTCAGTTTGGGGACTTGGACTGGCTCTCCTTGCTCCTCAGCTTGCAGACAGCCTATTGTGGGACCTTGTGATTGTGTAAGTTAATACTTAATAAACTCCTCTATGTGTGTGTGTGTGTGTGTGTGTGTGTGTGTACATATATATCCTGTTAGTTCTGTCCTTCTAAGAGAACCCTGACTAATACAAGCGGGCTGCTGACAAACAAGCAATGAAGATTATCAGTTCTGTGTGACGTACAGCTTTTAAAGCATGTTTTATGGGCTGAACAAATTTTAATTATGTGGCAGATTTTATTTTTCAAAGAGGGCATCAACAAGGTCTTCCAATCCACATGTTATATTACAATGTGACTTTGATGCTCCTCCTATTTAGAGGTGGGGTCAATGGCTTCCTTGAAACTGGAGGTGTTTTGTGACTGTTTTGATTAACAGATTTTGGCAGAAGTGACTTCTATGTGACTTCTGAGGCTGGATTATAAAGGTTTCTGCCTGGTTTGTTTACTTAAAAAGTCTTCAATCACCAGGTAAATGGTCTGACTGCTGAGGTGGCCATGTTGTGAGGAAGCACAACTAGCCCATAAAGAGAGACCATATTGAAGGACCTCATGACCACACAAACAGAAAGAGATGCTCAGCTTGCCCCCATCTACATAAGCCTACTATAGTGCTAGCTCTAGTTACCATCTTCCTGTCCCAAATTCTAACTTGCAGATGCTGAAAGATAGTAAAATGATTATTATTTTACTTAATTGTAAAATCAGTAAGTTGTGTGATAATTTTTTATACATGCAAAGAAGAAGCTAGCTATTTGACCTATGACTGCTGCAATCCACAGATTGGCATCCGTGCAATTTAAAATAAATCAAAGTGGTTAAAGATCATGGATTCTGGAGGTCAGCTGCCTGCGTTCAAATTCCAGATTCACAACATATTAGCCATGTGATCTTGAGCAAATTACTTTTCTGAGCCTCAATCAACTTACATCCTCACTTACAGTTTGAGGATGATAACTGCAGTTATCAACTTTCTGAGCCTCAATCAACTTACATCCTCACTTACAGTTTGAGGATGATAACTATAGTAACTTCATAGGGTTTGTGTGAAGATTAAATTAATTAATACTTATAAAATTCACAGAACAGCACCTGGCTTCTAAGGTTTGAATGTCCCCTTCCAAACTTATGTTGAAATTTAATTGCCATTGTAATAGTGTTGAGAAGTAGAACCTGTAAGAGGTGATCTGGTCATGAGAGTTCTGCTGTAATGAATGGTTTAATGCCGTTATCATGAGAGTGGGTTGGTTATCACAGGAGTGGGCTGCTAATAAAAATATAAAGTTCAACCCCCATCCCTCTCTGTCTCCTGGCTCACTTATCCTTTTGCTTTCTGTCATAGGATGATGCAGCACAAAGGTCCTTGCCAGATGTTAGTGCCATGCTTTTGGACTTCCCAGCCTCCAGAACTGTGAGAAATAAATTTCTTTTCTCTATAAATTACCCAGTCTGTGGTATTCTAGTATAGTAACACAAAACAAACTCAGACTGGCAAATAGGAAGTGCTTACTAAGTGTTAACAGGAGAATTACAGGTTCTGTAGGGTCTGAAGCATATTCAGTTTGGTACCTCTTAACACAAATATGTAAAGTTACAAATATTAGGTATACTCAGGAATAATCATTTGCTCAGTGCTAGGGACATGATAGTGACTTGGCATTCTTCCTGTCCTACAGGAGCTTATACTCCATATGTGAAGAGTGGAGAATAAACATATATTTACAAACTAGACAGATTATTTTTGAAAACAGCTATCTTTTTGCACTATCATTTATTCTGAAAGGATATAACTGGCTTTCCTGGGGAAAAGATGGCACTATCTACAGCAAGGTATCCTTTAAAATATGCAAGTAATTGAAAATAGTTGAAAACAGTGATTCTGCATTGTGGGCATTTATCTAAGGAAATACTCAGATAAGCATTATATATATAAATTATATGATATATATATATATATCCATGTATATATATATATATATATATATCCATGTGTATATATATATATATATATATATGTATATATATACCTACACATATTTAAATATATGTTGTAATTGATGGCAAAGAATTCAAAATACATGGTTGTTTGACAATGAGATTAAATTTTTGAATGTTATGCTGCTATGAAAATGATTTTATATTCACAGAAATGTAAAGATCTTCACAAAGTATAATTGAATGAGAAAAATTAGATGATAGAACAGTGTGTATCATACTGAGCAGGAGTGAGATATAGATACAAGAGTGGCTTTCAAGCACTACGTTCATGCATTGTTTTCCTCTGAGTGATGAAATAAGAAGCAAGTTTTGAGCTTTATCTGTAACTTCCAATTCATTTACAGAAAATATGCTATACTTGGTTGGGTAGAATCAATATTGTGAAAATGACCATATTGCCAAAAGCAAACTACAGATTTAATGCAATTCCCATCAAAATACCATTATCATTCTTCACAGAACTAGAAAAAACAATCCTAAAATTCACATGAAACCAAAAAAGAGCCTGCATAGCCAAAGCAAGACTAAGCAAAAAGAACAAATTTGGAGGCATCACATTACCCGACTGCAAACTATACTACAAGGCTATAGTTCTCATAAGAACATGCTGCTGGTATAAAAATAGGCATGTAGAGCCCAGTGGAACAGAATAGAGAACTCAGAAATAAACCCAAATACTTACAGCCAACTGACCTTCAATAAAGCACACAAAAATATAAAGTGGGAAAAGGACACCCTATTTAACAAATGGTGTCAGGGTAATTGGCAAGCCACATGTAGAGGAATGAAACTGGATCTTCATCTCTCACCTTATACAAAAATCAACTCAAGATGGATCAAAGACTTAAATCTAAGACCTGAAACCATAAAAATTCTAGAAGATATCATCAGAAAAACTCTTTTAGATATTGGCTTAGGCAAGGATTTTATGATCAAGAACCCAAAAGTAAATGCAACAAAAACGAAAATAAATAAATGGGACCTAATTAAACTGAAAAAACTTCTGCACAGCAAAAGAAATAAGCAGCAGAGAAATCAGAGAACCTACAGAGTGGGAGAAAATATTTGCAAATTCTGCATCCGACAAAGGACTAATATCCAGAATCTACAAGGAACTCAAACAAATCAGTAAGAAAAGAAAAATAATCCCATCAAAAAGTGGGAATAGGATGTGAATAGACAATTACCAAAAGAAGATATAAAAATGACTAACAAATATTAGAAAAAATGCTCAACACCACTAATTATCAGGAAATGCAAATTAAAACCACAATGAGATATCATCTTACTCCTACAAGAACAGCAATAATTTAAAAATCAAAAAAAATTATAGATGTTGGCTTGGATGTGATGAAAAGGGAACACTTTTATACTGCTGGTGGGAATGTAACTAGTACAACCACTGTGGAAAACAGTGTGGAGATTCCTTAAATAATTAAAAGTAGCTAGGCACAGTGGCTCACACCTGTAATTCCAGCATTTTGGTAGGCCAAGGTGGGCGAATCACTTGAGGTCGAGTTCAAGACCAGCCATACCCACATCATGAAACCCCATCTCTACTAAAAATACAAAAATTAGTGAGGCGTGGTGGTGCACACCTGTAATCCCAGCTTCTCGGGAGGCTGAGGCACGAGAATCGCTTGAACTCAGGAGGCAGAGGTTGCAGTGAGCTGAGATCATGCCACTGCACTCCAGCCTGGGTGACAGAGTGAGACTGTGACTCAAAACAAAACAAAACAAAAACTAAAACTAAAAGTAGAATTACCATTCAATCCAGCAATCCCACTACTAGGAATCTACCCAGAGGAAAAGAAGTCATTGTATGAAAAAGACACATGCACATGCATGTTTATAGCGGCACATTTCGCAATTGCAGAAATATGGAACCAACATAAATGCCCATCAACCACAGAAAACGTGGTATATATACACCATGCGATACTACTCAGCCATAAATCGGTATGAAAAAATGGCCTTTGCAGCAACTTGGATGGAGTTGGAGACCATTATTCTAAGTGAAGTAACTCAGGAAAGGAAAACCAAATATCGTATGTTCTCACTTATAAGTGGGAGCGATGCCATGAGACTGCAAAGGCATAAGAATGATACAGTGAACTTTGGGGACTTGGTGGGGAAGGGTGCAAACGGGGCAAGGAATAAAAGACTACATATTGGGTACAGTGTACACTGCTCAGATGATGGGTGCACCCAAATCTCAGAAATCACCACTTATCCATGCAACCAAAAACCACCTGTTCCCCAAAAACTATTGAAATAAAACAAAATAAAAAAGGAAATATGCCATACTGTGTAATAAAAATAAATTAATTTTATAAAAAGAATGACCACATCTTACTCAGGGTTCATATATGTCCTCAGTTCTTGATCCATCTTCAATAAAAAGGCATATTTAACAAACCATCAGTTTTTCCAGACTTGGAATAAGCTTCTGGCTCAGATTTAGATGTGTTAGAATAGTAGTGAAATGCAAGTTTGTAGCCAGAACAGGACATGAGCTAAGAAGACACAGATTCCATCTGGAAGGCGTCTTGCCCTTCCAAGTCCAAGTTCATGGATGGAGCATCACTACATTCTAAAGTTAGACATAAAATGCTAACAGTATTGGTATTAACTAATGTGTCATTTCTGTGGTTTAATTGGATTGATTTTCTTGGAAATAATCATCAATGTATTCATCTCAAAAGTCTTGGATGCCCTTGACTTCATAACAGCTGCCATTATCCTAATTGTCTGGGGTTGAGGAATAAAGGACTTTAGATGGCAGCGAGTGGCTTAAACATTTTGGCTTATAAATATGTTGAGCATTCAAGTTGAATAAAATATAACCACTCCATCCCCATGTCCTTTCTTTCTACCCTTTTTCTTTGAAAACAGCTGCTGTTTTTACAATTATTTATTGCTATATTTAAAAACATGTAACATGAGATCTACCTCCTTTAAAACATTTTAGGTATACAGTATAGTATTGTTAACTATGCACATTGTTGTACAGTAGATCTCTAGAACCTTTTCATCTTGCATAACTGAAATTTTACACTCATCAGACAGGAATTCCCCATTTCCCAATTCCCCCAGCTCCTGGCAACCACCATTCTACTTTCTGCTTCTATGGGTTTGACTACTTTAGATGCCTCATGCAAGTAGAATCATGCAGTCTTTGTCCTTCAGCAACTGGTGTATTTCACTTAGCATAATGTTCTCAAAGTCCATCCAATTTGTTGTAAATGCCAGAATTTCCCTCTCTCTCTCTTTTTTTTTTGAGACAGAGTCTCACACTGTCACCTGGACTGGTGTGCAGTGGCACGATCTCGGCTCACTGCAACCTCTGCCTCCCAGGTTCAAGCGATTCTTCTGCCTCAGCCTCCTGAGTAGCTAGGATTACAGGTGCCTGCAACCACCCCTGGCTCGTTTCTTTTTGTTTTTGTTTTTTTTTGTATTTTTAGTAGAGATGAATTTCACTATGTTAGTCAGGCTGGTCTCAAACTCCTGACCTCCTGATCCGCTTGCCTTGGCCTCCCAAAGTGCTGGGATTATACGTATGAGCCGCCACGTGCTGCCGAATTTCCCTCTTTTTAAGGCTGAGTAGTATTCCACTGGGTATTGATATGGTTTGGCTCTGTGTTCCCACCCAAATCTCACCCTGAATTGTAATAATCCCCACTTGTCAAGTGGAGATAATTGAATCATGGAGGCAGTTTCCTCCATACCGTTCTCATGATAGTGAGTGAGTTCTCATGACAGCTGATGGTTTTATAAGTGGCTTATTTTCTTCTTTCTCCTGAATATGAAGAAGGATGTGTTTGCTTCCCTTTCCACCATGATTGTAAGTTTCCTGAGGCCTCCCCAGCCATGTAGAACTGTCAGTCAATTAAGCCTCTTTCCCCTATAAATTACCCAGTCTCAGGTATTTCTTCACAGCAGCATGAGAATAGACTAATACATGTATATATACCACAGTTTCTTCGGCCATTCATCCACATCTCGGCTATTGTGAATAGTGCATGAACATGGCAATGGAGATACCTCTTTGAGGTCTTCATTTCAATTCTTTTGACTAAATAGCCAGAAGTGAGATTTCTGGACCTTACGGTAGGTTTATTCTTAATTTCTTGAGAAACATCCATACTACTTTCCATGGCAGCTGCACCGCTTTACATTCCCAGCAACAATGCACAGGGGTTCTGATTTCTTCTCATCCCTCACCAACATTTGTTATTATGATTATTTTTTATAATGGCCATCTTGACAGGTGTGAGGTAATATCTCATTGTGGCTTTGATATTCACTTACTTGATGATTAGTGATGTGGAGTATCTTTTCATAAATCTCCTGGCCATTTCTGTGTTTTTCCTGGAGAAATGTCTATTCAAGTCCTTTGCCCATTTTTCAATAAAGTTATTCGGAAGACAGCTGCTGTTTTAAACCATTATTTTTTTTAATTACAATTCACATTTTTTTCACTGTTATTCTTTGATTTGGGTGAGATAAACCAAGTCTGATGTAGCCCACTCTTAGATATACACAATAGGAAGGCTAGTCTGCAAGTCTGCTCTGTACCTTTGGGCAAGTGCGCACGTTTCCTGTTATTCCATATATTTAGGAAGATATAGGCACCTTCTTGTTACATATATCTAAGAGTAGACTACATTAGACTGTGCTTATCTCACCCAAATCAAAGACTAATGGTTTAAAAAATAATGTGGCACTTCATCTGCTTAGGCCATCATACCTATAAATACCTGCATAATCTTCTCACACCTGTCACTGATGCAGATTTCCTAACAAGAGATTTATTACTTTAAGCTATTGAGAAACTCTACCTTATTAAAACGTAAAGGAGAAAATGACCATATTGGATTTACTATTATTCCCTTATGTGAAATGAGTATTTTAGGTATTTGCCATGATGACATTTGGCTGAAAAAATAGGGAAGAAATATAGAACACATAAATTATTTTGGAGGAACATTTAGGGGTTAGAAATCCAAAGCCAAGAGCCAAGGCTTGGTTAGATAGGGATGCTCTTTTGAGAGATGCCATGGTGAGAATTCCAGTATAGTCAGGGATGACCAAACAGACTGGGGAAGAAGCAGCACCTTGGCAAGGAAACTTTGGGAAGACATCAAAGACAACTACTTTCTTCAAATGGCTCACCCCTGTTGGCCAGCACACACCATCTGCATTGAAGGTGGAAGACACTATGCCTGAGGCTTTCTTTCCTCACACCCTTTCTCTATAGTAACTTTGTTTCTAGAGTGTCTTCTGGTGGATATTCTTCTGTGCTGAATCTGATTTGTCATGTTCCTTTCAGACTGAATGATAAGTGAGCTATGGCAGCCTACCTAATGACTGCCAGACATATCAATGCTTGCAGATCCTCATCAGATGCAGATATGCAGCTTTAGTACTGGCATTGGTCTTGCAAATGGTCAAAGGATGAAAATAATTCCTACCCTAGTTTTGTTCAGCAGCCACATCTAGGCAAAATTTTCACTCTTTCTAATGTGGCACTTTGTGTAGGTCTGTGTGAAAATTCTGGGCCTCACACTTTGTCAATAATACCAAAGTTAGGCCAGCACTTTTGGGCCAGGGGAAAGTCGCCAGTGGTTTAGGAATGAAAGAACTTCAAAGATGGGAAGAAGCCATGCACAGAGCTTAGCCAAGGCTTCCTTTGCTCCAGCTAGTGGAGACTAGTAAAATATTATCTTTTAAAACACCTATACACACCCCAAGAATACAGAAATCATCTTCCTTTCTATTGTGAAAAGGCAGTCAATTTTCTCTATGATAGTTTTCCTCCAGAATCTCTTTTTCTCTGGAGTTTGAATTTTTAGAAGCATACTATTTAATTGTTCTCACAATAAATGAGAGCAGAAAAGCCTCTGAGTTCTTTTGGGGGTAGGGTAATATCCTTAAGACTCTAATTTGTAAAGTGTAATCAGGAGTTAACTTACATGCTGTAGGTGGAACTAGTGTGTCCTTTGTCTAATTAGGAAGGTAAAAACTAAGCTACAACGAATGGTTTGAGATTTTTACTACTCCTAAACAGGAATGGATGCAAAAAGTCAGATTTGGGCTATAATCACCAATTTCAGACATTTAAAAGTGATGATGAAACATTTATGAATTAATTGTGTGATTTGTGTTGGGGGTATATGGCTAAAGAAGTGCTTACATTTTGATTCCTATAGAGTTTTCATCAAGGGACTTCATTTTCTTTCATATTTAATTTAAGATTTATTAAATTTGTGCTACTCAAAGGATCTTATCCTGGGACCAATAGAGAATTCATTTGTTTAGTCATTTATTCATCCACTTATATTTAGAATACCTTTTCTTTGCCAAGAATTGAGAAGATATATGAAAGTTAAAAAGGGAACATGCTGCTATTTGGAAATAATGTTAGGTTGGTCCTAATCTAGCAAGTGCCTACATCAATTATTTGGTACTTCACCTACCCAATATGATTGAAGTAAATCCAGCAATTATAAAATCCATCATTGTTCATGACTAAATTAGAAGCTGTGTTTTTCTCTCCATGTTTTGTGTCCTCTGCAACTGGTCTTAGTTCTTTAGCATAAACTAGAAGGCCTAGTTTCTCCTAACAGAAGGCAGCTAGGATTCTTTTCAATTGAGTTTGTACAGAAGACCCTCAATGTTAAGAGGATATTAATTTTTCCTCTAGTTACAATCTATGAATGGGGCTGAGAGTGTCCCAATTTTTGGGGAGACAGATACAAAAAGAGAATAATGTGTTTGTGAGACAGTTGATCACCTTCAATGTATGAGTGATCTTTTAGAAATATATGCATATATTGGTGCAAGTTTCATCTCAACAGAAACAACTATACTCATTGCTCCTAAGAATTTTAGGTGACAAAAGAAGTGCTTTTTTTTTTCTTTCTTTTAGACGATCTCACTCTGTCACCCAGGCTGGAGTGCAGTGCAGTGGCATAACCTGGGCTTATTGCAACCTCCACCTTCCAGGCTCAAGATATCCTCCCACCTCAGCTTCCCAAGAAGCTGGGGCCACAGGCGTGCATTACCATGTCTGACTAATTTTTGTATTTTTTGTAGAGACAGGGTTTCCCCATGCTGCCCAGGCTGGAAGCAATCTGCCCGCCTCAGCCTCCCAAAGTGTTGGGATTACAGGCATGCACCACGGCACCCAGCCTAACAGTTGTGCTTTCTAGTGCAAGGAATTCAGCAACTGCAGCAGCATTCGTTTATCCTGAAATTAGAGACAGAAGAAAGCCAACTACTTAGGAAAAACATAATTGATATGAAAGAGCTTATGCTGTGCTATGATCTGAACGCTGGCACACCCCAGAATTCCTATGTTGGAACCTAACACCCAAAGCAATAGTAGTAAGAGGTGGGGCCCTTGGAAAGTGATTAAGTCTTAAGGGCTCCACCCTCATGAATGGGATTAGTGCCCTTATATAAGAAGCCTGAGCAAGCTCCCTTGCCCCTTTCTGTCACGTAAGGATGCAGTTAGAATGAACCATCCATGAAGCAGAGAACATGCCCCCACCAGGCATTGAATCTGCTGCAGCTTTGATCTTGGAATTCCTAGCCTCCAGAATTGTTAGCAGTAAATTTCTGTTGTTACATAAATTACTCAGTCTAAGGTATTTTGTTACAGCAGCCTGAAAAGACCAAGACATGCTACCACGTTGGTAATTTTCAGCTACATCATGTTCACTAATCTAGAATTGAGAAAAAGAGATCCTAATGTTAAAAGTTACTGGTAACTAAAATTTGCTCTTACATTTTTGCATTCTCCCTGGATGAAGGCCTGAGATTCTGAAGTTGTTCTTGAACTTGACCCTGCTAGTTTACATTATGCTGCATTTTAACTGCACCACTGGGCTAGCAAAAAAAACGTCCACAAAAAGCACATGGATTTTATAACTCACCCTGAATAATTAAGGACATCTGTTTTTTGCTATAAACATTTTTTGAAAGCCTAAACATGAAGCACTGGTCCAATTCATTAATATTTTGGAATAAATTTAATTACTATATATTATAATAAAATGAGCTGTGTGTTTTTTTGTAGTTAAAAAAACCAGCATTTTCACATTATCAGTTAAAACCACATTAGAAAGTACATTTTAAAAATTGAAAGTGAGTTTATTGAAAATAAACTTGTTACTGGGTATTCTAGCAGAGAAAATCCCTTGAATATCTATGAATGCATTTTTAAGAGTTAAAAGAATCACATACCTTGGCAACCATTTGCTAATTTTGAAAGTATTCCCAAGTGTTTATATACTATATTTATTTAAATTGGCCATATGATTTTAATTGGTTTCACTGTGGTAGAATTAGCTTCATTGAAGTAGATGTACTCTCCTACAAGCTGAATAGCAGCCCTGTGTAGCACAGATTTCCAACATAAACTATAATTCATAAAGGCCAACACAACTCTTTTCTTTGTAGCTGGGTAACCATTTATGTTTGAGGTGAAGATGTTAATATGGAAATTTTGTGAGCTAGGAAAGAGGATGAACGCTATCACTCTAATTTATGACCTTTCATATAAGGCCAAATGTAAAGGCAACTTCAATTGTTTTATATCTCAGGGCCAGCACATAGCAGATGTATGAAATTTGGAGTGTTAGACATAAACTTTTATTACCAAATTATAAATAATTTCTCCCACTTATAATGTTCACCTTTCAAGTTCATCTTGATTAAAATACAAGGGCAGCTTCACACCGATTTCACTAAATTTTACAGCTGAGAGAGGTTTTCTAGAGTTCACGGTGGAGTATAAAGCATCACAGCATTTGGGAGATTCTCCTTCCAGGAGCTCAGACTCTGATCCTATCTCTTTTAAAATTCAAGTCATGCCAAAATGATGGCTGATGAAGTCCGAACATTATTTAAACATCTCACATGTTACATCTGAAACCAAGCGCCCATGATGTAGAATATATCACTTCCTTGGGTAAGCAAAACGACATACTACTTTTTCTGAGAAATTTGCCCACCAGTCAATGAGCTTGTATCACTTCTTAGAAGGTATTCAACAACCAGAGAGTGTCTGTCTGTTTCCTTATTTTCTTTTTTCCCCTCCCTCCCTCTTTCTTTTCCTTCTTTCTTTTTCTTTCTTTCTTTCTTTCTTTCTTTCTTTCTTTCTTTCTTTCTTTCTTTCTTTCTTTCTTTCTTCTTTCTTTCTTTCTTCCTTCTTTCTTTCTTTCTTTCTTTCTTTCTTTCTTTTTTCCTTCTTCTTTCTTTCTTTCTCTCTTTCTTTCTTCATTTAAGAAACAGTCTCGCTCTATCATCCAGACTGGAGTGCAGTGGCATGATCTCATCTCACTGCAACCTTAGCCTGTCGGGTTCAAGAGATTCTCATGCCTAGCCTCCCAGGTAGCTGGGATTACAGGCATGTGCCACTACACCCAGCTAATTTTTTAATTTTAAGTAGAGACGGGATTCAACATCTTGGCCAGGCTGGTCTTGAACTCCTGACTTCAAGTGATCCGCCAACCTTGGCCTCCTAAAGTGCTGGGATTACAGGTGTGAGCCACTGCCCCCGGCCTCTCTTCATTTTCTATAACAAATAATTTTCATATCCCATGATTAAAGGCAGATAATGGTGGCCCCAAGTATCCAAAACTAGCACATCACAGCTTATGAGCTCCTATTGTACAGTCTGAAGGTCCAGGAAAGGTTCAGGTCCATGCCAGCACTTCATACCAGTTAATGCATTGCTCCAACAAGACCAGCCAGTATTCTTGGAAGCTTAACATCCATGTTACATATTAAAATCTGCTTTGGAGAGTGTTGGTCAATCCAATTACATGTTTGTATTTATCATCATCATCATCATCATCAACAACAACCACAACAACATCACAATACATTCATCTACATGTTCACAGGGCTGTTGGGTGTTTAATAAGCTAGACATGAGACCATCTTTTATGAATATGAAACATTGAAGGACATAGTTATTTAAAGGCATATGTACTATAGAACTGTAGAAGGGACAAACAATGAAGTGGCAAGAGTTCTCTTAGCATTTATATATCTGCATTTGTCTATTTTAAGCATAATAGCTTCAAGAGAATGAAAAGACAAGCCATAAACTGGGAGAAAATATTTGTAAAACACATATCTGATAAAGAACTATTATTCAAAATATACAAAGGACTCTTAAAACTCAACAAAAAGAAAGAACAAACTGATTCAAAATTGGGCCAAAGACCTGAACAACCAAAGATATACATATGGCAAATAAGTATATAGAAAGATCCTCCATATCATATGTCACTAGGGAATTACAACTTTAAACAACTATGAGATAGTCACTAAGCAGCTATTAGACTAGTCAAAATCCAAAGGACTGGAAGCACCAAATGCCCATGAGGATGTGGAACAATGGAAACTCTCATTCACTCCTAGTGGGAATGCAAAATGGTACAGCCACATTGTAAGACAGTTTGGCAGTTTCTTACAAAACTAAACATACCCTTGCTATATGATCTAGCAGTCATACTCCTTGATATTTGCCCAAATAAGCTGAAAACTTATTTCTATACAAAAACCTGCATACACATATTCATAGCAGCTTTATTCATAACTTCCCAAACTTGGAAGCAACCAAGATGTCCTTCTGTAGGTAAATGGATAAATAAACTGTGGTACATCCAAATAATGGAATATTATTCAGAACTTAAAAGAAATGAGTTGTCAAGCCATGAAAAGGCGCAGAGGGGTCTTAAATGCATATTTCTAAGTGAAAGAAGCCAGTCTGAACAGGCTACACAGTGGGGTGGTGCAGTGTATGCACCACTAACTGTGTACGGTATGATTCCAAATATATGATATTGTGGAAAAAGGCAAAACTTTGGAGACAGAAAAAAGATCAGCGGTTGCCAGTGGGGAGGAAGGGATAAATAGGTGGAGCACAGAGAATTTTTAGGGCAGTGAAACTATTCTGTATGATACTGTAATTGTGGGTACATTTCATTATGCATTTGTCAAAACCTATAGAATGTGCAACACCAAGAGTGAACCCTAATGTAAACTTTGGCCTTTGGATGATAATGATGTGTCAGTGTAGGTTCATCAGTCCTAACAACTAAATGAAACTAAACTACATAAGTTAAACTAAAGCTTGCCAAAATATTTTTATGACTTTAAGGCTCCTTAATAAATTAATGTTTACATTCAGGGTTTTGAAGACTAGTATTCACCAAAAGTCTTGCAGTGTTTTCTTTGCATCATAAAAGATGCTGAAAGCAAAAACCTGGGAAATACGGAAAATTGCCTTGTGAGTTAGTAAAAGTCATTTATAAGCTGCTGAGGGGCTTTTGGGAACAGCCACACTTTTTATAAGCTTGTTAGCTCATGAATTAATTCAGGATGCCCACCCCGTGTGTCAAACTGGGCCCTTACCCAGCTACTCCCCTTAGAGAAGGTTGCAGCTGCTCAGCAGATGAACTAGGCCCTTAAAACTCCTCATGGCTCCCTACCCACCACACTAGTGTTAACGGCTCGATTAGGGCTCTGTAGGAAAGGGAAAGAAGTTTGAATCAAAAATTTTCTTTTTTTTTTTAATAATTTAAACAATCAGTAAGGAATGTGCAATTTGATGTCGTTTGCAAAGAAAGTTTTTAGGAACAGGGCTTTTTATCCTATTATGTTTGTTCTTTGCACGTAATTATTTGATTTAAATGGTACTTTTCTTAAAATTTTTATTTACATTGTATTTTATATTGCAAGAACTTCAAATACAGCCCTCACAATAAATCAGTAACTGTTCGGTCTTTATCCAAACTGAACTTTTATAGAAGGATATAAGGAAGTCTCTATTCTTTAACAAATCATATCCAGTTGTTTTCTGTCCCTGATATCAATCAAAAGTTCATTTCTTCTGCCTTTAACCAAAAGAAGTTTACAAGGGAGGAACTCTTTATCTTCGAAAAAAATTTTGCATCTTAGATTTTATAACACCTAATGGGGTTAAGGATCTGTGTTGAAAGATCTTATCACTCTGTGTATAGTGTTACAAATCATAAATATAATTAAAGTATAAGTTTTCAACTGATGAGAGTATATGTGGAGGGGGAAAAACGAATCAAGTCCTGGTGTAACAGTTCTCTTCTTTTTCCCTTTCAATTCCATTAATAGAAAGAGTATTGAGAATTCATGCAAAATTCCAAACCAAGTTCCCATAGTAGCACTGAAATAAGTCTGCACACCATTTCCAATAGGAACTAGTAATGTAACACAATTAATGTCATTATAATTTGGAGTTACTTGAGTGATTTTGATTATTTTTGTATCAATTAACATTGCCATGGAAACAGTCTCTTGCTAAAATGGCTTAAGTCTTCACACATTTAATCAATATCCAGAGGTAGATTTAAAGACTTGAGGTGTTTCATTTATTTATTTATTTGCTTTAAACTATTCAAGGACGTTTCTGGGTACACAATGCCGTTACTTAAACAGTAAATTCCAGTTTCCTATGACTTCAAGTTATTTTTTACACTTCTGTAAATAAATCCTGCCCAAAAGATCACTTCTAGTTTCCTGGAATTTTGTTTTTGTTTTGTATTGTATTTGTTTTGTACTCAGATTTCTGTTAGAGGAACTCCACTGCACCAATTTTGCTACTAGACAAACCAGGAATCTTGGATTTGCGCGCTTTGGTGCTGACAGGCTTTTTCGGCCCCAGCGGGCTGCCGTAGCAGAGAAGAGCACTGATTGGCTGAGGCAGAAAAGTGCCCCTGCCTCGGCGCTTTCGGTTTTGGCTGGGATCATCCGCGGCGGCCGGGCTCGTGGGGCGCCTGGAGTGAGGGTTCTGGTTCCCGCCGGCGAGGTGAGCCGCACCGCTGCGCGGGCCGACGACGGGGCCGGGCGCAGCCCCAGGTTCGGTGCCCCAGTGTTCAGTCGCGCTGTGGAGCGGCGGCTGCAGCGGCCCTAGGCCGGGCGAGGCAGCCCCGGAAAGGGCCTGCGGTGAACAGGCTGGGGCTCCGGGAAGGGACCGCTGGGTGGCGGGTCCCCGCGAAATGCCGCGTCCAAGCTCTCCGCGCATGGAATGGCTGGGAGAGGTCTGATGGTGGGCGCCGGGACCGCCCTCAGCGAGGCGCCTAGACTGCGCGGAGAGGAGCGGCACCGTCCCGGCTCCTACCGAGTTGGCGTCCGAGATCAATTCAGGTTGTTGAAGTTCCCCAGGGAGCCCCGACGCTAATCCCAAGATTCGGCGGGAAAGCGGATCCCGAACCCAGGCCTAGGCTTCGCCTGTCTTCCAGGAGGGCTTCAGGGAATTGCGAACCCTCTCCTACATCGGGGTGGCTGCGCCTGACCACAGGAATTAAAGGCTGGACTCGCCTGTCTTACCAAGTTGTCAGGTCGAGGAACCCGATTGTATGGTCTTAAGTCCTATCGCCCAAGGTTTTCTGTGCGTATGCGTGTCCGCACACCTGCATAGCAGGCATTTTTAAGGTGTGTAGGATTAAGATGATGCGGATTACCCTGCCCCACTGCTCTTAGTAATACGTGACTATTGTAGAAAATTGCAAACATAGAAGACTTTAGTGAAGAAAATAATATTCACTGAACCCTTTCACCTACGATCATTTTCTCTTGTATGTGCTAGCTTCTACTTGAACTAAGAGTGTACATGTTTAATCACTTAACAGTGTAGTTTTCCACTTCCATTTAAAAACTCTTCCTAAATATTATTCTAATTTTGTATCTTCTTTTGATTGTCCTATCATTGTGGGTCCCAGTTTAGGTCCCGTAAATTATTCAGTCATTTCCCGATTGTGGGACATTAGATTGTTTTTGAATTTTTACATCATCTTAGCATCCCAGATAGTGCTTTGATAAACTCTTTTCCCCCTATTTTTTAGATTATTTCCTTGGACTAGATTCTCAGAAGTGAAATTATCAGATTAGATGCTGTCATCTGAAAGGTCTGTTTTAGGCCTTCATACACATTGCTGCAGTGTTTTCCAAAAAAGTTTTAGAGATGTTTGGTAATTTTACTTGCTTAAATATTGTGCAGAAATCTTGAGAGGCTTGTGTTTGTGGTGTGTGTGTGTGTGTGTGTGTCACTGGCGTTAATGCGTTAGACTACCTGAATGTTAGGGCAGGAAGAGACTTAAGTGGTCATCTGGCATAACTCCCTTATATTGCAGATGAGGAACCTGGGGCCATGAGAAGTGAAATTATGAGTTATCCAAGTCACACAGCTAATTAAGTAGCAGAGCTGGGATTAGAACTCAGGTTTCCTGCCTCCCAAGTGAGTACTCTGTGCTGTATCAGGCAGTCTCTCACTGAACTGTGGCATAGTAGATACTAGAATTTAAAAATTTGTTTACATCACCTGGGTTATTCTCTCCTTTTAAAAGTGTACTAACAGATTTTAATCATCGGAGAGACCTGTAACACTGAAAAATTGGAAAGTGATCATTTTCATGGCCAAGACTAGAAATCCATTATTTAGAATGGCAACCCCTTCAAGATTTTGACAGTTGTTTTCAGGTTCCCTATATGTTAGAATAAAACACCCCTGATTAATTATAACCTACACTCCATCATTTGGTTAGAATGTAGCTTTTGGTTATCATTTGCGGTACCTTGGAGATTTCTTTAAAACTCCTCACTTTAAAACCAAAGAACAATTTTTTTTATTTTTATTTATTTTTATTTATTTTTTTATTTAGGGCTTATAGCAGAGATTGTCAACTTCCATTGACATTTTGTGCTGGGCAGTCCTTTGTTGTGGAGGGCCGTCCTGTTAGTTGTAAAATGTTTAGCAACATCCCTGGTCTCTACCCACTAGGATAGCAGTAGCACCACCTTCCTCAGTCATGACAGTTCAGTGTCCCCAGATATTTCCAAGTGTCCCTGAGCAGGGTGGGGCAGGGTTGGGGGTACTGCCCCTAGATGAGAACCATTTGCTTATAGAAATTATCTGGAGAACTTTATAAAATGTAAAATACAGTGCCTTTACCTGAGTAGACTTCGGGAAAATCTGCATTTTAACAAGCATCTCTAGATTTGGAAACAGCTGGTTCTTGAATGACACAAACAGTTGTTTTCTCAGTTTTTGGTGCTCATAATAGAGATTACTTGGTTAGTATTTGTTGAAGTACATGCATGATCCTACTGGTCACTGTATCCATAGTTTGGGCTGATGGGGGCTGGACAGGGATTTTGCTTGGCACTGGCCTTGAATGTCTCTTCCACAGACTTGGGTAGTGTGCTTAGGTACCAGGGACACCAAGTGAGTAAGATATTTTCCCTGTCCCCAAGAAGCTTTAAATTCGCACGGGAGACCAGTCAGCAAATGGAAAAATTACGAAACAGCCTGATAAGGGCCATGACTGAGAGTGGAAAGAGGTGCTCTGAGTGGACTCACTTCGCCTTTGGGAGAGAGGGAGAGAAGTAGCCCCTGCTGCCGAGGAAGGAGGGATTGGTATGAAGCCTTCAAAAGACAGCGAGGAACTCCACTGTGTCCGAAGGGAGGATTTAGAGAGCTGTTCTTCTGCCTATCTGATCGCCTCCTCAGACACTGATCTATTAGTCTAGTGCTGCAATTACTTGGATTGTAATGTTTCCTTGCAATTTTTGCTTTTCAAATTCTTTTCACCCTAAACTGTAAATACGCCAGGAGTAGGTAAAAACTTACAGGTAAACATTGCCAAGAAATAAGGATTTTCATGTCTTCTGCTCAGTGGCATAACTCAAATCACATGAGATAGATTTCTTTGCATCTGTCCATTGTATTTCTCTGAGGCTAATTTACAGCACTTTGTCACGTTAGGTATTTTTTTTCCCCAGTGCTGCTACTCTCCAACTGGATTTCTCACCGCCTCTATTGCGATTCCCCAAGATTTAACCAGAGAATCTTAACATATTCAGAAGGGCAGCTGTACCTGTGAAAGGGCTTGGGCTTTGGGGTCAGCCTTGGCTTTGCTTTCCACCTCACAGGGTTTCTCTGTAAATTGCTTATGAATCTAACTCTGGTAGCACATAGTTGGGTTAATAAAAGTTCTTTTTTTTCTTCATTCTTTTACCAAAAAGAAAAAAATTCCCTGCAGGGCACTTTGCAGATGTTTTCATACTAGACCTCTCAGTAGCTTCTGACAGAAAATATACTGCCTTTGACTTAATAGTCATTTATGAAAATAGGTCATTTAAAACAAGCCTGAGTAGGAGTCAGGGGAGGGAGAGGAGGTATAGAGAGTGATTATGACTTTAATTTTGAAAGGAGAAGTTTTACCAGGGTGACCCTGAAGAAAGGTCTTTTTCCTCTTATGTGTTTATGGTTCAAGAGACTCATCTCTTGCTTCAGAAATTGTCAGAACTGTTTCTTCTGCTTTATCCAATTTAAAAGATGAAAACTTAAAATTACTTGAGCCAAGTGATGGGAAAAATTGTGGTGTCAAGACCAATTTACTCATACAAAATGGATTTATGGGCAAGTCATTAAGTAACAGGGAGTAGCAAGGAAGCCTAATGAAGACTAATGTAAAAGATACGGCTTTCCTAAAGTGATGGATAAAATGTGTTTGAGGCAACCCATATACTCTTTTCCAAATAACCTTAGAAGTATTTTTTTTCCAAGAGGTTTAGTAGAATGTAGATATTCTAGAGAACAGATGAGAAGCTTGTGAGCCCCTCTTGTCATGTGGCTTACAGTATTTTGAGGGAGAAAAGACCCACATAAAGAATACAAAAGAGGGCATAGTGACAGGTTATAGCAAATAAAATCAAATGCCAAACTATGTGATGCCAAAAGTAGGTGAGATGGGCATCTGCACTCTGCTATGGAAAGTAGAGAGTGGAACCCAAGCAAGTTCCTGCTTAAAACCCCTGTTTCCTATCATTGACAACAGTATTTCCCCTTGCCAGTTATTTCCTAGGCTTGTTCAAATAGATTGCTGGCTCCTACCCCAGAACTACTGAGTAGAATCTCCAGCTGATCCTAATGATTCAAGTTTGGGAAACTGACCCAGAGCCTCAACTCTGTGCTCCCTGTGAATGTGGCACAGCTCCCTGCCGCAGAGGCGTCTCCTCCTTGCCTATGTAGATTTTACGTTCTACCCAGACACTTGTTCCGTGCCTTTTCTGACTTCTCTTCTTTCAGCTAGGGGGTGACGCCTTTTCCTTCAAATTCAGCTCAGGTGTTAACTTCCAGAAATTCTTTGATCTGCCAAGCCTGGGGTAAGAGAGTGTTCTCTGCCCTTTTGTGCATAATTCTATCAGAATACACATCACCTTTGTAAAATTCTGCATTTACATGTTTCTTGCCCTCTCTGGAATGTAAACTCTGAGGGCTTAAGGCCTTGTCTTTGTGTTACATTCCCCAACCCTGTGCGCCTGAACTTGACAGGTGCTCCGTGAAAGTTGGAAGTGTTGATTGCCTTCAGGAAGAGATTGATGTTAATTGGAATACAGATAAAGCATAATGGACAAGGCGTTATCTTTGGTGAGCTTAGAAGAACATATCTGTGTTTATAAAAAGGTGTGGAAAGTTAATATTAATAATACTTTTAAAATAACCTATACTGTCAAGCAACTGATAGTCAAGATTTGCATTCTTTTTTCTGACAGTTATTAACTCTTTCCAGCTTTTGCTTTTCAAATGTTTTTAATCTGAAACTGTAAATACTCTATGAGCAGATGAAATTAGTAATAATTAAAGTAGTTAATATCTCCATGAACTAGAATCACATTACAAAGCATTTTAGTGATTTTTAACACAAAATAGCTACTTTTATCTCAGTTTTATACATAATGAAACTGTGGCATAATGGGATTTAGCATCTGTGATAGGAAATGCACCTGACTCATCAGTTGAGTATCAGGCCTTCAGAGTTAATATTCTCTCTAGATGTGTTCAGCCTCAAAACAGCATGTATTCAAAATGTAAATAAGGCGGTTTATAGATGAATGGGAAGATTTGTGTATTTTCACTAAACTCATTAAAGGTACTGAATCTGTTACAGTATTTATTTTGTATTTTTTCACTTTGTACTCAGAACAGTGTAAATAAAATTACTGTGTGATCTGAGTCCTGAATGAAAAGTGGTTGTCCTGAATAGTAGTTGTAATAGTAGTTGTAATTGTAGTTATCTGTTGAGATTGTGGAGCTAATAAAATAAGCTAGAAATTCAGTGGAAAAGTTAAGTTAACATTTGTTGAGCAAAATAATTTATTGCATTTTAAAAACATCTTTCAAACCTTGGGGGCAGTGTAGATTGTCCAAATGATAGCCCAAAATTCAAAGATAATTTCTGAAATTTGTATTTTCTTTTATTTGACTTAGGATGTTGACTTTTCTTGGCTAAATAAAATTATTTTACTTAAATTATGATTGCGTTTGTTTACTCACACTCTTTAAATGAGTTTAAATTCTTCTAGATTTTAAGTTCTTTAAGGCAGAGCCTTTGTGTATGACATGTTTTTGAATTTCCTTGCTCAGTGTGTACATGTACATGTAATTTGTTGAGCCCAGTAACCTAGAGTTCCAGCTTACTACAACTGCTGATCCCGTGTGAATTCACTATGAGAACGTCTCCAAATAATCCTTCTCCACACAAACTCAGATTATTGAGTGGATGGACTTAGAATGAAATAAGCATAGTGGAAGAATGTTTAATGAAAAAATAATGGAAGAATATTTAATGAAAAAATTTCATTGAAAACAAAAGAACAGCTTGAGTTCTTGAAGGGAATCCTTAAAATATTGTATCCATACTAACTTTTAAGTCTCAGTGCTATATAGCTGCTGAATAATAGTGATGCTGAATTTGACTGAAACAGAAAAATTAATTTCTGAAATATTTTTACTCAGTTTTTGCTTAACTACAGTTTTATTAACTTACCAACATATTTTGAAAGAGAGCTATTTTATAAGAAAAGATGCGTTTTGAAAGGAGTGATGTGCAGCTTTGCATGTCTGATGCTGTTGATTTGGGTGTGTAATGCTATCTCTTTTTCTGTGTTAGACTCCTGTTATACTTGAGTTTTAAGACTTTTTTCTTCATTATTTAGAGCACATATCTGCTATAGTCCTAATAGAGTAATTAAAAATCTTTGACTGTGTTATTGACTTTCAGAAAGCTGTTTAAGGTTGTGATTAAGAGTATGGGCTGGCTATCCACTTTCTAGCTGTGTGACCTTGAGCAGAGTGTTTAATCTTTCTGTGTCTTCTTCTTCATGTGTAAAATGAGGATAAAAACAATACCTCCCTTTTAGGGTAGAGCAATTTAAATTGATTAATATATATAAAGTTCTTGGAAAAGTGCTGGCATATAGTACACTCAAAATTACCTTTAGATTATAATTCTTTTCAGAGATACCATTTAGGCATCAGTTGTTCATAAATATGTCTGTTCTATATAATACGGACTTTAAAATAGGGCTGATTTGAACTTGAATGTTCCATCACATTTGGGAACAAATTATTTAATCTTTCTGTGCCTTTACTTTTCATCAGCAAAATGAGGGTATTAAGACCTTCTTCCCATGGTTCTTGTAAAGATGAAATGTGATAGTGTTTATAAAGACCTTAGCAGAATGCTTTGCATAAAATAACCAACCACTCACTGAATGGAAGTGGTAATGGTTGTAATGGGTATACTGACTATGTGTCAGGCAGTAATGATAAGTGATTAAGAGCAGGTGCTTTTGTAAACACAGGACTTTCCCTAATGAGACTGTGCCATGGTGTTGTGGGTACTGATAAGATAATGCATGTAGAATGTTTAGCTTAGTATCTGGCTCATAGTAAGTACTGAAAACATGTTAGCTGTCATGTAGTAGCAGTGGAGTAATACGCGTCTTCTCGCATGGTCCTTTGATACTTCATTTTCTGTAAGTATGTTAAGGGCTTTAAGGGTTTTGTTGAATAATCAACTTTGGTCTTTACCTTTTATTGTTCCTTTTCATATTTTGATTTAGGATTGTTAAAATGAGTCTTCGGAAGCAAACCCCTAGTGACTTCTTAAAGCAAATCATCGGACGACCAGTTGTGGTAAAATTAAATTCTGGAGTGGATTATCGAGGTAATATTTTCATGTTTCAACCTCACTGGTATAACTGAATAAGTAAATGTGACTTACTGATATTTATTAACCTCTTAAGTATACCCAATAGGCCAAAAAAGTACTGGTCATCAGTAGTTTTTATGCATATATCTTTTTCTATCTCTGAGATCATTCCTTTTAGAAGGACAACTCTGACAGTATAGCATGTGCTTCTGCCTTTCAGTGTGATTTGTGTGACTTCTGTCTCCTGTCTCTGCTTTGAGATCATATGTGCCTAAATTCCCTGGTAATAGCTAGGTATTCCTAGTGAACTCAGGTATGAACAACACAACTGAAGAACATCTTGGTGCAGCAGCATTTGTTTTTGCAGGAGTATTCAAGATTGGCAAGCAGCTGTTGAGTATCATTTTACAACCTGAATGTCCCACTCATATAACGTATAATGTGTGTGGCAACAGGGTGAGACTCTGTCTCAAAAAAAAAAATGCCTTTCTGTTCTTGGAGAGAATATTATTTTTAAGAGGCTGCAGTGCTTTTGAAATTAACTTTATAGGAAGAATGGTTTTAAA
The DNA here is from genome assembly GCF_000001405.40 of Homo sapiens. Lineage (NCBI taxonomy): Eukaryota > Metazoa > Chordata > Mammalia > Primates > Hominidae > Homo > Homo sapiens. Next base: position 146,183,567 of record NC_000004.12, read on the forward strand.
TTCCGTTTTTTAAAGTTACTGAATTTCTTATCTTCCAAGCTAAGGTATGTTAAGTTACCTGAAATATTTGGCAGGTGTAACTATAACTGATTCATTAGCAGAGGGACGTGGTCTCTTGGGTTGCTATAACAGAATACCACAGACTGGGTCATTTTTATTTTCATTTTTTGTATTTTTTTTATTATTTATTTCAGTAGTTTTTGGGGGTACAGGTGGTTTTTTTGGTTACATAGATACGTTCTTTAGTGGTGGTTTCTGAGATTTTGGTGCACCCGTCACCTGAGCACTGTACTGGGTAATTTTCTTTTTTTTTTTTTTTTTTTTGAGACGGAGTCTCGCTCTGTCACCCAGGCTGGAGTGCAGCGGCGCGATCTCGGCTCACTGCAAGCTCCGCCTCTAGACTGGGTAATTTTCAAAAACAGAAGTTTATTTTCTCACAGTTCTGGTGGCTAGGAAATCCAAGATCAAGGTGCCAGCAGGTTCAGTTGTCTGGTGAGGGCTACGTCCTCCAGAGAGGAGGAATGCTGAGTCCTCACGTGGCAGAAGGCAGAGGGCAAACCAGCACACTGCGTGAAGACTTTTTTTTAATGCAGGCCTTCATCCCATTAATGGGCAAGTCCCCATGGTCTGCTTGCTTCTTAAAGGCCCCCACCTCTTAATACTCTCCTATTGCCAAACACCTGAATTTTGGAGGGGACACATTCAAACCATAGCACAGGTTTTTGTGGCCTTTTTTTGGTCTCTTTTCTGAATAATTAATAGTCATAGTAATCTCTTGAGCTTTTTCCTTTGAAATCTCTATTGATTATCCCCACCTAGTAGAGGAGGAGCTAGGACTCAAGTTCAGGCTCGGCTCATAAGCCTTGTTAAGAAACCACTCTGGTGATTATGTACTCCTTTAGCTTCTTGACATTAATAACGTATCTCCAGTTTAATTTTATTTTTATAGTAAAATTAATGGATTCATACGGAATACTGAGGTAGTATAATGTCTCCGTGTACTGCCTCTCACCTGCGAACTTTTGATGATGGGCCCATAGGAAGTAATAGACTTCTAGGGGTTTTAATCTGTTTGACAGTTGATTAAAGTGAGGACATTGTGTTCAATGTCTTCTCAGTACCCACTTTATTGAAGAGATGAACCAGCCTGACCTTTTTTCTCTGTACTCTTTAGGGAAAATTTTTCTATTTATAAAGGCAATACATGTTTTAGTTTTGTTTTAATTTTAGAAATGTAAAAGGAAATAATACAGAAAAGTATATAGAAGAAAGCCAAGGATCCCCAATGCTACTATCCAGAGACAGTTTACCAATTTTGACCTCTATATTAGCATAATTTGACATAAATGGAGTCAACTACATGCAACCTGATTTTTTTTTTAAACGTTGAAACAGTACATTTAGTTTTGTAATAATATAGAGGGTTTAATGGCTGCATAGGAATCTCTTGTGTGGCTGTACCATGGTTTTGCTTTTACTGTTAACCAATTTCCTATTAATGGACATTTAGGTGTTGACCAGTTTTTTGCCACTATAAACAACTCTTCTACTTTGACATATATTGTGAAGTTGACCAAACATCTCTTTAGAATCAATTCCCTGGGCTAGGATTTACAAGTCAGAGAGTATTCCATGGCCCTGCATCAGGGAACTTGGGTTTATCCTTCATGTTCTCACCAACTCTTGTATTAGCTTTTTTTCATCTTTTCCAATCTAATTGGCAACAAGTAATATCTCATTCTACATATATTTTCTTTGTTTACTAGTGAGATTCAGGAGTCTTTCACATGGATAGTAACCATAATTTTTTTTCCTCTTATGAATGGCCTTTATACTATTAAAGCAAAATGTTTTATACTATTAGATAGCCTTACTAAAGGAACGTGCTTATTTTGTGGTTTACAAAACCCCAAAAAACCCCAAAGCAAAACAACAACATACCAAAAAAAAAAAAAAAAGAAAAACTCCAGCAACTCTCTGTAGCAGTTTCTCTTTGAGAAAATGTCTTGTTTTTGGTTTTGTATAGTAGTTTATCTCATGGAAGGAAAGGGTTGTATTTCTAACCCCCTGGGCAGTTTTTTTGTTGTTGTTGTTGCTTGTTTGTTTGTTTGTTTGTTTTTGCCTTTGCTGTGAGAATAGATATTTTAATTAGAAGTGAACTCTTTTTTTTTTTTCTTTTTTCTTTTTTGAGACCGAGTCTCACTCTTTCGCCCAGGCTGGAGTGCAGTGGCTCAGTCTTGGCTCACTGCAACCTCCGCCTCCCAAGTTCAGACGATTCTCCTGCCTCAGCCTCCCAAGTAGCTGGGATTACAGGCACCTGCCACCATGCCTGGCTAATTTTTGTATTTTTAGTAGAGACGGGGTTTCGCCATGTTAGCCAGGCTGATCTTGAACTCCTGACCTCAAGTGATCTGCCAGCTTCTACCTCCCAAAGTACTGGGATTACAGGCATGAGCCACTTTGCCCAGCCTGGACATTTCATTTTGAAATTCTTTTCATTGGTTTTCAAACAGGTTTGCATATTGTGCCTCAGATTTTTCTTGCTCATTTATAATTGCAGTTTGTATGTAAAATAGTACAGCAGGAAACGAGCTAAAGTTGTAGCTTAAGCTTTCTTTTGCTAGGAAATAATTTTATTATTCACAGTCCATTCTCGTTCTTTGAGAGTTTACCGCTTTTAGCAGAATTCTGGTAGATTAATGTCTTTTGCTGTCATTACACAATTTTGAAAGGAAACTTTTTTGTTTAGAGGATAATGGGGGCAGAGGCAGAGAGTGAGGAGCATATTAATGAAGTTAAGACATCAAATGAGAAACTATAGACTCGACTGAATTGAATCTAGTATTTGTTTTTACTTAAATTTTTTTTTCTAGGAAATACCACTTTAAATTAGAGACAGAATTAGAGGCTTACAGATTTTCATCTTTTGAAAAAGATCATCAGGTCAAATTTTACAAAATTTATACCATCTTAACACAATTAAAGATTGACTCAAACTGTTTCCTTGAAAGCTCCCTCGAATGTTTTTGGCCATTTTCTCTATTAGTTTTGATTGGAAAATATTATAGCTGTAACAAAACAGAACAAGATGTGTTATAATGCAATATGTTGCCCTATATTCTCAAGCTGCTCTTCACTGTGAGTCACAGCTTTAAGATGTTCTTTCGGGAGCACCTGCTGTCTCCTCTTCTATTATTTTAACAGATTGTGGAGACTTCCTTTTAACCCTGGAGTACATTCATCTGCTGCAATAGATGTTGTAAAAGAATGAAATAAATCTGCCAGACCCGTATTTCACTTAGTGGCTAAAGTAGGAAATGCCACTGGAACCAAGGATCATTTGTTTATGCATAATTGCCCACCTTGTGCTTAGCTTTCAAAGAATGGTATTTTTGCCGGAATAGTCTTATTCTCTTACTTTTTTGAATGCTTTAAAAGTTTCTGTGTGGTCATACGTACCATGAGGGAAGTGACAGTTTGTTGTTTTACCGGGTAGTAGTGGGTGCGTGACTGCCTTCCTAGACTTCATTCAGATTGGCATAGAGTTGTTTTGTGCTTAAGCTGTTGAGTTTCATTTATGGTGTGAATTTTTATATTAAGCATCTAAGAACTAATGAATAAAGAGATTGTCTGCTCTAAGGTATACCCTGTAATTTTCAACTCTTATTTGCCTTGTGTATCTTCTTTTTGACTAAATATGTCTGCAGGGGTCCTGGCTTGCCTGGATGGCTACATGAATATAGCCCTGGAGCAGACAGAAGAATATGTAAATGGACAACTGAAGAATAAGTATGGGGATGCATTTATCCGAGGAAACAATGGTAACATTTCTTCGCCCTACAGTACAGCATTCAAAATAAGCCTTTCTATTTATAATCCAGATCACCAAAGAGGTTTCTAGATAATTTAAAAGTCCACTTTTAGGCTTGATTATTTTAAAATGCTTATATGTCAGATCTTCAGTTTGACCAGTTATTTTGTAGATGCTTCATGGAATTTTGAAACCAAAATTCTCTCCTTCCCTTCCTTTAGTGATGAGGAACTGAGGGACATTGTTCTCCTTACCTGGAACCCTGCTTTCTCGAATATAGTGTAGTATATCTCCCCAACACATATTCCTGCTTCTTGTAGCCTGGAAGTTGGAGATGTAAGAATGGGCACCGTTTCCCTGCTGTCTTTGATTTGCATAATTTGGCAGTTCGTCCTATTTGTCCCTTCTCTATTAAACATTCAGATGCTTTCTATGCAGATTTGCATCCTTCAGTTTGGCAAAAATGGCAAAATAGAAAAAGTTACTCAGTTTTTAACAACTAATAAATTGCTATGATTTTTATAGTTATTTTTAAGTACCTAGTTTAAAAATGAAAATTATAATAAAGTCATATTTGTATTTTTGGTGGGGAGGGAAAGATATCAGAATTATGAGAATTACCCCACTTTTTGGTTCCATCTCCCAGAAACTCTGGGATTCTTGAGTTCAGATTTTTTGTTGATTTCTTTAATTCTGGATGTCTTCAACCCCCTAAATAGTTGGATCTCTTTGCTATAAACTAAACTTCCTGACTTTTATAATAAGAGTCTGTCCCCTATGCTTACAGGACCTTATTTCTTCATATCATATTTTTACATACATTATTTCCTGGCTTTCTAGTCCTTTCTATTTATAGAATTATTTATCCTATTTTTCATATCCTTATTTGACCTCCTCTTTTTCCTAAGAAATGTTATGATCTTGTCTCACCTCAAGACAGCTAATGGCAGCAGTCACTGGCAGGTTGGGTTCTGTGCGTGTTGATAGGGTAGATCCTTTAACGTGCACACTACCCCTAGGACTTGGGGGGCAGGGTTGGGGGGCGGCTGTACTGGCATTCTGATGCTTCCCTTCATGTCACATTTCCCATGATGTAATCAGTGACACTCATCTTTAGACTCCCAAGTTCACATCATTGGCTCTTAAAGAGGATCTTGACTTATTTGATTCATCTGTGCTATGTTCTTTGATGAAGACACCTTACTGTTCGCTTTGAGCAGACCTCTCAGAAGCCGAGTAGGCATGGAAGGTGGAAGGGAGAACCACCTCTAGTTTGGCCAAAGTGACCCAAGCATTTCATTTTGTTTCATTCCTACGGACCACACATCCTACGAGTTCATGTTGGTAGTCATGAGAAGACCACTAAGCAGAACATTAGGTAACACCAAAGTATGAGACTTTTAACGGGAACTCAGAATAAGGACTTTGGTATCATTAAAAAATAAAAATAAAAAATAAACTCCTTAGCTCTTGTTTATCCTGTTGCATTTAAGAAGGTAAACAGCAAGTTTAGAGTTTGTATTGGGGAGACAGATGAAAATATGTTGTTTATTCTTAATTTGAGATCTAGCCTGGTTAGATTTACTGATTTACTTTCTGAAAAGCATCTTTTTTTTTTTTTTTTTTTCCTGAGATGAAGTCTCGCTCTGTGGCCCAGGCTGGAGTGTAGTTGTGCAATCTCAGCTCACTGCAGCCTCTGCCTCCCAAGCTCAAGCAGTCCTCCCACCTCAGCGTTCTAAGTCGCTGGGACTACAAGTGCATATACCACCATGCCTGGTTAATTTTTTGTATTTTTGGTAGAAACGGGGTTTCACCATGTTGCCCAGGCTGGTCTCAAACTTCTGAGCTCAAGTGATCCACCCGCTTCAGCCTCCCAAAGTGCTAAGATTGCAGGCGTGAGCCACCGTGTTCAGCCCTGAAAAGCATAATTCTTATACTTCTAACTATAAAGCATTCTTAGATACCAGGGACTTTCACATATATTTTATTTTATCTTCCTGGTCACACTTTAAAGAGTCAGTGAGACACATGGATGAAATTAGGACAGTTTTGTAAGACATCAAACCTGGGTGTAGATTCATAAAACTAGTCTTACAGTACTTCTAGAGTTAATTGAATGATACGAGAATTCCTTTTAAATGTCAGATGTATCAGACCAAAATCTGTTGGCTTTTAAACTTGCTACTATGTATACTTACAAGCAGGGTTTTTTAAATTTCAATTTATGTATTTTTTTCTTTTCAGTGTTGTACATCAGTACACAGAAGAGACGGATGTGAAGACACCAAGAGAGCAACGCTTTTCATAGTTGGATATATTTTTTTATGAATTTTTTCTAATTTTTGCTTCTTTTGTGATACAATTTGTCCTCTTTTTATAATAGTTGGTGATTTTTCACTGACATGTGAGTAAGATAAATGTATACAATTGTGGATTTAATTGTGAAATGTTCTTTCACTTGTAAGTTTCAGTCATTTTCTTTTACCTCGTTGTCAGTGTACAGAATGCTAAAATAATTAAAAAAAGACAAAATATACCTCTTCCTACAAGATTATTTAACTTAAGTTTCGAGAAGTGTCATTTCATTTGACTTGCTTTTCTTATCCAGCTAAAATGATGCATATATTTTATATATTGTATGGACATATAATTAAAACATTTTGGAGGAATCCTCCTTTATTGCATCCTTTTCTGTTCATACAGAATCCTTGCGTGAATATGTTCTACAAAGGCATCCAGTTTCAGTCTGAAGCTACAAAAAGGGGCCACAGGATCAGAAGTTCAGCCACTGATTGAGTCACCTAAATAAAAAACAGAATTGGAAAGCCAAGAGTGCCACTTGCACATAAGGAGTGGGAATTCGAACTGAGGTGCTGGAGAAATCCTAAAGATGAACAAGATTTCAGTGAGGAGAAAGCCCTCCTGTCAGTGGTCCCCCTGCATCTCCTTATGCAATTAGACTTTTTAGGTTTCCCTGCTCCCTTTCAGGAGCATTGGCATCAACGTTATTCTCTCAGTTTATGAACACAGTAGGGGAGGGGCCATTCCTGTACATCTCTCACAGTCAGATTAAAGCAAAGCCTAGAGTTTGTAAACATAATTCAGGTTCTAATTGCCGAGCTGAGATTGGGAAAGAATTTTTCCTAACTCTGGTCTAGCAAGTGGCTGTAGGGAGGCCTTTCTCAAAAATCAGCTGTATTTGCCTTTGACATTGTCCAGGAGCAGAGCACCAGGCTTTATGTTGCTTGGCACAAGGCAGCTCCTCTGGTTATGTGACTCCTGCTGAGAGGATTTTCACAATTTATTAATGAGCTTTCCACAACCCTGCTTTATTCTCCAAACAGTTTTACGCTGTCTCTAGGAACAACAAATATATCTGGGCACTGTGGTTGAATGAATACCAGACAATTGTGTGAATGTTGTATTGGACTTCCTCTTCCCTCCCTTCCCAATCTAAATAGCATTCCTATTTCAGGAGCCGATGGTGTGATTCGAAACAACTGCTTGGTTGAAGGATGGGGGGCAGGATCGAGAAGGAGAGAGGGAAGGGGCAGTGCTGATTCTGGAGAGGTGTATGTAGTGTTTTGTCTTGGTTTATTTTAAAGATCAGAGAGTAATTGGAAACAATTATTTTTTAATTAATAACTTGGGAAAGGTGAACAGAAGCATTTCACAGGGTTTTACCGTGTGCACACTGAAAATAAAACACTTTATGCTATGCTTCAATAATTTATCACTTCTTGACAGGGGCTTGGAAAAGGTCCAGTATGTAAGTACAAATCACCAATTTGCTCTTTTATAAATGAGTTCTTTTAAGGAGAAAATGGATGGCTCTCCAAGTGGAGCATACATGTTCTCATTTGTTTTGTAGAATATGTGGGGCTGCAGGTTATTGTGTCCCTTCATTCACTTATATCAGCCACCTCTAAAAGCAATTCCATTGTAGTCTCCCACTAATCTGTAGCGTCCTGTTTTTTCTAACTTCTTCCCTGACCTCGCCTTTGATATATAAGTCTTTATTTTCCCCTTGCCATCTCTCTAGTTTAATAGCTCTACAGTGGAGTACTGTTTTCAACCATGGAACTACTTTTAATCAAGATCAACTTTGGGAAGTGCTGCCATTTTTATGGTAATAAAGGACTGTATTATGCACTTGAACCCGCTCAAGTTGTCCCCTGTGTATACCTTCACATAGTAGAACCATGAAACAAAGTGTAAATGCTTAAATTGCTTTGTTCTTAACTGTAGTCTCCTAGAGGTCAGTGAATGATTTCTAGTTGCATTGTAGCGAAGACATTTGTTCCAGGTTGAAGAATTTTTTACTTGAGAACATACATTTTCCCTGTCTGTGTGCCCCCAAACCCTGTCTGCCACACTCTTTCTCTTGGGCTGTGACAAAACAGAATGTTTAGCGAGAAACAAAATTGTGCTCGATTTTCAGACTATCTGACTTCATTTTCTGTTTTGGTCTTTGAGCTATTCCTTGGCTAATCTTCCAACAAGTCGAATTGATTCTTATTTCAAAACTGTTTATCCCAAAACAGAGCTGTTGACAAGTACAAATACAGATGGCAGACATGTGGTATGATTTTCATGTTCTCATCTCAGCATTCAGGAAGGGAATGTTATTGAAAGATGGTTTACATCTGAAGCTTTCTGCTCAAGGCAATATGGAATGCATGCTAGGAGCGCTTAATTATGCTTAATTAATAATAGTAACAAATGCTTACGGGATTTCCTTAAGGTCTAAAAGTGCAGCAGCATTGGACTTGCTGTGTAAGGCTTACCGCCCCGGAGGCTATAATAATCTGTAACAATAGAAGCAACCTCTAGGGGGTAAAATTGTCTTTGATAATCACTGACTCTTGGGTGACCTCAGTACAGCATTCCAGGCCAAAGATCCAGAATGTTCCCTTACTGGGGGCAGACACGCCTATGATTGCACTGACCTTTGTCCTCCGAGCAGATGATCCTCCAGAGTACTGGCTAGCTCTTAGATTCAGAGGTAAATCCCAGCCCATGCTGTGGCCTTGCTGTTCCCCACAGCCCAACTGCATTAACTATAATTTTTTTTTCTCCACAAAAAGAAATTGTTGGTGAAAGGAAGACAACCTTCAGTTTTTCTCCCCACCGACCTGGTTTCAGGAGGCCGTGTGCTCAGTGGAGTGTCTCTGCCTGTCTTCGCTAAGCTTGCCCCTGACCATTGTGGAGGTAGATGCCACCTAAGAGTGGCAGGGTTAGTCCTGACCTCTGGGGTCTGAATATCCAGCAACTATCTTAATTCCAGTCGCTGCTGTCTGTTGTACCACCAGTACACAGCAGTACAGCTGTGTCTCTGTTGTTGACCGACTAACTTAGATTCACTGTTGAAGTCCAATTAGCCAGAGTGGGGGTGAAAATGCAAGAGTGGACGGTGAGAGTGGTATGTGTCATGTACGACAGGACAGTGGAGAGAGCCCTCTCTGATACCTGTTAGTCCCTCCTTTAAAAGATGCGGGAGGTGGCCAGGGAGTGGGGATTTCAGAATGTGGTGGCAGAAATCAGTTTGGCATTTATTGGATGACAGCTGTAGGCAGGCACTGTGCTATACCTTAGGGGGGTAGATAAAAAAGGAAATATGACATTGCACCTTCCATACTGAGTTTGTAGGTTTGGGTATTTATGGGGGAAAGTGGTACCCTCCATCCTTTTTTTAAAAAATTGGGCCAAAATTGTAAGAATTCTTTTAAAAACCTGAACATTTTAGATGGATTTGAGCATCTCAACTGTATGTTCGTATCTTGAAATTCCAAATAAACTCAGGAGTGGATAATTCTGAAATCTGAACGTAACTATGCCCTGTTTACCCACAGGCCCAGGTAGTTCAGCCTCCCATCTTTGTTTTTTTCCTTCTCCTAGAAAAGCCAGCTTTTGTGTGGTTTAACTGAACAGTCATGTTGGATTTTTTTTTATTTGAAGACCCATTTTGACTCATCTGCAGCACTGAAGGATTTTCTTCATAGTAATTTGGGAGTTATAGCAGATAGAAAGGCAGAGGCATATTCCAGGAATTTCATGAAATATAAAACACTGAAACACTTGGGATAGGCTAGTTTTCAATGCCTAGGTTACACAAATGTCCAAATTCACATGGGCTTAATTTATTCCAAGTTTTATAATGGGATGGATGTTGGTGAGTTTGGCAATATACCAATAATTTGGATTAAAGGAGAGGTTAGTTTATGAAAAGTTTACGTAACAATCTTAGGCAATTTTATTACCATCATGTGCATACGGTATTTCAAGTCACTATTCAGTGTTTATATCAAATAGACGTTTTATTGAACTTGGAAAAATGAAAAAATTAAAAATGTGTAATATGTACGGTAGAGTGGATGTTGCTGGGATACAGGGCTCCTTATACCCCGCCCACAGTAGTGTGTTAGTCACAAACCCCAAATCTCAGTGGTTTGAAACAACTAATGATCTTACTTATGCTCCATGTGCACAGGGGCCCATAGGTGGGACTCCACTGATTGCAGTCACCTGGGGGCCCAGGCCGAGGGAGGTAGCACCTTATGTTTCCACCATCTCAACCTGAGGAATCAGCATCTGCTGTGGCAGGGGAAGGGCAGAAAGGATCACTCCCTGGCTCCTAAAACCTTTTGCTTAAAGCTAGTGTCACTTCTACCCCATTATTAGGCAAAGCAAGTTACACGGTCAGGGCTTACTTTAAGTTTTCAGAAAAGTATAATCCTTTCATGGACCCAGGAGAGACAACCAGAAATACTGGTGAACAGTGGTAGTAACCTACCACATGATGTGTACTAGTCATGGTTCCTCCAGAGAAACAGAACCAATAGGATGTATAGAGAGATTTTAAGGACTTGGCTCCCACAATTGTGGAGGCAAGCCCAAAATCTGCAGGGTAGGCTGGCAGCCTGGAGACCCAGGGAAGAATTGCCACTCAAGTCTGAAGGCTGGCTGCTGGAAGAACTCCCTTTTCCTCCAAGGAAGTCAGTGTTTTCCTATTAATGCCTTCAACTGATTGGATGAGGCCCACCCACATTATGGGGGGTAGTCTGTTTTATTTACTTTAAATAGGTCTACTTATTTAAATGTTAATCTCATCTTTAAAAAATAGCTTCATAGCAACATCTAGAGTAATGTTTGACCAAATATCTGGGTACCATGGCCTAGCCAAATTGATACATGAAGTTAACTATCATGGTATGTTAACCATATCCTTTGCATTATACATTTTCTTAATCATTAGTAAAGCATTCAGAAGTATAAAGCATCGGTGTGATTTTTACTATATTGAAAAAAGAATTCTTTCTTTGTTAAGACTTGGGTTGAGGGACCTGTGCTCTTGGTGTCTTAATCTATTTTTCATTAGATTCCAAAGAAAATAGTAACTGGTTTCTTCATGGTTTCAGAAGCTGAGTCTGAATAGATTGTTTTGGTTTGGTTTTGTTGCTGCAGTTTAATTTACAATTTTCCAATTAATATATTCCTATATTTAAAAGAAAATGCAGAAGGTGACCATCTTTCATTAGACCAGGTAATTTTATCTCAAGCCAACCAAATGTGTTCCATCCACATACTGTGAGGAGATGATCATGGAGTCTTTAGTATACCTCAGAACTTGCCTCATGTAAAATGTGTCTCAAAGGCACAGGGCATGTTACAGCTAAAACTTTACCTTATCACTTTTCATACAGTGGGTTTTTATGGCTCTCCCTTTTCAGTATATTCAAAACTCTTTACAAGTATCTTCCTCCTGAGAAAGTGCATGTGTTCCTGTCTTGTTCAAAGATGTCCCATCAACAGGACCTGATCTCCAGTTTGCTTTTGTCTTTTTCCTAATTGTGATATTCTTGGCAGAGCCTGCTTCACACCCTGTTCCTTGTCCCCCTGGCACTGACATAGATAGATTTCTGAGATGATTTCTCCATGCTGGGAGTGCAGTAGAGGAGACTCATGAGGATCAGACCTCCACCTTGGTTTCATTAGCCAACTAAGCTAATCCTCACATTCTCCTCTCGTAGTCACTGAACAAGGTAGTCCCTTTTTCCACATGAGGAAACCTGAAGCAAAGAGGTTAAAGTGACTTGCCGAGGGTCACTTGGTGAGTCGCTGCAACTACAGTAACAGTTCCTTCTGCTATTTGATCAAGTGCATAGGTGTGGGCTCCATTGATTTCTTCTTCTAGCATGCATTTAATTAATAAATCAATCTTCTCTTCTGATTCATCCTACCAGTAGTCGAATGAAGAAGGTCCCAAAGTGTGCACACAGACTGCTGTCCTCTACATTCAAAGATGATGTTGCTGACAGTGATTTGCTATCATCCTGCTTGAGTGTGACAGGAAATATCAATAGTTGGCCAACAGCCCTTTATACACCGGGCCAAGGTAGAAAACTGCTCCTTGGCTTGCGTCTGCAGGCACTGTTTGCAGAGACTAGCAGTTTTTGAGATGACTGTCTCTTAGAATTTGTTTTTTCTTCCCTGGAGTCTCTCTAATCCTAATTACTACTCAACAGGCTGTTTCCCAGCAGCCGTTTGCTGGACCTTTGTGTTAGAAGCTGTGCATCATCAGACCCAGTAGGTCTGTAGGAGAGAAGTGGAGACAGGCTGTGTGTGCATCTGAATCGACTTTCCCTCCCTGGGCAATGCTGACTAAATCTGTGGTTCTTTTGTCAGTGACTCATTTGCTCAGATGCTGAATGAAGACTGAAGTAATTTGTTTTTATTTTTTATTTTTGAGACAGAGTCTCACGCTATTGCCTAGGCTTAAGTGCAGTGGCATGATCTCAGCTCACTGCAACCTCCTCCTGGGTTCAAGCAAATTCTCCTGCCTCAGCCTCCCCAGTAGCTGGAGTAACTTTTCGTATTTTTAATAGAGACGGAGTTTCACCATGTTGGCCAGGTTGGTCTCGAACTCCTGACATCAAGTGACCCACCTGCCTTGGCCTCCCAAAGTGCTGGGATTATAGGCATGAGCCACCATGCCTGGCCCCAAGACTGAAGTAATTTAATGTCTTTTCTCACGTGAGATTTGCCATGTCACTTGGCCCCCTTCTCTGTATCCCTCATTCTCATTTTGTGTACTTAGGACTTTCCCAGGCCCCATTCCTTGAGCACAGCCCATACCCCAAAACCACTCTACCCCCAACCTTGGGCACATTGCTTAAAATCACCATGCAATCATTTTAAATTCAACCATGTTAGGTTGTGCATTTTGTGTTAAGTACATTTTTTGTGACATGTTTACTTACAATTTCTCTTTTCTTATTCTTATCATTTTTCAGTGTATTATAAAACATTAGAACTTTTTTTTTTTTTTTTTTTTTTTTTGAGACGGAGTCTCGCTCTGTCGCCCAGGCGGGACTGCGGACTGCAGTGGGCAATCTCGGCTCACTGCAAGCTCCGCTTCCCGGGTTCACGCCATTCTCCTGCCTCAGCCTCCCGAGTAGCTGGGACTACAGGCGCCCGCCACCGCGCCCGGCTAATTTTTTTTGTATTTTTAGTAGAGACGGGGTTTCACCTTGTTAGCCAGGATGGTCTCGATCTCCTGACCTCATGATCCACCCGCCTCGGCCTCCCGAAGTGCTGGGATTACAGGCGTGAGCCACCGCGCCCGGCCTAGAACTTTTTTTTAACTTTTCATTGAAACTGATCACTTTAAGTACTGTGAGGGAAAAATGCAGGATGTCAAAGAGATATAGCAAGCCTTGATCAAAATGCCGTATTGTGTTTGCATTTCCAGAAAAAAGGGGAACATCTATTGTAAAAAAATTAAAATAGATGGGTGAGAGGTTGAGAGATAATAGATAATAGATACTATTTCCCATGATTAGAACTGTTTTCCTGAGTGAACCTATATACCCTGTTCAGAGAAATGAATTTATTTTAACTGAAAGGAAAACCAGGTTGAATGATCATCAGGTAGAGAATTTTTTTGCGGGGGGCGGTGGGGAATGGACAGAGTCTTGCTCTGTCACCCAGGCTGGAGTACAGTGGTGTTGTCATAGCTCACTGCAGCCTCAACCTCCTGGCCTCAAGTGATCCTCCCATCTCGGCCTCCTGAGTAGCTGAGACTACAGGAGCACACCACTATGTCCAGCTAGGTAGATAATTTGAAAGCCATTCTTTTTAATTAAAAACCAGTGCAGACTTTTAACATGATCAATTTTGCTGCTGTCATTCATTTCCCTTTAATGAAGTGAAATTTACCCCAAATTATGATTCTCTTCTTTCTCCCTCTTTCTACTTCTGTTTTATGGGAGAAGCCAGCTTTTAAACTCTGTAGTTGGAATCCCCTACCCCTACCTCGCCTAAATTATCTTGGCATTATTTCTCTCCTATTTGCCCTTATTCTGAATTTCATGTCAACTTATTTATTATTTTAACAAGCTGACCCTTCCTCAAGCTTTCTGTGTGGAGGGGAAGGGACTGTGCTGGAGTCCCTGTTGTATCTCAGTGGAAGCTGTTCTCCTGACATAGCTGGTGATTTTGTGGGCAGTTGGTGTGTGAATGCCACTGACCTAGGTACTTTAGGAACTTGACAAAACCTGAAGAAAAGAGTTTCCTATCAGGATTTTACAACAGTGAGACCAGATCAATTTCAGTGCCATTGTATATCGGAAGCTCCTTGAGGGCAGAGCTGTGTTTCTCTTGGCTTTTTATTTCCAGTGCCTGAAGGTGCCTGAGATATTGGTGTTCATTTGCTGTTTTCCTGCTGACAAATAATTACATAGAAACAAAATCCTGGTGTCTTTAGATAATTTACCTAGGTCTTTGGTAAGCATTTTGGCTTCCAGATAGAAATTCTCTCATCCTCAGCATCAGGCTCATTATTATTATTTGAAAATTTGAAAACACTGGCAAAGAGGCAAGTTGCAGTGCAGTAATAAGGTCCTTAATTTTCTACCATCTGCTGGAAGTTCATTCTGCTGCAAGCTGACCATCTGATGCATTTTTGGTTTGTTGGGCTGACAGTTTTACTGCTTAGAAATCAGAAGAAACAACACACTGGACTCATAAGGAGAGAATGCTCATTGAACGGGGAATTGATGGGAATTTGGGAAAAAAGGTGGCTGTCATCTTGGCGAGTATGCCAGGGAGTGAAATAAATCTTTTGTTGTTGTTGTTTTTTGTTTTGTTTTTGAGACAGAGTCTCACTCTGTCGCCCAGGCTGGAGTGCAGTGGCGTGATCTCGGCTCACTGCAAGCTCTGCCTCTCGGGTTCACACCATTCTCCTGCCTCAGCCTCCCAAGTCGCTGGGACTACAGGCACCCACCACCACGCCTGGCTAATTTTTTGTATTTTAGTAGAGACAGGTTTTCACCATGTTAGTCAGGATGGTCTCGATCTCCCGACCTCGGGACCTGCCTGTCTCGGCCTCCCAAAGTGCTGGGATTACAGGCGTGAGCCACCTCCCCCAGCTGAAATAAATCTTAAGTGTAGTCAGACACATATCCCAGCCTTTGTGAAAGCAGTTATAAAAAGTTCAGTTCAGGAAAAAAAAAATATCATCTTGTGGGAAGACACAGAAAGTTTATGAAAATTTGTAAAGTATCTTTTTGAATACAAACTCCAAAGAGAAAGAAAAAGAGAGCCTTCAGAGAGCTAACACATATTCAAGTCTTACTTTGTGCTGGCCATTGTTCTAAGCTCTTTACAACTAATTTCATCTTCAGAACAACCCTATGAAATTGATATTATTATTCCATTTATAAATGAGGAAATTGAAGCACACAGAAAGGAAGAAACTTGCTCAATATCACCCAGTTAGTTACTGGCAGAGGTGAGATTTAAACCCAGCAGTCTGGGTCCAGAGACTTTAAACCACTTGCACCTGAATATGTCAAGAAGCCCAAGCCCATTTTGAGTTAATTTTTGTATGTGTTGCAAGATAAGCATCCATTTTCATTCTTTTGCATGTGGATATCCAGTTTCCTAGCACCATTTATTGAAGAAACAGTCCTCTCTCCATTGTGTGTTCTTGGTACCTTTTTCTAAAATCAATTGATCTTAGATATGTGGGCTTATTTCTGGGGTCTCTGTCTTGTTCCATTGGCCAGTATGTCTGTTTTCATGCTAATACCATGCTGCTTCAATTATTATAACTTTGTAATAGATTTTGAAGTCAGGCAGTGTGATGCCTCCAGCTTGTTGTTTTTGTTCAGTATTGCTTAGCTATTTGGGGTCTTTTGTGGTTCCATACATATTTTAGGATTGTTTTTTCTATTTCCTTAAAAAGTGATATTGGAATTTTGAGAAGAATTACATTGAATCTGTAAATTGTTTTGCATAGTATGGACATTTTAACAATATTGATTCTTTCAATTCATGAACATGGGACACCTTTCGATTCGTTTGTGTCCTCTACTATTTCTATCATCAATGTTTTATAGTTTTCAGTATATAAATCTTTCACCTCCCTGGTGAAATTTACTCCTAAGTGGTTTTTTTTTTTAATGTTATTGTAAATGAAATTGGTTTCTTCATTTCTTTTTGAGGTAATTCATTTTTAGTGTAAATAAATGTTACTGATTTTTTTTTTCTTCTTTTTAGACAGAGTCTCACTCCCATCGCCCAGACTTGAGTGTAGTGATGTGATCACTGCTCACTGCAGTCTCAGCCTTCCAGGATCAGGTGATTCTCTCACCTCAGCCTCTTGAGTAGCTGGGTAATAGGGAGATGCTGATCAAAAGGTACAAAATTTCAGTTAGGAGGAATAAGCTTTAGTGATCTATTACACAGAATGTATAATAATGTATATTTCAAAATTGCTAAAAGAATATATTTTAAATGTTTTCACCACAAAAAAATGATAAATGTGTTAGGAGTTGGATTTGTTAATTAGCTTGATTTAATCATCCCACAATGTAAACATATATCAAAACATCATATTGTAGCACATAAATATATAATATATACAATTATTATGTTAATTAAAATTTAAAATAATTACTTGAAAAGAAGACCAAACTCCCAGATATGCTGAGACTTTTCAGAATAAAGTGGACAACAAAGGGACAAGGCCACTCATTAATGAGGATAGCCTGGTGTTAACAGATGGCGTGGAGGCCAGGCAACTCGGGTCTTATTTTGTTTCTTTGTCCTTCAAAAAGAATCATCTCCAAGCTGAAAATATTTCTAGGGGAGAAACGGAATCCACCAAAATAAAGAAGACTGGAACTCCTCTAAGTTAACTCTCCAGGGGCACTGATGATATCACACTGCACAAAGCAACTTGCAGGTGACACAGGAAACACTGTTAGGCACCTGTGAGACATTGAGGAAAATGAGACATGAGCAAATAAATGCCCTGGTTTTAAAAAGGAAGAAAGGGTAGGGAAACAACAGACCAGCAACCTTGATGCAAAAACCGTGAATACTCAAAAGAAGTAGAAAATATGTAGAAAAAAAAGTTGTGGTTTAAAAGCCAATATGGGTTCACTTAAAGAAGGCATGTCAAGACCACAGAATATTTTAATAGGTCTAGAAACTACATCTATTAAAATATGTAGAACCTATACCTTCTACACTACTAAACTAGAAGGATATTGTAATTGTAACATCATCATCATCATTGATGCCACTATCATTATCATCCTGGGTAAAAACTACTGAGCAGTTTCTTTGTTACAGGTGCTATATATCTGCAACACTCAGTATAAACTGCCTCATTTAATCCTCAGAACCAACCACCCTATGTCATAGTATGGTCTCACTTAATCTTAGCAACACATTGAACAAAATTTCTTAACTATGTGGACAAAAATAAAATAGAGTAGTTGTTAGTATGACTGGAGGATTTATAACTGCTTGGAAAAGAAAAGGCAGTGCACATAAATACAGCCATGTGGGCAACTATACTTAAAATGTATCACAACCTCCTGTACTTGGTTCTATAGAGTTTATTATTTTCATCAACTCCCAGGTAAAGGAATCAAAGATTTTTCATATTATGTAGTATAAGGAAGGATGGATAATACTAGGAATAATAGAATCAAGAGTAAAAAAATTCAATAAGCTAGAATAAGAGAATGAAAGCATTAAGCTGGAGACAAAAGGCATTTCAATTTAGGATTTTTTTTAAAAAGCTATATAACACAGTTTGGGGAGACCCAGAATTATTGAGTCTCATTGTTGGAAGAAATGTTTGGTCTTCTAGCCCACCCAAGAAGTCCCACTAAGTAGTTCTCTAGTTCTGTGTTTTTCAGTCTGCATAATATGGCATGGGAAATTAAATCAATTTAGTGGTTAAAGGTCATCAATAAAAAAATGGAAACAAATCAATGTGCACCATTTATAGCATTTAGTATTATTGTGTTAAATATGTTTCCATTTTATTCTTGGTGTGGGTACACTTGGGGCTGATAAAAAACATATTTTCTACCATAGGTTGTGATCAAAAAATTTGAAATCCACTGCTATGGCCAATGCTTAAATACCTTTCTTTCATTGCCTCATTTACAGATACTGTCTACAAGGAAATCTGGGGGGCATCCTTTTTGTCTTTGTACACATCTGGCTCATAGGGAGATATTTTTCTTTTAGTAGTGAATTTAAATTTGTCTCACTGTAGCTTGAGCACCTTGGTTTGTGTCTCAGCCTTGCCACATACTGGTCATAAGATCTTGCTCAAATCATTTTACCTCTTTAATCCAAAATTTTTCTTATCTGTAAAAATGGCAATATTTAAAATAACAGATCGATATTTTCCATACCTATTATGAGGGTAAAATTGATTTTTTTAAAATAGAAGGCATATTAAAAACTCTGAAGATTTTACAAATGCTATTCTTTATAACCCTTAAGTTTACCTTAAACAAACCTAATCTTTTGTTGTCAACCCTTCAGATATTTTAGGAAGCTATTATGAATCTTCTTTCCTCAAGATGAAACTCCTTGTTGGCTCAACTGCTCTTCACAGATGCATAATTTTGGAGTCCATACACCACCCTGGTCACTCTCTTTAGAATACACTCCAGTTTTGTACATTTATTCTATTTTCAACTGTATGTTAATTTTAAAGTACAGCATGCAACATGAAAATTAACATGCACACAATGAGAGGAGCTGTGTTAGGCGAAGGAGCTTATTGATGATTACTTTGCTTTTTCAAAAATTGTGTTTAATGTTGGCATATACCCCATCTTCCATAGAAATAAAGTAGGGTGTTCAGGATCTAATTTCAAATGTAGACTAGTAATCTCAAAGTGTAATGGGACAATTATATCCCTTGTTCAGGAGACAAAATTGCTCCCAAAACCTTCTTTTGTTCTGTTTTTTCATGGCATATTTTAAGCTTAAAACCCTAAAGGTTTTGTTTTGTTTTGTTTTTAAGTGTCTGCTTGTGAGCCCTGTCTCCTCCATCCTGGGTTTAAGCCATTGGTTTTTTCTGACCTAAGAAAAGCACTTAACATTTGTCCTTGTTTAATTTCATCTTGTTAGATTCAGCTCATTGCTCTGGGCTGTCAAGATCATTTTTCATCATTATTCTGTCATGCAGTCATCTGCCTGCTCCTCCCAGTGGCTGGTCACCCACAGGCCAGAGGTGCATGCCCGCCACACCTTTCTCACACAGTGCTGGAGGGAAGCCACAGGGAACCCCTGTCCAGGTGACATGACAGAGCTGACAGTCAGCATCCTTTAGGGGACGTTCTGCAGCCAGTTTAGAATGTATCTAGTTGTCTTTGTGTTATTTTAACCAATTTTTCTTTTTATGGTCCCTAAAGGTAATGAGAAATAGGCAGCTGATTAAGTTTACCATTTTTACTTCTCTGCCAGGAAGCTCAGAGTATGGGTCAACGGTCCATTTTTAATGGGTCTAAGCCACTTTTAAAATCTAGTAAAAATAAAATAATAACACATGATATATTAGGGTTCTCCAGTAAACAAAACCAACAGGAGATAGGTAGATATAGATATAGATGTGCCTATATAGAGAAATGTAGTACTCCCTTCCTATCCGTGGTTTCATTGTGGTTTTAGCTATCTGTATCAGCCATGGTCTGAAAATATTACATGGGAAATTCCAGAGATAAACACTTCATAGGTTTTAAGTGTGCCCTTTTCTGAGCATGGTAAAATCTCGTGCTGTCCCACTCCATCCCACCTGGACATGGGTCATCCGTTTGTCCAGCGTATTCATGCCATAGACACTCTCTACCCATTAGTCACTTGGTGGCCACGTCAATCACCAGATCAACTGTCTCAGTATTGCAGTACTTGTATTCAAAGAAGCCTTTTTTGATTTCATAATGGCCCCAAAGCCCAAGAATAGTGATGCTGGCAATTCGGATATGCCAAAGAGAAGCTGTAAAGTGCTTCCTTTAAGTGAAAAGAAGAACATTCTCAACTTAATAAGGAAAGAAAAAGAATCATATACGGAGGTTCCTAAGATATAAGATAAGAATAAATCTATCTGTAAAATTGTACAGAAGGAAAAAGAAATTCATGCTAATTTTGCTGTCATACCTCAAACTATAAAAGTTATGGCCACAGTACATGATAAGTGCTTAGTTAAGATGGAAAAGATATTCAATTTGTAGATAGAAGATGTGAACAGAAATATGTTCCGATTGATGACAATCAGGTTTGGTACTATCTGTGGTTTCAGGTATCCACTAAAGGTCATGGAATATATACCCCTTGGATAAGGGGGAACTACTGTATAGATAGAGATGGAGATGGAGATAGAGATGGAGATGGAGATGGAGATAGAAATAGAGAGAGAGAGAGATAGAAGTATAGGTATACCTCTCTTTGTGCTTTGCAAATGTGTTTTTTACAAATTGATGGTTTGTAGCAACTGTGTGTCGAGCAAGTCTATGAGTGACAGTTTTCCAACAGCATGTGTTCACTTTGTATCTTTGTGTCACATTTTGGTAATTCTCACAATATTTCAAACTTTTTCATGATTATTGTATCTGTTATGATGATCTCTAATCAGCGACCTTGTTGTGACTATTGTAATTCTCTTGGTGCACCATGAACTGCACTCATGTCAAATGGCAAACTTAATCAATAAATGTATCTGTTCTGACTGCTCCACCAACCAGCCATTCCCCCATCTCTCTCCTTGTCTTTGGGCCTCCCTATTCCTTAAGACATGAGACTATTGAGATTAGGCCAATTAATAATCCTACAATGGCATTTAAGTGATCAACTGAAAGGAAGAATCAAAGGACTCTTACTTTAAATCTAGAAATGATTAAGCTTAGTGAGGCAGGCATGTTGAAAATTGAGATAGACTAAGAGCTAGGCCTCATGCACCAGACAGTTAGCCAAACTTTGAATCCAAAGGAAAAGTTCTTAAGGGAATTTAAAAGTGCTACTCCAGTGGACACATGAATGATAAGAAATCAAAACAGCCTTATTGCTCATATAGAGAAAGTTTTAGTGGTCTGGACAGAAGATCAAACCACATCATTCTCCTAAGCTAAAGCCTAATCCAGAGAAAGGCCCCAACACTCTTCAATTCCATGAAGGCTGAAAGAGGTGAGGAAGATGCAGAAGAAAAATTTGAAGCTAGCAGAGGTTGGTTCATGAGGGCTAAGGAAGGAAGAGTCATCTCCATAACACAAAAGCACAAGATGAAGCAGAAAGTGCTGATACAGAAGCTGCAACAAGTTATCCAGGAGATCTAGAAGATAACTGATGAAGCTGGTGCCACTGAACAACAGATTTTCAATGTAGACAAAACAGCCTTCTGTTGGAGGAAGATGCCACCTAGGACTTTCATAGCTAGAGAGGAGAAGTCAATACCTGGCTTCAAAGCTTCAAAAGGCAGGCTGACTCTCTTGTTTGGGCTAATGTGGCTTATGACTTTAAGTTAAAGTCAATGCTCATTTATCATTTGAAAATCCTAGGGCCCTTAAGAATTATACTAAATCTACCCTGCCTGTGCTCTATAATGGAACAATAAGGCCTTGATGACAGCACTTCTGTTTACAGTATGGTTTACCGAATACCTTAGCTCACTGTTGATACCAAGTGCTCCGAAAAAAAAATATTTCTATTAAAATATTACTGCTCATTGACAATGCACTCAGTCATCCAAGAGCTCTGATGAATATATACAAGGAGATTAGTGTTTTCATGCCTGTTAACACAACATCCATTCTGTGGCCCGTGGATCAAGGAATAATTTCCACTTTCAAGTCTTATTATTTAAGAAATAGATTTTGTAAAGCTATTGCTGCCATAGATAGTGATTCTTTTGATGAATCTGGGCAAAGTAAATTGAAAACCTGAAAACCTTCTAGAAAGGATTCACTATTTTAGATACCATTAAGAAAATTAACGATTCATGGGAGGAGGTCAAAATATCAACCGTAACAGGAGTTTGGAAGAATTTGATTCTAACCATTATCGATGATTTTGAGGGGTTCAAGACTTTACTGGAGGAAGTCATTGCAGATGTGGTAGAAATAGCAAAAGAACTAGAATTAGAAGTGGAGTCTAAAGATGTAACTGAATTGCTGCAATCTCATGATAAAACTCTAATGGATGAGGAGTTGCTTCTTATGGATGAGCAAAGAAAATGGTTTCCTGAGGTGGAATCTACTTCGAACATTGTTGAAATGATGCCATGGCTTTAGAATATTACATAAAGTTAATTGATAAAGCAGAGGCAGAGTTTGGGAAGATTGACTCCAATTTTGAAAAGTTCTACTGTGGGTAAAATGCTATCAAACAGCATTGCATGCTATAGAGAAATCTTCTGTGAAAGAAAGAGTCAATCAATGTGGCAAATTTTATTGTTGTCTTATTTTAAGAAATTGCCACAACCACCTCAGCTTTCATCAATCACCACTCTGATCCATCAGCATCGAGGCAAGACCCTCCAACAGCAAAAAGATCATGACTCACTGAAGGCTCAGATGATCATTAGCATTTTTTGGCAATGAAGTATTTTTATATTAAGGTATGTATATCTTTTTTTAGACATAATGTTATTACACACTTTGAAGACTATAGTATAGTATAAACATAACTTTTATATGCACTGGGAAGCCAAAAATATTGTGTCACTCTCTTTATTGTGATGTTCGCTTTATTGCGGTGATCTGGACCCAACCAAACCTGCTATATCTCTGAGTTATGCCTGTATAGATATAGAGAAAGAGATTGATTATAAGGTATTGGCTCACATGATCATGGAAGCTGAGAAGTCCCATGATCTGCTGTCTATAAACCAGAGACCCAGGAAAGCCAGTGGTGTCATTTGAAGGCCTGAGAGTCCAAGAGTCACTGATATAGATTCCAGTTTGAGTGCCAAGTCCTGAGAATCAAACCTCTGAGGGCAGGAGAAGCTCAATGCTCCAGCTCAACGGTCAGAGAGTGAATTCAACTGTTCTTAGCCCTTTTGTTCTAAACAGGTCCTCAGTGGATTGAATGAGGCCCATGCACACTGGGGAGGGAAATCTACTCAGCCCATCAACTCAAATACTAATTCCTTCCAAAAACACCCTCACAGACACACGTAGAGATAATGTTTAGCTAGCTATCTGGTTTCTGTTGACACATAGAATTAACTATCACAAGTGGTAAAAGCAGAAAAAATAACTACTGAGTACTGGACTCAATACCTGGGTGATGAAATAATCTGTACAACAAACCCCCATGACATGAGTTTAACAATGTAACAAACCTGTACATGTACCCCTGAACCTAAAGTAAAAATTGAAGAAAAAAGAAAAGCAAAATATACTAAGGACTATCATACCAGAATTTTGTATAAACTTAAACTATTTCAAGTAGTATTTTCTGCTTACCTATAGATTCCTCCATCAGAGACATGTGAATTGGGCTTTGTGGGGGAAAGTGCAGGTGTTTTGGGGAGGAGTAAAACTGATGCTAATCATTGCTGCTCCCCTATCTTGTGAGATAGGGAAAACAGTCAACATAGGGTTTAGTGAAAAGATGGTGTTAAAGAAGTCTCATTGGCTTGGCCTACGGTAGACCTTCTGTTAAACTCTTAAGGGATCTATTGCCATGTGGATTTTGCTCACGTTACTGAAGGGTTTTTATGGGAAGAAATTGTTAAGCACTGAAGGGGAATTGGGAAATCTGGTATTTCTACTTCCAGCTTTTCTAGACTGCTTGCTGGATGGTTGGAAACAAATGATTAAATTTCCTAAGGTGCCTCAAACTTATTAAGCTGGGGCCACTCACATACTGGCGGTGTGCTAAGCGGGCTCCTGGGATTCTGTGTCACCAGGCAGTTTGCTCCCAAGAGAACTGGCTCAGATCCTAGCAGTAAGTGCCAGCGTAACGTTTCACAGCTTTGGGGTGCTGCCTGAGAAGTTGACTCTATTGCTGTTTTGCAGGAGGTGGTGAAAGAGGCCTGTCGGTTTTAGATGTCTGTTTAGTAAAAGAAAGGACTGTGATGGCAGACTTGCAGCTGGTTTGAAGGAAATGTGGATCCAGCTCTGGAGCTGAGTCTTAGAGCAAAAGAAGGAATTGGTCCTGCAGAAATGGCCCATGAACGTGGACCAGAGAAACACTTTTGGAGTTTGGCATTTGCAGGTTCCTTGAAAAAATGTTTTAAAATTAAAAGTTAAAAAATTTGATGAAGGACTTTCTCATTCAAAGATTTTAGTATTTCCCCATTGCCAAGGGAGATTGGGGGCTAACCAGACAATTAGTTGCTTCTTGCTGCAGAGTGGATAAGAGGTTTGGATTGCCTCTTTAAAGGAGAGTAAACCCTGTTTGTTGTGACTGCTTCTGTGATGGGCGATCAAAGGGCAGTGTGGACGATGAGAATATAAAGGATGACATTTAGATACTCAACCATAATGCTGCATTCTTTACTTTTAAAAAGAGAGAGAAGGAAGAAAAGAAAATATATCCTTACAATTTTTAAATGTTCTTTAATTTGAGAAAACCCGCCATGGATGGAAGGAAGGACAAACATTTGACATTGTTCAATATTGAGGGCTCCTGAAGTCTAGTTACCCTGAAATAGCTTTTACCTTCTTGCTTTGAAGTAGTGGGTCCCAAAATCAGTTTGCCCGCTTCTGGTAGGTTTGCTGGGTTAGGATGTGAGGTCTGCAGAGAAAGAAAGTTCCGGCTAGATTTCTTACTTACTCAGAGTGGCCCTCCAAACCCTGGTCCGTATCAGAGAAGCAGGAAACCAAAGTCTTGTCTCCCACCCTTAATTAGCTTTTTGGAACCATCCCACATCACTTTTTCTGTATGTTTCCATGTTCGTGACTATACAATGGCCATTGTAACAGCTTAGAATTTAGGGGCACAGGCTCCAGAGCTACTCTGCAGGGGTTTGAAACTTAGCGCCTCCAATCATGGGCAATGTGACTTCAAACAAGTTGCTTTAATCTTTCTGTGCCTTAGCTTTCTCATCTGTAAAGTGGAAATGGGATTAGAACATATTTTATAGGATCATTGTGAGGATTAAGTGAGTTCATACATGTTCAATGTTAGCTGTGTGCCTGGCACATGGTAAGAGTTCAATACATGGGACCTATTATCCTTGGAAAGGTTGGAAAAAGGATGCATTAAAATAAGTGGAACACATAGAGTTCTGAACAGAGAGATCCATGTTCCTTTGTCTTCTTTAGCGTAGGTCTATGCTACATTATTTCACAGATAACTTACGATGTTCATAGTGCTGTGCTACGCATCCAAGCTCGGCAATTTTAAGACAATTCCTACCCTACAGGGATTTAGAGCTAGGTCAGTAGGAAAGATGGCACACTTAAAGCTGATCAGTTGCAATCCAGGGCGGTGTATGGGATCAAGTGCCTACACAAGGATAAAGGGTATACATGGTGTAGGATCCTAAAAAGATACGATAAAACATTCATATACGTATAATAGAAGTCCCCAGAATTATTCAATGCCAATCTTTGAGGTTCATTTTTGCATGCAGTCACAAGATATGAATGTTTAGGCTTTGAAAAGGGAAAAAGAGCCTCTTAATCAACTCCAGGTAATGCTTTTTCTGTCCTGCTATAACGATACATGATCATATTTCTCTAATCATGAATCTCGTTGTTTTGCAATTATCTGCTGATGCATTGCTCTGCTTTACCAGCCCTGGAGGAGTGAAGACTATGTGTTATTCATCTTTATATCCCCTGCCCAGAGCCCATGACCTGCACTTAGTAGGCATTTAATAAAGGTTGGCTGAAGGAATGAATAAATGCTCAGAGTACATTTCCAGTGTAACTAAAATTGAATGCCACCAACTCCCCTCTTTTGGACATAAATTATAGTACTTGTCCAGACTCCCTAAATGCCAATTTTTGATCCCCACTTTGCCTCCATACAAAAGGTCTCCAAGTCTTACTTCCATTTACTCTCTCAACATCTCAGTCCCCACTATCCTGCGTCAAATGCACCTCATTTTATGTCTGGATAATTACTACAAACACAGCTAGTGTTCACACCTTTGTTCAAACTCTCTCTCCTGCTTTGAATATCCTTTTACCCATCTCATCTGTCTAAACTCCACCTAACCTCTAAAATCAACCATATTTTCCTGATTCTACTTGAAATATTCTGGCATCCCAGACTCTGGTAACCTGGCTTTTATCTCTCTTCTGATCATAGCTTGTTTACTGCTCTGCATCACTGCTAGAGAGCATCTAATCCTTACAACACCTTTGTGAGAAATCTAATAGTCTCCCCATTTTGCAGATGGTAAAACTGAGGCTCACCAGCATTAACTTTCCAAGGTCATGTAACTAGTTTGCTGTCTGACTTCAGAGCTCTTTCTTCTTTACCTTGCTACCTCACCCCAAGTAAAATGTCAGTTCCTAGGGAGAAGATCCTGCCGATACTTTATCAGCAGACTCTCTTGCAAGTTGCTTTACAAATAGTAAGAATTCAAATATTAATTAACTTAGAAATCCTGTTTGACTGTACTGTTCTTTAACAGGGATAATGAAGGAGAGGATTATTGGGTAGAATAAAAGCACTAGGCTGGGCACAGTGGCTCACACCTGTAATCCCAAGATTTCGGGAGGCAGAAGCAGGAGGATTGCTTGAGCCCAAACAGGAGTTTGAGACTAGCCTAAGCAATATGGTGAAACTCTATCTCTACAAAAAATACAGAAATTAGCCAGGAGTGGTGGCACATGCCTATATTCCCAGCTACTCAGGAGGCTGAGGCTGGAGGATCACCTGAGCCTGGGAGTTGAGGCTGCAGTGAGCTGTGATTGCACCATTGCACTCCAGCCTGGATGACAGAGTGAGACCTTGTCTCAAAAGAAAAAAAAAAGGCACTCAACTTTTTTTTTTTAAATGGCAGAAAGTGCACAGTAGCATGGAGGATGATGCAAAAGTCAGCAGACCTGCTAAACGTACATGAATGACCATTGACTTCCCACTTTCATGTAGAGTTTAAAGAGAATTGTATTTTTCTCTTACATAGATTATCCCAGCACTCCAGAAATCTTCAGATAGTTTTAAAAAATCTATCTAAACATTAAAATGCTAATCACAATGATGATACTGGAATAGCAGATTTCTATGTAAAAACACCAGTCAATCTCAGCAGGAAGTCATTACCAAGGTAGGAAAAACATTTGGATAGGAAAGACTGTTCATGAGTTACAAAAGCCATTATCTTCATCTCCAAGATCTTTGAAAATGAAGAAAATGTCCACTTGTCTGCTGGAGTGAAGGAGCAGGAAACAGGACTAGAATAGTGAGCTCAACAGGTTCCTCCTTCATTTGCAAACTTTTCCAAGGCAGACTCTTAAACCAGGAGTGAGTGTGGGATGGTGTCAACGCAGGTTATAATTACGTGCCAGACTTTAATGCATGCCATCTCAAGCTGTTTTAAGAGTAGCTCATTCTTATGCCTTTATAACTAAAATAAAACCTTGAAAATGTGTATCATTTTCTTGCTGGAAGAAATAGAAGAGATTATTTAATTCAAACCTTTTTATTTTATACCTGAGGCAACCCAGAGAAGTTAAGTGATTTACCGAAGGACACAGAGTATCTGATTTATAACCATAAAACCCACCCCAAGACTTTCCCTTGGTATGACGTTAATATTAACTGTTCTACTCAGGGCCAGGGGATGTTAAGGTAACAGATTCAATCATGTTAATATATCAAGTCCAGCCAAATTGCTAGTGTGAAATGACCTCAAGCAGAT
This sequence comes from Homo sapiens, assembly GCF_000001405.40. Classification (NCBI taxonomy): domain Eukaryota; kingdom Metazoa; phylum Chordata; class Mammalia; order Primates; family Hominidae; genus Homo; species Homo sapiens. The sequence continues at coordinate 146,211,514 of NC_000004.12, forward strand.
TCCCAAAATAAAAGCAACAAACAAACAAAACACAGTATTTTCTTGCTTTCCGGGTGCACACAGCTGGGTCTCCTTCATGTGGGTGGGGATTGGAGGCCAACTCACTGCTGTCTCTCGGGCTTCGGGCTTAGCGCATGATCTGGCTCAGAGCCACACTCTCTCACCGCCTCCTCTCCGTGGTGGGCACCAACCCTCTCTGTGGCTCAGCCAGCTTTCTCTTTCCCCAGACAAAACAGGTACAGAGCCCTTCCTTTGTCTCAAACCCCATACTAAGTACCAACTCCTTATTATTTATTACCTCACTGAAACTTCACCAGCACTTCGGGATGCAGGTACAGGAACTGGTAGTTATCTTCATCTTGTAGATTATGTTACAAAGCTATTCTATAGCAAAACTGTAGGGAAAAACCTTATCTATCACTTCCTGAATGCTGTGGGAACTTTTGGCAAGTTACAGAAACACTGTGACTCAGTTTCCTTATCCATAAAATGAGATAACAATAGTGCAGACCTCATTGTGTTGCTGTATCGATGAGGTAATTTGCCAACTAGCTGACTAGAATAGTGTGTGGTACTGTGCAGGCATTATATAAATATGCTGTTATGTTTAATTACTATCCTGTCCCCTCAATGCCTCTTACACATCCTGCACGTGGTACAATACGGCCTCAGGTCTGACCCCACACCATGACCTATGGCTCAACCACCTTCCTTTGTACAGACCTGCGCTGATAAATATGGTAGCAGCTTACCACATGTGGCTCCGGAGCACTTGAGATGTGTCTAGTCTGAATTGAGACGTGCTGTAAGTGTAAAATACCACTGGATATCAAAGACTTACTGTGAAAAAAAGAATGCAAAATATCTCACTAATGATATTTTATATGCTGATTGCATGTGAAATGTTTTCAATATATTGAATTGACTAAATTTATTATTAAAACAAATGTCTTTTGTTCCTTTTCACGTTTTTTAAAAATAAGGAGAGTCCAATTTTTTTGTTTGTTTGTTTTTGAGACAGGGTCTCACTCTGTCGCCCAGGCTGGAGTGCAATGGCAAGATCTCAGCTCACTGCAACCTCCACCTCCCAGGTTCAAGCAATTTTCCTGCCTTAGCCTCCAGAGTAGCTGGAATTACAGGCACGTGCCACCATCCCTGGCTAATTTTTGTATTTTTTGGTAGAGATGGGGTTTCAACATGTTGGCCAGGCTGGTCTTGGACTCCTGACCTCAGGTGATCTGCCTGTCTTGGCCTCCCAAAGTGCTGGGATTACAGGCGTGAGCCCCTGCGTCCGGCCTAGAAAATTTTAAATTACATATGTGGCTTGCATTCTATTTCTATTGGCCAGCACTCGTATAGAGTAGCCTTGTATGTGTTCTTGGTCAGATTCCCAGGGAGAGTTTCTGTCTCAGCCCTGAGTCAGCAGGGCCCTCGCCTGTGATGAATGCCCCCCTGGTACAATCAGCTTTGTCGGGAGAGTGGCATAAGATGCGCTGCCGGCTCAGCAGAGGCTGTGGGTGTGGCAGGCAGGATAAGGCCATGTCTAAGATATGGTGTCCTCCTGATTTTCAACAAGAAATATTACATGAGCAAATGGCAGGATTATTTATTGAGCCATGCAGGTGCGCTCTCTCTACCTTTGCACTCCTCTCCTCATTCTAATTGGTAGTTGGGCCTTTTGAGAATCCGTATATCCAGGGAGTTTGTGTTTCAGGGGCAAAGCTGAGGTGTTGGAGATTACCACTCTACCTGTGGTAGGTGGATTATGCCAGGTGGCCCAGGGTAATGGGGTGAGAGTAAAAAAAAAAAGGAGAGGAGGGACACTTTTGTCTCTAAGACTGGGATAGGAGCAGAGTGGAGTGGAGAAGAGGTTAGCCACTCTCCTGCTAGGGGCAGAGATCTGTGTCAGGACCCAGTGGAGGGGGTGGGAAGAACCCAGGCCACAGCCTTGCTGAAGACCTGAGCCCCTTTTTGGCATAGAAGCCTTCCAACTAACAGTCTTCAAGTGACCACATGAGCTCTGAAAACTATCATAACAGCAGCCATGGAAGGAATGTATCCTAATTTTCTAGACCTCCCAGAATTTCTCATGACTCAGTGGGAGATTGAGATTGCCTCCAATCCTAGTGGGATAGAAGCTTAGAGAAACCAAATTGAATTTGTTTGCTTTTGTTCTGTGTGTGGGGAATACTGGTATCCTAGGCCAAGGAAGCCCAATTTCCCTTGGTGTTTATAGGATAGATAGTCTCATTTACACTTGCAACAAAAGGCTTAGCAACCTGGTCCCTAAGCCAGTGCCTTGCCTATTCAGTCACTCATAGCTTTAGTTTTTTCTGAGTGGAGACAAGGCCTAACAGTCAGAACATTGCTCTCTCTGCAGCCCCCTACTCCACATCACCCAGGACTATCAATCCTAGGATTCTCTCTTGGACGCCTTGCATTCAAACAGCCACCAAATCCTACCTCCACCTGATCTCCTGATCTCCCAAATCCATTCCTCTCTCTTTTTCTTCATTGTTAATGTTGCAAGCTTCTAGGTGATGCTGGTGTTGCACTCTAGGGACCACACATTGAGGAACACTGATCTATAGGCTCTCTGGTATTATCAGGTGTCTCAGCAGATTCTTAGATGAATGAAAATGTGAACTCCAGCTTTAGTGCAATTGATACGGGAGGTGCCTATGCCACGTGTTATTTTTTTGTACCAAACGTTGCTCTTGGGCTAACGTATCAATTCTATTTCACCAAGAGTAACTTCAGTCCACACTGACTCAAGAAGCCAAGAATGCTGAGATGCATTTCATTCAAACATTCTCCCCTTTGCAGGGAGATCAAGATGGAGGCATCCAGCTTCTGCCAAGGATGTCAGTGCCAGTCCTGTGCAAAACCAGTTCCGGTTCTTTCTAGTTCTTCACGCAGGCTTGAACAATGATGTGACTGTAAACCGTGTGTGTGTGTGTGTGTGTGTGTGTGTGTGTATGTGTGTGCTAATACGATTTAGGTTGGATTTGGACACTGAGGAACAGTTCCTGGAGATGCTGAGGATTAGTGGTAGCAGCTGTTATTCTCCCCATTAGAGGAAAAACTGAAAGGAGAAGAAAATACTTATGTTTAAGGGATGTGTTTGCAACTCTGCGGGAGGAAGCCATTCTATCAAGCCTGAAGAAAACTGTGTTCCTAGGTAAGTGGATGTTTTTATTTATTTATTTTTGTAGAGACAAGGTCTCCCTGTGATGCGCAGGCTGGTTTTGAACTTCTGGCTTCAAGTGATCTTCCTGCCTCGGCCTCCCAAAGTGCTGGGATTACGGGTGTGAGCCACCATGCTCAGCTCCAAGTGGATAGTTTTCAGGGTTCAGGTAGACAAGATGCTAGTGGGAAAGAAGACACAGTGAAACCTAAGGCAGGAGGGTGGGAGGTGGGGCTGTGGCCGTAGTCTGTGAGTCCAGGCACTCACTCCCCTTCCCTTGTAGGCAACTGTGTCTGATCTGCCTTTGGAAAGACCACTTGCCATCAGCAAGGACTTGAGGAGCATTTTCATTTCATTTCTTTCTTTTCTTTTAAGAGACAGGGTCTTGCTCTGTACCCAGGCTGGAGTGTAGTGATGTGATCATAACTCACTGCAGCCTCGACCTCCTGGATTCAAGTGATCCTCCTGCCTCAGCCTCCTGAGCAACTGGAACTATAGGTGCGCACCACCATGCCCAGCATTCAAGGGGCATTTTGTATGTGGCCCTTATGAAAGAAAATGAGAAGAACCCTGAGCCCCCTTGACTGAGAATGTGCTTTTACACAGTTCATCTTCATTATCTCCTAATGTGTCTGAGAAGCTGTAGCCATGGTTCCTTGTAGTATGGAGATGTGTGACTTTGGTGCTTCATAGAAAACAAACTTAGAAAAGAAAGGCATTGTCTGAAGGACTCTTATGTCTAAGAAATTTGAGGTATAGATCATATTCCTGTCTTCTTTTAGCTTGTGAATGTAAAAGGTGGTGTTGTGTGAAGAGACAATGGGAGTGGAGGACACTTGATTATTTGGTTTATGGATTATTTCCTTAGTCTATTGTTCTGATAGCTAGTTTTACTACATTTTCAGGATTTTATTTTCACCTTTTAAAACCAGCTGACTACAGGGGAGGGCATTTTTTTTTTTTTTTTTTTGCCTTGCATTGTTCCTTAGGTCAAAAAATTAGCCAAACTTCTAAAATGCCTGTGTGCAGGACTATAAAAAAAAAAACAGAACTTTTTTTTTTTTTTTTGAGATAGAGTCTCGCTCTTTTGCCCAGGCTGGAGTGCAATGGCATGATCTCAGCTCACTGCAACCTTGGTCTCCCAGGTTCAAGCAATTCTCCTGCCTCAGCCTCCCGAGTAGCTGGGACTATAGGCACATGCCACCACACCCAGCTAATTTTTTGTATTTTAGTAAAGACAGGGTTTCACCGTATTGCCCAGGCTGGTCTTGAACTCCTGTGCTCACGCAATCCACCTGCCTCGGCCTCCCAAAGTGCTAGGATTACAGGCGTGAGCCACCGCACCTGGCCTAAAACAGAACTGTTAAAAAATGCCTGTGATAATCCTAAATATTTATGTAGGCAGATTTTCATCTGCCTTGTTTGCTATCTCTCATTTTATTTTTGTCATCTTCTTTTACATTGCCAAATTTTAATTCTTCCTCTTGATGGGAATTAGAGGTAGTAAACAAAAATAAAATTTACTCTATAAATGCTATTTTATTCAATCATTGTATTCTATTCCTGAGCCAAAATTGTTATCAGTATGTTTAAGAAGTTATAGAATAAATTGAGTATTTCTTTCTCTGCTCATCTTCTTTACTAAAAGTAGTGAAATAGCTAAAAACAGCCAAAGAAAGGGCAAAGAGATATCAAAGCATTGCCAGCTTAACAGTCACTTCTAAATAATTGATAGTTGGTAGATGTTTTGTAGCACTTAACTTGGTAATTTTCAATTGCAACAGAGATAAGATGCTCAGCCAAGCCATCCCATGCCATGCTGCCTGACCATGGTGGTGTATTGAGTGTCTACTTCAGATAATGTATCAGAGGCCACACCGCCTTTGGGTACCAGTCAGCTTGCAAGGAGCTCACGCTAGGATACAAACATTTTCTGGTTTTATTTCTTTGACTCAATAATTAAAGCCTCTCTTTTGAACAACAACAAAAAAAGCAGTCTGGTCTTATGAGAAAATTACAAGAACAGAAGTTTTTAAAAAGGTGTTTGGAAATGAAACACTTCCTATAGCCTGGCATTTCCTTTTGATCTTGGCCTTGAACATTAGCAATCCTGGGAGGCTGCACTAAAAGCATCTCAGGTACAGAGGCAGTGTGGGGTTCAGGTTAGTCACATCCCGAGAAGACTTTATGTCGTTTTCCTAAATAACGTCTGGACTGAAGCTGCTGTTTGTCATGATACAGGAGAGGGCAGGATGAGGATGCAGGCTGCCCTCGTGGGCTGGGCTTGTACCACCCTCTGCCTGGCTTCCTGCTCATCTGCCTTTTCCCATGGTGCCAGCACGGTGGCCTGTGATGACATGCAGCCCAAGCACATCCAAGCCCAGCCTCAGCACCAGGACAGCCACCACATCACCATCCACACCCACAGGACTTCCTATGCACCAGGTGACAAGATTCCAGGTATGTACCAGAGAGGCTTAGAGAGACTCCGAGGAGCCCCAGAGCCCCCATGGACCTTCCAGTTTGTGTTTGTCCCAGTCAGAAGCTTCCTGGACTAAATTTGGCTTAATCCCTTTTTTTTGTTTTTTGTAGAGATGGAGTCTCACTGTGTTGCCCTGGCTGGTCTGAAACTCCTGGGCTTAAGTGATCCTCCCACCTCAGGCTCCCAAGAAGCTGGGACTACAGGCACATGCCACTGTGCCCTGCTAATTTTTTGTATTTTTTTTAGAGACAGGGTCTTTGTATGTTGCCCAGTCTGGTCTCGAGCTCCTGGGCTCAAGTGAACCTCCTGATTCAGCCTCCAAAAGTGCTGGGATTACAGGCACAAGCTACCATGCCCAGCCTGGCTTAATCTTAAGAAGCAATTATCAGGTTAAAAATAAGCATAAAATATTTGTGTCATAAAAACCACATGATAACTAATCTCTGTATTAATTGTGATCTGTATAAGAAGACACAAATATTATTATAGATAATTATTTTGTCCTTACCATAAGATATAAATGTATCTTATTACGGACACAAATATAGTTACTCTGAACAACCTTCATGTATCATCTATGTGTGTGAAATACACTTTTTTCTCATTATTTAAAACTAAAATTCATCCATCAACAGACACTTTGGTGAGATGATGGATATTTTAATTTGCTTGACTATAGTAACCATTTCACTATGTGTAAGTATATCAAAACATCATGTTGTATACTTTAAATATATACAATTTGACATTTTTTAAATTAAAATATTGGGGGATGAAAAAATCATTTCCTGTTCTTTTAGTTTAGGTGCCTATAAAAGCAGGGAAAGAACGTGAGCGCAGGTGGTTTATGTGAGAGATCATCCCAGGAAACACAGGTGAGGAAGAGGGAAAGGGAGCTGGGCAAGAGGAGATGCCAGTCAAGGGCGTGCAACTGAGCAGGTCTCTGCTGTGGGCAACCGAGGTGCATTCCAGTGGGGACCCTCTGAGAAGCCATGTGAAACACCTCTGAATCATCTCTCAGGAAGATGCAGGGGCAGGGAACTTACCAGTTTCGGGTTGCCCCCACCAGGGGTGTTTCTACCTCCATGCCCCGCCCCCACTCCCCAAACTCACACACACTCTTCAGAGTCCACAGCTTACCTTGGACCAAGCTTGGAAGTGGCAGTGAGGGACAGCAGAGAAGGAAGCTACAGATACTTCAGATGCCACGAAGTGTAGGCAGAGAACTATGCACCCAAGGTGAGCTCCAACACATCAGCAACTTTTGCCCTAAACCCCTCTTGATTTTTGCTGATTCTTTTGATAGGAACTAAAGGTGATAAACAAAAATGAAATTTACTCTATAAATATTGTTTTACCCATTCATTTCGCTCTCTTGAGAAGTGTGAAAAAACATGGGTGGATAGTATATGAGTTCAACATCAATATACTCCCCAATATACTGAATTAAGTCTATTCTAATAGAGCTTCCCAAACTTTGTCACATCATGACACAGAAAGTGAGTCTGTGTATTTAGCACACCGGGGCAAATGCAAGAGGCTCCCCAAGGAAGGCCACTTCTTTGGGGGCTCCATCCACCCTAGAGTGCATCCAGCCCCTCCCAGCATGAAGGGATTGGTATGTCAGTATCCTAGTGTTCTGTGGCTAGGGGAATAACAACGGTAAGAATCAAAACACTATGTCAGCCAGGCATGGTGGCTCATGCCTGTAATCCCAGCACTTTGGGAGGCCAAGGTGAGTGGATCACTTGAGCTCAGGAGTTTGAGACCAGACTGGGCAACATGGCAAAACCCTGTCCCTACAAAAAAAATACAGAAATTAGCCAGGCATGGTGGCTTGTACCCTGTGTTCCCAGCTACACTGGAGGCTGAGGTGGGAGGATTGCTTGAGCCTAGGAGGCAGAGGTTGCAGTGAACTGAGATAGCCCCACTGCACTCCAGCCTGGGTGACAGTGACAAAGTGAGACTCTGTCTCAAACAAACAAACAAACCCCAAACCAAAAAACCACTATGTCAGTGAGAAAAATCTGCAGAAATAACTAAAAATATTGTGATACCTAAATTCTGAAGGTATCCTGAGGGAAACACAATTGGATTGTAACTGGAACCAAGACAGCATATGTAATAAATGACTTGACAGAGTGCCTCATGGATTCAATGAGAGTCAGTTATTACTGACTTACGTTGCAAGTATACTGTTTTCTTGCCGGGATCTGTGAGCTCCTTGAAGGTAAGGACCATGTTATCCTGCTCATAGATACATACTCAACTCCTAGCATAGTGCTTGGTGTTCAATAGTTCTAAATATTTGTTCAAATGTTTATTAAGAAAAGTTCAAATGTGTGGAAAATAAAACAATCCTAGACACCAAGCTGCATTTAGCAAACTTATAAAGGTCTGACCCTGATTTTAGCCACTCATTCCCTTGAACATGAGTGGCTTTTTTAAAAAAAATTTTAAATAGCTTGAAGATATTACATGCTTTAAAAATGTTAGAATACTATCAAAAGGTAGAAAATTAAAAGTACTTTTCCTTCTCTGGCTCTGAACACTCAATTTGATTCCCCAGAGGTAACCTTTGTTAAGTTTCTTGCACCTCTTTTCAGAAGTTTTCCATGCATTTAAGCATATGTGAGTGAGATCTCAAATTAATATAATCTTAAGCAGACACAAATTAAATGTCTGTTTAATGTTTATATTTTTTACCTAACAATCAGACTGATATATTTTATTGGATACAGAATTTTGTTTTTTTGTTTGTTTTTTTGTTTGTTTTTTTAAGACAGAGTCTCACTCTGTCACCCAGGTTGGAGCGCAGTGGCGCAATCTTGGCTCACTGTAAGATCCACCTTCTGGGTCATGCCATTCTCCTGCCTCAGCCTCCCCAGTAGCTGGGACTACAGGCACCCACCACCACACCTGGCTAATTTTTTTGTTTTGTATTTTTAGTACAGATGGGGTTTCACTGTGTTAGCCAGGGTGGTCTCAATCTTCTAACCTCGTGATCCACCCGCCTCAGCCTCCCAAAGTGCTGGGGTTACAGGCGTGAGCCACCGTGCCCAGCCACAGAGCTTGTTTTTAATGATTTCATGACAGTCCATTGTCTAGAGGTCGCATGATTGATTTAACCAGTTTCTTATTTATGGGTATTTACTTTTTAAATTTTTTTCATAAATGGTTTTGATGGATATCTTTATTCATATGTCTTTGCTCACTGTATGCATCAAGATTGTTTTAGTTCCAAGTATCAGAAAAACTGATTAACAGAAACTTAATGAATAAAGACACTTAATTTTCTCTCTTAAGTGTGGAGGCACAGTTTCTGCTTTGGGTGAAGCCATTCAATGACATCATCTAGATCCTAAGATTTTTCGATTTTCCTGCTCCGCCATCATCAGCGAGTTGGGATTTCATTCCTTTGACATCGCACAGTTTCAGGATGAGTGCCATGGTTTTAGGCCTCATACTGGGATGACAGCTGAAATAAAGGCCTTACGTGAAAAGATTGATCCTTAGACATTAGCTGTTCTCTCAGCAGATCTGGCCTCATTGGCCAGAATTCTATCTGGTGAAGGGGAACAGAATCACCAACACTGGTTTTAGTCTAATCACAGTTCATCCCCTGGGGAAAAGGAGAGGCCTAACTTCCCCGAAGACAGGTGGTCTCCACTTCCACATGAATGTAACATCTGGGTTCTGTTAGCAGAACCATCTGTTCTGCTAGCAGGGAATAAGCGGACAATCGCTGTTGGGTATTGGACATCAGTGTTTGCCATATTTATTTGTGCAAGTTTGTCAGTGGGGAAAATTCCTAGATGCAAAATTTCTAGATCAAAGAGTAATGATTTTTGGAGGGCATTTCTTTTATTGTGTTTATAAACATATATCATAAACTTTACCATTATAGCTGTACAGAGCTCAGTGGCATTAAGCGCATTCACATTGTTGTACAACCATCATCACTATCCATTTCCAGAACTTTTCCATCATCCCAGATGGACACTCTGTACTGGCCATCCTTCCCTATGCCCAGACCCAGATAACTTTAAATCTTCTTTCCATCTCTGTTAGTTTGACTGCTCTAGGTACCTCACATAAGTGGAATAATGCAATATTTGTCATCTTGGGTCTGGCTTTATTTTACTTACTATGTTTTCAGGGCTAACTGATAAGGTAGCATGTATCAGAGGGGTAACTGCATTTTAAATGTGGAAGATGTTGTCAGGTTACACCACAAAAAGTTGGATGGTTTATAGTTCCAGCACTAGTGAATGAATGCCCTAGTTTTTCCATAGTCTTATCAAGACTGCTTACAACCACACATTTTAACATTTGCTAATATGAAAGGTATAAAATAATATCTCATGTATAATTGCTTTAAAAATTATTACTGAGCAGCCAGATGCGGTGGCTCACGCCTGTAATACCAGCACTTTGGGAGGCCGAGGAGGGCGGATCACAAGGTCAAGAGATCGAGACCACCCTGGCCAACATGATGAAACCCTGTCTCTACTGAAAATACAAAAATTAGCTGGGCGTGGTGGTGCGTGCCTGTACTCCCAGCTACTCGAGAGGCTGAGGCAGGAGAATCGCCTGAACCCAGGAGGCAGAGGTTGCAGTGAGCTGAGATCGTGCCACTGCACTGCAGCCTGGTGACGGAGCGAGACTCTGTCTCAAAAAAAAAAAATTATTACTAAGCTTTTTTTATTTCTGTTTGTATCCTTTCATTATTTTGAGGCAGTCATCTTTTTATGAATTCACCATGACAATGAATATTTGTCTGTTTTATGTCTTACAAATACTTTTTTTTGGAAAATAATTTTTTTTAATCATCTGTCCAGGGTTCACCTAAACTCATATTTTAAAAAAGTATAGCACACTTTACTCATCTTTTCCTTTATGGCAGCTGGGTTTTGCTCAGAGAGGTATTTCTAAATCCAATATTTATAAAAAGAAAAAAAGTTTCTAGTTATTTTTTATTTCATTTTCGCATAACTTTGATCCAAATGGAATTTATTTTGGTGTGAAATAGGACTTCAACTTTACCCCCCTCTAATGAATTGTTCACTTTCTGGGGGCTGATCTTAAGCTTTTAGTTTTGAAAAAAGCTGCATAAAATCACCACACGGAACTAAGTCACACGTGTTCATGTTGAACGGGTGTTTTTGTTGCAGTGACAGTGAGAAGCAGTCGTGATTTCATGGGATTTCTCCTTCAGGCTCGAAGAGTGTCCGATCATCAAATCGCTGGCACTTTCGTTCTCATTCCTCCTCATTCCAAACTGATGACTTGTTTTCAAGAGGCTGATGCAGTCACCCACTCTGACAAGTCCCTGAAGAGAAACCTGTCATTCGTGTGGAAGGCCCCAGCCCAGCCTGTGGGGGACATTAAGTTCCTGTAAGAGAGTGAAGTGCTGTTTCTTAGAAACTGAGCCTTCTACTTTGGAGAGAGGGGAGCTTCTCTTTGCCCTGACTTCATATTCCCTTTCCCCCTCCTTATGTGGCCACCTTATAGCAAGGACAGGGTCATGGATGCTGCCTAAACTGGAGAGCCTATGCAGAGGGAAACTAAAAAAAATATTGCCCCCAAACTCATCCCTTCATCACTGTCCATGGGCCTAGAGTGTGTTATCTCCCTGCCTCCCCAGGCACAGGTAAATCTTGGCCAACCTCTCTAGGAGTTTCTGACCAGAGGACAGAATGGCTGGCGGTGGGGAAGGCAGGAGAGAGCCAAGAAAGAGAGAAACAGGCAGATGGACAAATGGACACGTCCCTGGGCCCAGGAAAAGCTTCTTGAGGCTCTGTGCCTTGGCTTGTTTTCTATAAATGGGCATAACCACAGCACCTCCCTCAGGGTTGTATATGGATGAGAGAGCCTACGTTCGCTCAGAAGAGTTCCTGGCAACAGTAAGCACTTTAAAAGCATCATTAGTACTCAAAATGAGGTACTTGTTTTGTCATTCTTTTCAGACACTTGCATTTACCAAGAAAGATAATTTTTCTCTTTCGGGAAAGGGTGTGTGTTTCTGTTTCTCTTCCCCACACCCTCCTAAATATGAAGGAGACTGCGCCTGCAGGCAGAGGTAGTCCAGCTCACATGCTCCCCTCCAGGACTCCCCTCTGCTCTGGGGAGCAGTGGGAGAGGAGGTTGGTGGCCCTAGCTTGTGGTGTCCCTTCTCCCCCACCTCCTGGTGGCACAGGGCAGCAGACAGGACAGCAAGAAGGGAAACACGTGCCTTAGGATTTTTCCTCTTTGGAAGGCCCAGGGCCCGCTTACCTGTGGGTGTGCCCAGCTTCTGCCCTTGGCTTTGGTTCTTACGCAGCGCAGAGGGTGTCTGCTTCTTGAAGTCCTTAAACCTGTACAGTCACCTTTCTTTCTCAAAGCACCTCAATTCCTATTTTTGGATGTACCATCATAGTTGCTGCGTGCCACATAGCAAGTAGTGTAGAAGCTATGATCTCCATTTGACAGAAAAAACGAGGTAAGTCACTTGATGAGACACCTGTCCCAAGTCACCCTGTGATCTCCCACCTCCGGGAACGCTTGCGCACGATAATGTCCGCCGAGTCTGGAAACCGCATGTTGGGGGCCTGAACTATGACGCTCACTGCGTCTCGAGCCTCTGGGTGACTTCGGCCAAATTAATCACCTTGTTATGTCTGCCTCCTGAATACTTAAAGTGGGAAAAATGGCACTTGCCAATAATCCCTCCTTTACTGAAATATTTGGAAGAACAAATGGCATAATGTTTGTGAATGTGATTTTTACTGAAGAATTGCTTTTCAAAAAATTATTTAGAATATTAAGGATTTATCTCTAATTTCCAATAGAATCTACAATAAGGGTAGACATGTACAATTATACAACAGAATTATAAGATCTTCAAATCATGACATAATAACTATATCAGGAATGGCTAATAGTAACATTGATGATAAAACCTTTTATTGGAGTCTAAACAGTTTGAGGAGATACTTTTTAGTTAAAATGAGATTTTTAGTGACTGTATTTATTCAAGAGGACTATTGATTTGTTCATATCATCTCCTATTCTAATTATTTGCAACTATGGGGTTTTTGTTTTTAAAAAGAATGAAGTCACTCAAAGAGTAATAATATAATCTCTCTCTCTCATTCTGCTATTTATTTAGTTTTGTTCCTCTTTATCTGTTAGTGTGTTCTCTCTTTTCTGTGAGGCTGGCCTGAGTTATTATTTAAAGGAAACTAAATCCGTGAACTGCTCTGCTCTTTCTCTTTCCCCAGTTTATCAGTAGTCCAGTCATATTTTGTTTACTGGGCAAGGATTGAATCATCTGTTGTGTCTCAACAGACACATAGCAGCGCCCATTCTGACGACCGCATGGAGCCCAGATTGCTGATGCCAAACCTTCACCAGAGGCTGGGCGATGTTGAAGGAGCTGCTCCAGGTACAGCTTGTCATTGTATTTGCCAGGCTGGTTGTCATCATTATTTTTACAGTTATCTATTTTCACTTAAAAGTTACTACTGCCAGTTTCCTGTTCCTGCAAAACAAGCAATAAACACCTGCCGTGGCCAACTGCAGCAGTTCTTGGGGATGTGATAACGCAGCAGTGAGAGGGAGGGAACGCTTGCAGTTGCTTTGTTTGTTGCAGCAAACACACTTTGTCTGGCTCAACCTAACACATTAAGTCAGGCCCCAGGGTGGACAGTGAGAGCTGTGCTGCAATACCAAAAAACAGCATACACCTCTTCCCCCAACATTTACTAGTCCTCACAATATTTCTGCTGTTTTCCTTAGTCCCCTGAAGCTACGCAGGGAGCACAAAAAAGAAATGAGCTTTTCTTCGTCTTTTCTCATAAAAACGCATCCAGTTTTTATTGTTACTTTTCATAGTAGGTAGGTGGCTCTTTGCAACCTGGGTTGGAGAACAGAATCAGGAATCACTGTTTCAATGGGAAGGGATTTTTCCTTGCTCACTACATGGCTTTATATTCCATTAGTCCATGAACTCCTGAAAAAAGAAAAGAAAAGCAACAAAACAAAGGAAAACCACTAGCCAGCTAGAGGCTGTTTGACCTATCTGAAAATCCCTGGTGGTATGGAACTCCTTTTTGTTGTTTATTTCTAGTTAAGTGCTATGAACACAAGCACTCGTAAAAGCATCCAGACACATGCACACAAGACCCTACCCTTAATCCATTCATTCTCCTCTTCGCTTATTCTTTCCTTTACTCTTTGCTAATATGTTAAGGCCAGAATCCAATCAGAATCCCTGCCTCTTCTCAGTCTAGCAGACCCAGGTACAGAGACAGTGGGGACCACCCTCCATTCTCTGCCTTTGCCCCACAACCTTTGTCTTCTTCTATTACCCAGCACAACTCCTCCAACCTTCCCACCAAGACACTCCTAAAAGCAGAGTAAAGATCTCGGAGCCTGAGACCATGGCCTGGAGAAGACCCTGCACCCCTGACATATGTTTGAAATCTCATGTTTTATTTTATGAATGATGCAAGTATCATGTTTTAATCCCAAGTATAACCATGTTTGTTTGAACATGAATATGAATAAAAGTGAAGCTTCAGGAAGAAGTGTCATGTGGAGCCTTGGGCCTTTCTATGCCTGACTCCGCTGGAAACCTTGTCCGCTGGGGGTTGCAGCCTCCAGCCCAAGCAGTTTACAGGGTAACCTCCTCATTACACTGCCCACATTCCTCTCCTTCTGGCCCCAGCCTGTCTTCCCCATTTGTTCCACTACCCAAACCCTAGTGATTCCCAAAGGAAAAAGAAACATGTATGTATGCTTGTGCACGCATGTATGTATTTATGTGCATGCGTGTGTGCATGTGTGTGTGTATGTATTCTGGGAAGTTTGTCTTTGTACAGTTAAGAAATCTATTTCACCTTATTTCATCTAATAAAGTGAAATAGGTTTCTTAACTGTACAAAGAATTCGTAGGCAAGTATAAATTATAAATTTTCAAAATTGGGAAATTAGTATATTGTATATCTGAAACTTATCTCCCAATAGACCAAGACACTTTGAGTCCTCCTCCACCCCATTAGGTATGGTCTACTTTTATATTTTAGTGCCTTCCCTTCTGACACTTCCTCAAACTGGACTGTTCCACACAACAGTTCTCTGCGTCTTTCAAGGCACAGTTCAAATATCTCCTTTGTGAAACTTTTCCTTATACTTCTTGGTAGGCAAGTATCTTAGTCTATTCCAGCTGCTATGACAAAACATCCTAGACTGAATAATTTATAAACAATAGAAATGTATTGCCTACATTCTGGAGGTTGGGAAGTCCAAGATGAAGGCACCATCAGAATAAGTGTCTGGTGAGGGAGGGATGATCTGTGCCTCAACAATGGTGCGTTCTTGCTGTCTTCACATGGTGGAAGGGGTGAACAAGCTCCCTCAGTCCCCTTTTATAAGGCTACTAATCCCATTCATAAGGGCTCCACCCTCATGACTTAAGCACCTGCTAAAAACCCCACCTCTTTACACTATTGCATTGGGGATTTGATTTCAACATATGAATTTTGAGGGGGGCACATTAAGACCATAGCGGCAAATATAATTGCTTCCTTAGCTCTGGTATTAATTGATTAATTAATTAATTTTGAGACAGAATCTCTCTCTGCTACCCAGGCTGGAGTGCAGTGATGCAGTCTCAGCTCACTACAACCTCCACCTCCTGGGTTCAAACGATTCTCCTGCCTCAGCCTCCAAGTAGCTTGGAATTACAGGCATGCACCACTGCACCCTGCTAACTTTGGTATTTTTAGTAGAGAGACAGGGTTTCCCCACGTTGGCCAGGCTGGTCTCGAACTCCTGACCTTAGGTGATCTACTTGCCTTGGCTTCCCAAAGTGCTGGGATTACAGGCGCGAGCGCCCGGCCTCTTTATTAATTTAGGTAGTTTGACATGTAAGGGTGTCTCTTCCCAGTTTTGAGTTCAGGGACACCAATTACAAGTCTGCATTATGTTTGCATCTCCAACAACTATAACAATACCCAGCACACAGCGGGTCTGCAGGAAATATCCAAATGCTCTTAGAGTTCAGGCAGGAATTTGAAACTATCAGTTTGCCATGTTCTGTATGTCTGGGCTAGGCTGCTTTATTCTTCACCTCAACGTTTTTGAGTGTTAAAAACATTGGAGCAAAGGGGTACCTCCTCCACCCCCATAAAGAACCTGGAGCCCTGGCCAGAGAAACTTCTGCCAACACTGTTTTGGTCAATGCCATCATGTCATCCTCATCATCATTGTGGTAAACCCTCTGTGCATGTTGCCTGTGTACCTGTGTGCCAGGCACCTGCTTCACGCTTCCACCTCAATGAGTTCATGTCAACCCCTCAGCAATCCTATGCTGGCCTCATTTTGCAAATGAAGAAACTAATGCTCTGGGAGGACTTCCCCAAAGCCAGAAATTAGTGGACGACTGAACCCAGAAAAGAATCTGACTCTAAAACCTGCACTTGCTTGCTTGCTGCTCCATGTGAAGCTCTTTCTCATGCTCTGGGCTGTCAGGTTAGCCAGTCACAAATGGGAAATTAGATGGTGGAGGGCATTGAAGGGCAGTGATCTCGTCTCTTCTCATAGCAGATGTTCAAGTCATTATCACCAGAGAAAGAAACTTTGAGTGTTAATATTAGGGCAAGAAAGATCTAGGGCTTTGAAAAGTCTTGATTTGTGGGATTTCACTCCTTTTTCTAGCTAGAAGCAGTTTTTGGCAGAGGTGAAATAAATATGGTGGTCACAGTGCTTTCTGTGTTCCCTGAATGGTGGCTGTTAAGAAGGTACAAGCCCAGACAGGCCAGGGACTCACTCTCTAAAAAGATATAAGCCCTTGCGTGGTCAGGGGCTTGTATGATCAGGCAGGTCATCTTTATGCTGACACTTTTAAGTGCCTCACACTTAATGGTCTCTCCTTGAGGCATATTAGAGTCACTGCTGTTTACCCCTGATCATAGCTGTTTGTAACAATCGATGCGGGGAAAATGCTCTCACTCACTCTGCGCTGTCTTTGGACCTCTGCTTAGCTCCCAGGACCCCCATCACTCTTCCACAGCAGCACACACATGTCTTTGCTGTTGCCCTTCCTGGAGCTGCAGAGGAGGACAACCTAGATCCTGTTCCTGCCAGTATTTGGGTGACAAAGTTTCCTGGGGATGCAGAGACTCTGTCCCAACCATCTTCACACACAGCCACTGAAGGCAGCATCAACCAGCAACCCAGCGGGGACAGCAATCCCACCCTAGAGCCGTCCCTGGAGGTCCACAGGCTGGAGAGGCTCGTGGCCCTCAAGAGAGTCTCCTCAGAGAGCTTTGCTTCCAGCCTTAGCACCCATCACAGGTAAGGGTGATGGGTGGGCCATTCAGGACAGGTGATGGGACTAGGATGAACACTGGAGTGCATCATGTGGAGTCTGACAAAAAAGATCTCAGCCATATTTTTTCTTAAGTGTGTGAAAAACCCAGGATGTAGCAGGGCTACTTGTCAGAAGGACTGGGTATGTTAATTACCCAGGGAAATTATTTTCTTGGATGGGGTGAGATCTCTGAGGTGCTGTTATAAGTAAAACTTTAAAAGTGACTTTTTATATTTTAAATATATTTATAATAACAACATAGAAATGTATATTTTATATAAAATAATAAGCGACAGCATTTGGTGAGTTCTTTGCCACCATTCTCACTCATCTCTCCCCTTCCTCTTCTCTATGGTTCCTGACTCCAAAATCAGAAGTTTTTCAAGTGAATCTGTTGCCATCTGCATACACAACTGTGGTAGGAAACATTGCTTTTTGGTCCAAAACTTAATGACCTGTTTTCAGCCCTTCCATTCTTCCCTTTAGAACTCAGGATGATCCCAGCTTTGATTCACTGGAAACTTGCCTGTCCTCAGATGGGGGTGAACAGGTAAGAACCTGAACTGTGAAGTGGGCTTGTGACTGGTATTTTGATCCTAGAATGGTCAGTTTCAGGCTGGGAAATCAGAGCTATTAGACTAGTAGCCAAAGTTAGAGAGAAGAAGGCAAAGTACAATATACACACAGTGTCTTTCTACTAATCAATACCTTTCCATTATATGCAGTGTCTCTGAAGTGATCGGCAATTGTAGAAATTGATGTTTTAGTGACTTGTCTTCTCACTTAGCCACAGTTAATAATTACTCTCTTCTCTCCTCCTCTATCCCTCCTTCATAACATTGACCTCAAAATGCCATGTATGGTCCCAGAAGTTAGATCAATGGTCAATATAAAATATAAATGCCCACTGATTTACTATTCCTTTGAAGTCTTAGAAGGAACACAAAATAAAACAAGGTGTAATGTTCTTACTTACATTTCTCAGAACCTACAGTGAGGTTAAATGGTCCCTCTTGCATGGGTCCTATCATAAGAAGACACACTCAAATCTCTCAGCCATAGAAGATGATGCAATCACCCATTGATATTTTGGTTTGGAAGCCACTTAAAGGACCCTAAGCTTATTCTTGTAACTGGCTTCCTTGTTCTCTGTGGGGTTTCCATTAGCTACCCCATCCCCATCAATAACAAGTGCATTTGTATCTAGTTGGGCATTTTACTTTGAGCTCCTTTAGTAGCAAGAAAGAGACTGGGTTTTTAGCTGCCTCCTGGGAGTCTTTAAGGAACCCCAGTTAGTTACAAAGTTCAGTGGCAGCTTAGGAGGAAGACCAGTACCTTTGACTCTTTTTTCCCTTTGTTTTTCTAGGACAAGACGAAGGCCTCTAACAGGACCGTGACACAGCCTCCTCTGTCCACCGTCCAGCTTACCTATCCCCAGTGCCTCTGGTCCTCTGAAACTTTCACAGGGAATGGGGTCAGGGCAAGCAACCCAATCCCTGTCCTCCAGACCTCTGGCACTTCTGGGCTACCTGCTGCTGGTGACCAGTCAGAGGCATCCAGGGCCTCTGCCAGCTTCTTACCTCAGTCAAAGCACAAGGAGCTCAGAGCAGGGAAGGGAAATGGAGAGGGTGGAGTGGGATACCCTCGGCAGACCAACCCACGGCCTGACATTGGGCTAGAGGGAGCCCAGGCCCCTCTGGGTATCCAGCTCAGAACTCCTCAGCTGGGAATTCTGCTTTGCCTGTCAGCCACCCTGGGCATGGCCCTGGCCGCTGGCCTTCGCTACCTGCACACCCAGTATTGCCACCAGCAGACAGAAGTGTCTTTCAGTGAGCCCGCTTCGGATGCTGTTGCCAGGAGCAACAGTGGTGAGACTGTGCACGTCAGGAAGATTGGGGAGAACAGTTTTGTTTTGGTTCAAGCAGAGTACAACTGGATCACTCCTTCTGTGGGTAGCAAGAAAACAGTCCTCTGAGAAGACTGTCACCCCAGACCTCTCAGTGGCCCTCCTTGGGCCCTGGAGAGTGTCCCAGACAGAGCAGAGATAATGAGAATAACTGATGAAGACAGGGACTCATTGTGCCTCTGTCAATGTGCAGTTAGTGGAGGAACCCGGGAGAGGACACTTTCATCAACAGAGGGAGTTATTCCTGAGCTTTGTTGTCTTAACATCTGTAATTGGGCTTCCTTCTTTCTTTTTGCAATTAGACGTTCTGTTTGAAGACTTAAACTCAACACAATGAATATTGTATAACCCGCTCATTAACTAGACCCCTGTGGCCACTAAGCTTCCTCTGTTGTGGTAAGGAAGCCATAGAAATAAAAATACTGTCCCTCCTTAGTGTCTCATCTCTTCTAACTCTTTGGGGAAAAAAAGTAATGTTGGGTTGTGTCTCCTGCAAGAAAAAGAACTGCAGCTCTCACTTTGCCTTCCTAAACCACCCCCAAAGAAGTTTTCTTTTCAAAACTGAATTCAACAACTTGCTAGAGTTCTGATTTGGATGACTAGGTGAATGCAAGGGTATTTGGTCTTCTGGGCAACTCAGCAGCCTGGCAAATCCGCCATGGAAATTGATCCAAAGTCAGGAAAGTTTTTGAGAGCTTGATTGAACACATCTTCAGGAAAACATATACATGCAACACAAGGCCGTAAACACCAGAGTGGGGTAAGAAAGCCTTTTCATCAGGTGTAAATGGATCTGAGACCTCCCATCCATTTACACTTGATGGAAACATTCGTGTATCCCAACAGCTAGCAGACATAGTGCCTTTTGCCAAAGGTCAGGCTGAAAAACATTATTATACCAGCATAGTTTGAAGAACAGTCTTTACTTGTCTTTTCAGGGAATATCAGGAAGAAAGCTTCATGGATGAAGGTCATCTACCTGATCTCATAACCTTATGAAGATTGCTTTGATTTAACAGTGGCTCCACAGATACTATCTGAGGTCAAAACAACAGATCTGAATATAACTCTTAAATATGCTCACCTAATATAGCACATAGGAATTAGCTGCCTTTTCAGAGTGAAACCTATTATAGAGTCATCATTTTAATGCAGAAACAAAAATCACTACAAATTCGGAAAGGATATTTGTTTATTGAACACCTAATTCATACGGGAACTGTGCTAAGTAGTTTGCGTATATCTTCACATTTAACTCTCACAAAAATTTAATGAGGAATAAGTTCAGTAGCTTTCCAAGGAGAATGAGGCTTTCCTTATACCTCAATTTAACAATTTTTAAAAATTGAGTGTTCAGGAAAGAGACAGCTCCTGCCTTTTCCACACCTCGCTTTAGCTCATTGGTCATCAATTCCAAGACTCTCTCCTCCTGGATTCTGGGCTAGGTAGCTCTGTTCCCTGGCTTCAGCCATTAGATGCATGGAGACCTAGGTAATTTGTGCATTCACAAATGAAAGTGTTCTAGGAATACTGTGGAAAGAAACAAAAGTACTGTAGTCTAATAAGGCCACAGATATCCCTTCTGTATGTCTAGCCCTCTAAAAGACGTTCTCCCCAAGAAGCAAACAAGGGACCCCATTAGTGGAGAGCTTTCATCTGGCCACATCACATCAGAGCCAGATGCACCATGTATGCAAACTTTTTTAGATCTTTTCTGTCTAAGAGAGAATTTTCCTATGTAAACAGACTGTTTTGCTTGTCTATTGATGTGAACAAATTACCTCTAGGCTTAGTAGTTGAAAATAAAATCACCACCAACACCACCATTTATCATCTTTCATGATTCTGGGGTTGCCTGGGCTCAGCTGGGCAGTTCTTCTGCTCTCAGTGTTAATGAATGGGATGGGGCAGCCTAGTTGACTCCCTCACATGGCTTGCAGTTGGTGTTGGCTGCCAGCTAAGGGCCCAAATGGGTCTGCTGAAGAATGTGGGAAGCAATATGGTTCTGTTCTTTGCGTCTTCTTATGCCATATGGTGGCTGAGTTCCAAGAGGAAGTGTGCCAAGCACACAAAACCAAAGGCTGCATATCTCTTAAGACCTAGCCCTTGGAAGTTGTCATAGTGAGTCACAGGACCAACCCTCATTATTCAAAAGGAAGGGCAACAGATTTCACTTTTTGATGGGAGAAGTGACAGAGGATTTGCAGCCATCTTTAATTCACTTGCCCTTCTGCTTAGACTGCTGATCTGCCATGGGGGGATTGTGTGAGACTTGAAGAGATGCCATTCATCCCTGGGTGATGAGGGAGGTGAGAGGAGTCTCCAGATTTCAGGGTCCGGTATTTTTCTCTTCTCCAGTTGGACTTCCAGCTTATACAAAACAGTAAAGTGATGCAGAAGGGTTAGCCAGGTCTCTGAGCCTCATCTTCCTCATCAGAGAAAAGGACATCACAAAATCATTCAGCTCTTTTGGTTGATGTAAAGATTGAATGCATACACAATATTTAGCTATCCATAACCAAACTGACATACCATTGTCATTAATATTATCTTGAAGCTGCAACACTGTCTTTACGTGTAGCCCATTTAGAGAAATTCTGTGATCATGAAAAAAAGTCACTTTCTTTTCTTTTTTTTTTTTTTTTTTGAGACGGAGTCCCGCTCTTTAGCCCAGGCCGGATTGCAGTGGCACAATCTCGGCTCACTGCAAGCTCCGCCTCCCAGGTTCATGCCATTCTCCTGCCTCAGCCTCCCGAGTAGCTGGGACTACAGGCGCCCGCCACCGCGCCCGGCTAATTTTTTGTATTTTTAGTAGAGACGGGGTTTCACCGTGTTAGCCAAGATGGTCTCGATCTCCTGACCTTGTGATCCGCCCGCCTCGGCCTCCCAAAGTGCTGGGATTACAGGCGTGAGCCACCGAAGTCACTTTCTTTCTATGACAAATTCTCCTCTTCTTCCTTTTTTTTTTTTTTTTTTCTGAGATGGAGTCTTGCTCTGTCACCAGGCTGGAGTGCAGTGGTGCAATCTCAGCTCACTGCAACCTCTGCCTCCTGTGTTCAAGCAATTCTCTTGCCTCAGCCTCCTGAGTAGCTGGGACTACAGGCACGCACCACCATGTCTAGCTAATTTTTGTATTTTTAGTAGAGACGGATTTTCATCATGTTGGTCAAGATGGTCTCTATCTCTTAACCTTGTGATCCGTCCACCTGGGCCTCCCAAAGTGCTGGGATTACAGGCGTGAGCCACTGCACCCGGCTGACAACTTCTCTTGAAGCAAACTTCCCACCTCACTTCCCTGGCCCAGTCACTTGAAGGCCACACGAGTTGTCATGGTAGTCACTGGCTACAATTCCTACCACGTATCAGATAATTTTTTGCTGCAGCATTCTGACTAGACTCTTTTTTGGCCAGGGCAGCTGGAGTCCATGGGCCTATACTCAAACTACATAAGTGATCGTGAAGGTCCTCTAAGCTTCACAGAAGCCCCAGAGGGGAATGAGTAGGAAGTGTTAACTTAACCTGAAAGCTCTTACTAAAGCATAAAGCCATTAAAAGTAAAAAGAAAAAAAAAAAAAAAGAAGGGAAAGGACTCAAATACAACATCTTAAAATAGTTTTTGTGTTTTGTAGGAACAGCTACAAAATTGCTCAGCCAACCTCTTCTTGGAGGAAAGAAGGTATGCGGCTAAACACATATTTGAGGGAAAATGATGGATAAATAATTGCTGAAAACTTATTATATTTTAAACTAATGCTTTTATATCTATAGTGCTAATTTAATAACTACACACCATGGGTAGTGGTAGCCTTAATCTTTTTATATTCAGAGACTATTTTTGATATTTTCAATTGATTTTTTCCCATAGATAGAATTTTAGTAAAGTACAACTTAACATTTTACTGTAGCTTGGCTTGCTGTCCCACTGTTGAGGCTATCTGCATTAATTTGCTGTTATGCTGTTTGTTTTCCTTAAAAAAAAAAATTAATTAGCAAAAAAAAAAAAGTCAGCAAACCAGTAAATATTTAGACATGGGTCACACTTTATTTGCAAGTTATCTGGGAAGGGCTGGCAATTTATGAATAAATTTCAGATGATGGCCATGTCCTCTCCCTGTTTCAGACTTCCAGTATTAATCAGTGATCCTAGCCTTTCTGGGACACAGACTGCGTGTTCTGATTTCATTTCACTCCAGCCTATCCCTCTTCTAAAAGTAGCAAGAAACTTCTTTTATTCAAGTGAAATTAATTTGCATTAACTTGTTTTATTAAACTTGAGAACTTCTCCAGGCTTACAGTATTCTGAGCACTCTGCTCCATCTGCCCTGGCATGGTGCAAAACCAGGGGTGGTCATCTCTGGCTCCTGGTTTAGCATATCAGGAAGACATTAGTGATAAAAGGAAGACTAGTGGTTTGGTTGTTTATTCTGCTCTTTAAATTCACAAAGAAAATGGGAGCGTTTTGAGACTCCTGTTCTACCCATGACGATTGAGGCCACCAGGACAACTACAGCCTGTCAGATGTATTCCAGAGATTTTTTGCTTTCAAAACATAAATCAGTTCATGTTGCTGTCTCTGAATTCCCTAATGGTTTTCCATCTCTCTCAGAATAAAATATGGACATCTGATTGGGCTATGTCCTGCGAGAGCTGGCCCTCTGACATTGCCCTCTTCCTGTGTGTTCACTGTGCTGCTCTGAGCTCTCCGGGAAGCTCTGTGCAGCTCCCTTGCTCTCCTGTTGTCTGGAACCCTGTTCCCCCAGGCATCCAGCCTTCAGAGCTTTCTTCTAGAGCTGCCTCAGCAGAGAGCCTTCTCCTGACCATTGCAACCTCTAATCAACCTAGCCTCCTACACTGTTTAATAATATTGATAGCACTTATAACCACTTGAGTCATATATTTATCTGTGTTTGTTTATTTTCTGCCTTCCCCAGACACAGATGCTTCATAAAGACAAGGACTTTGTTTTGTTCACTGCTATATTCCTAGTACATAGCTTGGAGTCCACTATTCCTAGTACATAGTAAGTAATCAGTAGGTATGTGTTACATTTGTAAGTGAAAAGTTCAATACCCGTGTTACTATCACCAGCTCTTAGTGTAGATTAAAGTTGAATACGTGGCACCTTGGGTAGCTCCAGAACACTTGGGAATCAGGCAATGTAAGTTTCCCTCCTAGAGGTGAATTAAAAAGAGTTCTATGGGTGACTGTCCTCAGTGCAGGAAATGCTCTTATGTCTCAGATCCAAGGCTCCAGGGAGTTCTGGGCAGGGAGGAACCGAGAATAGACTTCCCTCTCGATCTGCGCTGGGGCAGAAGGAAGGCTGACTGGAGTCTTTCCAACTCAGAAGCTCCGCATGACAGCTTTTCTTCAGGTTACATCATGTGGCGCAGGGTTTCTCAACCTCCGTGCTGTCACCATCTGGGGTTGGATATTGCTTATTTTGGGGGCTGTCCTCTGCCTTGCCGGATGGTTAGCAGCATCCCTGGCCTCTACTCAGTGCCAGTGGCTCCCTCCTCCCCAGTTGTAAAACCAAAATTGCCTCCAGACATTGACAAAGGTCCCCTGGAGGGCAAAATCACCCCTGTTGGGGAGCCACCGGTCTAGGAAACAAGGCATGTGACTATAGGCCCCAGGCTGAAGTGGCATTTCCCACATGATTTCCACACCCAGGGATGGAGTGGGCAGTACTGAGATGGAGAACTACAGGGCTTACAAATTGGAGTGCCTTTAAAGGTCTTCTGACTCAGTGGTTTTTAAAACCAAGTCAGTAAACCAAAAAAAAACTGAATGCTCTAGGGGAGGTTTGGGGATATCTTCCCCTCCTGTTTCCTTCTCCCAGCATCCCTTTTGCCCATTGCCTCAGAAACTCAGGGCTCCAGCAAACAGGGATTGAAAACCATGAACAACGCCTTCTTCAGATGAGGAGAACAAGGCCACGGAGAGGTCAGTCCAACAACAAGCAAGTCTAGGGGAGTCCTCAGATTCCTTCGACCCACCCTGACTTCCAAATCCGCTTTTCCTTCCACCATACTTGGCGGCTCATTTATTCTCTTGGATCATGTTAGGTATTGTAAATATTTCAACAGATCCAGAGAGAGCCAGGAATCAAGCAGAAAAATGGCCTGGAGTGATCACTTTACAGCCACCCTGGGAATGAGGAGGATGATAGGACACTGGAGACTGGTCAGTCATAGTGAGTGAGGCCTGGGCATGACCTGCCAGGCTGTGACAGGGCCCCAGCAGTGGGCCAAAGGGAGGAGAGACAGCAAGGGAGGGAGGGACTGACATTATCCCAGGTAGGAGCTCACCACGGCAAGAAGATGTTTCTCATTGGTTTACAGCCACCATCTTGAACTCACTGCCTTCCTTTCTGTGGGCTCTGCAATTTCCTTCCTTCAGATGGCATCTTGGGAGCATCGTCCCCCCTCACCTGATGATAGATGTCTTCTGCAAAGTGTTTTGTTGCTTTATATAGGAAAGAGGGTGCCTGGAAATACATTCTATTGGATATTAAAGACTGTATTTCCCTGATTTATTGTCAAGCTACGCATGGTTGTCTGAGAGGCAAGGAACCAATGGGATATACATTTTGACTAATGATTAATTATTATATCGAAAGTGATATTTTCCTATCAACTGATAGGCAGGAAAAATAGACTAGAGCTTGCTAGGTTAGCACCATGGGTCACAGATGTTGCCTCTGCATTTTCAGATTATATTATCCATTACAGGCGGCACCTTCTCATTTAAAAATATAATTTGTTGTTCTCCCAGACGAAAAAAGAAGCTGACATTTCACATGCAAGCCAAAGATTAGAATCACTGCACAGGGCCGCATATGGAAGTACATTAGGATGTGGTGTCCCTGAATCAAGGACACCAGGCGGCCAGTGCTGGGAGAGATGTAGAAGGCAGTGACTTCTGATCTTTATTATGCAAATGTGCAGCCCCCGAGCCAGGCTGTTTAACCTCATCAGGGGAAATGTCGCTGATCATTTCAAGCTCCAAATGTAGCACAAGCATTAGTGCTAGTATGTTATTATTGTTATTATTATGATTTGGCGGGCATATGGAAGCCCAAGCCCTCTGATTTAAGCTCAGTCCCTCCTTGCTCAGACCCTCTGGGATTGGACATAAACTCCTCTTGATATTAAACAAACAAATATTTTTTTCTTTCTCTTTGTAATGCTTGTTGGTGAAACATTTTGCAGGCCTGGTTGTCTGCCAAACATGGGTGAGGATGGTGAGAGCTTCATGAAATGCAATCTCTACCCCAGAGGCTTAGTGACAGGGTGCCTTCTCTCTCCTCCAGGGCTCTATGCCCCAGTGGCAGATGCATCTAGAGGAAGCATAAAGAATGGAGTAGGGGCAGGAGAAAGGATGGATCGGGGAGTGGAAATGGTAAGGAGGATTGAAAAGAGAGATGCTGCATGGGCTTAGAAGGGGAAATTTCCCTTATTCCCACTTGCGGGTCATTGCTCTCTCAGAGCCATAAAGGAAACTGAGGACCTGCTGAACAGGCAACAGAGAAGTAATTAAACGAGAAGGGGGAAAGTCAAAGACAGCTGATTAGTGGCCCAGGGTAGTTGAATGCAAAGGTTGAGCATCTTTGAAATCCAGATCGCTAGACCTCAGTTGGCAAGGTCCGACTTTTAGAAGAAATTAAGTAAATAAAAGTGACATATTAAGCTGTAGTAACATTCTAGAGGAAAAAAAAAGCAAGCAGTACACATCCCTTTTTCCTCCGCCAGCCTGGAACAAGGAGGGAGATTGGTCATTGCACAACTGGAAAGACTAGAAACTTCTCCAGAGACTCTTAGAGTCCTTCTCATCTAGCCCCAAGTCCTCTTCATATAAACACTGTTGCAGGGATCCCAGTCCAAGTGAATCAGTTTTTGTGAGCGGAATCCACATCCCTATTTTTTAAGGCTTTCCAGGAGATTCTAAAGTGCAGCCAGGGCTGAGGCTGTGGCGCTGGATGCTGATGAACAGAAACTCCACAAGAGCCAGAATTCTTGAATGTTTATTTTCTGCTGTATACCCCAGCATCTAGCACAGACTCTGGCTTGTAGTAGAAATGGAATATAGATTTACTAAATGAAAGGGCAATGGGGGAAACAAGGCATTTCTGTAACAGATAAAAGTATGGCACTTTGGGAAGCCAAGGTGGGTGGATCACCTGAGGTCAGGAGTTCAAGACCAGCCTGACCAATATGATGAAACCCTGTCTCTACTAAAAATATAAAAATTAGCCAGGCATGGTGGCATGCGCCTGTAGTCCCAGCTACTCAGGAGGCTGAGGCAGGAGAATTGCTTGAACCTGGGAGGTGGAGGTTGCAGTGAGCCAAGATTGTGCCACTGCTCTCCAGCCTGGGTGACAGAGCGAGATTCTGTCTAAAAAAAAAAAAAAAGTTTGTACATAATTAGGCCATTCAAAGCATCTGTGGAGGGGGTCACCTCCCAGAGCCCTGCTGCCAGTCACTTTTGTCCCTCATTGTTCTGGCAGCAGTAGACACACAGCATGTTCCCAGTTCTTCCTGGGTGTAAAGGGGAAGTTGTATCTGTGGAACTAGCAATTGTCTACAGAGAGCGGCCTCAGGGAGGCAGAATGATTCCCTTTCCATGGGCAGGGCTTCCTGAAGGCCTCCTTTGTGTCCTGGAGGAAACCCCTTTGCCCTATCTCCATCCTTCTCTGGCACTGGTCAACACTGACTTGGAGAGGTTGAACATCAAGAAATGAAACTGTCAAAAGGGAGGGCTTAGGCTGAAAGGACCAAATGAAACACATGCTAAGCTGGAGACTCAACTGGAACCTGAATGAATTGGGATCACTCAGAAATGTTGATTGAGCACTCACCAAGTGACCAGATTTGCACTGGAGGTTGAGGAGACAAAAGGAAGTAAGGTTGGGACCCTGCCTCTAAGGAGTGGGCCAGTGGCAGGGTGGCAAAATCATCCGATGTCAAGGCTGGCCCTAGAGCTGACACTAAGCCAAATGTTAGTCCAGCCTCCCACCTCCACCCATCTCTTTCCTCTCTTCCAAGCATCAGAAGTCCCTTATCCAAAAAAGAATCTGCTCTTAATGGAAGCCCAAGATGTAAATCCAACCAAAGCACAGCTACTCTGCATAGGAGGAAAGTCCTGTTCTCTCACCTGTCCCTCCATTATCCCCCTCAAAAATGCTTTCCTTAAGACTTTGGAGGCTGAGACCCCAGGCTGCACGCCTTTGCTCTGAATAGCCTAATATTTCTGGATTCAGGTTGTTTAGTTGACACTAAATCAACAACGCTATCACCCAAGGAGTTGATCTAATTTTCCTCCTCTGGCTTCCTGGGATAGACGGTGTGACAATATGGCTTTCAAAGGAGAGGAGGCTTAAGCCACCAGTTTTTACTATCTGCACGGAGCCAGCTGTGGGTTGTTGTCCTTCTCCACCAGTGGCTGAGGAACAGTCAAGGGCCCCTTTTGGTGGCCTTCTCTTCCTCCTTGCTCCTGCTCAGGGTCCAGTCAAAGATGAGTTTTGTGAAAATGAAGGATGTCCTTCTCCCAGAGTCAGGAGCCCTGTCCCTTTAGCTGATGGATGAGAGATGTCTCATGAAAGAAAGCTGAAGAGGAACCCTGGGTGTGGACTTAGGTCTGAGTTAGTTTGATGGAGACCTCAGTATCTCATCGCGACATAGGCCGAGAGGGGCTGAAATCAGCTGCCTTTCTTCTGTACCACTTACTGTTGAGAGCTAGTAAAACAATGTATTTGGTTGGAGCTGTAGCCCGTCTGCCACCTCAGTCCCTACTCTGTACTCTAGCAAGAGCCCTTCAGCCAGATGCTGAGAGACCAGTGGAGCAGCGTACCATTAACCCATGTGAGACAGTGCTGTGTGTCTGCATAAAACCCTGAGCTAAGAGAGATGTTGGGATTTCATTGAGTGTGTCTCCCTGTTTCTAGTAAGCACCATGGCATAGGAAAAGAAAATATGTGGGAGTAAGACAGGCCTTAATTCAAATCTTGACAGTGCTCCTGATGAACTCAACAACTTTTTTCTTTTTTTGAGATGGAGTCTCGCTCTGTGGCCCAGGCTGGAGTGCAGTGATGTGATCTCAGTTCACTGCAACCTCTGCCTCCTAGGTTCAAACAATTCTCCATTCTCAGCCTTCTGAGTAGCTAGGACTATAGGCACAAGCCACTAACACACAGCTAATTTTTGTATTTTTCGTAGAGACGGAGTTTCACCATGTTGCCCAGGCTGGTCTCGAACTCCTGAGCTCAAAGCGGCCCATCTGCCTTGGCCTCCCAAAGTGCTGGGATTACAGGAGTGAGCCATCCAGCAAATTCAACAACTTTTGGCAAGTACTTTCATATCCTTTACACTCATTTTTCACATCTATAAAATGGGGATGACATTATTTACTTGGCAGATTTGTTGTGAGCAGTAGATCTTAGAAGCTCAGCTGTTTGAAATCTTGTGAAATTATTATTTCTATTGGGCTCTGAAGTCTTTGAAAGGACAGATGGTATTTTCTTTATCTTTGTATACTTAACCTCTAATATAGTAAATATCTGGCACATGGTAGCTGCTTAAATGTAACTTTTCAGAAAACTCTGCCTCAATACTTTATCTAAATAGGTATCCCCTTGTTATTCATTATATTATTTTCCTTTATAGTCCCTGAAACGATACATTATTTGTATATTGTCTACTTTTTCACTAGACTGTAATTTCCATGAGGTTAGGAATCTTGTCTCTCTGGGTGGCCAGAGTCTAGAGCAATGCCTGCTACAGAGCAGGTGCTCAAAATGTATTTGTTGAATGGACACATAAATGAATGGTCGTTACTTAATTACTACTAGTAGTGGCAGTGGTTTACACAGTATCAGAACCAGCATAAACAGACACAACTTTGTCATCTTTGCAAAGCTCACCAGAAAGGATGATAATGATCAGAAGCCTTTCAAGTTTCCTCCTCACAGAATTCTGCCTGGGAACCTTTATTAAGGATGGCCGATTTCACCAGGCCTCCACCAGGAGGCCCTTTATGTCAAACTGAGCAGAGTGAATGTTTTATGATGTGGACAAGGGCTGCCTCAGAGCCTGAACTGGGGCCATCCGGGGGGGAGTGGGGTGGGGCCACACCCTCTCCCTGGGCTCTGCACCACTGAAAGGCTCCAGACGGCTCGGGCCCTGGGCCAAGCTGCTTGGTTCCAGTGGGAAAGCTGACCTTGGCCAGGAAGAACCAGGAAGAGGCACAAATGACTCATTGTCCCACATCCTCCAAGGTAAAAACCCAGCAGTGTGTGTGGCCTTTAGGGCTGGATGTTATTGCAGCCTTGGCTCCTTCCTCAGCCAAAATAAAAGCACTTGGCCAGTAACACATGCACAGCCTAGGATACAACCAACGGCTCTCTTCCATTGTTCTATTCGACACACTTCCCTGCACTTATAGTTTTAAAATATCGTACACATAACATTATGATTTCAGTTCTAAATGTAAACCATGATTTCTTTTTAAAGACGTATGGCAGCCTTCATTTCCAGTCAAGGCATGCGACATTTTAGGGTCCTGTGGAAGAAATGCGATATGCTTTCAGATCACGTGTGAAGGAGGTCTCACTGGTAAGTGCTTACTTTATGCAGAAGTTTGGAATCTAAGGCACTGATTTGTAAGATGTGCTGCTGCCTCCAGATTTCCACTAGAGGGCAGTCTTGGAAAATGTTTATAGATACATATTTTATTGCTATGTCTAGGAAATGTTTCTGTTTTTAAAAGGAACAAACAAACAAAAGCCCATGTAAAATTTAGGGCAAGCTCTTTGGCTCCACTTGGAACGATTCCTCATTCTTCCAGAAGGAAGCCGGGGAGCATGAAGGCAGCTGCTTCCCTCGTCTCCATCCCTTTGTCCACATGGGATGCAGCGGGCTGCCCAAGCTGTGAAGCTGGCCTGGGCGCCCAGATCCCCGCCTTCCCACACCCGCCTCGGGCCAGCCCTAGTGGGCAAGGAGAGGCACCTTGGAAAGGAATGCGGGGTCCTGATCTAGGGACCCCTGGTTTAAATTCGGCCTTGGCTGAGATCCTCTCCGTGGAGTCCCATCTTCTGCTCTTCCCTCACAAGCTAGCAGTGGCCGGAAATCCTCAGAAAAGAGCCAGGAAGGGTCAGAGGGGTGGCTGGGGAGTACACAATTAAAAATAGGCCTTCCAGGCAGGCAGCCATGGAGATCTCACTCGATATGTAAATAAGTGTAAATAAGACAGGCCAAGTCTTGGCGCTGGAAGGATACGGCACATTTTGTGCAGCCAGGGTTGTCTGGGGCAGTGGTAAGCACTCCCCCCGCCTTCTTTTTTTTTTTTTTTTTTTTTTCCACACAGCCCAATTTGAGGGGGGGGGGGAATATATATATATATTTCGGGAGGCTGAGGCAGGAGAATGGCGTGAACCCGGGGGGCGGAGCCTGCAGTGACCCGAGATTGCGCCACTGCACTCCAGCCTGGGCGACAGCGAGACTCAGTCTCAAAAAAAAAATATATATATATATTTTTTCACCCAAGAAGAAAATAGATATACTGAGTTCCATTGGTGGTGGTGGGAAGGAGAGATAATTCCTACAACTTGGATTTCTTACTTGATGAATAGAAAAATGTCAACAGAGAAATTATAACTACTTTGTAGCCACGACAACCTTATTTCTGGAGCATGTTTGATACACAGCACTCAACTTTCCTATCTCTGACATTTGTGTCACCCTTTAGAGTTTATATCACTGAGTCATGTGAGTGACCTCATTACATCCTGGAAACAGCCCTGTGTAGGTGTCATCATCATCAGCCCCATTGTAGAGAAGGACACCAAGACCCAGGAAGGAGGAGGGATTCCAACAGGGTCCCACAGCACTGGCGGTGGGGCTGGGGCTACAATCAGTTCACCTCTCCTACATCACGTTTTACTGAGCATCTGCTGTGCGCTGGACTCGCGGCTCGGTGTGAACAGGATGCTGCGTCTTGCATTTCCTCGGAAACAGGCTCTGTAAATGTCAAGGCAAGCCCTTTGGCTTCCCTTGGAACTACTCATTCTTGCAGAAGCTCAGCTAGAAGAGGAAGCTGGAGAGCGCGAAGGCAGCTGCCACCTCTTGCACGCGTGGGGGTCTCGGGGTAGCAGGGGCTGCTCTGTGCTGGGCTGGGCCAGTAGGGGGCGCCCTCCCTGGGAGCAGCAGGGCCTTCCAGAAGGCCAGGGCGGTCTCCGGCGCTCAGACCTCAGCCTGCCTCTCCGCCCCGCCCCTCTTGGGGGGCATCCCTTCTGTGCACGCCCACGTGTGAGCAGAGAAGCAACTCTCAGAAGCCTTCTGTGTGTTCAGGAAATGTGCGCGGGCGGCTTGTTCCCTTTTGCTCTGTCTAGGGTGAGCCTAGATGCTGCATCTCAAAGCAGACAGAGGGCTCTTTGGGAGAAGCCAGGTGTACCCGGAGGAGCCCTGAAGAGGTCCTCTGTGGCCTCAAGGCTAAGGCAGCAGAGAACGTGGGACAGGCAAACAGCAGGGGAGCCACAAGCTGTGCCCTGCAGACCGCTCCTCTTACTGGACTCCGTTCTGGGTTTTTCTCAATGAGCACGGGGCTGCTCCTGCTCGACCTGTCAGCGGAAGTGGCGCCATATGCTGGACCAGTGGCTGCGCATGCGGATGCGGAGCCTCGTCCATGACACTCACTGCGCGGGGAATCTGTATTCAAAACGTCTGGTGGATGTGAACAGCAGCAGATACAATAGGGGTTGTCTCTCTTTAATAATACCAGTGTGTTGGCCAGAGGGTGGGAACAGAAAAGATGCATCCGGGGAATTTGCGGACTTCTTTTGCCAGATTGCTTCAGAAAACCCTGAGGAGGGCAGTAAGAAAGCTGGGGAGGGGAGACAGGCAGGAGCAGAGGCCCTGGCCCTGCTGCCAGTGCTCCTGGGAGCCCTTCTGTGCGGCCCCCGTGCTCAGTTCATCTATACAGGGTGTGGGATGGAGCTCAGGTCAGGGGACCACTGGCTCCCATCCTAACCAGCACAGCGTAGTGGGTAGAGACAGGAGGAGAAAAGCGGTATCCCCGAGACAGAAACATGACAGTGAGCTCCCTGAGCTGACTCTTCACTCCTAGGGATTGCTTAGAAGTTTCCACCACACACCTCCGCCAGCTTCCCACAAGCCAGGTACCCGCAAGAGCTGTGGGAACCACCACTACACCCTCAGGGCCTGTCCACTATTCTGCCCACTGTACTCAGCAAAGGGGAAGATGCAGGCGGTCCCGTGCTGATCAAGGGAATCCCTGGACTGCAAACTCCCTGGGGACGGACCCAAACTGATGAGTGGGCTTGGCTGTCTAGACCCAGAGACCCTCGGGAGGACTGAATGTTTCTGGAATGATCCAGGATGGGGCATTCTGCAGCAATTCCCCTGAGGAATTACGTAGGACACCTCTGATGATGAAATTCTCCAAGGGCCAAGAATGAAATTGCAGAGTGCTGTCAGGTGTCACGGCCCCAGGGAAGGGGAGGGAGTTCGGAAATGTGGAGCTGAATAAAACCATGCTCTGGATTTGCTAGAACAACCCAGAGGTGGCTGAGTTCCTCCCACTGGGGGGTTATGGTAAGAAAAAAATGTACCCTGTAAGTGTTTGGAAGATACTTTTCTGAGGATGTGGGTGCACAGGAAGGAAAGAAGGGTCTTTTTAAACTTGCAGTGCCTTCAGATTGGTGGCTTAGATGGTTCTAGGAGGGAAGAAGAGAGAGGTCCCTAATGTGTCTCATTTGAAGAGTTTTTTGGTGAAGGTCAGTCTGCCCTGCCCTGCCTACCCTGTTCAGTAGCCCGAGCTTTCTGTGTGGACATAGCCAGCAACACAGCCCAGCCCAGCCCTGCCCAGCTGAGGTTTCTCTGGACTGTAAAGGAGTGAGCTCAGTCAAGGCATCACTGTGGAGTCTGAGATGAGCAGCATGACAGGACACTCCAGGACCAGGCAGGCGACTGTTGGCATGAATAGGCTGGCCCTCCTCACATGAGTGCTCTTGGTCAGAGCACTATGAGATCAGCTGTCCAGAGCCAAGCCGTCCTTATCTTGCCATATCAGCAAATATCAGCAAAGGGCCATATCATTGTGGCCCTTCTGGGAGGGAGGTTGTTTATTGAGGAATCAGATCCATGTGTGAGCTACCACTCCCTGCAGTCTGCAAGTCCAACCCTGTGCCTTTGGGCATCTCTAGGAAGGACTGAGTTACTGTGGGGTACTGGGTGGAAGGACTGGAAAGGTGAGGTGGACTCTGCCCCGAAGGTTCCTTTGGAAAGTAGTTTCCTTTATTATTACAGTGTTGAAAATTTTGAGGCACTTAAGTGATTGAACCCAATTTAGGGCCAAGGATAAAAATGTTCGCTGTAGATATTTTTCTGTTATGATTTTGGCTGACCTTATTTCAATGCTGCAGAATGAGATATTCTCAGTTGTTCCATTACCTCAAACTGCTTGTTAAACAATGTCTTCAGAAGGGGGAAAAAAACCCCAAAACTGGCTGATTAATAAAGTGCTCATGAAAGGGGTGAGATAAGGGAGCTGTCAGACCCACACACAGAGATGCCAAAATGTGGACTCAGCCCGACCTTGGAGACCTGCCTGACACTGTGTGACTTTTGCACGACTTCTCTGTCTCCACAGAGTCGAGATCTGCTTAGTGCCAAGTGTGATGTGGACACTTGCCTGCTGGATGGAGACAGAAACTCATTTCCCATCTGTCAAGCAGCCTGACACAGAGTTGGTAATGATTTTCTGTCAGGCGAGGCCTGGCTGGATTTGAACCCGTGACCCAGACGTAAAAGGGCCTGATGTAGGGCTCCCTTTACAATAACTGGCTGCCTGTACCTTGTTACTCCCAGCCCAGGACTCTCTCTCACATCTGCCCATGCTTTCTCCTCATGCAGCTGAAGTTTGGTTAGATCCTGACTTAGCACTGGGGCTAAGTGATTGATGTCCCTGGGCAAGCAGAAGATGCATTAGTGTCTTAGGGAATGGAAAATGAAAGGTGGAAGAAGAACGGGACGGTGGGACTGCAGTGTGATTAGCGTGTAGCCAAAAGCCATGTGCTCCTGTGAAGCCAGGGCCTGACCCTCTCAGGATCTGTGCAGCCTGTCGGCCAGCCAGACGGCTCCCATGCAAAGGCCACCAGGAGTGTGGGTCTGGAGTAATACTGAGTTTAGATTCTCCAGGTGTCAACTATTCTGGTGTTGAAATTGTCATCATTATTCATACTGATAGTTTTCATGAAAAAAGAGTCCCTTTCAGGGGCATCCATAGATGATTAACATGATGACCCCCGTTCACTGAATGATAATTAAGAGTCACACACCACTCTCCAAAAGCAGTGCTTCACAGGTGGAAAATATCTGTCCTCCAGAATCAGAAAAGCAAACTGGAGGGCCTTAAGGGTTAACTCATTATTAAACATTTATTGAAGTTCCTCCTAGCAGACAAGTGTTCTATCAGGGTTATAGACATAAGCAAAATGAGGCTCCCATTGAAGAAATTAATCATTTAGAGGGGAAGAGACATGTTGACAAAGAAAACCTGGTACAATCTGATAAGTGATATCAATAGCAAGTGAAGAAATTCAGTTGTCATTTGAAAATGAAGGCCTGTGTCTCACGATGGTGGGAAGCATTGAGAGAGCCTGGGAATTAGAGCAGAGGTAAAATGAAGGGAAGCACAGGTGTTGACCACATCAGAGACCCAGCTGGAATCTAGGCTTTCCCGCTTATAAGCTGTGGGACTTGGAACCTAGTCTCATGGGCCCTCCACATCCTAAGCTGTAAAATGGGAATAATTACACCAATGTCAAAAATTGCTGTAAGGATTAAATGGGTAAAGCATTTATCAGAGTGCCTGGCACATAGTAGGTGATTGATAACTGTCAGCAAAGGGCTTCATGAATTGGACAGGGGCAACACTGCAGGAAAAAAGAATAGCTGGGAAAGGTATTTTTAAGAAGGTGGTAGTGGGAAGCAGAAGATGTAGAGGAAAAAGGGGTTTTGCAGATGGAATCAATAGAATTTGGTGACTAACTGGATGTAAAAAGTGGGATGTGAAGGTTGAGGGGGAGGAGAGCCATGTGGTTGCTATGCCTACAGAGGAAGCTGGTGGAGAGGATGGAACATAGGGAAAGAAAGAAGTTATTGAATTTTCACTCAGGGCATGTGGGGTTAGAGGTGCCTGAAGATGCCCAAGTGGGAACATTCGGAATGCAATTAAAAATATGAGCTCAGGGCAACAGATTTGGGAGGTCTTGCCGGTTTACAGAAAGTGGCTGACATATGCAAATGGCTCAGATGTTCCCATTGGGAGAACACAGGGTATGGGAAGAAGGATCTGAGACCCGATTTTCTGGAAATGGGAACACTAAAAGGGTTAGTAGAAAAGGGGGCCTGGAAGGGTACAGCCAGCCACTCCTGGGTTATGGTGGCAACTGATGGAGTGGAAAGGTGACAATTCATCTTGGACACAATTAGAGCAGGAGGTGCAGCCCTCTGGGAGGGCCGTGACCACCAAGCAACTGCCCTAGGAGCAGCCCCAGAGTTGGAGCTCCTCTCTGACAGGTGTTAGGCAATTGGAGTCAATGAGGGTAGCTCTGTCTGTCAGCCGCATTGCCAGATGGTTCTCAGCTGGACTCAGCGCATTTGGAGGAGTTGGGCAAAATCTCTACTTGGTGTTCTTTGCAGTAGGTAGGAAAAGGCAAGCAGCAACAGTGGGCCTGGAGGACCTTTCAATACGCACTTGCCCCTTTGTGTTCTTGGGGAGGCCTGCTGGAAGCCAGGGAGGCCTGTTGCTACAGCCATCTTAAAATCCAGAATCCAGTGTCTTCATTAACTAATGAAGTAGACACTCACACCTTGGTCACTTCCTGACTTGATTAGTAATGTTTAATGGGCACCATAATAGATCTTTTGCATAGATTAGAAGTCATGCAGAATAGAGCCTGACATGTGCCAACACACTTCGACTCCACACACCCAATATGGTTTGCCCATCCATTGTTGAATAACAATCATAGCTGGCACTCATTGAGTTCTTGCCAGGCACGGTAACAAGCTGTTTGCTGGAATTATCTCATTCGACCCTAATAACAACCCTATGATGTTACATAATTCTCACATTGGCTTCATAAGAAGATAAGTGAACTCTTCAAGTGACAGTTTGCTTCTTCTTCAGCATGCACAAGACTTCTCAGGCGTGGACAGATTAGCTGCTAAGAGGGAGGGGGATTGTCAGAATGCACCACACATGAGACAACAATAGCAGTGGGGCCCAGAGTTGGAAGTCTTGGTAAACATTTATTTGTGGAAAAGAAACTGAGTAAGTTCTAGCCATGTTGGCAAAACCAGCCCAGGAGACCACACTGACAGCAGTGCTCTCTGTGAGCACACAGAATCAGAGTCCAGACTTCCAGCAATGAGCACAAGTCAACATCGTTACAAAAATTTCAAGTTTAGAATAGCAGATAATAAGGAAATGACCCATTTCTAGGGTGGAGGGCAGGGTCCATTTCCTCATCATGTTGTCTTTTACTACCAGTGAACTCTGAGACCTGGTATATATGTCAGAAACCCAAGGCTCTTTCCTTCCAACTGTCTGGAATTTCTGAGTTGTAGGGCTTTTGACTCACTCCACATGAAGACAGAACATCCTGTATTAAAACTTTCATTGAGGGCCGGGCGCAGCGGCTCACGCCTGTAATCCCAGCACTTTGGGAGGCCGAGGCGGGCGGATCACGAGGTCAGGAAATTGAGACCATCCTGGCTAACACGGTGAAACCCCGTCTCTACTAAAAATACAAAAAATTAGCCGGGCGCGGTGGCGGGTGCCTGTAGTCCCAGCTACTCGGG
Source organism: Homo sapiens (assembly GCF_000001405.40). Classification (NCBI taxonomy): domain Eukaryota; kingdom Metazoa; phylum Chordata; class Mammalia; order Primates; family Hominidae; genus Homo; species Homo sapiens. The sequence goes on from NC_000004.12 coordinate 146,249,326, forward strand.
AGGCTGAGGCAGGAGAATGACATGAACCCGGGAGGGGCAGCTTGCAGTGAGCAGAGATTGCGCCACTGCACTCCAGCCTTTGCAGAGCTCAAGAAGTTCAGAATCATTGCGACTTTCCAGAATTTTAGCACATGAGAAAACAAGATCTTCCAAGAACTATGAGGTTTTTGGGCTGTCATGGAGTCTACTTAGTGGTTAGACATGTGGGCTCTTGGAGTCAGGAAAAGTTGAATTTGAATCCCAACTCCACCACTAAAAGAGTTGTGAGGCTTGCATTCCCTGCTTACTGTTTGGTCTCAGTTTCCTTACCTGTTCAATGCAGATAATAATGGTACGTATCCTACTAGGGTTGTTGAAAGAATTAAATGAAAAATTCGAGTAAAAAATTTAGTACTGGCCTGTCGTGTAGAGGTATGCTGGGGTTGGCTGTACCAGCTTGTGAGAGCCAATGGTGCACATCTCTTCCTAACTCTGCCTTCGGTGCTGGTAGCTTGAAACCAGCCCAGTCAGGAGCATTTATACTCCAGCAATTGGCAAGTGCTGCAAATCAGAGCAACTAGTATGAATTGTAGCAACTATCGTTACAATCCCCCATTCCATCTGAATATGTATTAACTTATATTTGGATGTAATGGTTTGAGAATGAATTCCATGTTCTGTGGGAAGTATTCTCTCCCCAAGATTTCCAGGAGCTTCCATTCTTCTGATCATCTCATGCACAGAATTCCTGCCTATGACTTGGTGTCTTTATTACTGGAATGCTTGCTTCCTGTCCTCTATATACCCTCTTGGTGGATGCTGAACGTTTTACTTCATTTTCTCCCAAATGAACAAAAAGCTCTGATGTAAGGCAGATTTTCACTAAAGTTTTTTTTTTTTTTTTTGAGTGGGGAGGAAGGGAGGGGACACACGTGTTTTAGAACTGCAAAAAGTGCAAATAACTTAAACTAACAATGCTGCTGCTGATAGCAACCACTGCCATTGCCACCACCGTCACCACTCACACAGGTCACTAAGTATGTGCCAGGCCTGCTCCTAAATGCTCTGCGTGTATTGATGTATTTAGTCGCTGTCTTCAGGAGGCCCTTGCCATTACTGCCATCAGACATTTCTGTGTCTTTCCTCCTCAGTCTTCAGCCATACTGCTAAAAAGTCTACTGCTAAAAGCTTCTATTTCTCTTTTTTCTTCTCTTCTCTCCATTCTTGAACGTCTCAGCCCTTCTTTCCGTGCTGTCTACTCTCACCCCAAGTTCCCCTCACATCACTTTGTAGAACAATTTGATTCTTGTCTTGCCTTCACCCACCTAGGTTGTGCTTAAGCCTTCCTCTTTCTTTCTCATGATGAAAAAGAGGTTTTTCTTGACAAACGTCCAATAGCCTAGACATGACTTATGCTGTTCCCTCAAGAAGAAGGACAGGTCGCACCAGTTTGTGTTACATGCTTATTATAAGCCCTCCAAAATGTGATCAAAGTAAAATGTAAAATTATACACCACCTCTGCATTTCTACTTCCTTGAAGTAAACACTGTGAAATATAGTCTAAAAATGGTTAAAATGCTCCTACTTAATAATTTTGTGGCTTTGGGCAAGCTACTTAGTCTGTGATTCAGTCTTGTCATCTATAAAACAGGGTTAATATTACCTACGTCATAAGGTTGGTGAGGGTAAAATGAGATAATGTTCAGTGCCTGGAAAAGTACTAGGGATAAAGGAAGAGCTCAATAAATGGTAGTTATAATTATCCTTCCAAATGTTTTTTAAGCATGTAGTGTCCCTACAGATATGTAACATTTTAGTTAATGAAAATATCGGATCTGTAAAAATAGGATCAAAAATGCATATTTTTTCCTGAAATGTACTTTTTCCTCCCCCTCAACAAAATACTGCTATTCCAAGGCAGTCTACCCTCACTCCTTTAAATTGGTCCAAATGTTCTAAAGAAGGCACCATTGATTATTTAAACGCTTCCCTGATTCGGGGAATTTGGGTGTTCTTTGTGGTCTTACCAATACTCCGAACACATCCTTGTCAGTGGACTCTTGTGCACTTATTTCTGCAGGGTAGACTCCCAGAAATGCAAGAGTTGGGTTGAAGGGCACATATATTTAAGCTTTGGATAGTAGTGTTAAATAGCCCACCACAAATTCCATCTCATTTACACTCCCACTACAGGGCAGAAGTGCCCTGCCCCACACTCTGTCAGTATTTGAATATTATGAAACTTTAAACTTTTTGTCAATCTTTTTCATGGGTGAAAAATAGTATCTCATTTAAATGTACATTTCCCTGATCCATGGTAAGTTTGAATATTCTAAAATGTCTATTATTCGTTTTTATTTTGTCTTCTATAAATTAGCCATTTATATCATTTGCTTGTTTTCTACTGTACTTAAAAGTCAAATACTCCCTTCTCTCTCCCTGACATTTAGGGAACAGCTTTTCCAGGACATACCTGAATCCTCATATTGCCTCATTCCAAGTTCAGAAATGTGAGCTCACCTAAATGAGAGGGAAGTAGAAGTGATGATGCTTGTCAGGTTATATAGCCATCTCGGGGAATATGGCTTTTTAAAGCTTCCCATGGCCATTGCAAGTAGATCTTAGGGCACATTTGGAAAGTTAGAGAATGAACAGAGCTAGCTGCATTTCTGTGAATTTTGGGATTGGGGAGAGAAGAGAAAAGAAGGGAGGTGGGCGGGGAGAGCAGGTAACAGGGCAGGTAGATGGAGCCTTTGGGGAGGGAGGGGTGGTCAGTGAGAAATTCCAGATGGCTGGTGGCTGGCAGATGGGCAGGAACAGGATGTACAGTAGTCATTTAAGTTTGCACATCCCCAGGCCGGGCGTGGTGGCTCATGCCTATAAACCTAGCACTTTGGGAGGCCGAGGTGGGCAGAGTGCCTGAGCTCAGAAGTTCGAGACTGGCCTGGGCAACATGATGAAATCCCATCTCTACTAAAAATACAAAAACTTAGCCAGGCTTGGTGGCAAGTGCCTGTAATCCCAGCTACTTGGGAGGCTGAGGCAGGAGATCGCTTGAACCTGGGAGGCAGAGGTTGCAATGAGCTGAGATCACGCCTCTGCACTCCAGCCTGGGTGACAAGAGCGAGACTCCATATCAAGAAAAAAAGAAAAAAGTTTGTACATCCCCAGACTTTCAGTGTGTTGAGACTTCTGTAGTGATCAAGTAACTGGAGCTGAATTCCATGTCTGGGTGGATGAAGTTCACAGAAGAGAACAGCCATGGCGTTTGAGATGCCGGAGAGTTCAGAAGTGGGTGGAGATCTGGGAGAGCCCGTTTCAGGTGATTTGGATGAGGACCCTATGATCCAGCATGACCCTGTGATTTCAGTGCCTTTGTTTGCACTCGTGTTGACAACCACACCGCACCCTGCTAGAGTGACAGTGTTCAATGTTTAATACAGAGTTTCTCATAATCAGGTTTGAAGAGAAGTTCTCCAGAGTCTACAAAATTTTTTTCCCTTTAAATGGGTTTTGCATTTTACTCACATTTGAGAAAAACTGTCCTATAGTGCAACTAAGATTTGTTAAAGAAAGTCTTATAAGACCTTTCATATATTGCCTGTATACAAACTGACGATGATAATTTTTATCTAGTTTTTAAAGTAAGTACATCAGAATTTCTATAAGGAAATCTTTTATTTTTTATGTATATAAAGCTTTCATCAATTCAGATCGATCTAACTTGATTTAGCTTAAATTACTGAGGGTCTATTGTTCTGTCAAGGCATGCAAGATGAAAGTTGCTTGCATATCATACCTGCAGTCTTGCCTTGGAGAGTTAATATTTACACAGCTATGAAGTAATATATTCCTATGAGGAGCACAAGGCAGTGCTTCACAGTTTATTCACAATAGGAATTGTAGTAAAAGAGTCAGTTTTCCTTATAAATTAATAATGACCCGATATAGAGAAGAGTGCTTGTAATTGTGAAGGTTCATGTCCTACCTATTAAGATCACAATTTGAAAAGTCAATACACATTTTTTGGCTACTACTTTGAGCCAGGCATTGTGCGAGGCACAGTAGAAAAACAGAAATGTTTACTGCACTGGAGGAGACAGCAATATAAACTAATGATTAAACTATGCAGAGGTTTCAGAAGACTTGAGGGACACGTTGTAAGGACATGTCAAAGGACGCAAGTATGGCACTGGCTTGGGAAGTCTTCATGGAGGAGGTGACATTTTTGTCAGGCTTCCAGGGGAAGAGGATTTCTATGCCAAGAAGACAGCAAAGACAAGAACACAAAGGTATGAAATTCTATACAAGGTAGCTTGCTCATCAAAGAAACACTGGTGTTGGGAATGGCATTCTAAGGTTTATCATTCCTATTTCTCAAAACTGAAATTCAGATCACTTACATTTTGTCCCTTCTGCTGCATATGTTTTCCTTTTGGTCCTAAACCTTGATGCAGAGAAAATATCTCTCATAAAAAGGCAAGGGCTACCTCTAGATTTTAACATCATGGTGTGGTGGAGGTACCCATAGAAATACCCGGGAGACTATGAAGTTTACATCTATATAACGACAAATGACATAACGGTGCAGAAATGAATCAAGAGAAATCTAAAGACACTTAGAAGGCATCACAAGGCCATCTGAAATCAGGTTAAAAATAAGCCACAGTTTCTCTTGTGATTTCTGAAACATTCTTTGTTTAATCATATAATTATTTTCATCTTCCAGTCATCATAAATAATCCACTTTATGACTTAACCAATCCTTTTGAAAAAATTTGGTATTTAGCACAAACACTGAACATTAGCTAGAGGTGTGTTAATTTTTAACAGAATAGGGAAAAATTTTAAAAAACCCACAAAAATTTTAATACTAAGAAAAAACATGAAAATACCAACATTATTACCCATTAAAAAATCTAATTTTGTAACAACCATTAAAAAAAATCCAGGTGGAAAAATGAGTAAACATAAATATAATCTAATGTATTTCTTTCATAAATACATTTAGACAAAACAAATGCATAAAACAGATAGCTTTACAGTGTATAAACATAACAAAATATTTTAAGCTCTGAATAATTAAATCCCAATAAGCATGAATTAAAAATAAATTTTGATTTTATTTTTTGTTCTTTATGAAAAAATATGCCAAGGAATTTGTGTAAAAAAAAGAAATAGGCATAAACATATCACTAACGCCACCAAAGTTCACTATGTAAAGATTATTTGAAAACAAAGCACATTTTTAAAGCAAACGATAAAATGTTATCATAGCATTTTCAGTTGAATTTTATCCCATGATCACACCTACTATAGGTGTTAGACAATAGAGGTAGATAAGTTGGGGGCGGGGATCAGTATTTTAATGTTAGGGAGAAAGATTTTTATGATAGGGCAGATAGATGACAGACAGACAGACACTTCCATTTACTCCAAAATTCAAAGAAACTTGTAGGAACAAAACCTAAGAGCCTTCCTGTGCTCCATAGGTAAGCACAATTACCTAAGCAAAATTACTGTAGTTTTAGACACAAGTAAAATTCTTTATAACAGTGTGTACTACAGCCTGGTTAGCATAGATTTTTGCAGGATCTGGCATTAGCCTTAAAATTCACACTGAGAATAACTCTTATGAAATTTATTCAATGACATTGACAAAAGATGAGACCTGGTAGTAACAATAATATAAATTTACACAGTAGATAAACTTGGTGAGTTTCTAAGGAATGATTTTTTGTTGTGGGCATAATAACGAAACAACAAAAACAGCTGCTGAGGACATAGCACGGCCTCAGTGAGACCCAGGATGCCAATATTGTCTATCAAATCAAGAGAGGACGTGTAAGAGGATGTGACAGGACGGCATGGGGGAAACACAGAAAAGTGTTCTCGTAGTTCTATACGTGGCTTCATTCTCTACTTGGGTCCAGTTACAGTTCTTGCAGCTATAGCAGAAGCAAATATTGGACACTCATTTGAAAGCTGCTGCCCCGTTGGGAACTAATTTTACTTGATATTTTGGTTATTAAATGGTTTTGCATGTTCTTTTCATCTGGAGAGACAGAATGTGTATATGTAACATTTGTTTGCATCCATGACCTTTATATTTTCATTTATTCATGAAAGCAATATGATTTAACTTCTAAAAAAATATTGCCAACATTTGTCAAATCTGCCAAGGAAATTTTCATTAATAAATTGTCTCAAATACCTTAAGTGTGCTTAATTCCAGGATGTAACAGGCTGCTTTTGGCCAACAGGGGCAATCTGGAAAGTGCTCAGCACATCTGCGTAATAGGAAAAAAATTTGGTCTGGGTTGTGGAATGTGAATAGAATCTACCATTAATTGATGCTGCTTTCAAACTGATTGTAACATTTTTGTGCCTCATATTTGGCTGTTATGAGTGTGTAAGTGCAAGACAGAAATTATTGAATAAAGAGGAAGAAGATATTAAGATATATTTTAAAGACCCTGAAAATCAAATCACAGAGTTTAACTCAAAATTTCACATGATTTCACTCATAATTCAAACATTCAGACCCTTTCTTTGAAGCAGCTTATAATAAATTTAAGACATATAACCACAATCTCTCATAATGGGAGTGAGGAATTTCTGTGTGGAAACTATTTGAAGGAATGTCTTTAAAAATGATGTCAAGGAATGCATATATCTTACGCTTTTCAGCATCTATTCGATCTATGACCCCTGCTGAGTTGATAAGGAAGAGGCATGTCACAGTCGTAGAAAAAAAGAATCACACAGTAAATCAAAGTATGCATGAATAAGACTTTGGAAATTTTCACTGTCATCAGAAGGGCATTTTCCTGATGGTGTGACCTCATTTCAAACATTACAGTAACTACTATAGGGTTGTATTGCACAAAGGTGCTGCAGGGAAAGCATGTTTGCTTTTTGTCACTTACCATGACTGATTCCTGCATTAGGAAAGCAAAATTAACCCCCAAATATTGTACCACCCCTGGCAGTAATCAACAAAGCATATTTTGGAAATAACGCTCTTGTCAAATACATTTTAAGGCACTTAAACAGGATCTCATATTTTTGTGTAAAAAAATAAAATATGCATTGAGGCAACATTCACAAGTACAAGTCTTCAGAATTGCTAGTATGTACAATCCTGTACATATATACATTGCTACAGAAAGTCCACCTCCTTTGTTATACTGTCGGCCTTGTCAGCTTCACTCCCTACAAGGAAGGAAAACATGTTCAGAGTTGGACAGTATCCATGAGGAAAGTGAAAGCATCAATTAACACCAGATAATTTATGCTATTAGAAGGAAGAAGAGGCCCACCCAGATGGCATCATATAACCAATAATCCAAACCTCTGGATACAAACAGATTTCCCTGCCCACCTCTCTGGCCAGCAGACTTTGTCATTTCCCCTCCCACACCTGGCCTGGCTACTCGTATGGTTCCCCTGTGCACTAGATGGTAGCCTTGGGTCTCAATCAGTACTGTGTGCAAAGCAGAGGAGGCACTCATGGATACCTGGAGGATGGACTCTTGGTATTTATTTTAATGCCCAAATTTGATGGATAGATATTCCAAGCCTTCTGGATTATTCAAGTTAGCCAGTGGCCCCCTGGTTTGGAGTAGTTTCTACACAAAGGAAAAATGAACAACAGTGTACAATTTAGTCTCCCTTTTGGAAATGCTTCTGTTATTCTACAGAACAAATTCTAGAGCTTTTAAATGTTTGGAAGAAAAATTCACTCTGATTAATTTGCTGTTCACTATGGCTGTATAATATTGATGAGTATTAGGATTTTCAAATAATTTTCTTCATTCTTTGTCAAAATTTACATGTACAAATTCTGACTGACAATTGCACACATATTGATAAACATAAGCATAAATAGAAATAGAAAATTTCAAAGGGGATAAACAGTAAAAGAAAGAAAAAGTTACTGAACTGTTCCACAACCAACTCCGAGTAGGAGGCTCAGAGCCTGGAGTGGTACCCAGCATAGAAGAGGAATCTTTTTTATGTTAACATTTTGTTAAATAACTGAATTAGTGAACATGTTGGATGGGCTGAACTTCTCAGGTAGGATCCTGGGTGCCTAGGGCAAACCTTCTAAAAGTGATGTTACATTTCTATCTGGAGTGTCATCACCGTGTTGGGTAAAGATTTTGGGGGTCAAATAGCCCAGTGTTCAGGTCCTAACTCCAGCACTGGCTGAACTACCCTATGGTCTCAGGCCAGCTGCTCAACTCCCTGAGCCCATTTCCTAACCCATAAAATGGAGAGAGCAAAGCCTGCAGTGAACATCATTGTAGATAATGATGAACAATGATGATAATAATTATGGCAGCTAGCATTATCAAACACTCATCACGTAATCCTCTACAACCCTAGGGTGTAGATATTATCATTAGTCAGCAGAAACTGAGCTACAGAGAAGTAAAGTATGCCCCAGGTTACAGGATGAGAAGGCCAGCAGCCTGAGCTCTGAGCCCAGGCAGGCTGGCCCAAGATCCATCCTTTGAACCAGGTAGAGGATAGGATGTGCTTAGCACACACAGTGCTCAATAGGTGGTACTGTGGCCATCCTATTTTCAGGATATTAAGAACATGACACAGGGCACTTGTCATTGGATACCTCTTCTTCCCACACATCTCCTGATAACAGTCACTACTTTGTGAATAGACAAAAATAAGTCCTGGTATGTCCAAATCACTGGGAAGGAGTCAGTTCTATCAATGCTACCACGTGATATGCACCATCTAAACTTCTTGTGAATCACCTGGTTTACTTATTTTGTTGATAATTTAGGAAATGAAATCCACAAATATCTAATGTGTACAAGATTCTAAGTGTGGTGAAATTAACATTGCATGGACTTCTTAGCTACTTAAAGTTTATTTTTTAATGCCCAAATGCAGTTTTGCTGTACAAATAGGTTATTATATATCTGGAAAATTAAAAATAAAGTAGGCAACCTGGATAATGCCAGGTTCTATCTTATTTGGAAAGGCATGTGAAGTAAGACATAGATGAAAGACTGAGGCAAAGATGGTATGCACCAGAGTGGAGCAGGTATCTATTTGGAGTATATTTACTGAACCTTTACCCCATATAATATGCCCTTCAATATGAATGAATTCAAAAGAGCTTGTAAAAACTGCATGTTAAGTATAATTGTCTTTTATAACAATTTAAAATCTTTAACCTCAACCCTCCTGTTCAAATTGGAATGGATCAGTGCACCATTATTATTGTATTTAAGTAAGAAAATATGTACTTGAAAACAAAGATATGCAAGCAAAATCGAAAGTGTATGAACAGTTCAGATTCAGGAACAGCATTTTAATCTAACTTGGATCCAAATAAGATCTTTCTGGGGACTCACCTTCTGCCTTGATACCATCCAAGACTTGATTGTTGGCACCAACACACTTCCCAGAAGGATCTGAGCTGGGTGGTAGATGAGCAAGGGTACAGATATTAAAGAGAGATGCTCATGGCCTGCAAACACGATCTTCAGCATCGGAATTCCTGTTGAACAAAGAAGACAGAAAACCTAAACCAAATTCAGTCTGTCATCAAATTAAATGCATACTCCATCAAAATCAGAACTTTGGAATAGGTTATTACCATATTTTCTCATGTTTATTCACAGAACTGAAATGGGAAAGTCTGAAATGGGTCACCAAAACTTTCCATCTTTCTTTCATGACATAAAGTTCTAACTAGGATAAGGTGGAAAGATGGTCAGTATTCGAGGGTACCAATAATTCTCACGGCAAATTAGAAGCTTATCTAACAAGGAGAGGAGAGAAGATTGCGTGTGATGGAGTTGCTTTAAGAAGGCTGAAAAATATTGGTGAGGGAGATGCTAAAAATGGATCTCTTCTTGCTTAGTAGTGAGATAGTCTGTTGGTCTTTAGGGAGGCCTGCTTGGCACCAGTTCAAAGTCCCAAAGCTTGCTTTTGAGAGTAAAAAAATACGGTAAGATCATGTATGGTATACACTGCTATAAGTAGGAAGGCATTTTAGTCAACTGGACCTTAAAGGATTTGTATGTTCCCTTTCAGCCAAGGATCTTAAAGTGCTTTACGATCATTAGGTAAGGGTCATACAGATTGGTCTATGGAAGATGAATACAAAAATTAGCCAGGCATGGTGGTGCACACCTGTAGTCTCAGCTACTCAGGAGGCTGAGGCAGAAGAATCGCTTGAACCTGGGAGGTGGAGGTTGCAGTGAGCTGAGATTGCATCACTGCACTCCAGCCTAGGTGACAGAGTGAGACCCTGTCTCGAAAATCAGGGCTGAATGTTTAAACTCCACAGTGAATGTCTTCATGGAACTCAAATGAATACTACTTCATGAGTCTACTATTCTATTATACCAAGAGCTGGGTGTGTATATTTTATAAGCTGCTGCCTATAGAGCATAATTTTTGAGCTTCTATAACTAACACAATTCAGACACTAGCAGTCTAACTATTATTACTAATTGTTTTAATGCAGCCACAGTCTTCAGAAGTGCTATGTATGTATCAGCTTCTTCAACTGAATAGCTTTAATAGCCTAGCTTTCTTGTTTCTCTGATAACAGCCTCTGAAAAGGACCTAAGCTCCTAACCATGTACAATGATGGCACATAAATAACTTTTTATTAGAACACAACAAGGAAGGCTTAGCTTTTTCAATTATTTTTACCTTCTAATAAATTTCAAACCTTTATGCACAAAATGTGTTTCATGGTTACTTTCTTTTTCACAGCCTCACATATCATTGCCATAAACTGAAAACACTTAACTCTTCCCAAACATAGTCTCTGAGAGCTTCTAAAGTACATGCTTAGATTTTTTGCAGTTTCTGTCTTTATACTAACATAAAAAATGAAGGGCCTTTTTTTAAAAAAAAGCTTTAAAAATCTACTGCTGAAAAGCAGCATCTGATACTATAGTTTTGAAAAGCTGTTACAATGAGAAAATAAAATCTGAACACAACTCCTCCTGTTTCCAAGAAACGTTATTCATTCCTTGGCCCAAAGAGGTGATGCTAAGACATTGGGGGATGGGAGTGGAGTAAATGTGAGGCTAAAGGGAGCAAGTGATAGAAGTATCATGATATTTTGTCCCTAAAAATGACCAGAGCAGGATTTGCTAACCCCAGATTTGAGGACTGAGGCTGCTGGGCTAAACCACCTATGTTGTCCATTCTTAGCTAAGAATCTGGGCTCTGTGTCATTCAGTCTTCAGCAAGCTTAAGTGATCTCAGAAGGGAAGCCATAGAGATAGTCCCAGATGCTGCTGCTACAATAAGTAAACAAAAAGTTCTATTGATGAGGAAACTGAAGCACCTAGTGGTCAGGAAAATTTCTTAGTGGTAGGCTCTAAACTGCGACTCAGGCAACCTGAATTTCCAGTTCTCCATATCAGGTAAGGTCAGTTCCAGATGCCATGGGCACTGCAGCTGCTGTGAAAAGGGAGAGGGCCTGGCATGCAAAACACTTTCAAGTCCAGCTGTCCTTTTGGAACTCATTCTCCTTGAAGACCTCCCAGAAGCACTTCCAGGGGCAGTATGGTGTCAAACTCCCGTGCTCGCCACACCAGGACGTCCCTGTGATTTCAAATATGTCAAAAGCAACTGCTAGGGCTACCCCAATAGTGGCAAGGAAGCCATGGATTCAAAGACATAGCTTTGATCCTCAAGAAGCTGAAGGTGGACAAATGATCTCTCCCTTCTTTGGACCCTAATGTCAAGTTTTAGGAAGTTCTCTTCCGGCCATTGCTGGTTCTTCAGCTCTTATCTCTCTCCTTCAAACACACCCTTCTCTCCACTGCTCTTGCAAGGAAGCTGGGACTCTGCAAACACCTGTCCTTCTGGTCAGCTGCTCCTTGCAAGGGGCCCCAGAGGAAGGCTGGAGGAGGAGGAGGAATTTCTTTCTAGTCTGGGCTTCCTGCCAGGCCCCTTCACCAGTGCAGGGGTACTTGGCTCCAGCCTATAACTCATCATGCCCCTGAGGGCCACAGCACCAGCGGGGCAGTGCCCCTTCTCAGATGTCTGAGAACCTGCTCTGCTGCCTCTCTCCAAGCTTCTAGGTTCTGAAAATTCTAACTTCTTCCCTTTGCCCCCCCAGCTCCAGCTACTTTCTGCATTTATTTGTCTTGTTCCCTCACTGTTGCCATTTCCCTTTTCAGCTTTCCAACACTATTTAATCAATTCCCTGTATTCAAAGGGTGATTTCTGCTTTCCTGACGGACCCTGGTTGCCCTCTTCTTACTCTGCCTTGTATAACAGTCATTCCCTTTGCTTGAAAAAGAGAAGGGATCCACGATCACTTGCAGCTGCGGCCAAAATTTGTCAAATTAAATAGGAATTTCCCCCTACCACTTTATGTGCCTGCAATATCTTCTTGCTAGTCATTAATCAAATTTCCTATCTCTACCCCCACAAGTGAATAATGTTAAAAATATGTTTGAAAATAATATATCAGAGAAAAAAATAGCTCCCAGAGGTCATGGTCCAAGTCTCTTTCATGTACCCTCTCTATGCCACTCTCACATGGTGGATTCACAAGTCAATCACTCGCCAGGGGGAGGCCCACTCCAGCGACTCGAGTCATATGTTACTTGTTTTAGGAAACTTTATTTTATTTCAGACAATGCATGTCTGAAAGATGCTAGAAGGCCCATATTGTAAATGGATTCTTTTTCTGACTAACTTCCACCAAAAGCATTTCCCCCACTGCTCTATGGACTTAAAATTTTCCTTTTCAATCATTCAATTATCTACTTTCCTTTTCAATTATTAGAGTTTCTTCTAAATCTATTTATCTCAACCTTTTCTTTCCTTGCTTTCTTTCAACCTCTCCCCCACTTCTCCTCCCTGCAATCCCAAGCATCTACTTAGTACATCTTCAGTTTCTCCAAGGTCAGAATAGAAAGAGAAGTTGGGATAAGCAGAGTGAGAGTTAACACTTCCCATGTTCGAGTTTCCATGCTATGGTGGCGATCATTTGGAAGTGGTGAGCTCAATATCTCTTCTCTAAGGCATCTTTGCTGTTAGCAGCACTATCTGGACAACAACTGGAAACTTGGGGGTCATCTCAATTGTTGAGAGAGGTTGAGAACCTGCTAAAAGCCACTGCACTTACCACACTGTGATTTCTGTCAGCTGGCCAAGAATTCGGCAACATTTGCTCTTCACATCAAATCAGAGAAAATCAGCTGCATCTCTTATTCCAGAAGACTATGTAACGCACCACTCTTTTGTCCTCATCACTCACTTGCTTACTAATCCACTTGCTCACTGATTTATTCAATTAGAACTCATGTAACTGATCAAGTACTCTGTAGAAGGGCTAGGAATCCTGGGAAGCGTGATTTGACCTAACCCTGCATTTCCATAACTTACTGGGCACATGGGTGACCACTCACACCTCCATCCCCCTCACCTTCGTTTAAGAGCACCTCTTCCACAGTCTCGAACCAGTCTCTCTGCCTTCAGAGTTGTCCTGTCCAAGCCATTTTCTACTCTGTGACCAGAGTGAACATTCTAAAGTGCAAATCTGATCGTGTCACATCACGCAGAAGTGTATCACACAGGAGAGATCCCTAAGTGTGGCATAAGAGCATAAGAGGACTTCATGACTTGCCCCAAGCTTTTGCTCTTTTTCACTCTAAATCTCACTACTTCTCTGCTCTTTGACCTGGGCGCTCCAGCCATGATGGGCACCTTGTGGTCCTCCCACCCATCCTTGGCCACGTGCCATTCTCTGTCTTGCCCCTAGGCTTTGCACCTGAGCTCTTTCTGCCTAGAATGCTCATCACCCATTCATGACCCACCCAACTCCTCTGTATCCTTTAGCTCTCAGTTCTTAGGTTGCCTCCTCTGGGAAGCCATCCTCAGAGTCCCAAGGTGGCCTTTAGATCCTTTCCACTCCATGCTTACCTACGCCAGGGCATTCCAGCCTCACCTTCGCTACCCTTATTATCATTGCCTGCTTCTTGTGCATTTCCTTTACCAAGCTGTAAGCTTCTTAGGGTCAGCAACAGTTTCTTCTTCATTGTTGAGCATATGGTAGGTGGTCAAAAGGAGTGTGTTGAATGAATGAACTTGTATTTTTCCAGATTCTGTCATAAAGTTATTGTGCAGACTATCACTCCATTTTTACTACATTTGTTAATTAGAAAAAAAAAGTAATAATTAAAAAACCCAAACAAACTTACTAGAAAGAGTTTTCCTTTTAAAGTAAAATTTAAATATAGGACTCTTTTCATCTTGCTATCACTGCGGTAATATAAATGAAGCAAATTAATTTTAATGCTCCCAGGTACTGATTCTGTGTCACCATGGTTGACAGGATTCAACTAGACTTTATGAGATGGCATTTGACTTTATGGAAGTGAACACTATGCACGCATTTACAATTTTACAGGGACTTTAAGCTGTCATGCTGAAAAATGTTTATAAAACATTAATCAAAAAATGCCTCTTTAATACAATGCATTGTCTGAAAGATGTTAGAAGGCACATATTGTAAATGGATTCTTTTTCTGACTAAAGTAATTTCCACCAAAAGCATTTCCCCATTGCTCTACAAGTACACTGTGTGGATAGATAAAGAGCACTTTCTCAGCACATTACTACCTGATCCAAACACTTGGGAAATCACTAATGTACAGCATGCCATATTTCCATGTCACACATGACACATTTGTCTAAAATTATCCAACAGAGTTTGACACTGCAGCATATTCCATAAGCAGAGCTTTCAACTGACATCTGCCAAGTAGCAACTTCAAGTAAGAGCTTTCTTCCTCTAACAAGCAAGTAAGGATTTTCTTTTATCCTATACCCAGGATGGAAAGGATAAAACAATATGTACAAGAACAAGTTTTTTTTCTATTTTAAATATGTTTATTTTATGTTCTCTGAATTAAAAAATTCCCTTTGTATCAGTGTTCAAGCTTCAATAATAACTACTTTCTATTGGATGGACAGTTTTTTATTTTTCCTTGAGAAACAGACATTTTTCTTCTTAGATTAAATATGGACTTTTATTTAACTTCCACTGAAGGCTGCTCTATTGTTCACAACATAAAATGATCTACTTTACATTATTGTTCAGAGCTTACTTACTTGTGTAGGTGTGCTATGTTCCTACCATTCATTCATTCATTCATTCATTCATTAACAAAATACTTTTTGGGCCTCTGCTATATGTGAGTTACTGGTCTAGGTGGTAGGGATATCAGGAGAATGGCCCAGACAAGGTGCCTACTTTCTTGGGTGCTGCCTTCTCATAGCATTTGTCCTAACCATGTTGGCTTTCTACAATTAGATGGGTGAGTGCCAGCCCCTCACAACTCCTGCTGCAACTGCAACTCCTACAGCCCCTGCAACTCCTACTGTCACTAGCTTACCTACTTTCTACCACCCAAAGTTCGGGGATCATCTTTGACAAATTCTATTTGTTCTTCCACCTCTAGATTAAGTTACCAAATTCTGTAGATTTTTTTCCTCATTTACCAGTCCCTTTTCCCCTCAGTTTTCACTGCCATCTTCCTAATTCAGCTCCTCATAAAATTAAGCTAAGATTATACTTATAGCCTTCTGACATAACTCCTTGTCTTCAGACTCTTCCCTCATCAATCCTACAAATCACAGTGAGATTAATATTCCCCAAATCCACAGTCATTAAAGCCAATACCCTGCTCAAGAGCTCCAATGACTTTCCAGTGTCCATTCATCAAATCCTCTACTTATTCGACTTCAGTAAAAAACAATCATTACTACCACTATTATGTAAGCACTACTGGATGCTAAGTGCTCTGCCTGCACCATCTCCTTTAAGCCTTACAACAGATCTAGGAAGTAGGTGGCAATTTTCCCATTAAAAGATGAGGAAACTGAGGTTTAGAGCAGTTAAGTACCTTGCCTAATGGCCTACGCTGGTATGCAGTGGAGGCAGAATTGGACCCCAGTGTGTTTACTTTTAATCTCTAAGCTGTGTTAACTGCATTAAACCAAAGTTTCACTTGCCAATTGCTATCACTGGCTCAGGGCTGGCACTTTTTAATCCTTGTTAAAGCTGAGCCCTGCATTTTTCTCCATATACCTAAATCCTTTGGGGTCACCAAGGCTCAGTTTTCTATTTTCCTCCATGATGAAGGTGGCTTTCCTATTGATTTCTTCATTTTTTGGAAGAATGAAGCCACTCGTTCTAGATGCATCACATAATTTAGCCTTTGATGATGTTGCCATTATTTTCTTTTGTGTAGGTTTTGATTTTTCCTGAACATAGGCAAAACACTATATTTTTATTTTAATTTCCTGCAACATTTAAGCACAGGGCTGGTGCTCAATACATAAATAATTGGTTATTTATGAATAGGTGCTAAAGTAATGTTTCCTATGTTGAAAAAGATAGGATTTAGAACAAATACTAGTTGCTTCACTAGACTTTAAAGACAACGCATTCACATACTGCTCTGGGAGAGGCTTATATTTCACAGGGCAAAAATAGATTTGATATGGCAGGAAGGAAAGAAACTGGACTGACGAAGGAATACAAAATTCAAAATGAGTACTGAAGTATGGAGTAAGCAAGAAAATGTATTGAAAAACACACGTTGTGCCTTTTGAAGTCTAATATTACATGTACTTTCCCACTTAGCATGAGATAGTATACTCCAATCACCTGGATCATTTCTTGTCTTTCAAAGATTCATTCGCCTGAATTTACATGACTTGTTTTCCATTTAAATGCTTTCTCTGACTTTTCACTGGGTTTTGGAGAGAGCTGCTGGCAAATCTGGAATCCAGTTGCTTCTCTCTTCAGTTGTCATGGTGATTTCTCACTTTTGTTTAGTTTGCTCTTAGTTAGAAACATCCATAAGTTTACCATCCAAATGTCCTAACACTGTTATTTGAATTCTATTTCTTCCTCCTTAGTGAATCTTTCAGAAAAGCTCATGTTTGCCTTTAAAATTCATTGGTATAGATGGTCCCTTTAAGCACAGTGCAATCCAGGAGGGAAATTGCTATTGAGGAACACAGCCACTCTTCAGACATCACCAAATGCCAATCTTTTTGCCCCTACCCACCACACATGCCCATGCACATGGACACACACACACACACACATGCACGCACACACACACATACACACAGACTTTCTCTTCAGAGACAAAATAGTCACAGAAAGTCAAACTCACAGCCACTGATTTATCTCAAATAACTAAACAAAGGGGCAATTATACATTTTTTAGAGTATGAAATGATGCCTTGACAAGGTAAAACAAGGGCTTTGGAATTTGGTTAGAAAAGGCTTTCAGTTAGGACTATGCTAAAGCAAGCTAATTTCTAGTAATAATAGTTGTTTTTCAAGCAGGGATTTATCATTGATCATATCCAGTAATGTGCCTGAGGCTGAACAGTGTAGCAGTTAAGAAGCTTGGCGCAGAAGCTGGAGAGCCCTGGGTTTGGATCTCATGTCCACCACCATTTACCACCTGTGTGACCTTGGTTGGGCAAGTTATTATTTAACCTGTTTTTACATGAATGAAATGCACCTACTTTGTCAGTTTTTGGATTTTTTAAAAATAAAGAATAAAATAATATAAAATGTCTGGTATATAGCAAGTGTTCATCCATTATGTGCCAGGCACTCTTCTAGGTGCAGTGAATACACCAAAATTCCTGGCCCTCATGGGAGCTTACATTCTTACTCATTTAATAGGGAGACAAGACAGACTGTACCATGCCAAAGTTACACAAAGAGCAATTGCACCCAATACCAAGATCATTACACAGGGCAGTGGAAAAATGCAGCACTGTCGTATGAAAAAAGATGTTAGATAAAATGAATTCAGTGAGCAGTTCAGTCATTTTAATTTTCTCTCCCTTTTAGAGGGTGTCAAAAGAAAGGCCACCTCCTTACAGGGTGGTGGGTATGACTTGCCTGTGAGATCAGTCTGGTGCTGCCCCTACACTAGCCTACAGTGTGGCTTTTTGGATCAGGCAGGTTTAGTCTGCACAGCCCCCAGAATTCCATTCTGTTCATAATCTGACTATTCTAGGACTTTCCTCAAACCCATTCTGGAACCTTCCAAAGGCTGGCAACTCAACTTTCTGCAGAGTCCCCCAGGAAGGGGTAAAAGATCACAGATCACGTGACCTGCTCTCATTGCACCCATCTAAGTGATTGGTCTTTTGCTCAAATTCTCCATGGTATTTTAACATGCAGATTGTGCTGCCTTACCCTTGCCAGTGATTTATGTTTTACTTGCTTCCCTGTTTTTGTGTGTGTCATTCCATTTTTAACTAAAAACTGCCAAATTCTTTGGTAGGACCCCAGCACAAGCATCAGAACCTCTACTGTTGCTTTATGAGACACATAAGAGAACATTTTTATCCTTTTCATACAAAGAATCATATCCAAAATGAGGTGTGGCTAAATGATACATGCAAATTGGAGCTCTTTAATGATTTTCTCAGTGTCCTAGGGTTGGGTTCACTGAATCTACTTAGATTTAGGATTTCCAAATTGCTAAATAGAAAGCCAACAGCAGCGCCTCTGGGATGTCTGACAAACCCCCTTTGCTAGAGCTCTGGCAGAAAAACAGGACAATCTTGCACCAGTTTATCAGATATGTACCAATGGAATTTTAGTTTCCAACCTCTGAAGCCTGAAAAGTGTCTTAGGGTGATCTCTGTGGGTGGCATATGAGGGAAAGGAACATGTTGAAATCCACACAGGACGTGTCAGCCAAACGTGCTGCACAAACTGGACCTAAACCTTCCCTTTGCTACCGACTAGGAAACTGCTTTCCTGTCGAGCCTTCCTATTGCTCTCCTGCCTACCTTCCTGTCTACAATTAAAAAGACTGGAAGCTCAAACTTCTTTTCTGGTGTAGTCAGGAACTATTCGGCTATGCTAAGTAGATGTTTATGTAAAACTTTCCTAAGAGACTTGGCCTTCCCTCATATTTCAAAACCAGAATTCAAAAATATTCCTCTATCCAAAAAGAGGAATCAGGCCTGGAAAAGGAGGAAAATTAACAAAGATAGGTCATAAACTTGATGTCTAAGGCCATTATTAAAAGAAAGGAACGATCTTTCCAGTAATCTAAGACCTTTAGAAAAAAGAGAGCATTATTCATGTTCTAGTTTTCCAGCAGTCACACCTTACACAGGACTTCGGAAGCCATTATCTGGAGTTCACAGATATTTTGGGTTTTCATTTATTATTGGTAAGGCAGAATATTGATTGTAGCCAATACTTACACAGCGTTTACTATATGCCAGGCACTGTTCTGAGAGTGTACAAGCATCAGCTCAACCACTCCTCACATCCATGATGAGTGAAACTACCATTGTTATCCTCACTTTTCAGAGAAGGAAATTGAGGCAGCAGGTAAATAGAAATTTGCTCAAAGCCACACACAGCATCAGGACATAGCTGGGGTGTGAATACAGACAGACTAGCTCTAGAGTCTGTGCTCCTCTGCATGCTATGTGCCTGAAATACCTGAAAAGAATTTGTCAGGGTACTTAGGAACCCTAAAAAAGGGGTGCAAGGGGTGCTTTTTAATAAGATAGAATAATGGATGGTAAAATGTAAGGAAAATAACCGTTACACAGAAAAGTCTGAAAGCAAGAGAGATACACCTTTCAATAAAGGTGCTTATTACTTGGCAGGCTTTGAATAAAGGTTGGTTGATTACCATTTTTAGGACATTAAGAAAATTAAAAATTGTGTTTTAGTCTTCAACGACCCAGGCTGTAACCCCATCACTTTGCTGAAAGTTTTATGTAAATAAAGATGCAAGAAAAGACCAAAATGAGCAGCTGGTGTTGCTTCTGTTTTGAAACAGGTATGTTGTGATTGGAAAAGATGTTTAATGAATGGCCTGAGCCGACTCACCAGGTGCTGACAATGAAAGATTTAACTCTACCAATTGAAGGTTTCTGCCTCAGAAGATCAGGTACACCCTCACCTGTCTGACAGCATTGTAGGAGTAACTAGCAAACAGGGAATTCAAGAATGAATTAAAGAACTGAGCCATGAAGTCTTCGTTCCAATACTAGCTGGGTCTTCCAGGAGGGGTCACCACGTTTATGGAGACAAGCTTAGCAGGAAGTAGTGAGATTACTTTTTCCTTTTCTAGGCTGTGAATGAAGAGTTGTTTAGTCTTCTAAAGAGACAATCTGGCTAATGTTCACACTCACAGGATGTGAAAACATCAAAAATAGAATGAGAATTTCATATGACAAAAATAACACAAGGTCAAAAGAATATATTTAACATAGTCACCAACACAGAACTGGCCTCTTCTGACTGGCTCTGGAACTGTTGTCCAATTTTACAGAGTTTTTTAGATGTATTTTTATATAAATGAAGAAAAACACTTGAACCTATTGAGTCTGATGCAAAGCAAAGCTGGATGGTATGACATGAGCTTTCGTTGACTCTGCCACTGCCCCACAACCTAGATGTAGTTTTCCCTAAAAGGCTGCATTGATAATTTCATCTTTAGACACTGGAACTTTCAGAAGGCTTCCAAATGTTAGTTAAAAAGTAAATGTGAGTAGGCTGTGACCCAAATGCACATTAACGATTTTTAATATACATTTTGTTTTGTTTTGTCAACATGACCTTTAATTACCTTCCAGTGGTAATTTTCCTTTTCATGGTACTGTGTTTATGTTGAACAAAAGCCTCAGAAGAGATTTCTTCTACATAAAAGAATGAGGCAGTTTTGATTTGGGGATTAAAAACCAGACTTATTTGTTCTTAGATCCATGTCTCTTAAAAAGGTTGACTCAGGTTTCTGTGATTTATCTAACCTAGATGATGTCCTGATAATCTACTCTTGGCCTTTATTTATTCTCAACAATTATAAACATTTGGCAGTTAGGACCTCATTTAGAAGACTTCTAGGCAGAAGAAATTTAAAAAACCCTGGAAGTCACTTCTGAAAATAATTATGTTTTTCTATTCTCCTCTGTTTTCTCTTCTGAATATTTAACATACCTAATTATGACACAACTAATTCTGGTGTTCAGAATTAGTACACAAATGGTCAGTTTTGGTAACCAATGGGTAGGTACAACCCATCTCGCATTCTTTTTGGAACCTAGTAGAACATAAATGCATACAGAGTAAACGAGTCTAAATGCAGTGGTTCTCAGCTTCCGCCACACATTGGAATCACCTGGGTGGCTTCTAAAAACTATGCTGCCTGGGCCTATCCTGACAGATTGAGTTAACAGGTGTTGGGCAGGGTCCTGACATCACTAGTACGGCACAGCTCCCAGGTGATTCTAATGTGGGCCAGGTTAAAGAGCCAGGTCTGGTATTGCGGTGGAGTCAGAGGACTCTGGAGGTAGACAATTCAGCCATGGTGCACCAGCTCTGCTATCTATGTGAACTGGGGTGAGTTATTTGACCTCTCTGAGGCTTGGTTTTCTAGTTTGGACAATGAGAGCAAGCATAGCTATTGTGCAGGGCTATTGTAAAGATTACATGCATTAATAAGGCAAATTAAGTGCCTAATGCAGTGCCTAGCACATGGGCGGTACCAAATAACTGCCAGACTCTTCTTCTAATACTTCAAAGTGTCTTCACATCTGCTTTGTGATTTAATGTTCACTTCAACCTTGTGGGATAGGAGAAGAATACGGGCTTGCAAGTTTGGGTGTCTATAGGTCTGGCTGATTTAGACTTTCATATCATTTCATTATTAAAATAATTCCATATCCTCTCTGTCCTCTGGAGAATCTCAGGTTCTCAGTCCGTGGAGCTCTTTTCTCTACACATTCCCTTAGTGATCTCATCCAATCTGATAGTCTAAAATAACATCCATAGCCTGCAAACTTCAGCCTGGATCAGGATTCCAGACTCCACTGGATGTCAAAAAGACATATCAAACTTCACATGTGCAAATCCAAACTCTTGATCTGTTCCCACATGACTTTCAACCACTAACATCTGCTCCTCTGCAGTCTTCCCTAAGCCAGTAAATGGATCCTTACACCCCTCAGGCCAAACATCTTGAATTCCTTTCTTTTACCTACATATCCAATTCACCAGCAATTCCTATTAGTTCTGTGTTCAAAATGGATCTCAAATCCAAAGCTTCTCAACTCTTCCACCCCTATTACCTTTGACCAAACCACCCTAAACTCTTGTCTGGATAAAAGCCTCTCTCTTGAGTCTTCCTTTCTCACTGCCACACCTTCCCACAAAACCCCAGTCTACTTTTAACAGAACAACCATAGGGATCCTTTCAAAGTAGAAGTGAGATCTTGTCCCTCATCAATTCAAAACCCCCAATGGCTTCCCCTCTCATTCTGAGTAAGAGGCAAGTCCCTACAATGGCCAATAAGGCCTAACACAATATTATTGGCCCCTCTCCCATTACCATTCCCCGGTCTCCTATCTCTCACTCATTCTGCTCCCAAGGTGAGCTTCCTCCTCCTTCCTCCAACATGCCAAGCGCACTGCTGCCTCAGGTCTTTGCCTTCACTGTTCCTTCTCCTTGGAATCTCCTTCCCCGAAATATCCACAGGCTTGCTCCCTATTTCCTTCAGGTATTTTGACCCAATGTGCCCTTTAAGGCTGAAACCTTCTCATCTCCACCCTGGCATTCCTGATTCTCCTTTCTGGTTTTCTTTTTCTCCATTGCTTACCACCATCTGATGTCCTGTATATTCAAGTGTCTGCTTATTCCCACTAGAAATTTTGGAAGCTAGATGAGGGCAAGAACTTTTTTGGTGTTTTGTTCACTGCTGTCCCCCTACAGCCTAGAGCAGGGCACATAGTAAGTACCAAATAAACACTTGCTGAATGAATGAATGGATGATGTAGATTATGTTTTAAAAGCATCTTTTCATTGGCACTGTATAGAGCAAACTTGTAGCAAAGGCAGCCCTGGGAAGTGTCACAGCTACAATTTCATTAACATGCTCAGCTTCGGTACAGATGACATTCCAAATCAGCTGGCTTCCTGGGGCCCAGGAATCTTTTGAGTTGTGTCCAATTTTATATCTCCTCCTGCCCCTAGGGTAACTTGTCAAAAACCTACTGGGTACCCCATAGCTTGAAAAAGTGGGTAGCTAACTTTAATTTCTGGCTGGAGTTGTTTGGATGGGGCTGTAAATGGGGACATACAAGGGGAAACTGTTACCCTTGCTTTGCAGCTGTAGGCTCATGTATTCTTTACTGCAAAGAAGCATGGAGCGGGCTGTCATTAAAGACACTCAACCTGGTTTCTAGTGTCTGGTTCAATTAAGAGAACTTCTAGGAAGAGACATGACCAAATAAATAATTGGAGAGATGCAACTCTGAAAGGACAATTGTTTTTTATCGATCTCTGTTTGCAAGTTGAAATTGAGAGATACAAACTTTAAGTGGATGGGCTCTCCTGGGTGAGAGTCTTCACTTCAAACGCAGTAAATGAGTGTTGTTTTGTGATGCACATTTTAGTACTGCTAGAGGTAAACTTTCTAAATATTAATAATAATAATAAACAAATCCCTCTGCAACTGACAGCGAGTGCACAGATGAACAGGGATTTCCAGGAAACAGGCTGTTCTGGTCTTCTGGATGTGGCAAAGTCTTCATCAGAAGGGACAAGCTCCAGAACAACAGAAAGTGTGCCCCTCATTACTTTGGAATTCCCCTTTCAGGAGCACTGAGGGCATGTGAGTTGATTTTTAATGGGTAAAATTAATCTCTTTAGAGCCATCTCTATTATAAGGTATTTTTTAGTTTGAAATTAATAGGAAACTATGGAATTAAAAGCTTCTAATGCTAAGAGCTGTCATTAGGAAGCGCAGTGACAAGGATTCAATATACTGTGAGGTGCCACTGTACAATATGTGGGATTTTTCATGTCTCCTTGCCATTGAGCTGTAGGTGACAACTGCAGGTAGAGCTTAGCTAGAATGAAGCTGACACATGCAAGCACTTGGCCCCTCTTGTTCCTGCTCCATCACTCAGGCTGAGCAAGCATCAGATAGCTAACACGCCACTCATAGGTACATCTAGAGGGCTGGGTGGTGTGATGGAAAGGACGTGGGCTTTGAAATTAGAGACCTGAGTTTAAATCCTCACTGTACCACCCACCAGCTATATAAGCAGATGATCTTACCCTAACCCCCCTCAGTTTCCACATCTGACTCAAATGAGGTTAAAATAACTATCTCGAAGGGTGGTTAGAGGTTTCAAGTGAGACAGTGTATGGGAAGTACCTAGTATAGTACCTGGCATAGAGTGAGCATCCCCAAAATGATAGCTATTAGGATTATTATTGTTGCTGTTGTTGTTATTATTATTATAAGAAGTAGCATTATGAAATAGTATTATGGGGCTCAAATTTAGCAGTCTACCAGGACTGGCCAGGGAGGGGCTTGTCACTGAGATCATTCAGGATGAGGTGTGCAGCACTTCTAAAACACTGCAGATGGTGATGCTGTGGACTGCCCTGGGAACTGAAACTCCCTCCCGCCGATGCTGCCCAAACTCCCACTGGCCTCATCTGTTTACAAGCCCTGTATTCTTGGTAAGTGCTCATGATCATATTTGGTCTACTGCCCCTTTCAGAACACTGACTTCTGGGAAGCAGTGATTCCATCTCCTGTTCTTTGTTTTAAAAAAATCTTTCTACAGTAATAATTGTGTTGTAAGAGTTTTAAAAAAATCACCTAGGTCCCCTTTCATAAAGGGATTTATATAAGGATAACTTTCAAATGGCATTCTGAATTTATTTTAAATATGCTTCAGTTTTGCCCTCAGCTTGCCAGGAAGACATGATCTTAAAGAAAGCAAGCTGCTTCTGGAGGGAGTGCTAGGTATTTTGGGCACTAAATGGGTGGTTCTCTTTTGTTCAGATTATACTTTTTTTTTTTTTTTTTTTTTGAGACGGAGTCTCACTCTGTCACCCAGGCTGGAGTGCAGTGCCATGATCTTGGATCACTGCAACCTCTGCCTCCCGGGTTCAAGTGATTCTCTTGCCTCAGCTTCCCAAGTAGCTGGGATTACAGGTGCCTGCCACCCCGCCTGGCTAGTTTTTGTATTTTTAGTAGAGACAGGGTTTCACCATGTTGGCCAGGATGGTCTCAATCTCTTCACCTCAGGTGATCCACCAGCCTCCGCCCCCCAAAGTTCTGGGATTACAGGCATGAGCCACCGTGCCTGGCCTAGATTATACCTTATATTAATAAAATACTGGCATACTTTTACATCCAAATACTGTTGTTTAACCAGATTAATACAAATGAAACTCAAAAGGACATTCGAAGTTAGGCAAAATGTGGTAACCACAGCTACAAATTAGAAAAACTGGAGCCAGGTTTTTATCCTTCCTAGACAGGACCACAATATCATATATTGAAACCATGGAATGAGGAAGAAGGTGATTCCTGGAAATTAGGGTCCGGGCCTACTGCATTTGTTTTAAATGATTGCTTATTATTATACAATACTTAGTAGTATGTCATAAGTAGTTATGTCATAAGGATATTCTTTTGGCTGATGATGGAATATAAAGTATTTCAAAGTGGGGTATATTGTGGCCAGTCTTAAGTAAGAAAAACAACAACCAACCACCCAGAGTTGACTGAAACTGGTTCCTACTGTCATCAAAATGCACCTACACAAAACCTGACTGAATATTCTGCTAGATCAAAGCTTCCTAAGAATCTGGGTACATGAGCTAGCACATCTGAAACCTGAGAGGTGACTCTAGATGGCAATAATGAGTGGCTTTCAAACTTTAATGTGCATGATACCCTCTTTTGAAATATGTTACATGTGTCGGACATCAGGGTTTTATCCTTAAAATTCAGAATCAGTAGGCTTGAGCAAATCTGTTTTGTTTTTAAATTTTTATTTCTTTTAAGAAACAATGTGCTATAATTTTGAGGATCACTCTTTGAGAAATGCTGGTCTATGGTGTCCATCCAAAGGGCTCAAGATTCTAAAGCTACATACTTAAGCCCTTCAAAATCAGAATTACTGAATAGTAGAGCTAGAAGAGCCCCAGAGATCATCTAGTCTGAACTTTTCATAGCCAGTGGACCACAGGGTTGAGATGTTTCACAGCACAGGGCTCTTTCTGCAGAACTCTCACTACAGCTTAGCATGGTGGCTAATAGCTAGGCCTGGGCTTGATTTCTGGCTCTGCCACTTGGCATCATGTGACTTGGGCAAGTCATGGATCACTTGGGAACTTCCCTTATCTAGTGTGATTGTGGAAGTCATGTGAGCTGGTGCCCACAAAGTATTTATGGGAAGTGACCTACACCAAGCTGGTCATGTATAAGTTCTGGATTCTTTCCAGCAGATAAGGTATAAGCAGGAGATAAGGTATTCCAGCAGACAAGGCCAAAGGAAGTTTAAGGTAGGTGAAGCTTAGCTGTACTACTATAATTTTGCCAGCAGGTTTTAATGAAAGTAAGTTGTTGCCCCCATAGAAGTTTTTTTTTTTTTTTAAACTCAACATACACTAGTAGTTCAACACAAAAATATTTTATGCAACCTACCCTATAAAATGGCAGTCTCAGCTTGGACCTTTTAGGTGCTCTCAGAGCACCTTGCATGAGAGGGTCCCTCAAAGCTACGTAATGACATTCCAGAGCAGAATTTGGTGATCTTCCAGTCAGATTCAGGAAACCACAGATCCTCCCAACAGTAGCTGGACACAAAATGAGGTAGGGATCACTCCCGCACATCCCTGATGGTTTCATATGTAGACTATGGGATTTGCCAGATTCTTATAGCAAGTGGGAAGTCTCTCTCAAACTTTTAGGCAGTCCAGATATCAATGAGAACCCATTTATTACATTTATCATGCAAAGTAACAAGTCAGTAATTTCACCAATCAAAATAATGAATTTCTGTATTCATTATGCTAATTAGTAAGGTCTCTGGTTGATAGAGATATAACAAAAGTATTTGTTGTAGCTGCCTCTGGAGTGAGTATTTCCCTTCTGATAAAGTTGTGGCTGAACACTACAGTGAAAATTTTCTGTTAGAGCAATTGGCTGTTCCTGGCACTGAAGTCTAAACTAACAAGTACATACATAATTACCACACTGTCCACAGAGAAGTATTTTAAAGTAAACTTTATGTAACTAGCACTTTGCACAATGTTTACCTATTAAATGCCCAATTAATGTTTGCTGCTATTATTACTATTGAAAATGTGTTGAGTAAATCAAAAAAGGTATAAAAACTGTTACATAAGCTGAATAAAATAATAATCTAAATAAAAGAAATCTTATGCAAATTAAGAATCACTTTAAGTCTTAATTTAGCTCTGCTTCCTACATGGTATCAGAAATTTGGGTTAAAGTTCAGTGAAGGCCTGGTGCAGTGGCTCATACTTGTAATCCCAGTGCTTTGAGAGGCTGAGGTGGGAGGATTGCTTGAGGCCAGGAGTTTAAGATCAGCCTGGGCAACATAACGAAGCCCCCGTCTCTACAAAAAAATTTTTAAAAATTAGCCAGGCATGGTGGCTCAGGCCTGTAGCCCCAGCTACTCAGGAGACTGAGGTAGGAGGATGGTTGGAGCCCAGGAGTTGGAGGCTGCAGTGAGCTATGATCATGCCACCGCACTCTAGCCTGAGTGAGAGTGAGACTCCATCTAAAAAAAAAAAATCCACTGAAAAAGGGACAGCAGAAGCCAAAGCCTACGTGGTGACTATTTGAGGAAGAAGGTAAAACCTTCTCGCTAAGCAAGCTATAAAGCAATCTTTTTTAGACCTTGGGTTGTGACCCATTAGTGAGCTACAAAATCAATTCTGGATCACATTGTAAAATATATTTCTAAATGTAGATTGTGGTTAAAAACATTTGACGTGGAGGAAGAAGAGGAGGAATAGAGCATGAGAGTATCAGGGTGAACATCTGGCATATCATTAAGATGAATGATACTTGAGGGTCAAGCTGGAGATCTTTCAGAGAAGCTTTAATATCTTTAATTTCATACCTGCTGTCTAGAACCCTGGGGACTTTCTAAATTTTGATTGCAAAGTCTAGATATGCTAGCAATGATTTTCAGATACCATATTCTGAATAAAAAATCCAAACCAAAAATAGTTCAAAAATCTCTAAAGAATATTATTGTATCACTTTGTTTGAGAACTTCCATTTCTCTCTTTCTTTATGTGGATCAGAAAATAATAGCACAAAATGACAGACACTCCCTCACTTTTCTTTAGCCTGGTGGTAAAAATCTACTAGGTCCATAATTTTAGCAGCATCTTTAAGAATCTGTCAAATGGCAAAGACTCCCAAACTGCCTTTCCTCACAGAACTGTAACTCTGAAGGAAATTGCATGACAGGAATATATTTATGGCTACACTCCAAAGATAGTCTTCTATTTTCTGTCGTTCCTCTGGATTTCTATTTCAACTTTAATGGGTTACTGTGAAACGGCAATGTGGCTCTTAGTTTGCAAGAATGGAGTGCAGACAGTGTTGCCTCATGAAAGGTAAGGCTGGCTCACTAGATCTACTTTAAATAGAATATAACTTTTTATTTTATTAATAATAAAGAAAATGTAAGAAATGAGTATCAGTTTATGACTGGGCCACATGGAGTATATGTTTATAGGAGCAATTACATTTGTTAAGTATTTTAGAACTGTCTTATAACCAGCAGTGTAATCAGAAATAATTTTCTTTTTAAACAATTAATAAAACAATTCAAACCCATGCGAAGATCAAATATTTATAATACTTGGATCCAGTAAAGCAATTTTTGGTCTTCAAAGTGTTTTCATATCCTATAATCCAATGCAGTTCTGGAAGTTAGGAGGCCTGGAATATAGTTTCTGAGATATGATCTGGGATAAGTTTAAAGATTTTTTTTCTATGCTTTCATTTATTTTTATGCACAATAAGGCAACAATTACTGACTTGCTAATATTCAAGATTGTTTAGGTAACATTATATTACAGGGTTAAGAGCTTTAATCTTTTAGACCAATTGTAGAGTAGTTTTATTAAGATAAGATTCTTTATGTACCAAGTAGAATAGGCTTTGTGTGGAAAATAATACCAGAAATGCAAACTTTTGTATTTCAAATCAATTTCCTCTTGACAAAATGACTCAAATGTTATTAAATGAGATTTTTAGCCGAAGTTGTAGGTAATTCTTTAACATTCCTAAGAAACTTCCAATCAAATGGAAAACAAGATCCTTTTAAGATTATGTTTCTCCTAAGACAGTTTGGAGGGTCTGAAGGTATTTTTTAACCTCTTTAGGAAGAAGCTATAGACATATTTCCTTTTCTGTAATATGTTAACATTATTTATATAACTATTCCTTTCAAGAACTTATTTCCTTTGCGCACATAATAGGGAAACTTGTTATTTCATAGAGCAGAAATATCAGTCACAGACTCACAGAAACTTAATACTGGAAGGAATCTCAAGTGTCATTTTGTCCATCTTCTCATTGTATGGATGAGGAAATGAGGCCTATGGCAATTAAGTGATTTGTTCCAGCTTTTGGTGAGAGAACTGGAACAGGAATCCAGACTAGAATCAGGGATGTGCTCTTTATCCTATGTCTACCAGAAAGCTATATTCTTTTAGCTTAGTGCACAGGTTCTTGTCATAGTTCAGCTGTGTAACTGCAACTAGACCCATAATTAAGTACATATAAACAATGTAAGAAATAGTTTCCTTGATTTGCCTTTGTACACAAATGTCTGTAAATGGCAAGATATACAGTGGACTTTTAATAAGCATTGATGATGGTACTCTATTTAATATTTAATTAGCATTCATTCAATTCAGAAGTACTTTTGGAAATAAGAAATTTGGAGTCTTGCCATTGACTGCTAATAGTCAGCTGACATACTCTGAGGTTATGTGCTTTCAGTTTGCTATTTAAAAACATTAAAAACTAACACAAACATGCTTAACTTAAGGACCTCAAATGTCCTGAAACATTTGCTTGCTAAGTATCGTGAGAAAGTTTTCTGCATATATTGGAACCCTAGATAAGCAAAGTGATTTGAATACTCAAGAGAAAAAGATAAATAAGATGGTAGTAAAATGCCAATTCTACAGGATATCTTGGATCTAATTTCTTTCTTGACGAGATCTATTGACTGACTGTGCACTAAGCCATTATTAACTAGGATACAAGCTGTTCTTCAATCTCTGCTATGTAAAATATCTTTTCATTATTACATAAAAATTGCCATCAAACTAGAGAATACTTTGGGAGAGTTCATGGCTTTTATGGCAACCCACAGCAAGTGATGCTGTCTTGACAAAATATAAAATTACCTCCAACCCTGAGCTGAAACTATAGGAGAGCAGCAAACAAGCCCTGTAGTATTGTTTTAGATGAAGCACAGTGATAGCTCTGCACTTCCTTCAGGCCTCCTCTTTCTTCCTGAACGAACTCCAGGGAATGGCATCATGTCAGGCTTTCCAGATGGATTATGTGAAGCCATAGCTCAATGTCATTTTCAATAGGAAGCCTTATAATTAAAGGTCAAATAGTCACTTCATCTGCAATCAATCAATAGAAAAAGTACTAATACGAAGAACTAATCAATCAATGGCAAATGCACTAATAAAAGCAATGAATCAAATTCAGCATGTGTGTAGATGCAAGTACAAGGAAGAGATCGAGATAGGGCAAAAGCAAGAACAATAAAATAAATCGAAGGTGTATATAAGAGAATACTCAGAAAGCTTCTCAAGCAAGAGTTTTCATGTTTGGTTTATTAGTTACATGGTTGCCTCTTGGCCTGCAATGATTTATTCTTGAATACAAATACTAGATATAATAATGAATGGTATTTTATATTTCACTTAATGTATTCTACGTGAGATGTTAAAGATGTGTATACACATATATACACACACATATATAATCAGAAGAAATACTATGATAGTGACTGCAAATGGAAAGATGCATTTTTAAAGTGCCAAATAGTTATATTATAATCTGTTATATTTCATCTTTGTGTCAGCAGTGAGAGAAAATATAACTCTAACTGATATTACCTAAAATTTCCCCTTGCTTTCTGGACTATGAAGTCCTCATACTCCTTGTGATGTTCTTGCATTTCCATGCAGGGATGTTGATATTTTGGAGGCTGTGTGTGTATGGGATCAAGCAGTATGTGAGAAATCTCTATACCTTCCACTCAATTTTGCTGTGAGCCTTAAACTGCTTTAAAAATATAAAGTTTATTAAAAATAAAAACAAACAAAAAAGAATTTCCATTAGGACTATTATCAGCCTATATCTCAGGTCACTGTCATGGCCTATCCTCTGTACCAGAGATGTCAGGTCACCAGTAGATCCATGCATTGGATCTTGTGAAAATGGATACAGTAAATTTATAGTGCTTAACAAGAACATTCTAGCATTAGTATCTAAACATCCCTTGCTGTATGGGGGAAATAGCGGTGATCTGTCTGAGATAAGGGAAGCAGCAAAGAGGGCATTTTCATAAATACTATCTAAGAGACTGTAAGACAGAAGCCAAATATGATCAAGGGATGACAGAATATTGGAGCTGGAAGTAAAATTACCTAATTTTAGAACCAAGGAAACTGAGGCCCAGGAAAGTATCAGTGGAAGAGCCAGGATGAGTATTTAGGTCTTATAATTCCAAGACAGCCTATGTCTATCATGTTATGAAAGTAGCTAAGGATTACATAGATATTACACTAGTACAGCATCATATTGGAGGATCTATTTCATGGTAGAACACTGCAAAAGCAAACAGAAATCCAATTTAACCCAACCCTTTTTAGCAAAACAACTACTTCATAGCACCTATCTGTTTGCCTGAAAATTAGCTTTTGGAGAGTACAAAGGACAGAAAATATGACTTTAGGATTAAGAAAAATAAAAAGACAAAAAACCCTGAATGGGTAGATATTCTGCTTATAGAAAAGCACACTGTTCACACTGCTGTGTGCTTCCTGAGTATGCGTTTTGCTCTTTGTTCAGCACAACTAGCTCTAGCACAGAACAGAGAAACAGAGAAAACCCTTTCTGGTTTTCCTGACAAAAGCAAGTCCTTAAAAGTATCCCAGAACTTGAAGTAAAATCAAAAAAAAAAAAGAAAAATAAGAACAATCTTCAAAATAGAAAAAAAAAAAAGTGGGTCAGGTTTGCAAGCCTGTTGCAGAAATGTGGGAATGTATTTGGTGCAGCCATGGTTCGGCCTATGCTCTAAGGATACAGGCTCATTCGATCCCTGCACTCTGTGTATCTGAGGAGTCTGGCAGCATCTGCCTCTGGACTCACTAACTTTATAAAAGTCCCTCTGGTTTTAGAAGACCTGAGACACCAGGCAGTACATGACAATAACACACATGGGAAAGAAGTGTAAGATGATTTCCTTGAGGTCAACAACTAAAATACACTTGTTACATGAAAATCTACAAGACAGGGGTCAGGAGACTCGAACCTTGGGAGTGGTAACATAGTTGTAACTAACATAGTTATTAGTAATCAATAAGAATAGCTACACCTTATAGAGTACTCACCAAGTGCCAGGCAGCACAGCAAGCTATTAGATGGGCTCTCTCATGTAGTCCACATCAATCTACTTACAGTATGATTATTGCACACATCTTGTCATTTATTGACTACCTATTATCTACCAAGTGCTGTGCCAGGTACTTAACAAATTTAGACTTTAATCTTTACAACAGCCTTACAAAATGAGTGTTATTCTGCCCCTTCTACAGATGAAAAGGTTAAGGTTCAGGGAAGTTAATTGATTTGTCTAAGGTCACAAAATTAGGATTGGAATATGGTTTCTAAGACTGTTTCAACTTCAATTTAATGATGATTATAGCTACACAGATACAAAAATAGAGCAGTGCATAGACTATATATATATAATTCAAATAAGCTGAAGCTCTCAATAACAACTGCTCCTAAGGGTTTGTCCAATTTCTAAATCATGTTCCAAACTTGGTAAGACTGACAGTAGACTATCAGACAAATATGTTTGGGATTAATAAAAACATTATGAAATGTCTTCATTTTCTAGTTCACAGACTGAATTTCCTTAACATAAGCAGACTAAGAACATTGTAATGATTCTTCATTCTCTTAAGTGACTCATGTGCTAAAATGTAGAGAAATTTTTAATATGAGTTTTTGCCATAACATGCCCACCACCCCAAGGAGTTTGTGACTGATGTATATTTCAATAAAGCTTCTGATTACTTAATGACTTTTAATGACTAAAAACATAGATTCCGGATGTGTAACAGGTTATTGGGATAATGCCACTAATTGGATAAAGCTAAGTAGAAAATAGCACTTTTCTTCTTAATCCATTTTTGTCCATTAAATAAATACTTATTTCACTTTTAGTGCTAATCTGATTGAGTTAATGATAACTATATTGTTTCTTTATAGAAATAACATTCAGAAATAAGCATCAAACTAATGTCAATATCAAATTAGAGTAATAACATTATTCCCACCTTGCTCTGAGCTGCTGGAAAATAAGTTAATCTTTTCCAGGGACAACTCTAGGGCCTGCCAAAGCAATGTTTTTGCCAATTCCCTATTTAGAAGTAGTTTCCACAGCATCTCCACCCCTGCTCTAATGTTACATTCTACATTGGTAATCTTGTATGAGAATTGAAAATATGATTATAAATTAAGCTAAGTTTTACAGTGTTAATTTTGGCCCACAGAGATTTGTTCAATCAAATAACAGAATTTCAAAGCAATGACCCACCCTCACTTTGCTACTGTTCCTTATCTAATAGTGTGGACAACACCCCATTCCATTTAATTTGAAGAGTTCTTTGAATATCAAAGTCATAAGATGTAACTATATGAGGGTAATAGGTGGTTTTTAACTCTGTGAATCACTTACCCAATGTAAGGGATTTGTGTGTAGAACAGAAAATGATAGCCACTGTGTCTGCTGGTGTGAAACCCGAATTATTCCTAGGGGCAAAAAAAGATTTTGACAAATACTTTTATAAAAAGCCAATTTAACACATTCAAAATCAAATGTAGTACCTACCTTTATGTTAACATCCCTTTGATCAATCCTGGTGACAGTAGTAATTCTACACCCAAATGTACAGAAGTGTCTGGATTTCTTTTTAGAGAACTACTTCTGAGTCATTTATCCATGAAAAGGAGAACAGTTGTAAAAATGTGTGGTGGAGGTCGCCTAAGATCACGTATATAATCAGCCCCTGGAGCAGGACTGATTATAAAAATAATGCAACAAGGAACTCTAAGTCTCTAGGTTACCACTTGAAATTTACCCAGTGGCTTGAAAGGATAAATATATCTCTAAAAATGCTCTTTTCAAGGAGCAACACATCCTTTTGGTAGCAAACACACACTTAAGAATACAGGGTATGAAAAAAGATTTAACATCATATATTTTAGTAAAAACAAATTATCATTTTTTGAGCAGTATCATGTATAGGCATTTCTCTAATGTCTTTACATGTAAAAGCAACAACCCCAAAAGGCAAGTGATGTAATGTTCCTATTTACAGATGAGAAAACTGAGGCACACAGAAGTGTATAATGTACTCAGGGCCCATGGTAGTAAGTGACAGAGCCAGGATTCAAACAGAGTCTAGTTCCCAGGCCTGTGTTCTTAATTACTATATTCTACTATTGTTATATACTATGTTAAACATTAAAAAAAACCTCACTGAGTCAAAACTAATTAAATGTTGTGGGGAGTCAGTACTGGGAATTGGATGTCATAATCAGATTTCCTGTTTTAGATAATAAGGGTTTAGAAAGCCAAAAAAGTTAAAAATGTCATTGTTATGATTGTGCCCTTATATTTTAGAAACTATTCTTTCCTGTGGAGTCAGGATATCAGGATTTGACTATATAGAGTCTATTCATTCCCTGCTCTGAACTCTGACAGAAGAGTTAGCAAATGGAAAAATGTTCTAGAAACTGACTCCATCTATACAGTTGCAGATATAACAATGTACCTGATTTTTAAGGCTCCCTAATGAAAGAGACCCAATCATTTCCCTTAGTAATCTCATCCCCATGCACGACTTTTGCTGGGAGAAAACTCTTCCCTAAATAGATCCCACATCCTGTTTTTCTTGTTGTATACCCACAGGAGGAGAGAAGAGTCCCCTCAACTCCCCGCCGGGTTCCCCCATCACCCCACCCTGCTTCCTCATCCCCTGTGCCTGTGTCAAGAGAATATTTAAAATGGCCTTTGGTCTCTCTTCTGAAAAGGCATGCATGTTTCTGCTTCCTAACCAGTTGTACTTCTAAGCTGTTTCTTGGTAACTTTCAAACTGAATTTTTGGTGTCTCACTTCAGTTGAGGATTCCCCATGGATGCATATCATATACTCTTATTGAGTATAATAAGACTGGCTTAATTGTTTCTACATTTTATTCTCATATTGATATTGTAATAGCATTCTTGTTTTTTAAACATTGCATTACATGGCTTTCATATTTCTTCATCCCTTTATTCCTCACAGTAGGCCTAATGGGGAAGGAGTTCCATAAGGTTCCGTAAATGCATGGGCTGAGAGATGAAAGCACTACAGACATACATGAGAAAGAGGAGAGGAGAGAGAAATAGAGTGCTTTCAGCTGAAAGAGAAGGATCACCTCTAGCTTGGCAGGGAAAGTAGGAGATGATGATAGAGCACAAATAACCTTCTGGGAAAAAATAACAATTGAGCTGAGCCTTAAAGAATAGATTTAGATATGTGCAGATGTGTGTTTTAGATAGGGGACAGTGAGACTGCAGTATGGGAGTGTAGGGGGCAGTTGGCAAAGAACAGATTCTTCAGGCTGACTTGTGTGCAGGGACACTGGCTTATGATCAGGAGTATGGAGTTGATATGATGGGATAAGGGGAACTGCTGAAGGAGTTGGGACAGTAGAATGACATAAGTAGATCCATTCTTAAGGAGAAGTGATCACACAGCATGGTGTAAGACTAAAGATGGTGAGGCTGGGCAGGAAGCAGGGAGCTCTAAGGGTCTAAAGAATCAGAGTGAAAACAGGAGATGGTGGAAAGAGACATGGAGATAGGATGAAAAGAATTTCTGTTAACTTCTGTGCAACAGTACCTCCCAACAGCTCAAGAGTGCAGGCTTTTGGAGCAAACACACCTGATTTTAATTCCAGGCCATCCTTTTTCTCATATGTAGAATGAGTATAAGACCTTCTGACTCTTAGGATCAATTGTGGGGATAAATGCCAGTGCTTGTTAAGAATGTGGCACAATGTAAATGTTGAACACAAGCTAGGGGATATTGATATTATTATTATTGCTTTGAGAGAGAAGGAAGAACCAAAGAGAAATTAGAAATTTTGAGTATATGGAACCAAGAGGAGCATTAAGGAAACAGAATTAAAGAGGAGGCTCAGTGAGCCTTGGGAAGGAGGCCAAGGAGTTGATGCTGATGTATGCTAGATTTGTAGTGGTGAGAAGGACTGAGTTTGTAGTGGTAAAAAGGACTGTGTTTGGAGTGGTGAGAAAGACTGTGTTTGGAGTGGTGAAAAGGACTGAATTTGGAGTGGTGAGAAGGACTGAACTTGGAGAGGTGAGAAAGACTGAATTTGGAGTGGTGAGAAGGACTGAGTTTGGAGTGGTGAGAAGGACTGTGTTTTGAGTGGTGAGAAGGACTGAGTTTGGAGTGGTGAGAAGGACTGTGTTTGGAGTGGTGAAAAGGACTGTGTTTGGAGTGGTGAGAAGGACTGTGTTTGGAGTGGTGAAAAGGACTGTGTTTGGAGTGGTGAGAAGGACTCTGGAGTGGTGAGAAGGACTGAGTTTGGAGTGGTGAGAAGGACTGTGTTTGGATTGGTGAGAAGGACTGAGTTTGGAGTGGTGAGAAGGACGGAGTTTGGAGTGGTGAGAAGGACCGTGTTTGGAGTGGTGAGAAGGACCGTGTTTGGAGTGGTGAGAAGGATCATGTTTGGAGTGGTGAGAAGGACCGTGTTTGGAGTGGTGAGAAGGACTGAGTTTGGAGTGGTGAGAAGGACTGTGTTTGGAGTGGTGAGAAGGACTGTGTTTGGAGTGGTGAGAAGGACTGAGTTTGGAGTGGTGAGAAGGACTGTGTTTGGAGTGGTGAGAAGGACTGTGTTTGGAGTGGTGAGAAGGACTCTGGAGTGGTGAGAAGGACTGAGTTTGGAGTGGTGAGAAGGACTGAGTTTGGAGTGGTGAGAAGGACTGTGTTTGGAGTGGTGAGAAGGACTGTGTTTGGAGTGGTGAGAAGGACTGTGTTTCGAGTGGTGAGAAGGACCGAGTCTGGAGTGGTGAGAAGGACCGTGTCTGGAGTGGTGAGAAGGACCGTGTCTGGAGTGGTGAGAAGGACCGTGTCTGGAGTGGTGAGAAGGACCGTGTCTGGAGTGGTGAGGAGGACTGTGTCTGGAGTGGTGAGAAGGACTGAGTTTGGAGTGGTGAGAAGGACTGTGTTTGGAGTGGTGAGAAGGACTGTGTTTGGAGTGGTGAGGGCTTGTGTTTGCAGTGGTGAGAAGGACTGTTTGGAGTGATGAGAAGGACTGTGTTTGGAGTGGTGAGAAGGACTGTGTTTGGAATGGTGAGAAGGACTGCGTTTGGAGTGGTGAGAAGGACTGAACTTGGAGAGTTGAGAAAGACTGAACTTGGAGTGGTGAGAAGGACTGAGTTTGGAGTGGTGAGAAGGACTGTGTTTGGAGTGGTGAGAAGGACTGTGTTTGGAGTGGTGAGAAGGACTGAGTTTAGAGTGGTGAGAGGGACTGAGTTTGGAGTGGTGAGAAGGACTGTGTTTCGAGTGGTGAGAAGGACCGAGTCTGGAGTGGTGAGAAGGACCGTGTCTGGAGTGGTGAGAAGGACCGTGTCTGGAGTGGTGAGAAGGACTGTGTCTGGAGTGGTGAGAACGACTGAGTTTGGACTGGTGAGAAGGACCGTCTTTGGAGTGGTAAGGACTGTGTTTTCAAGAAATCTGGCAAAGGGAAGAAAAAGGTCACAGGATATTTGACTATGATTATAAAGAGAAAGTGAAGACACGGCAGAGAGAAATACCTGATGAACATAGGTCCCAAAGAGGCCTGAGAAGCCAAGAATAAAGAAGTTATCTGGAGCAGGGCATTTCCTAACATATCTGAGCTGGAAGCAAAAGTGAACAAGGGGAGTGAAAAATATGGAGATTTTTCAGGTAGAGAACGGGCAAGCAGAGGCAAGTTATGTCAGAGATTTTACTTTCTTTGTAAAGTGTGAGCCAACTTTGAGTTAATTCCAAGGCCTGGGAATCAAATACATTAGAAAAGTTTGAAATTGGCAGATTGGAGAATATGAATTACAGTCAATTAACAATGAATAAAAAAACTTCCATGCAGGAGTGAGTGCCCTCCAGTGATTGTAGAACATGTAATGTGATCAGCTGTCCTAGGTAGGGGATGTTGTCCAGCAACGTTTGTGGTGTTAGGAGCACTTCAAAAACTTTGTCTTTTGTGGCCCTTGTTTATATCAGCCATGGCTGCATCTGGGTTTATGCATTTGGTTTTCTTCCTAGAGTCTTGCACTACACTTTTCCTTTAGTAAACTGTGTTCGGCTTGATATCTTGTTCTTTTCAAGGTTACAGCACATTTCCAGTGTGTCACAGTCTCTCTGGTCAAGGAGGCTCTGAATTAATCTGGCGCTGGCTGCTGCTCACTAGAGCAGCATTCACAATGTGGCTAAAGAGGATATTTGCAAGATACGCTTACTTGTCCTCTGTTTCAGGTAAGGAGGCTAAAGCTAGGGCCACACTGGGAGATTTCTGGCTCATTGCTCTCAGTAACACTGCTCTACAGTCTTATCGACAAAAAGTCCATGAGTGGGAAGGAGGATTAGAACCTTAAGGCATAAAAAGGGAACATTTAAGGTTAAAAACAATATTCCTCCTCAATAGGGTTGACTTGTACTCTAGCTATGTAGGACTGGAGCGCTGTATCGGGGAAAGCTGATAGAGCAGATGCTCACTTAACCCTCTCTTCAGGAGGGTGGTAAATTACCACAGCATAAGCATTATTGAGCATTTTTCTAAGCACGTTGCAGCCAGTATTACTTCCTTCTCAGAAAAGCCATACAAACAGATAGTGTTATTGCTCTGCTTTTTCCAAAAACGGAACTGGAAACACAAGTAGGTTAAGCAACTCCCCTAAAGTCACACAACTAGTAAGTTGGTTGCCCCAAACCTTGGTCATAAGTTTGCCCTTTTGAGAAAGACAATATTAAAACCAAAAACACTACAAAATGTAATGGGTGAGGGCAGCTATCTTGGTAAATAATCCACCCTTAGCCATACTCTGTCAAGGGGGACTTCATGGTACAAGGTCATGACAAGACCCAGAAAAATCAAGTGTCCTGTACATCATATTTGAGTAGTAATGACTAAAATTATTCTCACTGATTAACATCTCTATTGGGTCTGCTCACATTCTTGAAAGGAATCACATTACTATTTATTTTCTAACTCTACCTTATCTCTTTTTAATATTGATTTTCTTTTTATCCTGTTTTTAATGATTCTTTTGATCACTTTGCCTTCTCTTGAGATATTTATTTCCTTTTCTTCCCAACTGGTCTTTTTATTCTTTCTTACAAAGCTTTCAATCAGTGTTTTCCACATAATGTTTATTTTGCCTTCCTTTGCAGTACCCACAGAGGAAAACATGTCAGGTTTTACTAGTAGAATCACAGAATGTAGAACAGAAAAGGTCCTTTGAGATACTTCTGTCTAAGCCCACTATTTTCAGAGGAGGAAACTTCCAAGTGAGGCCTCTTCTTTGTTAACCTCTGTACCTGTGTTTTGTCTCTGCTCGTTTTCAGAGAAGACCTCTTCCGTCATTAGCTGGGTGGCACTGAACAAGCTACCCAGGGTGCCAAGGCTTAGTTGCCTCCTCTGAAATGGTAAGAAAACTTACCATTAATGATCATCGCCATCTTCCTTGCCTGCTTCCCTTTCCCATTCTCCCATCCTGCTTCTCCCAGGGCTATGGTGAAAGGCAGATTGAGATATCTCACTGGAAATGTACTGATCAGAATTAAAACACATATACAAATATTTGTTTTCTTCCTTTTCCTTCATTAACAGTTTCTTTTGCCACTCTAATGACAATATAGGTTTCTGTTACTCTAGTTATCAGCCTACCAAACTTTTTAACTTTTTATATATTTTTAAAAGATTTCCAATTACTGCTTTCCTTTTCTAAGCTTTTTCAATGTATGTGTGTGTTGCTTATTTTTTTTTAAATTTGCAGTTTCCCAAAGTTGCAGAATGGTTAGGTCATTGGATAGCTGACTCTTGGCTTGATGAATCAACTCATTTCCTAGCAACTAGGACAGAGAAAAGTAAAAAGTAATGTATTACAAAGTAGCAAAGCTAATGCCCCATCTCTGATTATTAGTTTTTTTTTTTTTTTTTTTTTTTTTTTGAGATGGAGTCTTGCTCTGTCACCCAGGCTGGAGTGCAGTGGCGTGATCTCAGCTCACTGCAACCTCCGTCTCCCGGGTTCAAGCGATTCTCCTGCCTCAGCCTCTGGAGTAGCTGGGATTACAGGTGCACGCCACCACGCTGGGCTAATTTTTGTATTTTTAGTAGAGATGGGATTTCGCCATGTTGGCCTGGCTGGTTTTGAACTCCTGACCTCGTGATCCACCCACCTTGGCCTCCCAAAGTGCTGGGATTACAGGCGTGAGCAACCACACCCAGCCAGATTTTTTTAAAAGTACAGAAATTCTTGGGCTGGGCGTGGTGGCTCACGCCTGTAATCCCAGCACTTTGGGAGGCCAAGGTGGGCGGATCACAAGGTCAGGAGATCCAGACCATCCTGGCTAACATGCTGAAACCCCATCTCTACTAAAAATACAAAAAATTAGCCAGGCGTGGTGGCGGGAGCCTGTAGTCCCAGCTACTTGGGAGGCTGAGGCAGGAGAATGGCATGAACCCAGGAGGCGGAGCTTGCAGTGAACCGAGATTGTGCCACTGCACTCCAGCCTGGGCGATAGAGCAAGACTCCATCTCAAAAAAGAAAAAAAAAAAAAAAAAGGTACAGATATTCTCCAGGCAAGCCAGGAATTTGAGAACAGAGAATGAGGCTATGTGAGAGTTAATTTAGGCTTCAGACAAATTCGAAGTAAATCATTAGTAGATGACTATGGCAGGGGACAGGGCGGGGAGGGGGTGCAGAGAGGGAGAAATGTTCAAGCTATATGCTGTCGTTTATCAAAGAAAGTGCTGGTTTGACTGTAAGTCAAGGAAGTTAAAAACCTGACAGATGCTAGTTGCGGTGAATCATGCCTATAGTCCCAGCACTTTGGGGAGTCAAGGTGGGAGAATCACTTGAGGCCAGGAGTTTAAGACCAGCCTGGGCAACATAACAAGAGCTTGTCGCTACAAAAAATTACAAGTTAGCCGGGCATGGTGGTGTTTGCATGTAGTCTCAGCTAACTCAGGAGGCTGAGGTAAGAGGATCACCTGAGCCCATGAGTTTGAGGCTGTAGCAAGCTATGATGGCATCACTGCATTCCAGCCTGGGTGACAGAGCAAGCCCCTGTCTCTAAACCAAACCAAACCAAACCAAAACAAAACAAAACAAAAACCCTGACAGAACCTCAGTGAATGCAGAATAAGCAAGAAAAGAAGGATTTCAAAATTACAGATCCTTATGAAAGTCCAGTCTACTCCGTGCCATAAATCTTAATTTCAGTTCAACTAGGTGTCACACTTCTGCCACCCATGCCTCCTTTAGCAGTCCCAGTAGTGGCTGCTCTATGTTCTATTTTTCAAGAAAATTTTTAGTCATTAACAGGATATCTGCATCCTACCTCATCCAATAGGAGGAGTGGTTCTGATGATCACTTTTGCCACAAGGACAAGCAAACAAACTGCCATTGAAAGGCAAATGTCTTTTCTAAGGTGATATAACAAGCCATTTACAAAAAGAACTTTAAAATAGCTCCTGCTTTCAGACTTACCCAATTAAGTCACATTTTCTCTGTGACTTAATGGCTCCAGGCTTTACTCTTACTTCATAAATCACAATCTCTAGCTTGGGAAAATGCTTCAAATTACATCAATCAATAAGTTTTTATTGACTGTTTACAATCAGCCTAGTGCTACACCAAGTGCTGTGAGAGCCAAGTGCCTAATGTGAGAGCCTGCACCATCCACTGCTCTGACGCTTTTTCAAGCCTTATAAACAGCATAGGCTCTTTCCCTTGTGGTCACTCATTGCTATTGCCTGGTGTTCATGGGCTTTGCAATCTGGCTCAAGCCTACCTTTCCAGTTACTATTACTATTTCTAATCTTCCTCTACTCCTTTTGTCTCACCATATCTTGATTTTTGTATGTGTCCACATTTGCATTATTGCTTCTTCTCCCACCAAGAACTCCCTCTTGGCATCTCTAACTGCTGAACAATTAGCCATTCTGTATGGCTCAGGTCAAGCCCCATCATTTCCATGAATCCTTGCTCTATACTCTCTTGGGAAGTGCTTCCTTCTTCTTTGAACTGAATACAGGTTGGCTTACTGTACCACCCAGAGGACACTTGGGTTATCAGTGCAAGATTGAAATCACCTCTTATTTGTGGCATTCCCATGGTAACTTTCTCTAACCAAAAGTTCAAGTAATATTTGTAACGTATAATAAAGGTGGAAAAATTTGCATTTGAGGTAAGCTTTTAAGAACAGGAAGGAGGAACCAGGACATGGAGACTAATTTGGATATGGGGACTGCCTAAGCAAGGGACAGAAATGAGAAAGCATGAGGTCTTTCCAGGGAGCAGCAAAGATTTTACATCAACCTAAAGCTTAGACAGCATGAATACTAGTAGTGGTTCATGAGACTGGAAAATAGACTAGAGTACCTTGTCCCCCAA
Organism: Homo sapiens; assembly: GCF_000001405.40. Lineage (NCBI taxonomy): Eukaryota > Metazoa > Chordata > Mammalia > Primates > Hominidae > Homo > Homo sapiens. Next base: position 146,292,183 of record NC_000004.12, read on the forward strand.
AATAAACTTCATTCTATAGGCACTGGATAACCATTGAAGATATCTGAACCAGAGAGCCATGATCAGAATTCTAGTCATTGGAAGCACTATGAAATGCATAACAAAAGTTGGGTGTAGAAATGGAATTATCAGTAAGATATCCATTGAAATAGCCTAGAGAGAAAGAGGCAACAAGAGCCTGAATTAAGGAAGTGGCTTTTGGAGCAGAAAAAATATTACAGAAGTAGGATCGGGAAATTGAAAAAAAAATGATGTGAAGGATTCCAGCTTGAGTAACTTTGAGGATGGTGGTTCACTAAAAATAAGGAAAGAAATAAGAGAAAGAGGCAGTTTTTGGGAAAAACATGACTCCATTTTGAATATCTTGAGTCTAAGGTCTTGTTAAGACAGTCAAGTAAAGATATCTAAATGGTAAATGAAACATAGGGTTCAAACTCAGTTAAAAACATTGCAATGGATGGTTTGCACCTGAAAATCATCAGTATGAAGCTAACAGCTCAAGCCAGTAGAATGGAAGGGCCTGCCTAAGCACTCAATGTGGATAGACAAGATAAGGCCAAGGAAAGACCCTTTGTAATGTCTACAATTTGAAGGTGGCAGAAGGGAGGCAGAATGGTCAGGGAGACAGGAGAAAAACATATGTAAAAGGAGAAAAAAATATAAACGTGTATAGTGGCATAGTAGCCAAGTAGACCGCATGATTCCTAATTTAGAAAACTAATAACAAGAGATACCAAATCACTTACCTTGTTGAAAAGATGAAAGTTAAAAGCATAAAACTCAGCTGGATAGAAAATACTGAAGAAAAAAAGATTGAATCTAAATTAGCACTCTAAAAGCAGTATTTGTAGCATACTTATTGGTATACTTGTTTTATCTAAAATTTATAGGAACTAAAAAAGAAAAACAAACAAATAAACCAAACAAGCATGCCTTGCTAAATTGAAAGAATCATTTAAATTAGTGGGACTCAGTCTGTTCTTATTGATGATATCCCCAGAAACAGTCTTTGTTATTGAGGGAAAACCTAAGGCCTCTTTAAGATTTGGTTATTTAATTTGGTCAATTTAGAAAGAGCTGGTTTATACTATGAATATTTCTACAAATATCACAAATGCAGTAGCATACAATATACTTTAGAATAACAAAAGATTCTTTGATATTACAACATTAGTAACAGTTGTCTTTGGGATAACAGGATAAATAGAACAAAAGGTTGCTTTTTGAGCTTTAGCAGTTTCCTGCATTTTATAGTCTGCTGCTTCTCAAAATGAAATGACATTATTTTGGGTAAATTTTATTAGAAAATATGATGTAAATATTCATATTTTAACCAACGCAGCCAAGTTATTATACTTAGAAATAATAGTATCATATATTATACATCCTGTTTTTAAATCACAATAAGGGGTAAGATCAGTTTAAAGCTATAATAAACTAAATTGGTGACACAGTGCTTAATCTAACATTTGCATCTGACAGGAATTAAGGCTTCTCTCACCTGACATCAACTACTATAAATCAGAAAATGGGGCAGCAGACGCAAAAACAAAGGAAATTACGATATAAGTGTAAAGCCGATGTATTTTAAAAGAACAGAATAAAGTCACTGAGTAAATGTAAAATAAAATTAAGCATTCATTTCTAGTCAAATTAACACTAGACATGAATTTAGAGAACACACAGTGCTACGCGTTGCTATTGAGGACACTGAGGGATAGCCAGGCTATCCCATTTTCCAACTTACTTATGAACAGTATGAGAACAAGGCTGAATTTATCCAGGTCAATATTTGGGTTAGAGAACGTGTCACAGAATGTTGTGTAGATGATCATGAGGAGTACACTGCTGCTGATAGCACCAAAAGGAGGCTTCTTTCTCTCAAGCCAATCCTTGATGTATCTTCGGACAATCTGAAATACAGAGATCAACAGGTTGCCTCTTTTCAGAGATGGAGGGAGTTGAAATGGGCATCACAAAGTGATTCTGACAGGAGAAAGACATAAAGGAAAGAGAATAATTTGGCTGATGGCCACAGTGGATTTCAAAGCTTCCCTGCCACACTACTCTTCTTCTGGGGAATTTAACATTTGTAGTGCAACTTCCACTGGGTGTCCATAATGAGAGTATATTTTCAACTGCATTCAAATCCATCCTTAATCATGCCAAATGCTCTTTGCTAGCTGTCACTGAGACATGCCCATTAAACCTCCCCAAAGTTTATCTCCTCTGCTGATCCTAATGGATGTGTGTAATTATCACAGTCCCCTTTGCCTCAACAGACAATTCCAAGTGCAACTTTGGGAATCTTAAAAATCTGACATCTTCAAGAATTTCAAGACAGTAGATAATCGAAAGTGATCCATGGAACATATTAATATTTAAAACGCTAGCAATGCACCAGAAGTTTTTAATTAAATTATAACTCATGCTTGAAAAGCAAAAGTGCATGTGTTGTGGGAGTTTAAATAATTCAAACTCTGAATATCTAGAGTTTTTGTGAATCCAAAGACAAATGCCATTTGCATACTTTTAGAATTCCAGAATTAACATTTAAAAATGAATAAACCTGTCCTAACTCTCCTACAAAAGGATCAGTGAAATATAAAGTTATAGAGCAATTCTGTCTTATTTTAAAATCAGGTCATCTGAATATTAGTGATAACTTCTGTTTGGACATAAAAGTGAACCACTCTACTTAAAACATTGTTTCACTTTTGAAAGAAGCTGTACAAGTCCCATCATAAGGACGATAGCTGAGACATATTAAGTTTTGAGTCACTCATTATCCTGCATAATTGAACATGAGAATTCACAACAGGCTGAATTACCATGGATCCATTAGCAATAATGAGGTCAGGGAACTTATCCTGATAAGGCTGATGGGGTTCTGTCATCAGGTACTCTGTCACTAAAAAGGCTTAATTCGCAATGGAGCATATCTTTACAGATGCTCAAGAATAAAATAAACTACTCTCAATAGAATCTTTGAACAACTGGCTGTTGGATCAACTTCAACTGTTCTCAGGGACTCATGAAGTGAACTGACAGTGTATTAAAGGCAGTCTTGGCAGAAAGCTGGCCAGCTGGTACCAGGTACAGGTACAAAATCCTGAAGGTTAGGTGGGGTGGGAATAAATGGAAAGTGTGTTAGATATTTTAAAAAATTGTAATTAATTTTCTTTAAAAAAGTAGATCTTGTAATTAAAGCCGCACCTGGATTTACAAAATATTATGGGGTTTATTTTGGGAAGGTGGGGGGAGTGTAGAAGTGATCCCAAACCATAGTAATTTATCTAGCATCCATTTCTTTCTTTAAATTTAAAACACAGTGATGTACAGAAAAATAAAAGCAGTTCTGTCACACAGCATTATGTACTGACATATTAGAACACAAATTTTGGACAACAGTGCTATAGGTATCATGGGTATCTAGATGTCTCCATGATCAGATATGTCACTAGGGTTGGTGGGTAGCTGGTCATTGGAAGGCCACAGAGGGACTTCATTTAAAGGGTCATTTCATAATCTATTGTGTTTGGTGGTACAAAACTGGTAGCTGCCCAAATTTAATATAATTCAACTCCTTTAGGAAATAAAATAAATGGAAATTACATGAAATTATTGAAATTGTTGCTGCCCTTCAATCTTGTTTTTAATACACAATGGTTAAAAACACCACAAAATTTCTCTCTCTGCAATAGGTTATAGAATGTATGATCCCAATTCCAAAAATAAGTGTCTTCCTCTCCTACCAGCATTGCCCTCCAACAAAATAAATAAATATGAATGAGGTGCAACTTGTAAGTGAAAACCATTTTAAAACCCAAGACAAATCTGTAATAATTAATCAACTGTATAAGCAATACAGATGTCCCTTGGTATCCACAGAGGATTGATTCTAGGACCTCTGTGAATACCAAATCCACTGATGCTCAAACCCCTGATAAAAATGTGTAGTGTTTGCATATAACCTACACACAGCCTCCTGTGCACTTTAAATCATCTCTAGATTACTTATAATACCTAATACAACTATTCACACATGTATTATACTGTAGTAGGTTGTTACACTGTACTTTTAAAATTTTGTATTATTTTTATTGCATTGTTATTTATTTTTTCCCAATATTTTTAATCTGCAGGTGGTTGAATCTACAGATGCAGAACCCACAAATACAAAGGGCCAACTGTAATTTGATTGAGTTAACCTAATAATCTCTTTCTTCATTTCAAAGTACTTAGAGTCTCATAGTAGAATAGGACTCCCTCAGTATGGCAAGAAACAGGGTCTCCCAGGTCCACAATCCTTCTAGCCAAAATGTCTTTCTTCTAAACACTCCAATAAATTGATGGTGGATACCTAATCTCAATAAAGAAAAGAACTGGAAAGTTGGAAATGGACAGATGTACAAGTAAAACAGTACCCCTAGGGGAAAGCAGATTGTCTTTCACCATTTCTAGTCTTATTGTGATATTTGTCTACATTTTCTAAGTAAACCCTTTTATATCTTGCCAGGTTGCATAGAGCTTTTCCATCTTCCTCTAAAATTAAATTCACAAAGCAGCTGCTTTTGCACTATGTAGCTAGAAAGGCGTTAAAATGTTTCATAAACAAAAACTGGGTGAAGTAGTGTTGACATGCCTCAAAGATATGCTTTGGATATAAACTCCAGGAAACTTTATCTTCTCTTAGTTTAGCCACTTACACTTTTGATATAATCATTCTGTATTTGTCAAGAATTCATGTCATTTTAAAATTCTCCAAACTTCTTTGCCTTATAGAAATCTTTAATAACCTTATATGAAACAACACTTTGCTCGAGCTAGATCAACACAACCTGATATAGATGCCTCAGAATTCTCTCTTGGGAAAAAAGAAAATCCAAGATGAGGTGGGAGAAGACATTCTGGTGAGGTGGCCAGTTCTATCTTCCTTCAGAATCTATACTAATTAATTTGCCCTCAGACCTCAGAGAAATGTAGGCGTTCAAAATTAAGTGACAAATCCTCATTAACCTGTTTACTTTTCCCTGTGAAGAGAGAAGGAAAAAATCTTCCATAGAAGCTTTTTTATTTTGTTGTCTCACCTTCAAAACTTTGATTTTCTTTATTCTAAATTAAATAGCAGGAAAGGGTAAAGGAAAACTTAAATTTGACTCTCTGTGCTTCTAATAAATGGAGCCACATATCAATTCCTGCATGACTTCCAAGTTGGAAACCTGTAAAAATGACATGTCTTAGGTGTAGAATGTTGATTCACTGAGATAGATATAAAGTATAACACCCATCATCTTAGTTTTCTTAATATTTTTAAAGTATTTCCTTGCTTTTTATTTCTATTATGTCTTTACCCTATTCATAAATTGATTTTTGAATAAGGATATATGATAGATAATGTTTCACGTTGTCTGAATTTTAAGACTTTTCTCTTCAAGGTGGTTTCAGTTTGTTTCTTCAATTTTTATCCTCTATTGCACTAAATCCATATAGTTTCATAAAGTTTTGTTTCTTCATTAATATCCTGTTTTAATATATAGTCAGAGATATGAAATCAAATCCAATTTCTGTAACACTTTATTTTTATTAAATATTGAGTAGATTCAAAATAAAACACTTGGCAAAAAAACATAAACAATAATAATAAATGGGCACAATGAACACTTATTATCTACTTCACTCTTTGAAAATTCTTCCCCTCTATTAATTCATTCCATTCTCATGAGAAAGGTCACACATTATTATTCTGCTGAGTTTACAGTTGGAAACAGAGGCACAGAGAGTCAAGTCAACTTGCATAAAATGTTGAAAAGCTAGGGAGGTGGCTGAGTAGGACTACGACCCCTATTTCCTGAGGGAACCATGGCACAGGGGCTCAGGGTACAGACTCTGGAGCTACACCGCACCTAACTTTGAGTCCTGGCCCCAATCCTTACTTTGTGATGTTGGGCAAATTCCTCACTTTCCGTGTGCCTCATCTGTGATATAACAGTAGTTGTCTTGAGGATTAAGTAATTAAATAAATATAAAATGCTTTAGAGACCGGGCCTGTCCCTGGTACATGATCACTATTCTTATGTCCAAGTCTCAGTTTGATGATGTTTCTATCACTGTTTATCAGTACACCTCACTGTTACTTTTCTCTCAAAGCATTTTCAGGTGAAGCAATGAAAATTGTTCATATCTAATATAATGCTATAAGTGTAAAACTCTACTAGTATTAATAACACTAACTTCAACTTTAATGGAAGACTAATATGAAAGGCCCATCTCAAACTGAAACAAATCACTAATGGAAAGACCAGAGAATGCATGAATGATAATGTATAGATATGCTTTTTTATTATTAATTTATAGGGTAAAAAGTAGGTTTTAGTGTGCTGCTTTAAAAATATTCAAGGTGATGGAAAATAAAAAGTGGTAGAATTTCTGTTTCATTGTTTATTTGTATACCACTCTTAAATATAATGCACAAAATAAGTATTTGTCACAAGCACTTAGATGTATTGAAAAGGTTTGTTGGAAAAGAAGAGAAAATGCTATGACAGCCGGCACAAATTTTCTTTCTTTCTAGATTGACAGAAGGAACAATCTCCTAACCATCTATGGAAAGACTAATCTTATCTCACAGAGTCGTAACACCTTCAGGGTAGAAGATACAACACACTTTGTTCTACAAATGAGGAAAGTGAGGCCTAGGAGCTGTGTGTGCAGCCAAGCAGTGAGGAAGACCAAACTACACCTCCCATCAAATCAGAGTCAGTCAATAATGATTTAAACCAAAAAGAAGTATTGTCTGGGGAAACAGAAAAATAAAATTCACTCTCAGAAATATAAATCACAAGTTGAATGACAAACTTTTATCACCAATAAAAGATTAAGAAAAATATATTCAGCTCATACTTCCTGGTCTTTTTCTTCTCCCTCTAGTTCCCATTTTCTGTTTAACCAGTAATGATAAAACCTCATGTTAAAAGATGCATATAACAATCCATACAAGCGTTTATTTTCATAATTTGGCACTCCTGGTTACAGTTGTGAAAGTAGCCTGCCATGCAGGACACCTGATTCCTCTGAACTAGCACATATGTGTACGGCTAACAGGGTCCTCAAAGATTACATTACACAGTTGAGGTGACTCAGTGGATTAAACTAGGTAGACAAAGTCCCTGCTCTCATGATGTTTACATTCTAGTTTAAGAGAGAAATAAAAAGCAAAACAACAAATAAACAAGAGGCAAAATAATGATACATACTAAGCTGAAGTTTAAACTAAATGATATGATAGTGACTGAGTTGCTACTGGGTAGCCACTCAAGGAGAGGGTGGGGAAAGGTCTTTCTGAGGATGTGAAAGGCGGCAAGGTGTTTCAGGCAGAAGGAACGGCCAGTGCAAAGGTTCTAAGGCAGGAACAAGACTGGCATGTTTGAGAAACAGAAGCAAAGTCAGTGAGACGTGAGTGCAATGGGCAAGTGGGAGAGTGTTGGGGAGGTAAAAGGGACTTGAAGATAGAGGATAAGGTAACAATCCCTTTGAAGAGTAGAAAAAGAAACACTATAAGGAAGTAGGGTAGGGTTTCTGGGAGGTGTTAGATGACACCTTAAATGTGGGGTCATAAATTCAACACAAGATGAGACCAATGTGTATTGCTCTCTGAGAAGCAAAGCTCAGCTGCTCCAGTAGAAGCGGGGTTGGGCCTTTGTGAAGCAGGTAAAATGGAGAGGTGAAGAAGCTGAGAGCTCTGCCAGGGAGTGAGGTGAATGACAGGTCATGGAATCTGAGCAGCTCCATTGCACGCATGGAGTAGGCAGAGTTGGCTTTAACCAGGGTTGGGGCTTTTTGAGCAAGTACATCAAAGGGAGAAAGAGTGAAGGAGTTGAGAATAATTGCCAAGGAGGGATTATAATGGTAGACTAAGGAATCAAAGCTGGGTAAGAAGGGAAGTAAAGTCGTGAGGATGGTGACTGAAAGGTCAGTTAATCTGGGGTCTTGGTGAGACTGAAGAATTACTGAATAGAGTATGTGAGCTTAGTAGGTGAGGACAGGTATGGTGGCTATGAAGTGGGCTGCCTGAGATTGATCATCAAGGTCCAACAAGCCTGCTATAGCCCCATAGCACTTTTGTGTGTATTAGAAAAATCCCTTCTTTAATATACTTTGTTTCCTCCTGCCAGAACAATTTTAATAATAAATATTCAAACCTATGATGCCTATAAAGTGAGTGCACTTCTTTGAAATGCAGCATTGTTGTGTACCACACACTCTATACCACTGCAGGCAGAGACGACCTTGTGAGGTGGTGATTATAGGAGGAGGTGGCTGAGGTGGCACTGCCTGCCCTGGGCACCCCTGCCTGTGGAATGCTCCCCCTTCTCCAAGGTACTGGAGGACCTGAGGATCATGCAGCAGCACTTATATAATAACATCTACTCAGATGTGTGGCTCTATCATTTATGTTAATGTACCTGTGGGCCAGTTACAGCACAGTTCATCCAAAGACTAAAGTCAAAGGAGGTGTTAGAAATATGGCTTTTCTTTAACATAAAATTTTGAAATATTTATTTTTTCTTGAACTGGTATCCTTAAAAAAGATATACTTTTTTTTCAGATATGTTTTTCAGGTGATGACTAGGAAAGAAGTAAGTCATTGTTATTGAGTACCTACTATATACAGACCTAAAAATATTATCCTGAACAAATGGCAACCTAGGGAAAATTACTGCTGGGCGCTCCCTGAAGATAAATTCAAAATTCTCTTCAGTCAATCTTTTTATACATCTTACACCCTACTCTTGAATATGTTATTAAGTATACCTATAAATAGTAACCTATGGAGACCACCACTTAGGATGAAATAACAGATTAAGTACATGCATATGTACTGAGAGTTACTATAAGCAAGGAGGTAGGAAAATTAAGAAGATATAGTCTCTGCTTTTAGGCAGCTCATCAATAAATTATATTATTTCCTGATAAATTTATGAATCAAGTACGATGGGAGACGTGGAATTTAATCGAGGCCAGTCTAGGTCACAGCAGGCAGGCGTCACATTAGAGGGCACCTCTGTAACAAGTCTTCAACAATGAGTAGGAGTTTGCTGGCAATACAGTCAAAGGCATAGAGCAGTGAAGGGCCATGGTCAGGTGAAGGATGATGAGTATGCAGCATGGGAAAAGCAGAGCCCTAAGGAGAGGAGTGGTGGGAGGTGGCACTGGAGAAGCAGGTTGGGCCAGACTGTGAAGGGCTTTGGGGCCATGCAAGGAATTGGCAACAGGAAGGCACGAGCAAGTTTTTAAGGAGAGGAATAATATGAATTGATTTGTGTTTTAGGACTACTCTGGAGGCAGTAAAGACATTAGATGGGAATTGGAAGAGACTCACAGCAGAGAGACAGGTTTAGGAGGTGCAGTAATTTAGACAAGAGATGATGAAGGTGTGTCATCCTCTCCAGCAGTGTGACTGGGGCTGCAAGGGCCAGGTGTGAAAGATTTCTGAGGCAGAAACGGTAGGATGAAGTGACTGCCTGGATGTAAAGGAGTATGGCTGTAAGGAGAGGGAGGAGGTAAGGCTAATTGGTGGTTTCTAGATGTGGAGACAGGGTGGTGGCTGTTAATTCCTAAGACCAGAATACAAGAGGAGGGGCAGGTAGATGCAAGCATATAGGTTTCTCCTCGAAAAGAGTCATCAAAGAACTGTGGTATCTAGAACACTTAAGAAAAAAAAAGCTACCTATACTACCTTTTGACTACCATTATTACTTTATAATTTACTGAATACTTTACTATTTACTACTGAGTACATGAAGAATGAGCCATCTAACAATTCATTATTCCCTCGGGATAAATGTTTTTAAATTACATACATTATATAACCCTAGACATACATAATTAAGTAAGCTACATGCAGATTTTTTGTCTGTATGTTTTAAGCCAAGCATTTATTATTAATAAGGAAATTTCCAAGATCTACCATGAGAAGAATGCATAAGCCTTAAATTATTAGATGGAATTATTTTCAGAACAAAGAAAATAAGTATGAATTTAAACTAATATAATCCACAGTTTAAACTGTGTGGAGATGAGAAGTACAGGTAGATTCAGTTATGCCTCTATACAACAAAGCATATCCCTTACAGATCACAGAACTCTGGCTCATTCATTCTTTCACTCACTCTTTCAGCACATATTTATTGGGTACCTATGGTCTGGGAATGTAATGATAAACAAAACGAATATGGTTCCAGTACTCAAGAAGCTGACAGTCGAATGGCAGAGATAAATTGTTAACAAGCAAACTAAACATAAGTATATTTTGTGAGAAAGGTCAAGAAAGAAATCAAACAAGGTGTTGCAATGAAGAATAACCAGGGAAATATATATCAGCTATATGGTTCAAAGAAGGCTTCATTAAAGAGTCAAATGAGAAACAAGTTGAGGTGGGAGGGTAGGCAGAAAGACACTCTAAACAGAAAGAATGAGCAGGAACTGAGAAAACCAGAGAGGCTGGAAGTAGGAAATCTGGCAGAGGTCAGAAAGGTAGGCAGGGATGTAACATTTATTCAGAATCTCTGTTATGTGATCAACACTGTGGGAGAAGTATTTTTTAAGTATCATTTTATATTTAATTAAATGCTATTCTTAAAGTGCTTTTAAATCCCCCATTTTATGCTAAATTTAGTCCCTTTTCTAAGTATAAAATTAAAAAAAATTAGTACATGTGTTGTGGATGCTGTGGAGCACCACCCAGATCCCTCTCTTCAAGAATGAGATACTTATACCCACAGCTGCAGGGAGTGTTAGGTGAGTAAAATATGTCAGCAGAGTTCCTCTTCGGGACTTGCCCTCAGCCTAAGAGAGCAGACTCACCCAAGGTCACAGCCCTCATGGAGGGTAGGAGGGAAGCCAGTATCTAATGACTGGTCAGTGTAAGAGTATAAAGACCAGGTGCTCTTGCCTTAAGGCAGCACAACTCTGAGGGGTCATTCCGGCTCCAGAGTTCCCCATGGGTTCTACTGAGACCTTTGCTGGGACTGCATCATCTCCATCCTACTTTATTCACTCTATTGTTCCCAAGGGTACTCCCTAGTAAACTTCCTGCATAAAAACCTCTGTCTTTGAGTCTGTTGCCCAGAGAACCTGACCTAGGACAGCATGTAAATATTACACGTCTATGCACACATTTCTTTTTCTTTCTTTTTTTTTTTTTTTTGAGACATAAAGAGTCTTGCTCTGTTGCCCAGGCTGGAGTGCGGTGGCACAATCTTGACTCACTGCAACCTCCGCCTCCCAGGTTCAAGTGATTCTCCTGCACCAACCTCCTGAGTAACTGGGACCACCGGCACCCACCACCACACCCAGCCAATTTTTTTGTATTTTTAATAGAAACAGGGTTTCATCACATTGCCCAGGCTGGTCACGAACTCCTGACCTCAGGTGATCCGCCCATCTCAGCCTTGCAAAGTGCTGGGATTATAGGCGTGAGCCACCGAGCCCAGCCTATACATACATTTTTTATATTCAATATTTCAAAGACTTGTTTCCTGTTTAGTATTTGCAGGGAATTTGGTAATAATGATTATGATGATAGAAGCTACAGAGCACTTACCTGTGTTAGGTTCTATGACAAGAAGTTTACAGGCATGCATATTTCAGTTAATCTTTACAACAACCCTTTACGATAGATATTATTGTCATAATATTTAATAAATTATGAACCTAGAGCTAGGGAGATTAAATAACTTGCCCATAGTAACACTGCAAATAAAAGGCAGAAATAAGTCTAGAATCTAGTTGCTCTTAATGTACTGCTTTCCTAAGACTTGTTCACTTTAGTTGTGCATTAAATTCTATACTCCAATACTGTGGCATCCTATGATTTCATAGAAAACAAAAAAAATCCACTTGTTTTACAATTTGTATGCTTATATGCTTACTACTAACTTGTTATAAGAAGTTAAAATAGAATTCCTATCAGTCCAATTGAATAAGAATGACAAAGTAAACCCTAAATATTCTAAGATAAACTTTAAGAGATAATAGGATTAAATTGTTTATCAATTACATGGTCACAAACATAACTGCTGTTGGAGGAGTCTATAAAGACACCAACCAAAGACAGATGCTTGTTCCCAACAATGGTCATAAACACGGAGACCTTATCAAAAGTTGCAGAATAAGGTAAAGACTTGCTAGATGTCTGTTGTTGGTGCTATAAATTTCCCTCTACACACTGCTTTGAATGCATCCCAGAGATTCTGGTATGTTGTGTCTTTGTTCTCGTTGGTTTCAAAGAACATCTTTATTTCTGCCTTCATTTCATTATGTACCCAGTAGTCATTCAGGAGCAGGTTGTTCAGTTTCCATGTAGTTGAGCGGTTTAGAGTGAGATTCTTAATCCTGAGTTCTAGTTTGATTGCACTGTGGTCTGAGAGATAGTTTGTTATAATTTCTGCTCTTTCACATTTGCTGAGGAGAGCTTTACTTCCAAGTATGTGGTCAATTTTGGAATAGGTGTGGTGTGGTGCTGAAAAAAATGTATATTCTGTTGATTTGGGGTGGAGAGTTCTGTAGATGTCTATGAGGTCCTCTTGGTGCAGAGCTGAGTTCAATTCCTGGGTATCCTTGTTGACTTTCTGTCTCGTTGATCTGTCTAATGTTGACAGTGGGGCGTTAAAGTCTCCCATTATTAATGTGTGGGAGTCTAAGTCTCTTTGTAGGTCACTCAGGACTTGCTTTATGAATCTGGGTGCTCCTGTGTTGGGTGCATATATATTTAGGATAGTTAGCTCTTGGTGGGACTGTAAACTAGTTCAACCATTGTGGAAGTCAGTGTGGCGATTCCTCGGGGATCTAGAACTAGAAATACCATTTGACCCAGCCATCCCATTACTGGGTATATACCCAAAGGACTATAAGTCATGCTGCTATAAAGACACATGCACACGTATGTTTATTGCGACATTATTCACAATAGCAAAGACTTGGAACCAACCCAAATGTCCAACAATGATAGACTGGATTAAGAAAATGTGGCACATATACACCATGGAATACTATGCAGCCATAAAAAATGATGAGTTCATGTCCTTTGTAGGGACATGGATGAAACTGGAAATCATCATTCTCAGTAAACTATCGCAACAACAAAAAACCAAACACCACATATTCTCACTCATAGGTGGGAATTGAACAATGAGATCACATGGACACAGGAAGGGGAACATCACACTCTGGGGACTGTTGTGGGGTGGGGGGAGGGGGAGGGATAGCATTGGGAGATATACCTAATGCTAGATGACAAGTTAGTGGGTGCAGTGCACCAGCATGGCACATGTATACATATGTAACGAACCTGCACAATGTGCACATGTACCCTAAAACTTAAAGTATAATAATAAAAGAAAAAAAAACTTAAAAAAAAAAGACTTGCTAGATGTTTTCAAGGTAGCTACACAGCTACAAAGAGGAGATAATAAATTAAACAAAAATCAAGACTCTGTGTAGAAGTCCCTATATATATAGCTACCAGGGGTGCCTATATACAGCTAACTGCAAAGCAGATTAGTATTAATTTAAAAAATAAAAAAGATGAGAATACTGTGATTGATGAAAGTTTTGTTTTTAGTCTCATATTTTCATTTATCTCCTCCCTCTGAATATCCTTTCTCTCAACTGCTCTGACATTATGTAAGATTTCACAATTTGATCCATAAAGAAAAGATCAGATAGAATTGGAGGCCTTACCTGTCCAATGATGAGAGGAACCACAACAGTCATAAAAAGCTGAGAAAAAATAGATGTGAAAGGCACAGAAGAAGATGAACCAAGCTGTAAAACAAGAAAATAGGAGTTAGAATTACTTCAAATCAGTTATCAAGCATTAGTGTTTATAAATAATGCAATAAATAGATTTTCTCAGGCGCACCAAAAATTTGGTAGCTATCTACAAAGAATAAGTGAAGTTACCTCTAATTTTCTAAGTTCAACACAAAAAACTGTTAAGTATTTTAAAATATAATTTTTATTGGGAGACTAAGATTGAGAAAAATATTGATTTGCAATCAACCTAAATTGCTTATTATTTTAGTAAAGTCATTCTGTTTTCATACAGTCTATAATCATATGGCATGATATTTCATCAACAATTACAGGTTATGTGATTTTTATTTCACCTGTCTGTAGATATCTAAAATAAATGTCTCATTCCTTTATCAAGATAACATTTTTATTTATGTAAATGAAATAGTTTCTAACTTTCTGACTCCTTCAAAACAAATATAATGAATCTCAGATCCCGTAGAATTTTTTCTTACACAATGTCTAGCAAATGGGAAATCCTGAAATATAACTTATTTTTCAACTTAAAATTTCAATATAGCTCCCCTAAATTTGTACGCTTTAACACTGTTCATAATTCCTATTTTTCTTCTTCCTCATTTTTTGATTCTTTCTTCGTTAACAATTACAATCTCAGTTTCATTAAGATGCTATTCCCTGCAGCACAAGAGTGCTTATCTACACACACAGTAACACACTCACGTTAGCCTCCATCACTAAGAATTGCTAAGTCTTCCTATGGAACTTTTCAGTGTTTGTCAAAACCTTCTCCTGTTTTTCAAACTTCTCTGGACAAACAATAGATGTTTTTCTCTTTCACAGGTTCATTTTGCAACCAGATCTACCAAACCATCGATAATTGGCCCTTGGAACTTACTTTTTGCCTTTCCCCTGCAGACCAAACCTCAGTTTTCATATCTACCTAAGTTTAGTTACACTTGGAAATATCTTTTGGAAAACAATTTTTGTGAAAGGACATGGAGGTAATGATGATTGAGGGTACAGAATGTCAAACAAAACAGATCAAACATTTAGCTACATGAAGTCAATAGCTCTGAATGAAGTGGTACGGGAACAGTGTTTTCACTGATTTCTGCATGAATGGTTTACAAAAATCTCCTCTCCACTCCGACACATTGTATAAAATTCTGTCCCCCAGCTCCAGCCCCAATCTGCATACACTCAAAATGCCAAGAATATATATCTGGCCCATCATTGGCCCTGTGTTCATTGAAAACCAGCTTCAACACTGACCACTGGCTGTCTATTTAACCCATAAAAATTGGTGGTCTCTAGCCCTTTTTCTCCACAACCAATATAAACTAAAATGAAGAGAGACAAACAGAAAAAGTGAAACTGGAAAAGAACAAACAGGATTCCTGGTGTGTTACATGTCACATGGCTGTTAGATGTTTCTTTTTATGCAAAACCAAAATATTAAAAGCTAATAATTAAGCTCTATTTTAAAGCAACTATGTCTCTGCAGCACAAGGTGCTTAACAAATACATTCTCTCCACAAATATTAACCCTAAGGATATTCCTGGGGCAAGGACTGAAATAAAGAAAAAAATATATTTTACTGAGAAATGAGGCACTGGATGAATAGAAAAATACACTTTAAAGAACAAAGTTTTCAAGTTCAAGAAGGTCTAGCTCAATGCTCTATTCATAAGGTTTACAGAACTTGGAGAGAAGTAGCAAAATTAAGCTATAATCTTCATGTAAAAGGTGACATTTCCTGCCTGAAATCACTTCAGTGATCTCACATATCCCTGGCTCCTCTTTCTATCTCAACTTTATTATTAGGTTTTTAAATTTTTTATATGAATAACCATTTCAAAGGTATATTCTCTCTTTAAGCACCCCAAAATAAAGAAAAATCCATTTCAACTTGGGTTTTAAAAAGTATTATATATTTACAATGTCTCCATCCTTCGCATACCAGACCACTGGCATATTCAATGTTTGGAAACCGCGTGTTCTTAGAAGACAGTAGAACAAGGCTATGTGTTGAGGAGGTTGTCCATGATCTCTATGGTCCCTTTTTCCTCTAAAATGCTATGATCTCTGATCCACTTGACTGGAAACACAGGTTACAGCAGCCTTCCTCAGAGGCTCTGTCAGATCAGAGATCAGAGCAAGCTACTCAGGGATGTAATTAACTGGGTACATGAAGACAGACGAGGTATGGCAGGGATGCTGGGGACGAAATCCCCCAGGATGGCTCCCTTAGAAGTGGCTCTGAAAGGAAGGAAACCTCAGTACTGGAGTCTAATTTGGCATAAGTCCTTTCTTTTGAATTGGCCAACAGACCTGTCACTGTGGTCAGTATGAAGATGCAGAGGACCCCTGGGGAAGTTTCTGATGCTATGAAGTATGCCCTGGCATCCAGAAGACAGAACAGCAAGCATCTGGCACAGCGCAGCCTGTGAGGACAGGACTAGAGACACACAAAACCCAATCACTCTGCATGCAGAGGTGATTTTAACTAAAGCAGAAGAAAATAAGCTGCTTGGGATATTTGGTTCTTCATATTTTAATGAGGAACCTGTTGTGGTTTCTATTGTAAAGATCAGTGTGTTTATGAGAAGCAGCAATAATTTGCAGGTGAAGTTTCCAGGTTCAGAAGGTTGTATCAAGCAAGTGCCCTGGACTTCATTGAGCCACCCTGGCAGATTTAGAAGTAATATGTCTCATACTGCCAATCCATGGTTTAAGATACAGCATGTTAAGCAAACAATCCAGTCCCTGGCTAATTTCTTGCAGAAATATGTAGTACTTTAAAGGAGAAAACTCACCATTAGCTTGGTTTCTTTGTTTTACTATCCTATGCTGAGAAGAAATCATTCATGAAAATTCAGTATGTGGAAATTTAGGATCTTTGCATTCAATCATTCAAGTAGTTACTTAGTGCTTCCTGTGAGCTAGGGGCATGTTCTTGACACTGCGGATACAACTGTAGACAAAACACAAAAACCCCTTGTGTCAAGCTGCTGCTTTTTAAAAGCTGAGGTCGGTGTGCACGCCTGTCCATCGCCAAGTATGCCTGCACTCAGTCCTCTAGAATGTTGTTTTCCCCACTTATAACTGGAAAAGTTTGAGTTTTTTTCCAAGACTCAGTTCAAACATTACTTCTTCAGGAATTCTTTCCAACACATCCTCCAAAAATGCTGAATTGGCCACCCTCTCTTTTGTGAACCATTGTTCTGTGTATCTGAATTGTACCTCTCGGAATCCTTGGTTGTTCTTGTTTACAAATCTATGCTCCTGAAGGTTGGGACACTATGTCATTCACATTTACAGTCCCATTGCCCAGCAGAGTGACCACTTTCTACATCTAGGGCAGTGGTTCTCAAATGTTAGCACATCAGAAACATCGGGAGGGCTTGTTAAAACACAGACTGATTTTGCCATCCTCACAGTGTCTGATTCAAAAAGCCTGGGGAGAGGGATGGGAGTTGTGGTGAGAATTGGTATTTTTAACAAGATGCCCAGTGATGCTGCTGCTGCTGACTTGGGGGTTCACACTTTGAGAACCACTAATCTAGTACATAGGGTGTGCTCAATGAATGTGTGTCAATTAGTGAATGACTGTAATACAAAGGCAGAAAAAGCTTGCGAATGCTTTCAACACATTCTTCCAACTTCATTCAGGTAAGCTGCAAAGCTCTACTTAGTTCACAGACCCAAGTAAGGATCATCAGCCAGGTCTCCCAATCAGTTGTCTTCTATAATCTCAATAGTAACATTTATCGTGCACTTTCATGTGACAGACACTGCTTTGTTTCATTTTTTAATAATTTCAACTTTTACTTTAGATTCAGGGGGTACACGTGCAAGTTTGTTACATGGGTATATTGAGTGATGCTGAAGTTTGGGATATGGATTATCCCATCACCAAGATAGTGAGCATAGTACCCAACAGTTAGGTTTTCAACCCTTGTCCCCTTCCTCCCTCCCCACTCTATTAGTCCCCAGTGTCTCTTGTTGCCATCTTTATGTCCCTGAGTACCCAATATCCAAGCTCCCACTTGTAAGCGAGAACATGTAGTATTTTGTTTTCAGTTCCTGTGTTAATTTGTTAGGATAATGGCTTCTGGCTGTTTCCATGTTGCTGCAAAGGACATGATTTTGTTCTTTTTTTGTGTCTGTGTAGTATTCCATGGGTGTATATGTACCACATTTTCTTTATCTAATCCACTGTTGATGGTCACTTAGGTTGATTCCATGTCTTTGCTATTTTGAATAGTGCAGTGATGAACATGTGAGTGTATGTATCTTTTTGATAGAATGATTTATTTTCTTTTGGATATATATGCAGTAATGGGATTGCTGGGTTGAATGGTAGTTCTAAGTTCTTTGAGAAATCTCCAGAACTGCTTTCCACAGACACTGAAGTAATTTACATTCCCACTAATTGTGCATAAATAAGTGTTCTCTTTTCTCTGTAGCCTCTCCAGTATCTGTTGTTTTTTCACTTTCTAATAGTAGCCATTCTGACTGGTGTAAGATGGTGTCTCATTGTGGTTTTGATTTGCATTTCTCTGATGATTACTGATGTTGAGCTTTTTTTCCTATATTTGTTGGCCACTTGTATGTCTTCTTTTGAGAAGCAGACACTGCTTTGAATGCTTACTGCATGTGGAATAATTTAATTCTCACAGCAACCCCTTGATGTTGGTTTTATTATTACCCTCATTTTCACAAGAGGCAACAGTGGCACAGAACAGTTAAACAACCTGGACAAGGTCACCATAGCTAGAAATTGACAGAGACAGAATCTAAACCCACAAGTGTAGCTCCAAAGCCCTCACACTTAACTCTTTACACTCTACTACACATTAGTTATAGGTGGTACAGTGTGAAACAGGGGAAGGGGGCACTAGTGAAAATCAAAGCTGGGCTCCTCTTTTTGTGCCTATGTGAAAGACAGGGGGAGGATGGGGGGAGGGGGATGAGGGGAAGGGGAAGGGGCAAACCACAGAACACAGCAAATGATTGGAGTGACTGGTTTCTCGACTCTCCCAAGGATGGTACATAACTAGTGCCAGGGTAGATGCATTAGGGAGAAGTTAGTTCAATACACACAATGAATGCCTTAGGACATCAGGGCTTAATTCTCTAACTGGGCAGAGAGAGACTGAGTGGAAGCAAGATTGACTGTTATCAACCCATTCAATCTAGAAACTATTTCATCTGAAAGAATCTGGGGGTCCACTTGGTAAAATAATATGGGGCAAACTAACCAGGCTTAGAAAGACAAATAGGTAGCAGTTCTTGATGAAGAGATGTTGACTGTCTGTAGAATCACAGTTATCAACCTACAGTTAGAAAACAGATGGTGCATTTTAAATCACTCCTGTAAGTGAGCTGACCTGTAAATTGTCATTAATGCACCAGTTCTTCACTTGCTCTGCTGTGTAATCGGCCTTTTATCTCCTATCAGGGAAATCCATTAGCCACAGGCATCTCCACTATTTGTGTCTCTTCCCAGCTATTAAAACATTATTGTATTAAATAATTCACCCTTGATGATTGGTCTTCACTTTCATTAGCACCACATTCAGGGAAAAATAAGAATAGATATTTACAGTTGATACTGTAGAATTATGAATGTTAACTCTCTTTTGCTAGGAAATCAGAAAGTAGCAGCTTCAGACATAGAGCAGGATTTGTTGTCTTCCTGCTCTATTTCCACCTCTCCACATCACCCGCAGAGCCCAGCCCTGGGGAAAGGGAAAGGGAAGAAGGCTTGCTTACTATTGTGCCCACACACAGACACACTCCTAATACCCATATCTCCTTCCTGTCACAAAGATAAACATTTAAACAGAAGAAGGAAGAGTCTCCCCAGGCCCCAATCCCCTCCCTATACACGATATAGTTCAGCTTTTCTTTCATTCCTACTGCTCCTTCTCTCACAGGGGTACATGCAAACTAAACTTACATAAAATTGTCAAGTAAATGTATACCAGGTGACAGACTCAAATGTTAAAAAGACTATGATTTTTATCAAAATTAGGAATATGGTTATTAAACAGCCATACTGATTCAGTTGCATGCATCAAGCTAAAATTGGGTTATTGTGTGGAAAGTATATGTTTAGGAGAGGAAAGTATCTTTTTAATATTTATATGCACAGTCTTTTTCCCTCTCTGAGAAATAAAGAACAAAAGAGGCTTAGTAGATTTTATCAATATAAAAACATTATATAAAACATGGCTTCACTTTTCTTTTTGTTTATATGCTAGCTACTGTTCTTTTCTTAGTTTTATTGAGGTATAATTGACAAAGATTGTATCTATTCAAAGTGTACAACATGATGTTTTGATATACATATATATTACAAAATGATTACTATGATAAAGCTATTTAACATACCCATCACCTCACATAGTTACCTTTTTGTGTATGATCTTAATACTTAAGATCTAATCACTTAGCAAATTTTAAATATGCAATACTTTATTATTAACTATAGTAGCGATGCTGTAAATTAGGTGTCCAGAACTTACTGGCTTATAACTGCAAGTCTGCATCCTTTGGTCAACATCTCCCCATTTCTCCAACTCCCTGGCTCCTGGTAACCTCCCTTCTACTCTGTTTCTATGAGTTTGACTCTTTTAGATTCCACATATAAGTGAGATTATGCAGTAATTTTCTTTCTGTGTCTGGTTTATTTCACCTAGCATAATGTCCTCCAGTTCATCCATGTTATACGCTAATTTAAAATGTAAGATGAAAAGGTTACTTTCTAATAACTTTGATGGAAACTTAAAGTGTGCAATCACAGGTTCAGGTTACTCAAACCCACACAGTCTGTTTAGTGAAATGTGCCAAAATGAACCGTAAATTGGCTTGTTCTAACCTAGAGGAAAGAGGAAAGCTATGAAGAATTGAGCTTCCAGGCCATGAAGGGCTGGAGGCAGAGATACTCAGAGGCCTCTAGGACCAAACTTTGCTCCCTAATTTTTGACCAAAGGATTTGGTCTTGTCAATCCTGAGTGTGGTTTGGGAACCAAAGGACCTGCTATTGCTAAATATTCTCTTAAGTAGAACACATGATTAAGTTCCTTCAGCTTGGTTACCAATAGGCAAGGGAGTAGCAAGGAACCAGTGTCTTTCCAACTCTGGATTGACCCTACCCGCTTAAGGAGCACCCCCAGTAGCTGGTGCTGAAGAAGGAACCAAAGGGCAAGGGAAAAGCCTGGCTAGGACAAGACTGCCCCAACTCATCCCATGTCTCCAGCTCACTTCAGTGAAGCCTGAGAAGTCCCACACCAGCAGTGCAACTGGCCTTCTTGGGACAGTAGTCCTTAATGGGGGAAGAAGTTTATCAATGTCACCTCTTTCACCTCTAGAGCATTTGAAAACTGCTTACTAGGTGCTTCCCTTCCCTTAGTCAGAAGCTACTCTTAGCTTCAAGGGGAGATTTGTCTTCATTTGCTTTAGAACAAGGTAGAGAAACTGACTCAATGTGAAGCAACTGAGACAATCAGATGGCTAGTTTTTTTTCAAGTGGTTTTAGGTTTATCATTTTATGCATCTCACACGTGTGTCCATTAATTATGCAACCATAAATGGAAACAAATTATAAAAAATAATTATTGTACATGACACTAATGGCTGTATACATTGTTTCTGTTCATAGTGATGGGATCAAAAGTTGAAGAATTTTCTATCATAGACAGCAAATTACTACGGAAACTAATGATGACTGTAGCCTTGAAAGCTGCCCCTTGGTCTCTTTCGCTGACCTAGACCTCTCTCTTCTATGAACTCCTATTAAGCTCAGTTCGAATCACAGTTTAGCAGTCAATTTCTTCTCTAAATTTCTTCCATATTCTTGATTCTTGTTTGCCCAAATACGTTTTAAGTTTCTTCAAGGCAATTATTATGCCTGCTTCTTTTTCCTCTTACCTATATTACTTAGGATATAATGTTCAAGAAAAAGTAATTGTGTGCTGATAATATGTTTTAAAACAAACTGTGTCTCCCAAGAGGCATGCTTAGGAAGCATAACCTGGAAGGGGCATTCAAGGGGAGGCAGACCCAGGCTGAAAGCGTCTTGTGTTCTCTACCAGTTGTGCAGTCTCAGTCGAGTGACAAAATCTCTCTGAACCTAGCTTTTCTCATATAAAGTGAAGATAATACCTCCAAAGCTAGTCATGCCTGTTACGTGGGATTATGCATCAAGTAACCATAGTAGCTACTCAATAAAAATTATCCTACCCCAGAAAAACAAGGTTTCTTATACAAAGATGTGAGAATTCAAACCTATTGAATTTAAGAACTACTGAAATGGAAACTAATTGGAGAGACAGTCAGATCAAGGGAACATATAGTTAGCCTAGAAACAGAGCCTGGTATGTATATATTCTGTGTACATATGTGTTTGTGTATACACATGCATATGTGTATATCAGTCCAATGATCACAGTGCCTTATAAACCTACTTGCTGAGGGGCCAGCTCTCTAAGAAACCAAGTCATATAAAACCAGTTGATAGAATAGAAGAGCTAGCAGTGCCCCCATTTACTCAAGGGGTGCTTACATGATTCCGAGTGGGTGAGCATGTAGGCCAATGTTTGTCAAATACCCCAAGGTAATGATGTGACCATCCCCATATATGAAGATGGTGTCATCTATGAACTCTGAGGATGACTTTCAGCAGTGGTCAAAGCTTGCACTCCACATGTTTCAAGAGGTCTTGATGCTCAATTGACCTTTATGGCTGGAGAGAGGAGAAGTGTGGCTTTGGTCTGTCATTCTAATGGTAAAAACTCAAAGTGTTACTGACCTTTCTCTGCCAATTATGCACCTATTTAAATAAATTGATGGTCTGCAGAATTTGGGGGCTTGAGCTCATGACAACACCATCCAATATATGGTTTCCTTAGACTGCAATTACACAGAATTAGACTGATTTGTTTCTATGGTGTGAACAGCTATCTTTGACCTACTTTGTCTTTCAGAGGGAGTAGGAAAGAAGCCTAGATACACAGGTAGCTTCCTTTCATTCCTCTTCTTAGAGTAAGCAAGATGTAGTTGGGGAGAAAGTATAAGTTAACTACTACGGAGACTGGTAGTCATATGGAGACTGCACAACTTGTAGAGAACAGGAGTCCACAGAAGGAAAGATTTCAAAATGCTTGATCAACTGTCCTAGTACTGTTCACTAGGGTTTAAAACCCAACCACCTGACTTCACAGCCAAAGTGCTTAACTCAGCCCTATCGCCTCTTCATCTTAATTACCATCCTATACTACTTTTCAAGTTTTAGAATCTCTCTCCTTCAGTCTTCTCTATTATATGCTGCTGATAAAGACCATAATAATGGCTGCTAAACACAGTATTAGTGATAAACCACATCAAAGGAAAGGAAAGATATGCAAGTTTTTAAGTGATGTTAGACACAGCAGAGAATCAGAACCATGCAAATGAAAACAAAAAACTGAAGTAAGAAAGAGATCCATTGAGAAACATTGGAAGTTTCTATCTACCTTTTCATTCTCCTCAAATTAAAAATTTTCTTTCAGTAGAAAATTTATTGCAAAAAATCTACTACTATTTAATGAAGTGTTTTCTATGTTAGTAATCTCCTTTGAAATATAACTGTGAAATTATAATTTCTAAGTTGAATTTTAATTATTTGTGCATGTATCCTCTTTTCTCTATTAAACCATAAGATCTTTAATGAAAGGATCAATGTCAGATTAATCTTTGTAGTACTCACAATACACAATAGGTTTCAATAAAAGGATGATTATTTTGCTTAAGATTATTAAAAAACTATAATTTATTTTTCATAGCAAATAAAAGGTAAGATGTTATGAGTCAGGTTGAGTTCCTAACCTCCTAACCATTCATTTATCATTTGAATCATTCTAATCATTCATTACTCATCTACCTTTCTATTGCCCTCCTTCCAATAAATATTTATTGAATACTTGGCATTGAAGATAAGGTAATGAATAAGACATGCACAATTTCAATTCCTGGCCTGTTAGATGTTAAAATCTAGTGGACACTTGCCACTTGTACCACTGTTTCATAAGGAAGATTAATATGAAATTCCAAGTAACGAACTTATAAGTACAGTTTTTAAAGCTGGACAAGGCGTTAATTTATCCTCACAGACAGGAACTCCATGGACTGAGGAAGATATACTGAGAAAATAAAGAAGAACAAGAATTTCTGCCCTTGCCTAAATGAGAGATATGCTATCAAGATAATTGAGGTAATGTATTTGAAAGCACTCTCGGTCCATGATAATCTGAATGTTTCTGTGCCCCTAAAATTTGTATATTTAAATCCAAACCCCCTGGGTGCTGGTATTGGGAGACAGGACTTTGGGAGGTGATTAGGTCCTGAGGGTGGAGACCTTATGAATGAATTAGTGCTCTTATAAAAGAGGCCCTAGAGAGCTGCCTTGCCCTTTCCACCTTGTGAGGACACAGCAAAAAAGCAGCCATCTATGACCCAGAAAGCAGGCCTTTACCAGACACTGAATCTGCCTTCATCTTGGACTTCCCAGCTTCCAGAACTGTCAGAAATAAATTTCTTTTGTTTATAAGCCACCCAGTTTGTGGTATTTTTTTTACAGTAGCCTGGATGAACTAAGACAGGATCTTAGTAGTAAAAGGTGATACTTCAGGGAAAGTTTCACTGCTGGCCATGGTAAACATTGGACTCAATTACACACAAGATTATAAAATTATAGATTATGTATGGTTATAGAATCCTAAAGTTTTAAGTCTTAGGACTCAGCCCGTGATTAATATCTGAAGTAGTTGGCCAGCTGCTGCATTTCAGATGATGCTTTTGTAGAATCTTGATATCCTCCAGGGATTCTATTTTTCTCTATTAAGTGTCAAATGTAACATTTGCTTGGCTCTTTACAGTTTACAATATGCTTCCACAAAAATTAACTCATTTCATCTTATCATAATCTTCATTTTACAGAGGTAAAAACTGAGGCTGAGAAGGGTTAAAGAAAACCTACTTTTACATAACTGGTACTGGCTGCCAATTAAACCAGAATTTTATACCTTTTCATCATACTGTGCTACCTCTCTACAAATAGAGTGTGAGGGAAAGTGTACTCAGTTCCTTCAAAGTGGCTTCATAATAAAGAATATGTCTCTGAAGTTAGAGCATATAACAAGAAAACAGCAGTTTTAAAAATAGCTCCAACCCAACTTTTTGGACAGATGCATCCATTCATTTGTCCAACCATGCATTCACTTTCATTCAAAACATTCAAAAACATTCAAAAAATGTTTTTGAGTGGCTTCAACTGCCAGGCACTATTTTGGGTATTGGGATTATGACGGTGACTAAAACAGATAAAGTCCCTGCTCTCTTGTGATGCTTACATTCTAGTTGGAGAACATAGATAAACAAATTAACAAATGATTAAGATGTCATGAGATAATAAACACTAACAGGAATATATGATGGTTAATTTTAATGTGTCAACTTGACTGAACTATGGGATGTCCAGTTGGTAAAACATTGTTTTTGGGTGTATCTGTTTGGGTATGTCTGGAAGATATTAGCATTTAAATTAGTACACTGAGTAAAGAAGATCCACCCTCACCAATGGGGGCAAGTGTCATCCAATCCACTGAGGGCCTGTATTGAACAAAAAGGCAGAAGTAGGGTGAATTTACTCCTGTCTTGAGCTGGGATATCCATCTTCTCCTTGAACACTGGGACTATGGGTTCTTGGGTCTTTTGGCTCCAGGACCTATACCAGCCACCACCCCCAACCCCCAGTTCTTAGGCCTTCAAACTCAGACTGGAGCTAAGAGTTATACTATTGGCTTCTCTGATTCTCAGTCCTTTGGCCTTGGACTGAATTACATCATTGCCTTTGCCATTTTCCCAGCTTCCAGATAGCAGATAGTGGGACTTCTAGGCTCCATAATTGCATGAGTCAATTCCCATAATAAATCTCTCTCTCTAGGAGGCTACTATGCACTAGAGCTCACTCCCTTTCTCCTGCTCAAGGACATGTGTCCACAAGCTCTCCCTTATTTTTTCTGTATCAGTTTTTCTCTCCATAACTGGGTTAATCCGATTGACACAAATATGCCACTAATTTTCCCAATTTAAACAAAATCTTCTCTTCATATTTTATTACTTTGTTAGTACCCCATTTTCTGTACCCTTTACAGAAACATTTCCCTAAGAGAGTTATCAATTATCACTGTCTTTAACTCTTCTTCCATTCTTTCCTCAACCCATCCAATCAGGCTTTGAACTACAAAACTTTGATGAAATAGCTCTTGTTAAGGTCCTCAATGACCTCTGTCTTCTTAAAACCAATGGTCAATTCTGAAACTTCATTTTATTTGAAATATTAGCAGCAACTGAAGTAGTTGATCACTCTCCCCTTTTTGAAACACATTCTCTGCTAAACTTCTAGGACACCAAAATTTCTCAGTGTTCCTCCTAAGTCAACTGGTCATTCCTTGGTCTACTTTGTGAATCTCTTACTATTGCAGTGTCCTAGCACTTGATCCTCTGATATCTTTCATTCTTTATTATTGCTTTCTTCCAGTCTAATTTAAAACCCATCCAGATGCTGACGTCTCCCAAATATACATCTCTAGTTAAGATCTTTTTCCTGAATTCCAGACTCATATAGTCCATTGCTTACCTGATGTCTCTACTTAGATGTCTGAAAGTCAGTGGAATCCAAGTATCTCCCATGCTGAATTATCCTTATGAGTTCCTTCAACCTGCTCAACCCTAAAATCTTCCCTATCTTAGTAAATGGCAACTCTACACTTCCAGCTGCTCAGGCCTGGAGTCATCTTTGACTCTTCTCTTTCCCAAAAAACCTTCATTCAATCTCTTAGTTCTACTTTCCAGTTCTACTTACAACTATCTCCTATCAGATTTACTCAACCACTCTGGTCCAAGCTAACAGGATCACTTGCCATAATATCATTAGCTTTCTAACTGGTCTTCCTGCCTCCACCATGGTCCCCTTACAATCTGTTCTCAGTCCAGCATCCAGAATCATTCTTTAAAAAAGTACAGCAGAACATGCATTCCTTTTATCAAAACCCATTTAATGGTTTCCTGTCTCTCTCAAATTAAAATTCCAAGTCCTTACAAAGGACTTTAAGGTCCTAAATCATTTGTCCCCTGCTCTGTCTCTGACATCATCTTAATTTACTCTCTCCCTTGTTCACTGTATTCCAGTCACACTGGCCACCTTGGTGTTTCTTAAGGACACTGGGTATACTCCCAGGACCTTTGCACTTAGTGTTCCTTCCACCTGGAACACTCTATCCCTAGAAGGCTCACTTTCTTATCTCTTCCAGATCTTTGCTCAAATATCATTTTCTCAGTGAATCTGAACTTAACCATCCTATTTAAAATAGCAACTCTCCCATCCTAATCTAGTACTTCCTATTCCTCTACATTATTTATTTTTGTCTTCAGCACTTATCACCCATCTCACACACTATATTTCTACTTATCTGTTGGTTCTTTCCACTAGTATTCTCAAAATGCTGTTTTGAGAGCAAAGACACATCTGTTTTACTTATTGTTATATTCCCACACCTGGGATGGTGTCTGGCATGCAGAAATAACTCAGTATATATTATTGAATGAGTAATGAATAAGTTTAAATAACTTTTTTGAGGAATTCTGCTACAAAAAGGGAGCACAGAAGTGGAGTGCAGGTAGGATAAGGTGAGGTTTAATTTTAAGATGTGTAATATTACAGAATGCTTATATGCTAATAGAAATAATCCAGTAGAGAGAGAAAATGTGAAAATATAGGAGAAAAAGGAATATCTGTATGAATCATATCATTAAGTAGGACATAATAAATGACATAACTCAAAAAACTTCCTTTAGAGGGGAGAAAAGACAGTTTATCTATAGAAACAGGAGAAAAGGCGAAGAATATGGCTACAGATGCAGGTGGGTGGGACCACGTAAAATTTCTCTGATTGCTTATTTCCTCATCAGCCAATTTCCTTTTGGCAATACTTGATATGAAAAAAGAGGCACTGGAGATTTGAGAGGCAAGGAGAAGGTGTGAAATGATCCTCTAGAGAGTGGAAGAGTGAATTAATTAAAGGAAAGTAGTAGAATTTCCAGGCTTACTTACATTTAGTTGTCATGAATTTCAAATGAGACCAGTCAGCATGGTAGTATGTTTGCTCCAGCATGTTCAGGTACATATGCAGGAAGGTGAAGAGTTAAGAGTTCAGCAGGGTTAGTACTTTGCCAGGCAAATATGAAGCAGTAGAGATGAGCAAGATTGTTGATGGTGTATGTAACAAAGGAATTATAATGATGGACCCATGAGGCCTAGGCTGGGTAAGATGGGATGTGAGGGCATGGGGTGAGAGTAGGGTGGGTATAGTTAGATGGATCGTAAAGGTGATAAAGTAAATGAATTGGCCATTCCAGTGAAGAACTTTTGATTTTGGGAATAAATCATAAGATAGGAGCTGTTAATCAGAGAGGACATTTGAAAATTGGATTATTGAGGGATGCAGTTATGGGCAATAACAAAGTGAAGGACCTGGAATAGTTGGCTGAAATAAAGTGGAGGGCAAGCTTGCTGGAGAAGAGTTCAAGAATTTAGAGACCAGGGTATTGGAAGGACCAACTATGTGAATACTGAAAATACCAAGAATCTTTAAAGCATACTGTTAAAAAGAAAACAATGGGAAGATGCTAACATTTTTTTTGGACTGATAGTGGCCTGGGGTTCTATTGATAATTACAACAAAGAGGAGTAGCAGGTGGTATAGCTGTGTTGGTACAACCTTCAAAGGAACCAGGGCATTTTATGGAGAACGCATGGGAAATGATCTGGAATTGGCAATGAGGTACAAGGAAGACACTTTTCCCCAATTCAAGACTGTGGCAGAAACATGAATCAGAGGACAGGTTTTGATTGGAGCAAGAAAGTGAAGGAAATATTCTGAGAAAAGGTTAGGAATACAGCTGAGATTCCACCAGCAAAAATGGCCTTCATTAGCTCCTATGCCTGAATACCCAGAAATTTCCATTTTATGATATGATAAAATAAGACAATACTATTTCCAGGAGTTGTATTAGTTTCTTGTACTTCTATAACAAAGCCCCAAAACTGGGCAACTTGAAACAACAGAAATATATTGCCTCATGGTTCTAGAAGCTCTAAATCCGAAATCAAGCAGAGCCATGTTCCCTATGAAATCTACAGGAGAGAATACTTCATCTCCTTTATATTCTGATGCTTGCCAGCAATCTTTGGTATTTCTTGGCCTGTGGATGTATCACTTTAATCTCTGCCTCCATCATCACATAGAATTCCACCTGTGTGTCTCTACCTTCTCTTCTTGTTCTTATAAGGACATCAATCTTATTTGATTCAGGGCCCACTCTATTCCAGTATGTCCTCATCTTAACTAATTACTTTTGCAATTACCTGATGTCCAAACAAGACCACATTCTGATATACTTGGAGTCAAAACCTCAACATATCCTTTTAGGGGAAACAATTCAACTCACAACAGGGACATTGAGAAAAACAGTACACCTTTTATGGAATGTGTTCATATATAAACATTTTTAAGAGATGGGGTCTCTGTATGTTGCCCAGGAAGGTCTTGAACTCCTGGGCTCAAGTGATCCTCACACCTTTGCCTATCAAAGTGCTGGGATTATAGGTGTGAGCCACCACATCTGGCCTTGTTCACATTTTAAGTCATTCAGGTTCTTGCTCCGTTACTTGCTCAGTAAATGAGTTCTTGCTCAGTTACTTGCTCATTATTTGCTCAGTAAATGAGGCCTCGTAACCCAAATGCTTAAGACATTTCCATTGTTTATAAAATGCATGACAACCTAAACAGAGAAAAAGTGTTATATGCGATGCATATGATGTAAAGTCAAAATACCATAAGTATCTAATGATGTGTGTGATAATGCCACTGAACCTACTGGGATAGCCCCGTTGACTCAGAAGGGAAGCGTTAAACTTTTACATTGAGGGTCTTGGCAAGTCTTTCATTATTGTAGCTCTATAATTTTAGAATGTTGAACATTACAACTAAAGTTCATGAGCCTATGGGTCTGTGAGTAGGGGAAAGCTTGTAATAAAGTGATGCCATAATTTTTATCAGCATGTTACCGCACAGATATGGAAAGGAGGGGAAGAAAATTACTCTTTGGTTCTTTTTTTAATTATTATTATACTTTAAGTTCTAGGGTACATGTGCGCAATGTGCAGGTTTGTTACATATGTATACATGTGCCATGTTGGTGTGCTACACCCATTAACTCATCATTTACATTAGGTATATCTCCTAATGCTATCCCTCCCCCCTCCCCCACCCCATAACAGGCCCCAGTGTGTGATGTTCCCCTTCCTGTGTCCATGTGTTCTCATTGTTCAATTCCCACCTATGAGTCAGAACATGCGGTGTTTGGTTTTTTGTCCTTGTGATAGTTTGCTGAGAATGATGGTTTCCAGCTTCATCCATGTCCCCCTACAAAGGACATGAATTCATCATTTTTTATGGCTGCATAGTATTCCATGGTGTATATGTGCCACATTTTCTTAATGCAGTCTATCATTGATAGACATTTGGGTTGGTTCCAAGTCTTTGCTATTGTGAATAGTACCACAATAAACATACGTGTGCATGTGTCTTTATAGCAGCATGATTTATAATCCTTTGGGTATATACCCAGTAATGGGATGGCTGGGTCAAATGGTATTTCTAGTTCTAGACCCTTGAGGAATCACCACACTGTCTTCCACAATGGTTGAACTAGTTTACCATCCCACCAACAGTGTAAAAATGTTCCTATTTCTCCATATCCTCTCCAGCACCTGTTGTTTCCTGACTTTTTAATGATTGCCATTCTAACTGGTATGAGATGGTATCTCATTGTGGTTTTGATTTGCATTTCTCTGATGGCCAGTGATGATGAGCATTTTTTCATGTGTCTGTTGGCTGCATAAATGTTTTCTTCTGAGAAATGTCTGTTGATATCCTTTGCCCACTTGTTGATGGGGTTGCTTTTTCTTGTAAATTTGTTTGAGTTCCTTGTAGATTCTGGATATTGCCCCTTGTCAGATGAGTAGATTGCAAAAATTTTCTCCCATTCTGTAGGTTGCCTGTTTACTCTGATGGTAGTTTCTTTTGCTGTGCAGAAGCTCCTTAGTTTTTAGTTTAATTAGATTCCATTTGTCAATTTTGGCTTTTGTTGCCATTGCTTTTGGTGTTTTAGACATGAAGTCCTTGCCCATGCCTATGTTCTGAATGGTACTGCCTAGGAGGTTTTCTTCTAGGGTTTTTATGGTTTTAGGTCTAACATGTAAGTCTTTAATCCATCTTGAATTAATTATTGTATACGGTGTAAGGAAGGGATCCAGTTTCAGCTTTCTACATATGGCTAGCCAGTTTTCCCAGCACCATTTATTAAATAGGGAAACCTTTCCCCATTTCTTGTTTTTGTCAGGTTTGTCAAAGATCACATGGTTGCAGATGTGTGGTATTATTTCTGAGGGCTTTGTTCTGTTCCACTGGTCTCTCTGTTTTGGTACCAGTACCATGCTGTTTTGGTTACTGTAGCCTTGTAGTATATTTTGAAGTCAGGTAGCGTGATGCCTCCAGCTTTGTTCTTTTGGCTTAGGATTGACTTGGCAATGTGGGCTCTTTTTTGGTTCCATATGGCAAAAACTGGAAGCATTCCCTTTGAAAACTGGCACAAGACAGGGATGCCCTCTCTCACCACTCCTATTCAACATAGTGTTGGAAGTTCTGGCCAGGGCAATCAGGCAGGAGAAAGAAATAAAGGGTATTCAATTAGGAAAAGAGGAAGTCAAATTGTCCCTGTTTGCAGATGACATGATTGTATATCTAGAAAACCCCATCATCTGAGCCCAAAATCTCCTTAAGCTGATAAGCAACTTCAGCAAAGTCTCAGTATACAAAATCATTGTGCAAAATTCAAAAGCATTCTTATACACCAATAACAGACAAACAGAGAGCCAAATCACGAGTGAACTCCCATTCACAATTGCTTCAAAGAGAATAAAATACCTAGGAATCCAACTTACAAGGGATATGAAGGACCTCTTCAAGGAGAACTACAAACCACTGCTCAACGAAATAAAAGAAGATACAAACAAATGGAAGAACATTCCATGCTCATGGATAGGAAGAATCAATATCGTGAAAATGGCCATATTGCCCAAGGTAATTTGTAGATTCAATGCCATCCCCATCAAGCTACCAATGACTTTCTTCACAGAATTGGAAAAAACTACTTTAAATTTCATATGGAACCAAAAAAGAGCCTGCATTGCCAACTCTTTGGTTCTTTAATCACAAGTCAAAAAAGGGTCTCAGAGATTCCAGCCTCTGAGATACTCCAAGATGTTACAACCTAGGCCTCAGCCACCTAATTGTGGCTGTAACATCTCCCCCGCTCTTCTTAAATGAGTTACATGAGTAAGAGATGTCTCTCTTCCATAATGAAGAAAACCCAGGTGATGCAGCCATTCATTGTGCACTTACCAGATGCTGAGCTCTATACTAGTCCCTTGACCTACTGCAAGTGGGGACCTCAGACAGGCCTGCATCCTGTGCCCACCAAGGGTTGCATCTGGGAAACTGTCCTGTGATCCCAGGTCTTGGAAATAAACTAATGGATGATTCCAGTTTCTCACATCTAGTAGCAGGTAGTTACATAATAAGTCTTTTCTTCCAAATTAATGCAAATAGTCTCTTTGGTTTCAATTTAACTAACTGAAAATTCTGCGTTGGTGAAGTCCATGTCAATGAAGTTTGTTATGCTGAGGAAAGTGATCTGATTATTTGACTCTTCTTACCTTGTCAAAATGGAGCCAGCATTTCAAAAGGGAGGGTAAGGATGAGGTTTATTACTTGAAGGTAATGTCTTTCATGAAAGATGTGGAATCCAACTGTTTAGTAGTATATCTATCCCTCCCTATTTCCTACTCAGCGGGTAAGAAATGAAGTCCCTCATTCTATTACTCTAATTGAATTCCAACTTGGGTAATTATACTACAATTAAATAAATTTTCCCCATAGTTTTAATTCACTGATAAATAGTGTTAGTCAAACAGCTACATTACATTCCCAGAAACACATCCCCACTACATTTCAGTGATAAGCAGAGTGATTTATATTTGGAAGATGTGTGTATGAAAAGATGCACAGTTCATAAAATATTTTAGGTATCATTCATGATTACATATGCCTTGCTCAGCATGAGATAACATTAATTTCTATTATAATCTTTCATCTAATTTCTCATATGCTTAGTGCCAAAAGAAATAAGACAGCTAATTAGCATTTCTTGTTTTCAGAACAGTTTTTGTTTAGTTAACTAGAAGCGTGTATTGATTTGTATTTTTAATTTTTAAAGCACCTTTCATTATCTCTGGGCGATAGAATGGAGGAGGTGTTACTTCCCATTCTACAGATGAAAAAAATTGAGGCAGCCTTCCCCAAGGTGAGGAAGCTAGTTATCATCAGTATCAGCCTTGGAACCCAAGCTTCCTCTGATCCCTGGTCCTAGGGCTCTTTCTGTTAAACACTATCAAACACTGGGTCACTATCAATCACTTTAGTTTTACTAATGAGAAAATAAAGAGCAGCGCAGTTTTTGTAACCTGTGTCATGGGGTCATTTATTTGTAATATAATGATTTAGCCAGGAGCTGGAGGCCTAATGACTGGGTCCTGATCCTGTTCTTGGATCATGAAATTATGAAGCTTCTTCGTATCTGAATATTATTATGCGGTACAGCTAAACTGGAACAACAATTCCAAATATGGTGCAAAATAATTCAAATTTCATTTTTGTTCTAATGACCTTTCTTAAAGGGTTGTAGATAGCTTTTAATAAAATATATTAAAGACAACATCAAAATACTCACAAAAAGCAGCAGGAGCAGGGGTGTTATAACGATGCCCTGAAAGAAATAAAAGAGAGGATGATCATTTATCAGCCTGGAAAGCAGGACACTTTCTTTGCCATTTTAAACTCTGAGGCATAGGAGTGCTTATCTTCTCACTGCTGTTTAATAAAATCTAGGAGATAAAGAGGGGAGAGTCCCAATCTTAGCTTTCTCTTCCATAATAACATCTCTATTACAATTATTTGTATTTGGCAGCCTGAAAGCACAACCACCAATCTGCCTTAGGTTCATCTTTCCTTTTGTAAACCTAAATTCCCTTCCACATTGCACGTGGATCATACAGATAGAAGCTGGTGGCTGGCAAGCTTCCTCACTCCAAGGCTTTCAACTCTAACTTGGATAAAATGCCCCTTTTTGAGAGAAGACAGGTGGTTTAGTCCCAGTTGGGGTCCTCTCCTGAGCAAAGACCACGTCAGTTGTGATGAATGAGATGTCATGATTTTGTAATGTGAACTGGTCTCCCCTAGGAAATGAGCTGGGATCTCAAAACTCATTTCACTTGATTAGACTTCATGTCTCCATGGTGGAAGGCAAGTCTTTCATCTAATTCAGCCACATAGGACCACCTCGGTCCCTCTGCCTCCCCTAGGCAGAAATGAGCAAAAGATTTGTTTTCTTCGATGACAGGGAACAGTTTGAGGCTGTTGCCAATGAGGCAGAATACCAGCTTTTAGGTTTCTTGAAGGCAAATCTTTAAAACTAAGTGTTTGAGTTGGGAGTTGTAATGACAGGCTTCAGTTTTGGAGCAGCAGATGATTATTTGCCCGTTTTAGTTTTTCCTTTGTCTCTCAACATTTCATTATGATTTATACCAGAAAAAACATTTCAGATTTTTATTAATGAATTCTACTTGGAATTTTAAAATTTCAGAGAATCTGAGGTTGTGCGTGCCTAAGACAGAAAAGAGAGGGACAGACACACACACACACACACACACACACACACACACACACACACACACACACAGAAAAAGAGAGAGAGAGAGAGAGAGAGACAGATAGACAGAGGTACTATATATCCAGACAGTGTCCAAGATCCAGATCTGGGACTACTTCATTACTTTTGGAAGAAAAAAAGTCCTTTTGGTATTTACATGAAAGTCCCTGTGTCATAACAGTCACTCAAGTGTTTTGCATGTGGCCCAAGAGGGACTGGCTTACCTTAAATGAACAATGCTACCATGACTTTCTGGGGCATATACACATGTGAATATCCACAGACAGACTTGTTTTGTTATTAAATAATAGAATGAACATTTTTTATTGTGCACACTTTTGCAATTGGCCAAAGAGAATACAATATTTTAATCTAAGAATCACTTTAAATCCTACTTATTAAAACAGGTATTGTGGCCTATCAACTCCATTGGTATCTATGAAACAGGTTCTCATTAACACATTTAGGAGAGCCAAATGTGCTAAATGACAAATAACTGATAACTTCGAAGGGCTACTGTCCTTCAATGACTTGTACTAAGTTCAGACTTTAGGAGGAATTCCAAATTTTACAGGGCCACATAAAAATGAAAATATCTAGCTGACTCAGTCTATATGAGAGGCATTCAATTTCAAGCAGATTTGTTTAAACATATAATTAAACATCCACTTATATACTGGGTACTGGGCTCATCCAAGAGATTCAAGAGTAAGTACAACATGGTCCCTATGCTTAAACAGCTTATAATCCAGTAGAGGACACTGATCTATAAACAAGGTTCAATATAGAATGATATAACTGCTGCGACCGGCGCTGCCACAACTACCTGTGCGCATTGTCCAGGGGCCTGAGGATTGATAGCCCCCACCCCTGTGCCACTGCATCTAGCGCCCATGTGCACCATTGGGGGGCCTGAGAATAGGCCCACTCTGCCTGCACTGGCACATGTGCACATCATCTGAGGGTCTGGAGATCAATATATGCCACTCACTGGCATCTGCAGGCACCGTCTGCAGACCAGAGGTCAGGCCAGCCCCACCTGCCACAAGTGCACTGGCACCTCTGCACATCATATGGGGGCCTAGGGAATGACCCACCCTGCTCCCTGCCACTGGCGCCTGTGCACACCATTGGGAGGCCTCAAGAGAAGCCCACCCTGCCTGTTGCCTCCACTACCAGCACCAACATACACCCTCTAGGGCACTAAGACTAGGCCTGGCTTACCTGCTACTGCCACCTGCACAGGTCGTCTGAGAACCTGGGGATTAACCCATCCCTCCCACCAGCACCCATGTGCACCATGTGGGGGCCTGAGGACGGGCCTCCCTGTGTGCTACTAATGTTCATGTTGTCTGGGGGCCTCGGGATTTACCCACACTTCCTTATCACCACTGGTGCTTGTGTGGACTATTGGGAGGCCTGAGGAGAGACCTCTCTCACCTGCCACTCCAGCCACCAGTGCCTATGGACAACATTCCAGGGCCTGGGAATTAATCTGCCCCACCTACTGCTGCTGACACCTGTTTGCATCATCGGTGGACCTTAGGAGAAGCTGTTCCTCTTCTACCACTGCTGCTGCCAGCACCCATGCACAGTGTTGGGACTCACTCTGCCCACTACTGCCAGAACCTATGCAAACCATCCCAGGCCTGAGGATAGGTCCACTCTGCACTCCACCACCACCTCTGGGGTCCATGGACTGGACTGTCTGGAGTCCCTATCCCCCAAAATGCCTCACCATAGCCTCCACTAACAACCACAACAGACACCACTGAGCTGATTACAGCTGAAGAAATACAGAGACTACAATACTGTGCCCATCCAGAATCAAAGCCAAGGCAACCTACCAAACCAACACTATAGATATATCTATAGGAAAAATTCTTTCCCTACTAAAGCCAATCTATAAAATTGGAAGAAGCAACTGTTATGCTAGATGTGCAGTAAGGACAAAAAATATGAAAAAGCAAGAAAACATGACACCTTCAAAGGAACATAATAATTCTCTGGTAACAGATCCAAAGGAGAAGGAAATTTATGAAATGCCTGAAAAAGAATTCAACATAATGATACTAAAGAAAATCAGTGAGATAGAAAAGTGTTGTTATCCACAGGTTTTTCTCCCTGAATACTTCTAATGGATAGTCAATGACACATGATAGTTTCTTTGCAGCTCTTCCAAGGACTTATAACATTTGTTCCCAAAATAGTAAAAGTTTCCTAGCAAATAGGAAGGATTTGCTAATTCTGGATTTAATATTCCTTCTTATTTTCTCAAGAATAGCTGTTCAGGTTCATTAAGAGTGAATCACTGTATAATGCTGAAACCTACTTTTCAGTTGTATTAGGAAGTGAGTCAGCCAGGAGGCATTCACTTTGAGAAGAGCACCATAATTTTTAGTAAAGTCATCATGATTATTATTAAAATAATAAAAACTAACATTTATGTAGTACTTATGTTGGATATTGTACCCAGGATTTAGCTATGTTATTTTATGTAATCCTCACACTCTCTGACATAGGTACTATTATTATATTATCCCATCTACTAGGTAAGAATGCTGAGCCTCAGAGAGACTGAGTGAAGTAGGAAGAAGCAATGCCAGGAATTGAACCTCCCCTTGACTCCAGAGCCTGTGCTCTTGAATGGTGTAAATAAAATCTTTGCATTGTTAAGTTATTTCCTCAGGGTTGTATTTTAAGAGTAAATCTGAGAGGAGTTTCAGGCTCAGTATGTCTTTTTGATAACATAAAACAAATTAAGAAGTAAGCCTTCATGTCATATGGCAGATACATTTTTTTAGAGTCAAGTTTTTGCAAATATCAGTGGTAAAAAGGGTGAGCTAAACATTTAAACTGCATCAGCAACAATCACTGAAAGCTAGAAAATTAAATAAACATGTTATTTTCTTTTGAGTATATGCAGCTCAATTTAATTATTTCTCTTTTCTCTTTCCTAAGTAAATTCTCCTGAAAATGGATAAAACCAAAGTGGTAGGAGATAAGCACTTCTAGCAAAAGATGTTACCTCCTCCTTGCAGATTCAAGGTAAGACATAGATTTAGCATCCTTGCAATTGGGATGGTGTATAAAGCTTTCTGATTGCAACACCTGAAGAAGTCAAGTCACAAACTGACTGGCTTTCGTTGTCTCCTGAAAAAACTTTCAGAAAATCCATTTACACCTCAGATGTGAATGACTAGGTGAATGTATTTCAATGACTTTAGTGGAAAGAAAGAGTGTTAAATCTTAGATAGATTTAGCTGCATCAAAATACAAACAAAAAGCCCCAAATAACAGCAAGACAACAAAACTGTGAATGTGCTTCTCTCAGCAATAGGACATGCAAAAAAAAGGCAAAACTAAAGTGAAATTATGAAATTTTTGAAATAGAAAATGTTATCAAGAGGTTTTGCTGCAACAACTACAAAGATCACACAGATATTAAAATTGACTTTTTAGATTTGTCTCCAGGATACTGCATTAACTCAGTTTTCACAGAATAAAGAATATCAGTTTTGAAAGGGATCTTAGAGATACCCTGGTCTAGTCCTCATCTAAAGTGCGAACCCCTCTCTCTGTCTCCCTCACGTCCTTATATAACGCTGAAACCTACTTTTCAGTTGCATTAGGAAATGAGTCAGCCATGATGCATTCATTCTGACAAGAGCACCATAATTAAGTTTTGGGGAAGTCATCGCAATTATTATTAAAATAATAAAAGCTAACATTTATGCAGTACTTATGCTGCATACTGTATTAAGGACTTTGTGTTATTTTAGGTAATCCTCACAACAATTCTATGAAGTAGGACAGCATTATATACAGATGGGAACTGTGATGGCTGTGCCTTTGCCAGAGAATCTCCCAGAGAGAAGACACCCTTGCTCTTCAGGCAAACAGTGGTCTGGCTGAAGCTTTCTCATGAAGAGAAAGCTCTTTCTTATATTGCTTCCAAATCACTATCACTGCTGCTCTGTCTTCCCCTTGAAGCAATTTAGGGCAGGTCTCACCCTCCTTCCTGGTGATGGCCTTTTAAATGATGCTCCTGAATGGTGTAAATAAAATCTATGCCTTCTTCAGCTATTTCCTCAGGGTTATATTTTAAGAGTAATGCTGAAGTTAGCATTTTAGACCCTACAGTAAGTTTTCTCTAGGACAAAAGTCCTCAGTTCCTCCACTGTTCCTCTTAGGGCAGGGTTCTGAGCTTTCTCTTAGACGTACACTCACCCAGATAAATTTAAGGCTCCACATTTATGGGTCAATCTCACTTATTAACAATTGACCAAAACTTGGAAATGAGGCAACAAGAGGACAGCATGTCCCTTTAATGTCATCTTGGAGTATTATCTATCAGCCAATCCAAGGTTTACTTAACCACCTTTGTTTAACTTCTATTTACTATTGGTTAAGATTCAGACTATAAAAGTATATGTTAACTTACAGAGTTTTGTTCAGTAGTGATGGAAATGGTTTCTGTCTAGTAGAAAAAATAACCACAATAACTATGGTTTTATTGCCCTGTAGGCATTGGCCAGTTTTGTCTCTAATTTAGCATACTTATTTCAGTATGCTTTTCTAATGGCCTGGGTAACCCCCATTTTTATAATCTCCCCAGAACTAGCTTTACCATCCTGATGGTTTCCTCATTATTCAGTTAAATAAATGTTTGACAGGTGTTCATTCTGTATGTATAAGAAAATCATGTTCTTAACTTTTCGAAAATTATACTTTGACAACTCCCTTCTTCTGAACTTGTATTAATGGAAATATCATTTTAAAAAAAAGATTACTGTCAATCTAAACCTCCAGGCTATCTTCATCTTTTGTCCTGTGGTCAGTATATAGTGATATCTTAAACAGTTAGTGAAAAGTCTATTCTTCAAGAATAAAATGATGTCAAACCAATATTTAATGAGTGAGACTGGTCAACAAATCCTAAGCAACAAATTATAAAGAGGTGGTATAGGGAATTCTGGACACATCTAAATTTCAACAAAATGGTCAGGGTATATAGTCTCCAAAGAATATGACATTATAAGCATGAATGTCAAGATACATAACTGAGAAAACTTTTAGAAAGAAAGAAAGAGACATTAGGAGCCTAGGGAAGGGTAGTTAGAAAGAAAGTGGTGGTGGATTGGTGAGCAAGGGCCTCTTTCCTCTCCTCTGACTATACTTTCCCCTTTACAACTAGACCTTCACAGACTAAGGATCTTAACATGCCCAAATCAAACATTTAGCAGTTATGGTCTAGCAGCTGACAGGAACATGCTGCTTTGTTTATTAGGCACGGTACACTATTGTGAAGACAGAGGCATCCAACTATTTGAGCTGGATAATACTAGCCACTGACATTGTCCAGTTAATTCTCTCTAGTCTGAGATCACGTGCTATGATTTGGCTCTGTGTCCCCACCCATATCTCATGTTGAGTTGTAATCTCCAATGTTGGTGGTGGAGCCTAGTGGGAGGTGATTGGATCACGGGGGTGGATCCTTCATGAATTGTTTAGCACCATCCCTTTGGTGTTATTTTCATGATAGTTAGTTCTTGTGAGATCTGGTTGTTTAAAAGTGTGTAGTACCTCCTACCTTGCTCACTGTCTTGCTCTTGCTTTCACCATGTGAAGTGCCTGCTCCTGCTTTGCCTTCCACCATGAGTAAGTGCTCCCTGAGGCCTCCCAGAAGCAGAGGCCATTATGCTTCCTGTATAGCCTGCAGAACCATAAGCCAATTAAGCCTCTTTTCTTTATAAATTACCCAGTCTCAGGTATTTCTTTATAGCAATGCAAGGACAGAATAATACACCATGCTTGTCAAGAAAACTTTTAGTAATAATTTTGTTTTCCAAGTAGCATTTCTGACAGGAAGATAGCACACTGACTAGTTGACATCAGTCTCCTAGAACATAACCACACTAAGGTGTGCTGATGATATTTCTGGATATGTAAAGATATGGACCTATTCCTGGATTGTGGTGATCCCATTAAAGCAATGTCACTCAGTGAGGCCTTACAGGAATGGCAGCTGGCTTGTCCTAACGACATTACATTTAATTAAGCAAACATTTATTGAGTACCATGTATCCTATATTACTGGTGCCGAGGGGAAAAGGTGAATATATGGTTTATGTCATAATAGTGTATGCCATAAACAGTTCCCACCAGAGAAAGCAGTTCTACCTGGTTCCTCTCTAACTTTAATACTTTGATCAAAAAATACCTCTATCATCTCATTCTCAAAAAAGTGTGATTTTTTTCAGGCCAAAATTAAGGGTCTTCTACACTTATATTAAACATTAGCTTATTAGATTTGGCCTATTATCTTTTCAGATTTTGATTTGTCACTGACACATTCAACATATACCTACTTAGTGACTACCATGCCAGACCCTATTAGATGATGAGACACAGAGGTGAATGACACATACACAATCAATGCCCTCAACGTTTTTTAGAGAAGACAGTTAAGCAATTACAATAAAATGATAATGTTCAAAATGAACATTACAGTGAGCTATGAGAGTGCTTAATAGGGAGGTGAAAGCAATTAAGATGAAAACTGAAAGAAGAAAAGGAGTTAACCAGGCAAAGGAGTCAGAACAGAAGAAGGGAAGGGAGAGGAAACAGGCAGAGGGAAGAGACTATAAAGGCACTGAAGGCAAGAAGAACATATAGAAACTGAAAGCGAAGAGCAGAACGTGAGGAGTGCAGCTGTGAGAGATGAAGTTAAAAGACAGATGAATCAGAAAAGCCTAGTAATCCATGGTAAGGAGTTTGGGCTTCACTTCAAAGCAAGAGGAAGACACTGGAAGAGTTTATGCAGCCATGGGTGTGGGGAGGGGCAATAGAACTGGCACAGTGCTCTCTGTGGTTAGGTAAGAATCACTCCGTGTGTACTTTAGAGAACACATTAAAGCAGAAGATTAGAGTGAGGCAGGCTAAGCAGGAGGCTATTCAGGACTCCAGGCAGAAGATGATCTGGGCTAAGGCGATGGGATCTTAGTCATCAAGATGGACCAACAGAACAGATTCAAAACGTATTTGAAAACTAGACTAGTAGACTGTTCAATTAAGTTTGTGGGGAGAGTGTCAAAACAGAAGGAAGAACAGTTTCTTAGTTTTCTGAGTTAAGTGATTCTTGACCAAACAGGAGATCATAGAGCCAATTACTGAGCCAGAGTGGAACTGGGGATGCACAGACTCATTTTTCTTGGGAAAGATGATGAGTTTGAGGTATCTGCAAGGCCTCCAACTAGAGATACTGTGATAGCTGGATTTATGGGACTGAAACTCAGAATAGGGTCTGGACAGTGAAAACAGCTGAGTAGTCCTCAGCATATAGCTTGGTGTGGTGATTTACTGCTACAGAAAATAAGTTAAGAAATGTAGACTATAGATTGAAGCTTATTGAAGGCTAGATGAAAACAATTTCAATAGATGACTAGTGTGAAAGTTAAATTGGAGTACATGGAGGGCTGAGTAAGGAGGGAAAAGAGGCAATTTGGACAAGTCTTTCCAGAAGTCTAGCTGTAAAGAGGAGGAGAGAAACAACAGCAGCAATGTAAGAAGAATGAAAGTGTGGTAAATGGAGTTCGTTGTTTTTGGTTTTGTTGTTTGCTTTGTTTTGAAAGAATCTTGAGGATTCTTAAAATTCATAGAAAAGAGGCAAAAGGGGGTCACAGGAATAGAGATTTAGTAAAGAGAAGGAATTTTACCTGTTGCAACTAAAGAGGCAGCAGGGAAGGAGCCCTAGCACAGCTAGAGGGTTTAACTTGTAGAACAGCAGAGGGTAGGTATCTCTTTATTGTAAAAGAAGAGCAGAGGTTATAGTAGGTACAGATGAACATAGGCTTGAATGCTTGATGTTGGAAAGTTGAAGACATTTTCATGTAAGACTTTCTCTTTTCTCTGTTTTGTAGAACATGAAGAATTTTACTAAAATGAGGGGAAGATGGGTGCAGAGGAAGGGGAAAGTCAGTGATTGGGAACCTGTGTTACGACTATTGGGAAAGAGTCTAAGTTGGTGAAGGGTCTGAGATTACCACACTTTCAAGATGACAAGTCGGCCTGCCACACATTCAAGTATGCTGGCAGAAGGCTCAAGAGTCCTGGATCCTGGATGAATGAGCTATGACGATGTGGATGGCTGGATGTCAGGAGAAGATGATGTCAGTGTTTGGGGATCCTCAATAGTTGAAGGTTTTTGTTTTGTTTTGTTTTGTTTTTGCCAAAAACTTTTGGAAGAGCATTGTAATAGAATGTTATTGTCTCTTTCTTTTTAACTCATTAAAGTGTTGCCACAGATGTTGTAAAAAAAAAAAAAAAAAAAAAAAAAAAAAAGAGTCCTGGATCAGAGCCAAAGGATTTTACCACTCATAGAACAGCAAGCAGCCTAAGCATGATGTTGGTGTCATTTCCCCTTGTCCCCAAGTCAAGCAGGTGATGCAGATGGGCTCGAATGGATGCCTGCAGAAGCAGTGGACTGCATTCCAGGAAAGGAATACTGAGCTTAGGGAACCTGAATCTTTTATAAGAGGCAGAAAGCAAAGCTGCCCTTTGTTCCAGAGTTGAGAACAAAAGGCAGTCAGTGCCTCTGCTGACAAAATGTATAGAAATATGAGACACAGAGAGAACTGTCGCCCAACAGAGGAACTGTCCCGCAGACCAACCCAGTTGATATTGGTCATCTAAACATATGAGTTATCAAGCCCATTATTGCTCCCATCAAATACCACCACTGAGCTAATATTTCCATACAAGGAAATGATGATAAGATAATCATTTTGAAATGACCAGAAAAACTTCTCTCCAAGGTGACATTGATTGCCTAACACTTCATGAACACTATCATTTAAACAAGATTCTAACCAACTGAAGTGACTTCTAACTCATAATTTATTTACTCTCTTTGTTGTCTTAAAATGGGTGAATCTGCTAAATATCTTTTTGAAATCTAGATCCTCACTAGATTGAAATGTGATCTAAGCGCCAGCAACATTGATTTCACCTGGAAGCTTGTGAGAACTAGCTGAATATCAGACTCCGCCCCAGAACTACTATGTCATAATCTGCATCTTAGCAAGATCCCCAGGTAATTTGTAGGCATATTAAAATTTTAAAAAATGGATTTAGATTCTAGAGCAGAGGTTGGCAAACTTTTTCTGTGTAAGGCCAAGTAATAATTATTTTAGCCTTTGCAGGGACACTTCTGCAATTACTCAACTCTGCTATTGTACCTGGAAAGCAGCCAAAGACAATAGGTAAACAAATTGGCATGGTAAGATTTGCCCAAGGGCCATAGTTTGCAGATCTCTGCTCTGAAGTATTGCTTTGAATTAGAAATTATATTTCAAACAGAAATAAGTGTAACAAACTTGTTTTTAATAACTTGGCTTTGAGTGAACCCACGCTGGCTTCTAAACATCACACCATGTTCCTTTGTAACTCCTTACAACCCACTATTTAATGACCCATTCTTTAATTTTTCTTTAGACTGATATCAAAATTACTAGTTAATAGTGTGTACAATCCACTTTCTTCCTCTTTTTGGTATTT
The DNA here is from genome assembly GCF_000001405.40 of Homo sapiens. Classification (NCBI taxonomy): domain Eukaryota; kingdom Metazoa; phylum Chordata; class Mammalia; order Primates; family Hominidae; genus Homo; species Homo sapiens. The sequence continues at coordinate 146,336,497 of NC_000004.12, forward strand.
GCAGTGATGTTTGCACATTCCCAGCAGCTGTTGATTCTGCTCCTTCCCTTTATGATTTGTCAAAGATAGTGATTCAGGAATCTCAAATGTCAGTTTTCTCAGGATCCTATGATGTAATTTGTCTGGGCCAGCAGATAGTCCGCCTATCTTGGACCTGCTTTCCTTTGTCAATATTTACTTTACCATTTCTAATCTAAAGTTGGTTCTCCTTTACAAGGATAATGGAAGCAAAGGGATGGAGATCAGTGCAGAGGGGGAAATTAAAGATGCTGAATAGCAGACAGAATGTGTGGGGTTTAGGGCTCTAATATCTAGAGCTATATAAAAGAGGACAGAAAAATATAAGAACACAAAAGTGGAATAATATGTACATTGCTGATTAGAACTAATATAGTGATATATGTTAAAGATGAAAAACAGCATTCAAACTCATGACTTCTCTTTTTTGTTTTTAACTGAAAAAGCAAACCTTCAGGCAATGTAAACTCATAGAACTGTATTACATTAATTTGGCTTTTTCTATCCAGGTTAAGAGTGACAAAAACAATTTGAAATTTAATTAGAGCCCAGGGCAACAGAGATGTGGGAACTTTCTATCATTTTCCAAAAGATTTTCATGTAAACATCTTCTAAGTTTTAGATTTAACAGGCAATAAATAATTTTCTAAAGAAGTTTCTTAAAAATGCTTATTTGCAGAGTATATATTAGACCAAGGAGGAAGCAAAAGGAAACTAAATCAAAATTTATTTTTTGAAGACTAGAGTATAAAGACATAAGCTTTCACAGTGAAAGTAAGACCTAACAGAGCTCACTTTGGCCTGCATGCCTCCACCATGGGCACACAGCTACAATCTGAGGTTGCAGTTTTATTTTCCCTGAGAACACATGGAGCAGCCAATTATTAGTAGCACTGCAAACATTACACACAAGATACACAGCTCTCTTAAAATGTCAAGAGGATCATTTCACATTATCCAATGGTCAGCCAAAGTTCCTATGGCCTGAATATTATACATAGGAGCTTGTAGTATTTCTTGCTTTAGAATCATGGTTCAGTTGATATAAAACACCACCATCATAAAAATAGCCAATATTTATTGAGGTATATTATGTACTAGGAACTGTGCTAAGTACATTACAAACATTATCTAATTTAAAATTCTGGTAAGTAAATTGATTATCCTAATTTTATAGGTGAGAATAGAAAAGAGGCTTATAGAGACTAACCTAAGGAAGTGTCAGAAGATAGAACTCAACAAAAGGAATAAAAACAAAGTTGAGAGATCAGGAGATGGTCTGAGTTGTTAAAAAGAAAAAAATGTGCAAAGGAGGAAGCAGAAAATTTAAAAGAAAAAGATATTTAAGAAACAGATTGTAGAAAATTAATGTAAAATATATAATATTAATTAAAATTAGAGTCAACGATTACATATATAACTTGCCACTGGTGTTGGAATACATGAAAATAAGGCACTAAGTAACTCTCTTAGGTCACTAGAGTAACATGGATGTTTTTTCCCACTGGTTTAAAAGATTTAATGTGTATCTGCCATTCTGCTCATTGATGTCTGTAACACAACAGTGCCTGGCAAATATTAGGCATGCAATAATTTTTTTTGCTGAATGAAAGAACAAATGAATAGATGAATGTGTGTCCACAAATGTTTCTCTCATGGAGCAGCATATCCATTTGATAAGAAACACACACACTTTCTGAAATGTTTTAAAACCCTTGTGTTTGTAATAATAATGAGACTAGTTGACATTTATTGAATGCCTACTGTGTATATGTCAGCAACTGTTCTATGCTCTTTATATTTACTAACTCATTTGGTCCTCACAACAAACCTATGAGAAAGCTGCCACTACAATTCTCATTTTACAGAGGAGAAAATTGAGGTACATAGACAAGGAATTGTTCAGAATTCCCAAGCAGTAAGTGGCAGAATGGGAAGCAAGTCATGCAGTCTGGTTCCAGAATCCAAGATCTCTACCATTGTGTTGATATACTGGATAGGAGTTCTTTAAGAATTTAGAGAAATCAAAGAATTCTAGCTGAAAGAGACATTAGGGATAATGTGTTACCTCACTTTACAAACTGAAAAGTTGATGCCCAAGGAGGCAATGTCTCTCACTCTTGGGTGCAGAGTTAGTGGAAACACAAGGAGTAGCATTTTAGTGTCTCAAATTCCCTGCCCAGTTCTTTATTTCTGATACCACACTGCCTCCTACAAACCACTTGAGTAGAACAAAGCTCACATATGGAAGATCTGAAAGCAGTTACTCAGCACTATATTATTTACCATACATATAAAGCAACAAAACAAAACAAAACAAAAACACATAGATGATAAAATTAGAACAGATTAGAGGAAGGTTTTTAAAAGAGATTAAATCTTGAAATAGGCACTTTCATCCCTACCCTAAAAGGCCCATGAATTACCAACAAGACTATGGGAGAACATTTTTGAAAAAGCAAGGCAGAGACGTGGAATATGGAGGAGGGGGATAGTATGAAGTTCAATGAGGACAGAGAAAGGAGGCAATGGAAAGTGACTTGAGGGAGATTTGGGGAAGGGGCTTCTTATGTAGGCTCCTGGATGTTAAAATAAACTTCTAAAATAATCAAAAACTGATTCTCTTTTATATAAGACACTCAAAATAATGGTTTAATCAAAATCACTATTCAGATTTATAACAGAACTTTAACATAAACAAACAAAAAACCCAGACCATGTCTACACATGTGAAATGAATAGGTTTGGCATAGCTCATCTATTCCTTTTGGACGTGTCTAAATGATGGCACACACTGCTGTTAGATCTAGCTGTGACGATCAATACTGAGTATAAGATGGACACAATGAATGGAGACATCTGCACTACACTTGCCTTGTTTCATATTTCAATGGTCTGATTTACTCTGGTTTTTATAATATTCCTTAGCCAGAGCCATTCCTGCAGCTTAGAAAACCAGCTCTGAACTTTGTGACTCAGAGAGGCTTCAGTCAGGAGAAGGAGGTGGATTAACCAATGGTCCTAAGAAAGGTTTGCACCTCACATGAGCATCATTGGTCCACAGATCCTCCTGCCACCCCCAACACAAAGAGGCAGTAGGATCTGGGTATGCAGTTGCTTCCTTCCCTATCTACCTCTCACCATTGACACCAATTTTAAACAGGTTTCTCCCTAATAACATGTTTATTTATTATTTTTTCTCCAAGCCTAATCTACCAGATAAGGCATTTATTTTTTCTCATATCCTCACTTCTACTGACATGTTTTCCTGCCTTTTTATAGTTTCATTTGTCGTTTTTTTTTTTTTAATTTTACTTTAAGTTCCAGGATACATGTGCGGGATGTGCAGGTTTGTTACATAGGTATACATGTGTCATGGTGGTCTGCTGCACCTATCAACCCATCATCTAGGTTTTAAGCTCCGCATGCATTAGATATTTGTCCTAATGCTCTCCCTCCCCTTGTCCCCCACCCCGACAGGTCCCGGTGTGTGATAACATGTTTATTTTTATTAAATATCAGTAGTTGCTTCTTTCCCTATCTACCTCTCACCAATGACACCAATTTTAAACAGGTTTCTCCTTAATAATATGTTTATTTTTATTAAATATCAGGGGGTAGGAGAAGAAAAACATATATGTGTGATTGGGGTCTTAACAACCTAGAGATGCATCCTAGACTCTGAATCTCTCTAAGGCAGTGCTCTCCAAAGCCTGATGGAACTCTCAAGGGCAGAAGGAAAGGCAATAATAGCAAAAGGAAGAAGACTGTCTTATCAGTTTATAAGAACTGGTCAATGGACTTTTTTTGGTATAAAAAGTTCAACAACTAATAGAACAAGCAAATCACTTCGCCATAATCAAATTTCACCTTATGACCCAGGCTCTAGCAAATGCAGGCTCTAGTAAAAAACAAAGACCCAGGCTCTAGCAAAAATGCAAAGGCTCTAGCACAAAACAAAAAACAAAATATATATATACACATATACATATATATGTGTGTGTGTGTATATATATATATGGAGAGAGAGAGAGAGAGAGAGAGAGAGTGATTAGACTTTTAGACTTTTAACCTGGACATTTCTATGGTGAATTATTAAAAACAGTACTGAGTCATTTTTAGTTACATAGGTATATACAGCTAATTTTCCTTAATGTTTCAGTAGAGACTTATCCCAATAAAATTACTTCTAGACCTTAGCCATTGGGTGTTGTTACTAAGGAATTTTTAATAAGAAATAGCCAAGACTTTATATTAGAAATGGATGTACATATATTCATATCAGACATTTATTTTTAAATATCTTCTGCTAATCATTTCAATATCTTCAGAATTTAAAAGTGCCAGAGAGCAAGAAGCAATCATCTGGTAAATCACATCAATGGATTTACCTAAGTCTTTAAGGAAATTGAAAATCTATGTTAACATAATTTTTCTAGTTCCCCAGTAGAGGGCAACTTCTACACACTTTGACAGTTTAAAAAAAAATCTATGCACAGCACATTAGTATGAATCACTGCATGTTTAAAATAAAACAATATAACTTATGCTTATGAATGGATTTTCACTAACAGTAGCTTATAAAATGTCATGGAATTTTAAATTAGTAGTTAGGAATTGAATATATGTAATGAGTAATTAGCATTTTATGATTAATATAAGTATAATTGCAGGAACTTTAAAAGTAGCAACCATTAGGTCACTAAGATAGAATTATCAGGAATTTAAATAAAAGAGGGAAATGATCACAGTATTGTTCTTTAGTAACCATTTGGATTGAATTTCAATATAACTGAGTTCCAAATATAGCTAATATGTTGCATAAAATATTTTATTAAGAATAGGCAAAACCAAACCCCCCCAAAACCAAAAATGGCCATACACAAACATTTGAAAGTATAATTTAGAGTTTTTGATATTCTGTATTTTGAACTAACTTGAATCAGTGTTAGTGTTTTAATAACATCAGACATAAGAATGTAACCATGCACACATATGTTTATACATAAATAGGATAAAATTTCACCATAATACATCTCATTATTACATAGTATTCTATATAGTAGTTGGACACAATATAATATGTCCTCATTCATTCATTCAATGCTAATTTACTGAGCACTTATTATGTGCCAGATACAATTCCAGAAGTCAAGGATACAGTGTGACAAAAGTTCTCTGCCTTCTTGGGGCTTACATGTTCTATTAAAAAGTAATGTATGGTAAAGCCTTCTAAAAAGACAAATCTATGAGATGGATGCTAACCTTATAACACTAGTTTTTTATTTAAAAATTTGGCTTTGTTTTTAATACAGAAAATATTATAAGGAACAATGAAATGGTTCATAATCTTAAAACACAAATAACCCTTGTCGGCCTTAAACAAAGTTATACATGAATCTCATTAGAAAATTTTTAGTTGTATAGAAAAGTACAAAGAAAAATTGAAAATTTCTAGCTCCCTCTCAACTCAGAAACATTAGCAATTTCTTGTAATTCCTTACAGAAAAAAAACAGTATCCACCCATTCCTCTACCCACCTACTCATCCATCTAGCCTAGCGTTCTTAACTTATTCAAATTTATACAGTTTTCTTAAGATAATCATACTATACACAGTATTCTGTACATAGCTTTATCTTTTCCCACTTCTCTATATTTCCTGGAGCTCTTTCCATAAAAGAATATATAAGCACACCTCATTCTTTTATTTGACTGATTTTATTTTTTAATGTAGAAGTATTTTATCTATCTCTAAATATCTCACAATTCTAGTTTAAAAAGTGATTATACAGTTTTATCTGAAATTTATAAGAGCTGTTGTAGATAGTGTTAAAAGTATAAAGACTTAGAAATCATGACCTCCAAGAGGAAGCCTAAAAAATTACTTTTAATTTATTAGAGAACAGCAAATACAAGAAAAAAATAAGAAGAAATAAATATCTGTTTTGGACAAAAACCTTACCAATAGTTCTATTAGATCACACACAACGTAACAATCTTTTAAGAATGTCTTTATATGTGAATTAGAAATACTAGTGAATTTTTTTACCAGTAAATTTTAATAATAGTACTATTATTAAAATTTACAATCATCATTTTTTAGAGTTTCACTTAAATTTTTCAATAAAGCATGCAATAATTACTTTAGAGCATTCTATTTATAATACTACTTAAACCATATATTTGCTTCAGGGCCATATTTGATATTCAAATGTGATAAGAATTCTTAAATTTATAAAAATATTATGCAAAATAAAATACAGGGCACTAGGTGGTGCTGTGGGACCTTCCAGATAAACTAACACTGCAAAGGTATGCATTTGACAAATTAGTTGTGTGGTTGATTCTATATATTTAAATATACATTAAATATTTTTTATAGATAAAACAATGCACATAAATAAGAAGAGTAATATAATGAAAAAGCAAAGTTTTGATGGATGACCTCTTTGAGGAAGATACAACCCCGTTTCATAATCTCATACCCTAACTCCTGTGTTAAGCTATTAAAAAATCTTTATATAATAAATGTCATTTTTGAGGCATGCTTGTCAATCAACTATTATTTTCATTTACCTTTAAAGTTATTTTTTCATATGACCAAGAATTTAAAAGATGAATAATTATACATCCTTGTCAAACAATTTTCTATTAGGTGATTTCTTACAACACAGTACTGTAATCTTCTTGGGTTCTGTTTTTCTATTTTCCCCAGACATGACTGCTTGCTATAGAGCTACTAATTCAAATACTGACAGCCACCAGACTGGCAAGGTGAATGTGCAGATTGGGCCACAAGTAAAATAATAGGAAGTGAGGGCAACTTAGGAAACCCAGAATATAGAAAGCACATCTGTGGTCTGCATGTGGCCTGTGGGCCACTCATCTGTGACCTCTTAAGTCCAACATGTTCCTAACCATTTATCTATGAGTGACACATCTCAAAGATAACCTACAAATTTCAGTTCAAATGAAGGAGTGTAAATGCTTCTCAATTGTCCTTCTACAATGTTTAATCACTTATGTATGTCCTTCCTTAAAGAACAGAAAATATTAATGATGTGGGAGATAAACTAGTGGTCAAGAGCATTACTCGTCCATGATGAGCTACTGATTTAAAGAGAAGTACAGATTTAGTAGTCTTTTTATGGGCATGGTCTTCCTCTTCCCTGCAGGCACTTTCATGATTGTGAAGTACAATAATAAAGTACTTAATATTGAATTGATAGAAATATATGTTTAACATCAATAAAAAAAGGATAGAATTTATTCCCACTAGTAGTGATGGTGGAACTTAATATTACAGGTACAAGGTAAGAATGAAAATGAATTTTTAACAAATTCAACAAAACTCATCTAAAGGAATTTTTTAAACAAATTCAACAAAACTCATCTAAAGGAATGTTGTTCTTCGAGTCTGTCAATCAGAGAAGCAAAACTCATTTTTAAATGATGCATCATTCCAAATGTTTTTAGCTGCCCTCAGAAAGCGTTTGTGTGCTACATAAGAAAATAAGATAAAATCATGTCATTTCTGACCCGGAAGAGACCACAGAGATTAACAATCTCCCATTACTTTAGCTTCACCTCACAAATCAGTTCTTGAAAGATAAACACAGTTAAGTTGCAGTATCTAAGTGGGTCTTTGTTACAGAAAATGAAGTGACCGGATGCTCACGGGAAGCTATGCAGAAATCACAGTTTACTTTGAATGGAGACTATGCCTTACACCAGTAACCAATGCAAAAATATCACGTTTCAAGAATTTTCAATGTTGTCTAAACACTCACAGGAATCTCTACCAACACTACAAATCATTTGGAATTTTTAGAGGGTTTAATTGGTTCAAACAGATACACGGAAGAAGCGGTGAAAAGCAGAACTAGGTTAGAGCCACGCTGCCTGAATTCTTTTCATTTCACTTGTAGACTACCTGAAATGCCATCTTGGATGATAGTCTTTTTGGCTTAATAAGCATCTATTTTAAAATTGCATGTTTTCTTTTGAAGTAGTAGTTTTCACGGTGTGGCCTGGGGACCTACGGGTTCCTAAGACCTTTTGGAGGGCTCGGTGAGACAAAAACTACTTTCATTATATTACTAACACATTATTTGCCTTTTTACTCTCATTCTCTTGCAGTTATATAGTGGAGTTTTCCAGAGGCTACATGACATGTGATATCAAAAGAGATTTGATACACCAACAGTTTTATGTTAAGCCAGGCATTAAAGAGATTTGCAAAATGCAAAACAATAGTACTCTTCCCACTAGTTTTTGTTTGGGAAAATATAGTGATATTTCATAAAAATGTGCAAATTTACATATGATGAAGTTATTATTTTTAAATGAATTAATAATTTTCCAGCTTTAATTTCAAATGTGATCAATAGATAAATATCACCCATATAAACAACTGTTCTCTCTGGTCGTCAGCAAATTTTAAGACTGTAAAGGAGTTCGAAAAGTTGGAGAACACTGTTCCGGAAGAAAGCTACTCACATCTTAGTCAATATGCTTTCCTCTAAATACTGGTATGAATCTGAAACTTCTATCTGAATGAAATTTGCTTAGAAGCAAGAAAGGTCGAGCATTTTGAGGCAAGAGGTACTTTTATGGGCAAGACTAGCTTGATGCAGAGGGATAAACAGTGACGTGGGAACCACAGGCTCAGGTGGAATGACCCAGGTAGAAGGAACAGAGAGGGAGTCAAGAGTGCAATGGCAAATGCTCGTTTCTAAATTTAGCCTGAGACCAATGCTACATCTAGGAAGGGGTCATTTTTCTCTACCTTCTCTTACCTCTTATGCTCTGGGAGACTACAACACAGTTTCCACATTGAAATGCAATCCTTCATTAGTTTCCCACTGGTCTTTAAGGACGAATATTATAACTGTGGTCTACAACATTCTGTATTATCTGCTCCTGCCTACATTTCCATCTTTTTCCATTCTCCACCTGGCTCTCTATACGCTAGCCACAGGGCCCTTGGTCTATTCCTTGACCGGGCTATATTCACTTTCAACCTGCAGACATCAGCTTCCTTCAGTTATCAAGGAAGTCTTTCTGCCATTATAGATTCCCCCTAAATATGCACTCTTATGGCACTATAGATCTGCTTTATGGCATGCATCACAGTTGTAATTTTACATTTATTTGTGTGATTATTTCATTAATGCCTGCGTCTCCTTCACTAGGCTATAAGCTTTATGAGGAAAGGGACCATGCTTATTTTTACTCTATCTTGTATTTCCCATACCTAGTGAAATGCTTGGGACATAATAGGGGCCCATTTAATATTTTTGAATGAATAAATACATGAATAATAGGTATTATTTATTAAGCATTCCTCCTAGATACTGTTCTTGCACTTTGCAAGTGTGACATAATTTTGAAAAGAAGCCAATAGATAAGCACAATTATCATCCCCATTTACAGATGAAGAAACCAATGCACACAGAGGTTAGCTAATTTGCCCAAGGTCAAGCTGTAATTTTTGAGGTCAGGATTTGGACTCCAACAGTTTGATTTTAGCACCCACAACTCTATACTGTAGTTCAGTTGTCTTATGGATGAAAAAGCATTTATGGGCCCAATCTCCATTTATAAGGTTGGAATTCAAAATTATTCCTCATAGAAATCAATGACTGATTTATAAACTAGGAAGCTAAGGTACAAACTGATGACCAACTCTATTGGGGAACTGTGTGGAATAAGTTCTGAAATTAACTAGTATTAAGAAAACAACAACAACAAAAAACAACAAACAGCAGTTTCATGTGAGAGCTTTGGTAGCTTTTTATGTTTCATTGGTTATAACAGAAAAATACATATATGTGCAATATGTGTAATGTATTTTCTGAAGGTATGAGGGCAGCCCAAGAAACAATGACAAAAACAATGTCCTCTTCTGGATATCTAGAACTAGATAGTACATGTTAGGATTCAGAAAACCTTTGATCTTCTGAGAAATTCTATTTTTGAAAAAGAAAGTGAATCAAAATAAAGCTATGAGCCTTAAGTTTCAGAATTACATAGATACATGTCTCCCTTTTCAACTCGGTTTAATTTCAATTATAACTTTTCAGCTATATTTATTTTTCAACTAATTTTATTTCTATTAAGTTGGTCATTTGAAATTACAAAACAGTTTCATGAGTATTTAAATGTGTAACATAATTGTAATCTATTTTTTCTATTATCACAGCATGCTTAAGAATATATCACAATATGAAAAACAAAGATCCAGGAAACCTATAAATTCGAACAATTTATCATCTAAAACCTAGCAAGCCATATCATTATTTTTATGTTTCAAGTCAATTTTATATTATTAGGATCTTTGTGATTTCATTCAACAAATAATTTTTGGATACCTACTCTATGATAGGCATACCCAAGAGGAGGGGGGAAACAAAGATAAAGGTGGCCTGGTCTCTATCCTAAAAGATCTTACGGTCTAGTTGCAGCAAACTAAAAAGGTAAAGGCCAGATAATGGGGTTAAGGAAAGGCTGCTTACCTCACCCAACTGAGCGAGGGGTTTCAAAAGATGTAACATCTAAACTAAGACCCAAATGATCAGTAAGAATGGCCCAGAGAAGGGTAGAGGTGGAAGGCACCTAAAAATGGTTTAGGGAATGGTGGGGGTCAGAACAGCATGTGTGAAAGGCCTGTAGACAAGGAAGTGTGTTCGTGGTGCTTAGAGGAAAAGAAAGGCAGGGCATAGTGAATGGGACATAATAAACACCATTCCCATGGCACCAATCTCTCACAGAAGCTTCATGAAAAGATAACCAGTTATATCTACCAGCCTTCTCATCTTCCAGGAAATCAAAGACACAGAAAGGGCAATGAGATTATGAAATACCTCAAAAAGTGCTCTTTGGAAATTTAACTTTCCTCAGTGCTAAAACTTTGTTTTTTAAAAATTTTACTAGTAACCAAAATGTCAGCAAAACCGAATGTTACCAGTGCTGCTAAGTTGAGACATGGCTGGAGTGGAGGACAGGATTGTAAAGTTAGAATCTTAAGACTGTCCAAATCTTCTATGGCTGGCAAATGCTTTGTTCTCTGAAGAATATGTATTACTATAGTGAACTTATTCCTTCTGAAATTTTTCTTACTTAGCAAGGAGTTATTTCTATGCAAAAATGGAAAATTCAAAGACTAAAAACCCTCACTGTATAGTAATCTATATTGTTTGTGTACTGGTGCTGTCTGCTTAGCCCCAAGTCATCAATTATGTATAGAAATGTACAGCTACAGCAGTAGCCAGTGTCATGGGCCTGTCAGGGATTTCTTAAGAGGAACAAAAACACTTGATTCTATCTACTTTTAGAAAACACAGGATAGGTGAAAAGAGGAAGAAAATGAAAGAAAATATGAGTAATCCTCAATACATACATTGGCTTCTTATAATAAATGAAAAATAAATTTTAAAAAAGCACTTGAAACCAGAAATATAACTAAGAGAAAGCATTGGATATAGACACAAGAAAGGCTGACATCAGCACATCAAAACCACACACTTTAGAATACAAATTCATTTCTTATATATTCCAGGAAAAATAACTAATGGGGGTCACCAAGCTCTAACCTCTCTGAACCAAATTCAATGGATCCAGTGTTTACAACAAGGAGTAGTCACGTTATTTGAAATAAAATGTTCTGTAATTACCAAACCTCGTTGGCTTCTGAGGTGAGAGTTTTCATTCTAAATGAATGAAGTATGTTTACAAACTGACCTGGGAGCACAAGGACTATAAAGATTAACATGAAGAAAATGCAATCTAAGATATCTTATGGAATTTTCCCTATTATACCAAACACAGCAAAAGCTTTCACTGGGATTTCAATAAATTTAGTTTTACACATTGCTACAGAAATTTAGTTATTCTCCCTTTCTCTAGTGGATAGCTGGGGTAGCAGCTGGTGTGCTGTGTATTTAAAACGTGTAAAAGAACTCCTGTTCTCTCTCAGTACCTACATAAATGTGCTTGAGGAAATTTGAAAAAATGATTTGCTTTAAGTAAAATGACTTTATTACCTTTCCTGTAGGGTATTTGACAAGCTTTTAAACATCTAAGAGTCATGTTTTCAGAAAGCATACAGATTTCTTCTGGAGAAAACTACAGTACATAAAAACGTATCATTTAAATTTATGTAAATTTTCCTGAACCACACATTCTTGAATGTATATCTTCATTGTTCAACACTTTCTGGGTAGAATTTTTAATGCCTGATTTTTATAAAATAATTTACTTGACATGTAAATATTGTGAGATAGCCAAAGATATAATAATTTTCTATTACTTTAAAGAGTGTGTAACAGTCGCACTTTGTCATTACTATACAGGTTAGATCCCGTGCCATATTAGTCAACCAAATTCTATAAAATTGAAAGCATATTTAAAAATCAATGCTGAGACATTAGGAAATGCCTGAAACAGATGAGAACCAAATCAATTCCCTTATTTCTTAGATTTAAAATGGGCATAATTTGCTGATCATTCACTGAGAGTGTAATTTAGCAAAACAGACCCCAATGAATGCTGAAATATGTTTTCTCAGCTCTTATTTTTCAAATGATTTTTGCTGGTTTTAGTGTAAACAATTCCAGCATATTTAAACACATTACAATTAGACCCACAACCTACCAAATTAACTACTTGTTACTACTATAGTCCATTAAACAGACACTTCTCAAAAGAAGACATACAAGCAGCCAAAAAATACATGAAAAAAAATGCTCAACATCAACAATTATCAAAGAAATGCAAATCAAAACCACAATGAGACACCATCTCACACCAGTCAGAATGGCTATTATTAAAGTAAAAAACAACAGTTGATGGTAAAGCTGCAGGGAAAAGGGAACACTGGTACACTGTTGGTGGGAATGTAAATTATTTCAGCCACTGTGGGAAGCAGTTTGGAGACTTCTCAGAGAACTTAAAGCAGAACTACCATTCAACTCAGCCAATCCCATTACTGGGCATACATCCAAAAGAAAATAAATTGTTCTACTAAGAAGACACATGCACAAGCATGTTCACTGCACCACTATTCACAATAGTAAAGACATGGAATCAATCTAGGTGTTCATCAACAGTGGATTAGATAAAGAAAATGTGGTACTTATATACTATAGAATACTATGCAGCCATAAAAAGAACAAAATCATGTTCTTTGCAGCAACATGGATGCAGCTGGAGGCCATTATCCTAAGCAAATTAATGCACATTCTCACTTACAAGCGGAACCTAGATATTGGGTTCTCATGGACATAAAAATGGCAACAATAGACACTGGGGACTAATAGAGCAGGGATGAAGGAAGGGAGGCAAGGGTTGAAAACCTACTGGGTACTATGCTCACTATCTGGGTAATGAGATCATTCATATCCCAAACCTCAGCATTATTTCATATACCCTAGTAACAGTCCTGTACATGTACCCCCACAAATCTAAAATAAAAGTTGAAATTAAAAAAAAATATATATATAGGGGGAGGAGCCAAGATGGCCGAATAGGAACAGCTCCCGTCTACAGCTCCCAGCGTGAGCGACGCAGAAGACGGGTGATTTCTGCATTTCCATCTGAGGTACCGGGTTCATCTCACTAGGGAGTGCCAGACAGTGGGCGCAGGCCAGTGGGTGCGCGCACCGTGCGCTAGCCGAAGCAGGGCGAGGCATTGCCTCACCTGGGAAGCGCAAGGGGTCAGGGAGTTCCCTTTCTGAGTCAAAGAAAGGGGTGACAGACGCACCTGGAAAATCGGGTCACTCCCACCCGAATATTGCGCTTTTCAGAACGGCTTAAAAAACGGCGCACCACGAGACTATATCCCACACCTGGCTCAGAGGGTCCTACGCCCACGGAATCTCGCTGATTGCTAGCACAGCAGTCTGAGATCAAACTGTAAGGCGGCAGCGAGGCTGGGGGAGGGGCGCCCGCCATTGCCCAGGCTTGCTTAGGTAAACAAAGCAGCCGGGAAGCTCGAACTGGGTGGAGCCCACCACAGCTCAAGGAGGCCTGCCTGCTTCTGTAGGCTCCACCTCTGGGGGCAGGGCACAGACAAACAAAAAGACAGCAGTAACCTCTGCAGACTTAAGTGTCCCTGTCTGACAGCTTTGAAGAGAGCAGTGGTTCTCCCAGCACGCAGCTGGAGATCTGAGAACTGGCAGACTGCCTCCTCAAGTGGTTCCCTGACCCCTGACCCCCGAGCAGCCTAACTGGGAGGCACCCCCCAGCAGGGGCACACTGACACCTCACACGGCAGGGTATTCCAACAGACCTGCAGCTGAGGGTCCTGTCTGTTAGAAGGAAAACTAACAAACAGAAAGGACATCCACACCAAAAACCCATCTGTACATCACCATCATCAAAGACCAAAAGTAGATAAAACCACAAAGATGGGGAAAAAACAGAACAGAAAAACTGGAAACTCTAAAACGCAGAGCGCCTCTCCTCCTTCAAAGGAACGCAGTTCCTCACCAGCAACGGAACAAAGCTGGATGGAGAATGATTTTGACGAGCTGAGAGAAGAAGGCTTCAGATGATCAAATTACTCTGAGCTACAGGAGGACATTCAAACCAAAGGCAAAGAAGTTGAAAACTTTGAAAAAAATTTAGAAGAATGTATAACTAGAATAACCAATACAGACAAGTGCTTAAAGGAGCTGATGGAGCTGAAAACCAAGGCTCGAGAACTACGTGAAGAATGCAGAAGCCTCAGGAGCTGATACGATCAACTGGAAGAAAGGGTATCAGCAATGGAAGATGAAATGAATGAAATGAAGCGAGAAGGGAAGTTTAGAGAAAAAAGAATAAAAAGAAATGAGCAAAGCCTCCAAGAAATATGGGACTATGTGAAAAGGTACACCAATCTACGTCTGATTGGTGTACCTGAAAGTGATGTGGAGAATGGAACCAAGTTGGAAAACACTCTGCAGGATATTATCCAGGAGAACTTCCCCAATCTAGCAAGGCAGGCCAACGTTCAGATTCAGGAAATACAGAGAATGCCACAAAGATACTCCTCGAGAAGAGCAACTCCAAGACACATAATTGTCAGATTCACCAAACTTGAAATGAAGGAAAAAATGTTAAGGGCAGCCAGAGAGGAAGGTCGGGTTACCCTCAAAGGGAAGCCCATCAGACTAACAGCGGATCTCTTGGCAGAAACCCTACAAGCCAGAAGAGAGTGGGGGCCAATATTCAACATTCTTAAAGAAAAGAATTTTCAACCCAGAATTTCATATCCAGCCAAACTAAGCTTCATAAGTGAAGGAGAAATAAAATACTTTATAGACAAGCAAATGCTGAGAGATTTTGTCACCACCAGGCCTGCCCTAAAAGAGCTCCTGAAGGAAGCGCTAAACATGGAAAGGAACAACCAGTACCAGCCGCTGCAAAATCATGCCAAAATGTAAAGACCATCGAGACTAGGAAGAAACTGCATCAACTAACAAGCAAAATCACCAGCTAACATCATAATGACAGGATCAAATTCACACATAACAATATTAACTTTAAATATAAATGGACTAAATTCTCCAATTAAAAGACACAGACTGGCAAGTTGGATAAAGAGTCAAGACCCATCAGTGTGCTGTATTCAGGAAACCCATCTCACGTGCAGAGACACACATAGGCTCAGAATAAAAGGATGGAGGAAGATCTACCAAGCCAATGGAAAACAAAAAAAGGCAGGGGTTGCAATCCTAGTCTCTGATAAAACAGACTTTAAACCAACAAAGATCAAAAGAGACAAAGAAGGCCATTACATAATGGTAAAGGGATCAATTCAACAAGAGGAGCTAACTATCCTAAATATTTATGCACCCAATACAGGAGCACCCAGATTCATAAAGCAAGTCCTGAGTGACCTACAAAGAGACTTAGACTCCCACACATTAATAATGGGAGACTTTAACACCCCACTGTCAACATTAGACAGATCAACGAGACAGAAAGTCAACAAGGATACCCAGGAATTGAACTCAGCTCTGCACCAAGAGGACCTCATAGACATCTACAGAACTCTCCACCCCAAATCAACAGAATATACATTTTTTTCAGCACCACACCACACCTATTCCAAAATTGACCACATACTTGGAAGTAAAGCTCTCCTCAGCAAATGTAAAAGAACAGAAATTATAACAAACTATCTCTCAGACCACAGTGCAATCAAACTAGAACTCAGGATTAAGAATCTCACTCAAAGCCGCTCAACTACATGGAAACTGAACAACCTGCTCCTGAATGACTACTGGGTACATAACGAAATGAAGGCAGAAATAAAGATGTTCTTTGAAACCAATGAGAACAAAGACACCACATACCAGAATCTCTGGGACGCATTCAAAGCAGTGTATAGAGGGAAATTTATAGCACTAAATGCCTACAAGAGAAAGCAGGAAAGATCCAAAATTGACACCCTAACATCACAATTAAAAGAACTAGAAAAGCAAGAGCAAACACATTCAAAAGCTAGCAGAAGGCAAGAAATAACTAAAATCAGAGGAGAACTGAAGGAAATAGAGAAACAAAAAACCCTTCAAAAAATCAATGAATCCAGGAGCTGGTTTTTTGAAAGGATCAACAAAATTGATAGACCGCTAGCAAGACTAATAAAGAAAAAAAGAGAGAAGAATCAAATAGACACAATAAAAAATGATAAAGGGGATATCACCACCGATCCCACAGAAATACAAACTACCATCAGAGAATACTACAAACACCTCTACGCAAATAAACTAGAAAATCTAGAAGAAATGGATACATTCCTCGACACATACACTCTCCCAAGACTAAACCAGGAAGAAGTTGAATCTCTGAATAGACCAATAACAGGCTCTGAAATTGTGGCAATAATCAATAGTTTACCAACCAAAAAGATTCCAGGACCAGATGGATTCACAGCCAAATTCTACCAGAGGTACAAGGAGGAACTGGTACCATTCCTTCTGAAACTATTCCAATCAATAGAAAAAGAGGGAATCCTCCCTAACTCATTTTATGAGGCCAGCATCATTCTGATACCAAAGCCGGGCAGAGACACAACCAAAAAAGAGAATTTTAGACCAATATCCTTGATGAACATTGATGCAAAAATCCTCAATAAAATACTGGCAAACTGAATCCAGCAGCACATCAAAAAGCTTATCCACCATGATCAAGTGGGCTTCATCCCTGGGATGCAAGGCTGGTTCAATATACACAAATCAATAAATGTAATCCAGCATATAAACAGAGCCAAAGACAAAAACCACATGATTATCTCAATAGATGCAGAAAAAGCCTTTGACAAAATTCAACAACCCTTCATGCTAAAAACTCTCAATAAATTAGGTATTGATGGGACGTATTTCAAAAAAATAAGAGCTATCTATGACAAACCCACAGCCAATATCATACTGAATGGGCAAAAACTGGAAGCATTCCCTTTGAAAACTGGCACAAGACAGGGATGCCCTCTTTCACCACTCCTATTCAACATAGTGTTGGAAGTTCTGGCCAGGGCAATCAGGCAGGAGAAGGAAATAAAGGGTATTCAATTAGGAAAAGAGGAAGTCAAATTGTCCCTGTTTGCAGACGACATGATTGTTTATTTAGAAAACCCCATCATCTCCGCCCAAAATCTCCTTAAGCTGATAAGCAACTTCAGCAAAGTCTCAGGATACAAAATCAATGTACAAAAATCACAAGCATTCTTATACACCAACAACAGACAAACAGAGAGCCAAATCATGAGTGAACTCCCATTCACAATTGCTTCAAACAGAATAAAATAACTAGGAATCCAACTTACAAGGGATGTGAAGGACCTCTTCAAGGAGAATTACAAACCACTGCTCAAGGAAATAAAAGAGGACACAAACAAATGGAAGAACATTCCATGCTAATGGGTAGGAAGAATCAATATCGTGAAAATGGCCATATTGCCCAAGGTAATTTACAGATTCAATGCCATCCCCATCAAGCTACCAATGACTTTCTTCACAGAATTGGAAAAAACTACTTTAAAGTTCATATGGAACCAAAAAAGAGCCCGCATCGCCAAGTCAATCCTAAGCCAAAAGAACAAAGCTGGAGGCATCACACTACCTGACTTCAAACTATACTACAAGGCTACAGTAACCAAAACAGCATGGTACTGTACCAAAACAGAGATATAGATCAATGGAACAGAACAGAGCCCTCAGAAATAATGCCGCATATCTACAACTATCTGATCTTTGACAAACCTGAGAAAAACAAGCAATGGGGAAAGGATTCCCTATTTAATAAATGGTGCTGGGAAAACTGCCTAGCCATATGTAGAAAGCTGAAACTGGATCCCTTCCTTACACCTTATACAAAAATCAATTCAAGATGGATTAAAGATTTAAACGTTAGACCTAAAACCATAAAAACCCTAGAAGAAAACCTAGGCATTACCATTCAGGACATAGGCGTGGGCAAGGACTTCATGTCCAAAACACCAAAAGCAATGGCAACAAAAGCCAAAATTGACAAATGGGATCTAATTAAACTAAAGAGCTTCTGCAAAGCAAAAGAAACTACCATCAGAGTGAACAGGCAACCTACAACATGGGAGAAAATTTTCGCAACCTACTCATCTGACAAAGGGCTAATATCCAGAATCTACAATGAACTCAAACAAATTTACAAGAAAAAAACAATCAACCCCATCAAAAAGTGGGCAAAGGACATGAACAGACACTTCTCAAAAGAAGACATTTATGCAGCCAAAAAATACATGGAAAAATGCTCATCATCACTGGCCATCAGAGAAATGCAAATCAAAACCACTATGAGATATCATCTCACACCAGTTAGAATGGCAATCATTAAAAAGTCAGGAAACAACAGGTACTGGAGAGGATGTGGAGAAATAGGAACACGTTTACACTGTTGGTGGGACTGTAAACTAGTTCAACCATTGTGGAAGTCAGTGTGGCGATTCCTCAGGGATCTAGAACTAGAAATACCATTTGACCCAGCCATCCCATTACTGGGTATATACCCAAATGACTATAAATCATGCTGCTATAAAGACACATGCACACGTATGTTTATTGTGGCATTATTCACAATAGCAAAGACTTGGAACCAACGCAAATGTCTAACAATGATAGACTGGATTAAGAAAATGTGGCACATATACACCATGGAATACCATGCAGCCATAAAAAATGATGAGTTCATGTCCTTTGTAGGGACATGGATGAAATTGGAAACCATCATTCTCAGTAAACTATCGCAAGAACAAAAAACCAAACACCGCATATTCTCACTCATAGGTAGGAATTGAACAATGAGATCACATGGACACAGGAAGGGGAATATCACACTCTGGGGACTGTGGTGGGGTGGGGGGAGGGGGGAGGGATAGCACTGGGAGACATACCTAATGCTAGATGACGCGTTAGTGGGTGCAGCGCACCAGCATGGCACATGTATACATATGTAACTAACCTGCACAATGTGCACATGTACCCTAAAACTTAAAGTATAATAAAAAAAAAAAAATATATATATATATATACATATATATAGTCTTTTAAAAAGAAAAAGCTACAATTCGACAACTATTATTATTTGATTTATTGACTTTCATATTTTGGCTCTCATGCATACTTACTTAAAGATTTTGTAAATTCAGGGAGAAACTGAGTTGAGACCATTTAAAAATCTTTTACTATGAGTTTATAACTTTACATTTATTACGCACATGAAATGTGAAGAAAAATTTCAGTTTCCTGTTTACTATGTGAAAGGTGTTTTACATAATCACTTAATCCTTAATCCAATATATTACTAACTATTGTTCCAAAAGGTAAATAACTTGTCCAAGGGTCATATGACTACTGAGAGATCCTCGTGTAACTTTGTCACTCAATTGCATTTGACAGTTTCCTTCCTGAAACACTTAGTTCATTTGATTCTGGAATATTGCATTCTACTCTTTTACCTTCTTCCCCTAGATCTTCCTCCCTCACTTACTCAAGTCTCTTATAAGGCTTCCACAACTGTCCCATCTACAACAGACAGACACACACACACACACACTCCCCATCTTCTCTCCTCTACTTCTTCTTGCTGTTATCTTGCTTTATTTTTGTTCACACCACTTGATATTATACTTATTTGCTTTTGTCTATTTACACAAGTGTTCTCTTACCTCTATCCCCCAACTAAGCTCTACAAGGGATTTTTTTTTGTCTTCTTCCCCCTGCATTCTCAATGTCTACAACAGTGCTTGGCACAAAACAAGCCTTCAATAAACTTGTTGAATCAACAAATGGCTAGAAGTTGTGGAGCTGGAGTTTTAATCCAGGTCTTACTAACTCTAGTCCTATGCTTAATTTATAATACTATACCTGGATTAATTTCAAATACAGTATACCTTTATTGAAAGTTTCCAAGGAATAAACTTGCAAGGAAACAACACATCTTTATAATGAATCCTATAGCCCTATTCCTCTCTGCTCTACCCAAAGCCTGTAAGTAAAGAAAGCTGCTTTGCTCAATGAAAGAGGAGGAGAGGTACGTCACCCATGAAGAAAAAAGAAAGAAACTAACACTTGTTAGGCATTTACTTTGTTCTGAGTAGTATATGTAACATACGTATGTATGTGCATGTGTACATTTGCACATGTATATTTCTGTATGTGCATAATTCATTTCTATTTTATTTTCATGGCAATAATGTAAAGCAGGTAACATTTATTCCTTATTTTTAAGTGGAAACAAGAGACTTACAGAGTTACCAGGAAGTTCCAATAATTTTTGCACACGGGAATGTGTGTGTATATATGTGCATGATAAAATCTATATTTCCCAATCTTCATTTTCCAGCTAAAATATTTTTGAGTGGAATACTTAAGGAACAAAAAAACCCTGCAGCACTTAATACTACAGAAAGCTTCTTTCCATTCAGGAATGCCTCAAGCAACTGGCAAAAAAGGCAAAGCAAATAAAATGATTACTTCCCTTTCTAGGCAGGAACTACTCATCGTCTACCTTAAAACAACAACCATGCTCTACCATAAGTCCGTTATCTACTTTGAAGCAATACGTGAAAGGTAGAAGTAAGATTGGTAAGCGCAACTTATTTGATGAGAGCTATCATTAAACTATGGAAATTCAATTCCCTCTCCACGGTTGTTTCTACCCAAGGTAAGTGAGGGGAGCTTCAGAGAATCACTTGAAGAATATGTCCCCTGGAATTTGGGGAAAAAGGAAAGAGTACCCGGAAGTGAGGCATGATTCCCTCCAGGAGAGTCTTGAAGCTGAGAGGCTGGAAGGGGAGAAGAGCTGCAAGTTCTTCCTTGGCCAGGCAAAGATGTGGCAGTTTTCCTACAGGTCAAGTAACCCGAAAAAGAGAAAAGGACTTGAGTCATCCTGACAGAACTCCCATTAGAGAGGAGATCAATAGGAGTCAAGAGCTGTGACTAGAGTTCTTAGAGGATCATTGTTCATGCCTAATATTGTATTAGGATGCTCCTAATGAAGCACGATCACTGAAAAACCCACAGAAGCACCCCCACAAAAAAAAAAAAAGAGCTAGCTTTTGAAGATATGCCACACTCAGAGGACATCAAAGATAGATTACAACTCGAGACACATGACACTTTTCTAATTCTTCTCTAATCCCTCTTTCCCCCATGTATCTGATTCTACATGGGACAAAATAGTGCTACAAGAATGGGGAGGAGGTAGACCAAGGATGAGGGAAGAAACTTATAATTCTCCTTTCCCTGCTGCAGATTATTGATTGTGAGTTGATGTGGGAGGGAAAGAAAGAGGAAAAACTTTTAGCTGGATTAGAAACTGAAGTTTTGGCATTAGACTAGACTAGGCTTTTTTGTTTATTGAAGTATAATATAGTATAAAATTTTACATATATGTCTTATACATACATACAAATACCTGGGTAACCATCACCCAAATCCAAATATAAAACATTTTCTAGTACTTCAGGAAAATCTCTCCAAGTCAATACTCACTTTGCCAAAGGTACCATTATTTGGACTTTTGTCACCACAGGTTAATTTTTCTTATTTGAGTTTCATATACATGAAATCATGCATAAGAACTCTCTTAATGCCTGCCTTCTTTTACTTAGTATTATTAATATATCTGTGATAGTTAATCATATTTTTGTGTGGAGCAGTAGCTCAGCTTTTCCATTCATATTTTGTTGTAATGTATGAATATCCCACGATTTATTTATCCATTCTCCTGATGATGGACATTTGAATTTTTTTTTCATTTTGGTTTACACACATAAAAAAGTTGCTAAAAACATTCCTGAAGATGTCTTTTGATGAACATTTGCATTCATTCTGTTGGATACAACACCTGAGAGTAGAACTCCTAAGTGATAGGGTAGGCATATGTTTAACATTAGTAGATGCAGCCAAACAATTTCCCAAAGTACTTGAACCATTTACCATTCACTCCTACCAGCAATGTATTAGAATTCCAGTTACTAGACATCTGCTTTAATACTTGTTAGTGACAATCTTCTAAAAGTTTAGTCATTTTGATACATGTGTGGCAGTCTTATTGTGGCTTTAATTTGCATTTTCCTGGTGACTTATGGTGTTGAGCCCCTTTTAATATGCTTATTGGAGATTTGGATATTATCCATTATGAAGTACCTATTCAAATCCTTGCCCACTTTTTATTGTGTCACCTATTTTTATTGATTTGTAAGAGTTATTTACATAGTTTGGGTAGAAGTGCTTGCTGGATATCTGACAAAGGATGTGTGTATTCTAAATAACTTCTTGGATTGTATGGCTTGCCTTTTATTCTCTTAATGGTGGCTTTCAATAAATAGATGTTTTTAATTTTAATGAAATCCAATTAATCAATCTTTTCATATATAGTTACGTTTTTGTGACTTAAGATGTTCACCTATGTTTTTTTCTAGTGTACTGAATTTTTTATTACCTGAAAATGACTGGAAAAACTATGGGTTTATTCTAATATTTTATCAAAGAAGGAGAAGAAATGGATTCACAGAGGAAGTGTAAAGGGGTGTTAAGGGGTGACAGTAATATTGCTTTCTGCTCATACCCAACAGCATCTAGATCATTTAATAAATCTTATATTTGGCTTGACTATGAAGATTAATTTGAGAAGTAAGTATATCATGCCTTTTAAAAAAGTGAACAATCCTCCTAGTGAGTATGTGAGGCACTCCTGATTTAACAGCTAAATTGATTATAGATATGACATAATCAGAAGAATTTCCATTATTGAATATATATTGAGTATCCTATGGTAATCCATCCAATGATGTACTTCTATTATAATTTGATTTCCTTAGACATGGTATTTGCTATTAGAGTTTGTGTATCTTGGTGGAAAGATGCTGGTCAGAAAGTTAGAAGTGTTTCCAGTCCCACTCTGCACTGACTACCTAGTAATGACTCATCCACAGCCACAGAGCTGAATTTTCACAACTGTACATTACCAAGTTGGATTTGGATTTCTAACCTGTTCTTCTGTACCCACCTAATAGTCCAAAACCAGGAACCTAGGCATCATCCTTAACTCCTCTCCCTCTCACCTGCTACATCTAATCAACTTACCAAAGACTCTCTATCTCTTAAATAAATTTTGAATATATATTTGCTTCTCCTTATTCTCACTGCCATTACCTTACTCTAAGCCACTGTTGTTTTTCCTCTGAATCAGTGTACCAACTTCCTAGTCTCCAAACTCCAGTCTAGCCCTGCTCCAATCCACTTTTCCACCTCCAGCCAGAATGGGCCTTCTAAGTTAATAATAGCTAGGTTTTCAGCAACGCTTACTCTGTGCTTGATTCTTTATAAGCTTGATCACATTTAATATTAAAAATACCCTGAGAAGAAGGCACTATATTCCTCTTTCCTTTCTTCTTCTTCTTTTTTTTAATCTCTGAGACAGGGTCTTGCTTTGTTGCCCAGGCTGGAGTATAGTGGCACAATCATAGCTCACTGCAACCTCAAACTCCTGGGCTCAAAATATCCTACTGCCTCAGCCTTCTGAGTAGCTGGAAACACAGGCAGGCAACACCACACCTGGCTTTTTGTTTGTTTGTTTGTTTGTTTTTTTGTTAGTAGAGACAAGGTCTTGCTACATTACCCAGGTTGGTTGCAAACTTCTTAGCTCAAGTAGTCCTCTCTCCTCAGACTCCCAAAATGCTGGGATTACAGGCATGAGCCACCATGCCCAGCCTCTCTTTCTTTTTAAATCAAGTCACTGAAGCTTGAAGAGGAAGAGTACTTTCCCAAGTTCGTTTAGCAAGAAAGAAGTAAACTAGGATTCAAAGCCTGGAAGTTGGTCTTCAGAGCTTAGGAGTCAACAAATATACAGATCTGATTAGGTCACCCCCCGGCTCACCTATAAGTTCAATGAACTTATTCTCTGGGCTGGGCCTCTGTGCATGCTGTTCCCTCTACTAGGAACATGTATTTTCTGCTCTCTACTCCCTACAACCCCTTTCCTCATCTTTCAGGTATCAGCACTCCTGAGGTCCCTAGAATGGATTAAAGTCTTTAACATATACTCCCATAGTTCCCTATCTTCTCCTATCATAGCATTTATCACATTATATTTTAATAATTGTCTTCTCCACTAGATGAAAACTCTGAGGAAGCAGGGCAATCTATCTTGCTTCTTATTGTTCTGTGGCACTCATATAATGCCTAATTTGTGGTATGCACTCAACAAATATTACTTAAAGTTAAAAATGTTGGCAAAATATTTTGTGATTTATTGTTCAATGAGAAATATAACAGATAATCAAAATGCAAAATAAACCATCAAATAAAAATTATATTCTTTCACAATATAGCTTCTAAACAGATCATCAAGAAGGTTGTAAAGACATGTAGAAAGTGACCGACTTGCCTGGTAATCCAGGAAATTCTCCCTTATTTCCACAAGTCTGCCAGGGTCATTTATCTAGAAGGCTGCAACAGTTGCAGTATTGCTGGGCTTATGGCACCCCCCTAGTGCTGAAATGGCTGCAGTGAGCACAGACACAGGTTGCAAAACTCCTTTGAATTCCTGGAAAGCCCTCTCAAGAAGGATGAGTACAAACAGGTCCAGACTGTGAAGAATGGAATAAATACCTAAATCTTTAATGCTCAGACATGGATAAATGTCCAAAAGCATCAGAAACATCCAGGAAAACATGACATCAACAAACAGACTAAATAAGGCACCAGTGACCAATTCTGGAGTGATGGAGATATGTGACCTCTCAGACATGGAATTTAAAACAGCTGTCTTCAGGAAGCTCAATGAATTCAACATAACACCTGAGAAGAAATTCAGAATTCTGTTAGAGAAATTTAACAAAGAGATTGACATTCTTTTAAAAATCAAGCAAAAATTCTGGAGCTGAAAAATTTGATTGACAAACCGAAAAATGTATCAGTCTCTCAACAGCAGAATTGATCCAGCAGAAGCAAGAATTAGTGAGCTTGAAGACAGGTATATAAAAATACACAGCCAGAAAAGGAAAAATAAAAAAGAATAAAAAAGAATGAAGTATGCCTACAAGACATAGAAAATAGCCTCAAAAGGGCAAATCAAATCTAAGAGTTATCGGCCTTAAGAGGCTGTAGAGAAAGAAATCAGGGTAGAATGTTTATTCAAAGAAATAATAATAAAGAACTTTCCAATTCTAGAGAGAAATATTAATATCCAGGTAGAAGAAGGTCAAAGAACACCAAGCAGATTGACCCTAAATAAGACTACTCCAAGACATATAATAATCCAACTCTCAAAGGTCAAGGAAAAAGAAAGGATGCTAAAAACAGCAAGAGAAAAGAGGCAAATAACATATAAATGATCCCTGATATGTCTGGCAGCAGACTTCTCCATGAAAACGTTACAGGCCAGGAGGGAGTGGGATGACATATTCAAAATGCTGAAGGAAAAAATATTTCAACCTGTAATACTATATACAGCAAAATTATCTTTCAAACATGAAGAACAAATAATGTTGTAAATGTAAGTACACAAATACAGAATACTCTAATAATGTAAACCACTCATATCTTCAGTAGAATGAATATACAAATCTATTAAAAATAATAGATTAAATCTAATAAAAATAATAACTACAACAATTTGATAATAGACAATATAATAAGATATAGAGACAACAAAAAGTCAAAATGTGAAATGAATGAATTTAAAGCATGAGATTTTTAGTTTTTTCCTTGCGTGTTTTTTTCTTTGTGATTAAAGTTTTCATCGTTTTAAAATAATTGGTTATAAGATGTTATTTGCAAGCCTCATGCTAAACACAAAGCAAAAATCTATAACACAGACACAAAAAGTAAAAAGCAAGAAATTAAAAGATACTGTGAGAGAAAAATTACTTATAAACAAAAGAAAACAGAAAGAAAATAAAAAAGACAGGACCAACAAAACTACCAGAAAACACATAATAAAAAAAGCAGTAGTAAGTGCTTACCTATAAATAATAACACTGAATGTAAACGGACCAAATTCTCCAATCAAAAGACAAAGTGGCTAAGTAGATTTTTTAAAACAAGACCCAACAATATGCTGCCTACAAAAAACTCAATTCACCTATAAAAACACACATAGACTGAAAATGAAGGGATGGAAAAAGATATTCTATGCAAATGTAAATGAATAAAGAGCAGGAGTAACTATACTTTTATCAGTTAAACAGATTTCAAGATAAAAATGGTAGAAAGAGACAAAGAAGGTCATTATATAAGGATAAAGGAGTCAATTCAGCAAGAGAATACAGCAATTGTCTATGTATATGCACTCAATGCAGCATCCAG
This sequence comes from Homo sapiens, assembly GCF_000001405.40. NCBI lineage: Eukaryota > Metazoa > Chordata > Mammalia > Primates > Hominidae > Homo > Homo sapiens. Next base: position 146,363,354 of record NC_000004.12, read on the forward strand.
TTATATTAAGCAAATATTATTAGAGCTAAAGAGAGAGAGAGACCCAATACAATAATAGCTGGTGACTTCAACACCCTACTTTCAGCAGTGAACACATCATCCAGACAGAAATCCAACAAAGAAATATCAATCTGCACTATAGACCAAATGGACCTAATAGACATCTACAGAACATTTCATTCAACAGCCGCAGAACATACCTTCTTCTCCTCAGCAATGGAACATTTTGAAGAATAGACCATGTGGTAGGCCACAAACAAATCTCAAACAATTTAAAAAAATGAAATCATATGAATTATCTTTTCTGACCACAATGGAATAAAACTAGAAATGAATAAAAAGAGGAACTTGGAAACTAGACAAACACATGGAAAGTAAACAATATGCTCCCGAACAACCACTGGGTCAATGAAGAAATTAAGAAGGAAACTGAAAAATTTCTTGAAACAAATGAAAATGAAAACACAACATACCAGTACCTGTGACATACAACAAAAGCACCACTAAGAGGGAAGTTTATAGCAATAAACACCTAAATCAAACAAGGAGAAAAACTTCAAATAAATAACCTAACAATGAATCGTAAAGAACTAAAAAAGCAAGAGCACACCAAACACAAAATTAATAGAGGAAAAGAAAAGATAAAGATCAAAGCAGAAACAAATAAAATAGAGACTAAAAAGTACAAAAGATCAACAAAACAAAAAGTTGGTTCTTTTGAGAAGATAAACAAAATTAACAAAACCTTTAGCTAAACTAAGAAAAAAAGAGAGAAGACCAAAATAAATAAGAGACAAAAAGGTTACATTACCACTGAAATCACAGAAATCTGAAGGATTATTAGAGATATTACAAGCAACTCTATGCCAATAAATTGGAAAACCTAGAAGAAATGGATTAATTCCTGGATACATACAACCTACCAAGATTAAACCATGAAGAAATAAAAAACCTGAATAGACCAAACACAAAGAATGAGATCAAAGCTGTAAGACAATGTCTCCCATCACAGAAAAGCTCAGGACCTGATGACTTCACTGATGAATTTTATCAAACATGAAAAGAACTAAGACCCATCCTACTCAAACTATTCCGAAAAATTGAGGAGGAAGAATAGATTTGCAGAATATGGATAGAAATGGAAGACATTATGATAAGTGAAATAAGCCAAGTGCAGAACAACAAATGTTGCATGTTTTCTGACTCATGTTGGGGCTATAAAAAATTGAATTCATGGAGATAGCAGAGTGATGGTTCCCAGAGGCAGGAAAAGCAGTGAAGAGGAAGGAATAAAGAGGGATTGGTTAACAGGTGCAAAAATACAGTTATCTTATTTCTTCTAAGACCTAGCGTTCAGTAGCACAATAGGGCAACTATAGCTAGAAATAATTTATTGTATATTTCAAAATAACTAAAAGAGTAAAATTGGGATGTTCCTAACACAAAGCAATGAAAAATACTTGGAATGATGGGTATCCCAATTACCCTGATTTGATCATTACACATTGTATGCTTGTAAAAAAAAATCATATGTACCCCATAAATATATACAACCACTACATATCTATAAAAGTTAAAAATAAAAAAATTTACCAATACACAGAAGCCCCTTCCATTTCCTTTTTAATGCTGCTCTCATCAGAGAGTATCTAGTGAGACAGACCACCCAAAAAGCAGACTGCCAATCCTGAACAGCAATTTAAATCATGAGGTCCATGAACTGATCAAAGTATCAAAGAAATCTGAAATTCTACTGCTGATTATTATATGTTATATATTATGACCACATAAGACTCAGTAAGTATAGAAAATACAGAGTTGTACAAAAAAGTTATTGTTTATATTAATTAAATCTTTTGTACTCCTATAAGGCACAAAGCAAAACACCACCTTTTATTTATATAAACACTGAATATAATTAGTAATACTACAAATATTTGCTTTCTTTTTGTCAAGTATCTATATTTGCATTTGCATTTAAAATTTTTATCTGGATACTTAACTTTCTAAGATTCAGTAAAAATCACATAGATACTACATCAGAGTATTATTTTAGTACAGCATGGTTGATAGTAGCTGACTTTATGACTGCACTGTACATTAAAGTTTACCTCTACTTAAAGCACAGTTAACTGCAGTTTTGGCATTAAATAATTAAATTCAGGCTTAGAGGTTTAATTAGTTAGAATTGTCTTACTGTTAATAAACAATGCTTCAATATTACTACACTTAATGGTAAAGAAAGGGATTGATGTTTACCAAGTTAATACTTGAAAGTTCTGCTTAGGCTTTATAAGATAGACAAGTATGTATTTACTGTTCCTCAATATTTAGCAATTTTACTTAAATGAAGCAATGTAGTAGGTACTCAAATACTGGAGACAAACAGGTCTATTTGAGTCTTGGATTATTTTCTACTAGCCAAGAGGACTTGGACAAGTTACTTAATGTCCTTTGTCCTCTTCAGCAGGGGTCCCCAAGCCCTGGGCAGTGGACCAACCAGTCTGTGGCCTGTTAGGAACCCGGCCGCACTGCAGGAGGTGAGTGGTAGGCCAGTGAGCATTACTGCCTGAGCTCCGCCTCCTGTTTTATCAGCTGCAGCATTACATTCTCATAGGAGCACAAACCCTCTTGTGAACTGCACATGTGAGAGATCTAGGTTGTGTGCTCCTTATGAGAATCTAATGCCTGATGATCTGAGGTAAAACAGTTTCATCTCAAAACCCATCTGCATTCCCTACCCACCAGCCTCACCCCATGGAAAAATTAGCTTCTACAAAACCGGTCTAACTGGTGCCAAAAAGGTTGGGAACCACTGCTCTTCAGTAAAAGTCAGATAATACAGTTTTACATCTCTTATCCAAAAATCCTGAGGCCAGATGGGTTTCAAATTTTTCTGATTTTTTAAAAGGTATATGTATTATGTAACCATCCCAGTGGGATCTGAGGAAGCACTCCATAATCAAACACCTTACATTCTGTAGCAGGACATATTAATATTCATACTTAATGAGACAAATACATAATAAAAACAGCCTTATGTCATTTCAGGTCAGATATTGCCCTGACCCAAACACTTGCAGTTTTTCTCTAGTCTTCCAGATTTTTTCAGTTTTTGAATGTGGAAAGGAGTAGAAGACCTGTCATGTCTACTTCTTGGGGTTGCTGTAAATATCAAATGATAAAATGCATGTGGAGTACACAGCCATACTAAGCCATACTTAGCTGCCAATGTTTTCTTGGTCATCGACATTATTATACTTTTGAAAGACTAGAAAATACATAAAGTTGTTAAAAGTGATGGCTGCTCACTGATGAAATTCTAAGTAAATTTTATCTTGTCTATAATTTCTATATTTTATAAATTTGATGTAATAGACATTTACTATTTTTATAATAAAACAGCTTTATTGAACTTAAAAAAGTATTTATTTTCCCTTCATTTGGAAATATTTACTTTAAGTCACTGCAGCTCCTTACAGATCCTTTTCTTGGTCTTGCCTTTTCCTTTATCACACAAACAAAAATTATTCTGAGTTTTCTGCTTTGAAAATGTTCTTGGGTTATACACTCATTAGGGGCAAAGAAACTTCTATTCCAATTCAGATTTTTTTTTCTTCTGCCCAAGCAATAAGCAAGTTTTTTGTTTTTTTGTTTTTTTTTGTTTTTGTTTTTGCCATTCATCATGGTTTGGCTCATCTACAAGGCATTTCTTCAGCTCACAAGTTACTAGAATAATGTATAGATTTGTGAGCTGTTAGATATCATAACAGTAAGATATCAAGATGAATACCAAAATTCTCACATTAGTTCTTCTAACACAGATAGTCTCTGCTTTCAAGTAGTATGTTAAAATTGTAACTAAAACCCAGAGCCCAAAACAACAAAAGGAAACAAAAAAATCTCTGTTGAGGCTTTACCTATTATTGTCCAGTGCAGTGCTGTCCAATAGAACTTTCTGTAATGACATGTTCTATTATATTCAGTGTTCCATACAAAAGCCACTAGCCACATGTAGCTATTAAGCACTTGAAAGGTGGCTAGTGCAACTAAGGAATGAAATTCTAAATTTTATTTAATTTTTTAATTAATTTAAATTTAAATTTAATTAGCCACATGTGGCTACTTATAAATGTATTAGAGAGTATAGGTTCACAAAACCCCAATTGTTTATGCAGTCCTTTTCAATGGAGACACTGAATGCCAGTTCTATTTTTAAACTATCTGTAATGTTTTCCATGTAGTGAAATTTAAGAGGTCTTTTCTAACAACCTTGCTTGAAAAGAATCATTTAAAATATAAATTGTGAGATCTCCCGAGAATTAAAGTTTCTGCTTCATTTTTCTATGTGTTGGGTATTGACTTAAGAACTCATTGCTTTATCCAACATTTGTGCTTCTGTTTATTCAGTAGTTATTTATACTCTTCTACCAACCCTACCTTACCAGTATGTCTAATAAATAAATATTCACAAAGTGACTTCAGGCAAACATTAAAAACAAAACAAACAACAATAAAACAATGAATAGTTGATAACAAATGAGCCTTCAATCAAAGAACAATAGCAAGTGACAAAGGCAATTTTAAAACTATCACAGTCAAAAACACTCCTTTAAATTCCACCTCAGGACACTGACCCTCTTGCCCAGTCCTAAAAACTTTCCTTAAGTTTTGGAACAATCCCGAAAGCTCTGTTTCAGCATTCATTATAATGCAGCTCAGAATTAACACTGCCAGGCTCCTTTCTAATCAATTATGCATTCAGATGTCCAGCATTTCTTTGGGGCCCCTTACCTTGACACCAGAATTGTTTAAGAGATGACACATGCATGTGTACTTTTTAGAATAAAAAGAGGACTTTAAGCAGGTTTTAACACTAAATGAGAACAAGGGTAAGAGCAGAGAAATCAACCCTTTCAGTCAAGGTTGGGCTTCCGGCAAGCTGCAGGCAGTACACAGCATGAGAGTATCTGGCTGCAGAAAATGCCCATGTGTTGACAGCTGAATAAGAGTTTGAAAGCTTAACAGTACAAATGTTCTCTCCATGGTACTGTTACATAGCTTTTCTTAACCAGACTGCCAAAAATCTCCAAAGCTGTTGACAACTAATCACATGAAACTAATTCATTCTTGGCTTTGACATTAAATTAGCAAGTTATTATTTTTACGTAGGTAGTAACCCTGCACTGATTTGATTAACTGCAGAAAACAAAGGAACATTTTGTCCAGCCTAAAACTTTAAATAAGAAAGACTTAAAAACCATAAAAGAATACAACTTGTGCCCCTTCCTTCCTTCCTGAACAAACCCACTAGCTATTAAATTGGCTTTGAGTAACATATTTTTATCAAGTGTATATTCAATTTCTGTCACAAGTGAAAGTTCTCCAAATGGACAGTTTCCCTAGAAATATAAATATTCAAAATAACCTGGGAAAAAAATGATAATTCGTAAAAGACAACTCCTACTAGTTAGTGTCTAGAGTCACATGTAAAAACAAAGACACTATAGTCTATGAAAGTGCTTTTGGTATTAACATTCGGTGTTTAGGAACTTTAAAGTTTTCCTAGGCATCTCAGTTTTAAGTAAATAATGACAAATTATTTTGAGAGCTACCCAGCCTGTATTAATCTTCCTTTTTACTTGATGACCTGCAACACCTATCAGGGGCACTTATTCAGTTACTTACTAGTCTGTCTTCTATTATAACTTCCTATTCATGATTAGTATCACAAAAATGAGAAAGCAAGCCACTGAGGACAGGGGCTACATCTCTTGTATATTCCTCCAGCAGGTATAAGGAGTATGGACCCTGGAGCCAGACACCCTGGGTTCAAATCTTGCTCTACCACTTAACCATCTGTGTGACCCTAAACATGTTATCTAACCTCTCTGAGCCTCAGCTTCCTCAGTAAAACAGTGATAACAACAGCTTCTCCACAAGTTAGTGTTATTGTGAGGATTAAATAAATTTATACATATTAATTGCATTCTACAGAATCTGGCATTTAGTAAACACTCAGGAACTATTGGTTAACATTATCATTAGTCTTTTTGGACAAATATATGTAAACATAAAACATCTTCATTTTTAAATATCAGAGGTCAAGGCAAATAGAAGCAAACACGCTGATAAAACAGATGGATTATCTCCCTTTGAATATTTCTTTACTGGTGATATTGACTGGTAGATCCTACTATCATAAATGATGATTCAGTGAACTTTCACCTTGTGATTCCTTTAACATGAGGGATCTCCAGCAGACAAATGACGCTTACTCCTAAGGCCTGATTACTGATAGAACATAAAATGAGTAATGTTAGAGGCCTTATCTTTGTTATTACAGCGAATGCTTTATTCCATAACATAGCCTAGGAATCCCAATATTAACATATCTCATAGCAATCAATCATATTCAATTTTGATTTTCACATCTTTGATAAATATCAAATGATACTATAAGCATAAAACTTAATTGTACAGACTGCTGATGTGGACAATAATGCCATTAGTGGGCCCACAAAGCTAAATCAGCAGTATCACATCTGAAAATAAAAAACCTTGGAATTCTGCAGAAAAAGAGTTAACCTACCAATTTAAACAAGATAAAAACACTAAAAATAATTTGCAAAACAATTTTCTTTATGCATTCAATAAATATATGTCAGAATAAACAAAAATCACAGAAGCTGAAAGTAAAAAAAAATCAATTAAAATAAAGTCAGAGGGCATGATAGAGAATTATTTCTGGCAGTTATTTGATATAATATGGTTAATATTTCTAGTCAGTCAAATTAACACAATTTTGCCACTGTAGATTTACAGTCACAAAATGCATGCTCCCAAGAGGCTTGTTGTTCCAAGAATCAGAGTAACAAATTCCTTTCTGGCATAGAACAACTTGACCATTCTCTTCGGAACACAAGTAATAAAAAAAATCCTTCAGAAGAAAAATTAATTGACTATACATTCTCATTTGGCCATCTTTCTCTCCTTGATTTCTCCTTCAAAGTCCTTGGATAGAAACCAGTCCTTTTATCGCTCCATTTGTATCAAGAGATATGCTTTTCTTTCTTATCGGTCTGCCTATTCATATCATGTGTACTCTGCCATGTTATTGATTGAAAGAAGCTCAGGCAAGGTGGTGTCAGCTTATATTCCTAAAGGGAGTCCCCTGAGCAGATTGGGGAGGCACTTAAGGTCAAATCAGATTGTCTGTGTTCCTACGCTAAACTTCAGGGCACAAAGAAGAATATAGAGTTCTCAAGCATGCAAAACAAATACCGGCATTCAGCCTTTTTTAATCTTCCCCCACAGCGCTCAGAGGTACTTTTCATAGAAGAAAATTTGGCTCAGTAAAAATAAAAATTATTTTAAACCACTCTTCTTACTTTCTTTGTCTCTCTTATTTACGTTTCCGAAATGTCTACTCCAAAAAGAGAAATCATAAGGCAAATAAAGTCACTAAATCACATCATGACTAGAGAGTGAAGATCTAGTAATTACCCTCAGAGTTTAATTTGGCATTTTCCTGATGACTTGAGATATAATCTGTACACTATGAAGAAGGAGAAAGTAAAGTTAACCCCATTTGCAAAGTGTGTGCTTAGCAGCACCATAAAAATTCCCCAGATCTGGTTTATGGAAGAACCTCAGAATTGAGTCATCAAACACTTTTCAGAGCACGTATTATATGTACAGCACTTTTTCTAGAACTAGGGCTTCAAAGATAGATATGCTTCTTGCCCACAGGGAATTCACAACTCATTATCTTACAATGTGATATGTACTCTGATATGACAGAACCATGTGTCATGGCATAAAAATCTTGGGAGCTAGATAGATTAGGGTTCAAATCTGCTTTCACCAGATATCGGGGGTACCAGCAAAAGGCATCCACCTTCTTGTACTTCATTTTACTTGCATTATAACATAGACACAATGTTATTTACCTTACAGGGCGCCTGCCCTTGTTAGATGGTTAATAATTATTCGTTTGCTTGTTTGCTTTCTTCCTTGTATACAAAGTCAAGAACAATTAATCTCATCTAAAGGCAGTGAAGATGATGAGAGAGGGGGCCAAATAAATGGTAGAGTTGATGCTGGGCCTTGTGGAACAAGTAGGATTTTAGTAGAGAAGAATGAAAACCAAGGGATTCTTAGAAGGGTGGCATCATGAGAAAAGGAACGGAGTTCTAAAAAGTACGCGATGTGTTTAGAGAAAGCAGAACAAAGTGGCTAAGGACATAATTTCAGAGTTAGCCTGCCAGAGCTGGCATCATGGTTCTGCTGCCTCCTAGGAGTGACCTGGGGTGAATAAACTGCCTACCTGGTGCTTCTCTTCTTGTGTTTTGTCCACATAATAGTACTTACATCACAGCATGTATTGAGGATTAAATGGAGATTTTTAATATGTATAAAAACAGGGCCTCACTTGTAATAAGTATTATTGCTACTATTGTCAGAGCCATTATTAATAGAGACCTATAGACCTATTATTATTATTAGAGAAGTCCAGATGGTTGGGGATGGCTCAAGCATAAGGAAATGAAGTAAGTATGGGTTATCAGAATGGTATTTCTCATTCTACCATTTGACTCCCAGTCATCTTAGTATCCCGGAAGCAATGTTTTATGTCAAATGGGTGAATGGGTTACTTCTATCTGGATGTTCTCTGTCTCTTCCTATTACTAAATATATGCATCAGAATCCCTTAGGGAATCTGATAAAAATCAGGACTTCCTGGGCCTAAACCTAGAGACTCTTATTCATTTAAGGCAGAGCTGAGAAAACTGTTTTTTAGCACAGTTACAAAGCTGGCTGGGTGCAGTAGCTTTTGTCCATAATTCTAGCACTCTGGGAGGCTGAGGTGGGCAGATTGCTTGAGCTCAGGAGTTCAAGACCAGCCTGGGCAACATGGAGACACCCCATCTCTACAAAAAATACAAAAATCAGCTGGACATGGTGGCATACACCTTTAGTCCAAGCTACTCAGGAGGCTGAGGTGGCAGGAACACTTGAGCCTGGGTAGTCAAGGCTACAGTGAGCTGCAATTGCACCACTGAACTCCAGCCTGAGTGACAGAGGGAAACCCTGTTTCAAAAAAAAAAAAAAAAAAAATGCTTCCCAAGTGATTCTGATGAACAGCCCAATTTAAAGACCTTTGTTCTAGCCTTCTCAGAAGTCAGGTCAATATGTTTTACTCATATTGCCCACTAAGTAAAATAATACTTAGCTTATCTAATAATAACAGATTCATAAAATCACTAGCCTCCTTTCTATTTTTAATTTAAACAAAACACTAATTCATTTAAATAAGGCATTAATAAGATTATGTTTTCCTTCTTAATGAGTTACTGAAATATTTTGCAAAGAGAATGGCATAAAGGAGCAGGGAATGGCAGAATGGCAGAGAAGCATGTTAACTTAATGTTTCATCAAATATTAAAAAAGTAACATTTTTTGGATTAAATAAGTTGTTTAGCCATTATTTATTCTCAGTTACATTTAGCAATATAAATTATGAAATAATAAATCCAAGTAAATCATCCAGGTTTCAACATTATTACTACTAGGACAATTTAAATTTTGATTTGCTAGAATCCATTTGTTCTTCAATAGGTCTGTCTTGAAGAATATCAATCAGCCACATCAGAGAGCCCTATTTGCTTCACAAAATAATGGTTTATTTCATTAAAATCATTTGTAGCTTCTTAGTGCACCTAAGGGTTTGTTGATCATTATTCTACAGAAAGGCCTGAAGAAAGAACATTTTAAAGCAAAAGGCTGATTACAAGTACAAATAAACATCTCTGAAGTTATAATAGAAATAATTTTGGCCAGGCACAGAGGCTCATGCCTATAATCCCAGTACTTTGAGAGGCTGAGGTGAGAGGGTTGCTTGAGCTCAGGATTTTAAGATCAGCCTGGGCAACATGGCAAGACCTCATCTCTACTAAAAATCAAAAAAATTAGCCAGGCCTGGTGAAACACACCTGTAGTCCCAGCTACTCAAGTGGCTGAGGTGGGACGATAGCTTGAGCCCAGGAGATGGAGGCTGCAGTGAACTATAATTGCACCACTACACTCCAACCTAGGCGAGATAGCAAGACCCTGTCTCAAAAAAAAAAAAAAAATGTGATAACAAATAAATACAAGGGCCAGGCAAAATTCAAGGGCTGGCAATGTATGCACAGGGATCAGGTCAAAAAGCACCATAGTAAAAGCTTAGATTTATCCTGAGAGACATGAGACGTGAAAGAGGGTTTTAATGGTGAAATGTACATTATAAAAATGTTTAATACTGTAGTTTTCAACTTTCAGTACACATTAGAATCATGCAAGGAGATTTTTAAAAATACTAATATCCAAACTTTCATCCACCAGAATCTTAATTTAATCAGTCTGGAGTGGGGCCCACATATGAATGATTTTTTTTAAACCACCCAAGTTATTTTAATATACAACCAAGGTTGAGAACCACTGCTCAGATTTGGATGCCAGGAGACAGGCAAAGGCTATAAGAGATGATGGCTAAGCTAGGGTTCTGGTGATGGAGATGAGGAAATGTGGATAAATTCGACAGATATTCAAGTGGTTTTAATAAAATAAACAGTATGTACAGATTGGTTACCTATGGAGCATACAGGAAATACATGAAGCAAAAACTGCCATCAGGTTCCTCCTAGGAAAATGGGCAAACTGGAGTGCTATTCATTGGCCTCAGATTGGAAGAGACCTGGGTTTGGATCTGCTTCTCCATTTTCTATTTTGAGGCTTTGGGTAAATTATTTAATCTCTTTGAACTCTATACAAAATGGAAACAATAATACCTCACAGCGTTTTGTCGAGATTACATGAGATGACACATATAAGGGATCTAGCACAGGGCCTATTATATAACAGATGCTCAATGAATGTTTTCCCCTCCCATCTTATAACATAGCTATTTTGGGCCAGGTGCGGTGGCTCATGTCTGTAATCCTAGCACTTTGGGAGGCCGAGGCAGGCAGATCACTTGAGGCCAGGAGTTCAAGACTAGCCTGGGCAACATGGTGAAATTCCCTCGCTACTAAAAATACAGAAACTAGCTGGGCATGGTGGTGCACGCCTGTAATCCCAGCAACTTGGGAGACTGAGGCAGGAGAATCGTTTGAACCTGGGAGGCAGAGGTTGCAGCAAGCTGAGATTACACTACTGCACTCTAGCCTAGGCAACAGAGTGAGACTGTCTCAAAAAAAATATATACATATATATATATACACATACACACACACACACACACACACACACACACACACACACACACATATATATATATTTTCTGGATGTGACCACTATGGAAAGTAAGGGTTATTCGTTTAGATTCCTAAAGAAACTGTGCTAACATTACTTCAATACGTGAAATTACTTTAACATAGTATTTAACAAATGCTATGATTTTCTCAGAAGATGCATGACATTTAAAAAGATACATTGGATGTAAAAAGTACTGTATTATCATTTCTAGAGATGCAGAGTCACTGAGAGAGACCATCTGTTTCTAATATTGTTAAATTATCTCAAAAACCCACTAGGTGTGGTGGCTTACGCCTGTAATCCTAGCACTTTGGGAGGCTGAGGCAGATGGATCACCTGAGGTCAGGAGTTCGAGACTAGCCTGGCAAACATGGTGAAACCCTGTCTCTACTAAAAAAACAAAAATTAACCAGGCATGGTGGTGCATGCCTGTAATCCTAGCTACTCAGGAGGCTGAGGCAGGAGAGTCACTTGAACCTGGGAGATGGAGGTTGCAGTGAGCCGAGATTGCACCACTGCACTCCGGCCTGGGTGACAGAGGGAGACTCCATCTCAGAAAACAAAAACAAAAACAAAAAGCAAAACAAAACACAACAAAAAACCAAACAGTATGAATAGACAGGAGCTTAATAATGAAAGACTGATTTTAGGAAAAACATTCTAATCTCAATTTGTAGGAACATCACCTTTGAATACCTGGAGAGATGCTCTTACCTTTGCATTCATTGTTTCCTTTGCCTGGAATGTTCTCCAGAAATCCTCACGCTTAACTCCCTCATGGCCCTCAAGTTACTCCTAAATGTTACTCCTACATGAGGCCAACTTGACCACTGTACTTAAATTGCAATTTCCCCAACCCTGCCACAGAACATCTAGCTCCCTTTAACGTATAAGCATTAACCTAACTCTTCTTTTTTGTTTTTGTTTCTCTTTTTCCTTACAACTTATCTCCTTTTAACAAGCTGTGTGATTTACCTATTTATTTCGTTCATTTTTTTATTGTCTGCCTCCTCCCAACAGAATGTTGTAAAGGCTAAGAAAAACCCTAGTGTTTTTCCTATTCTCACACAACACAACCCCTCTGACATGAGCTGTGTTAGGGTTGTTTCCTCACATACCAAACAATTCTCCAGCAGACACCAGCTGGGTGTCCTCTAATTCAATTCTATTCCGGCACTTGGTGAAGATAGTGTCGGATCCCACAGGTTGAAGGCTCAGTCCCATCAGACTGCCCCCCACTTCACATGCTAATCACAAGTCCTAGCTTGTGACCTATACTGATGACAGACCAGTGATAAGTTAAGGGTGCCCGTGACCCCCTTCTCAGGTTTGATTAATTTGTGAGAGCAGCTTACAGAACCCAAGGAAACACTTTACTTACGTTTACCCATTTACTGTACAGGATATTACAAAGGATAAACAGCCAGATGGAAGAGATGCATAGAGTGGTGTGGTAGAGGAGCACAGAGCTTTCATGCCCTTTCAGGACACACCACACTCCAGAAACCTCCACATATTCAGCCTCATCCTGAGGCTATCTAGGAGTTCACCAAGAATCTCCTCATTAGAACAAAAGATGTTCCTATCACCCACAAAATTCTAAAGGATTTAGAAGCTCTTTGTCCGATCTTATTGATATGGATAGGAGGAGGGGAAATACTGGGTAGAAGAGGGTGGTTCCCTGGCAAATGCCCCACCCTCAAGCCTGGAAACTGCAACCCTAAATGAGAATAGTTGCCCCTGTTGTCCAGCCCAAATGTTGCTTTTTCCAAAACCACCCTGGCCCACCACACCCCCCATCCTATACCCATTAAAAACCCCAAACCCCACTGGCACAGGAGCAGAGCAGCATGGTAAAGAAGGAGAGAGGAGGCATCTTAACATTGAGAAGAGTTCAGACAGGGATGGTTGGTCCCCAGCCGAACTCCAGGGGAAGACTAACTTTCCCTTCCATCCCCTTTCCAGCTCCCCATCCTGCTGAAAGCCACCCCATCGCTTGTTTGAAATGCTTGTTCCCCAGTGCCATAAAGAAATAGCACTTGAACATAAATTCAATTTCTTCAGCAAGGCCATTTTTATACTTTCTGCAGAAAGGGTACACTCACCAGCAGTTTTGCCGCGACTGTATATTGAACAAAGGAGACAAGGTCATTTATAACCTGATGCGTCCACTTTACAGCTGTGTCCCGTTTTTATTGGCTGGAACGGGACCTCACAATCTGTATTTGTCTCAATTGGCTAGCAACTTAGAAATGTTTAAGAGGCAAAGGCAGAGGAGAACAAAGGAAGGAGGAAGTAACTTGAGGAATGCTGAGAAAGGTAAAAACACCTTTAAATAAGGAAGAGGAACAGGCTATAACTTAATGCTTGCTTGGACCAGTATAAGCATGCCAGGGCAAATATTTAGGCTAAATTGTGGAAGATAAGAATGTAAAGTACATTTTTTTTTATTATTACAGCTAGCAGATATTTAAGAATGTTAGCACAGGTCTTTGAATAAATTTTGTTTTTAAGAGAAGTTACTGTTTATTTCTAATTAGACGGGGAGGAAAGTCTTTGAAGAGGAACCTTTACTTTACTTTTTACACACTCAATAAAATCTCTGCATCCTTCAAGTCCATGTGACCTGATTCTTTCTGGATGCTGGACAAGAACCCAGGTACCAAGAGGGCAGGATGTAAAAGGCTGTCACCCTGACTCTCCATTGAGCTGGTTAACACTTAGCCATCTGTGGATGGCAGCTGCTAAAGGAGCATTAATTGTAACACACCCCTGGATGCTGCTGTGGGGCTAGAGCCCAAAAGCACTCACCCCAGCCCTGGCACACACTCACCTGCATGCTCCTCCTCCCGCAAGGGGTTTAAGCAAGCCACACTCCTGTCTCAAGTCCCATGATAAGGTCAAGGAAATTCTCCCATCTCATTATCACTCTGGAGATTGCAAAGGGTTGTTCAGGGACCCAGAACCAAAGACCATATATTAGAACAAAAGAGTCTCCTATCACCTTTATCTACAAAGGTTTTAGGAGCTCTGTCCCAGGAACAAAGAGGGTGTGCAGAGGACAACTACATATTTCTTATTATATCACAATATTCCAGATGTAAACTCCACAAGGGCAGAGTCTGCTTTATTAATTTGTATATCACAAGTACCTGGAACAGTGCCTGGTACAAAGTGTGAAATGAACATCTTTTGAATAAAAAAAATACTTTAAAATTGCCAACAAAATTCAAACTTCATAGGTTTATATGCCAGTATTGTAAGTAAAGATACTACTAACAGGAAACCCAGTCATCAAAACTAACTTATTTGGGAAAAATAAAAAGAATAGAAGGTGATGCTGAAGCCCAAAATTCTTGTTCACTGGCACTACTCATGCTGTCTCTATTCTTAGAGCATCTATGCCAGGGCTACTGGAACAAAGGAAAGAGTATGCGTTTTAGGTGGAAAAGACTGGTTTTGGATGCAGTTCTTTCAGAGGGAGGCATGAGGTCTAGTGATGACAACAAAGACCAGAATTTAAGAGTCTGCTACTTTGCTTCTAAGTGTGCAGGGATGCTTTCTTGCGCCAAAAAAGGGCATGAATCTGCTTCGTTATCAACAGTTCATCTGCCTAGCTATAGAGAAAATTATAATCTCTCTCTCTCTCTTCTTATTTTAGAAAACATGGGAGAATAACGATAATGTTCTGGTCTTAAATAAAAAACATAATCCACAATACAGCTCCAATTTCCTAATCCACAGAAACTGAATCACAAAGATAACCAGTCTTTCTTCTGATCAAACCACAGTTTGAAGAGACACAATCAACCAAGATTACCAGGGTGCTAAGGACAGCCTAGACTGGAATGATTTCATGAATTTTCAGAGAAGAAATTAAATTATGCCATAATGCTCAATCTACATTATAGAGTACATAAAAGAAGGAAAGGTGTTTGTGTCATTCCAACTTGAATAGATTTTACGACATGTCTATTTTCTAGTCTAAAGATTTCTAGAAAATGAGAATAAAATAAATGAGGCTTAGTCAACTCTGGAGAATATAGATTAAGATAGAGAAAAAGGCCAAACCAAATAAAACTAAAGTCATTTAACAAAGTGGTTCTTGAATTATTTATATTTGGTTTTGTAATGGGATTGCACACAGAGTCCACTGTGCCTAACTTCCTGTACTTCACATTTTAGCCCCATCCTTGGCAACTCAAAGCCCAATGGGAAGGCTGATGATAGAAGATCAGATAATCTGCAAAGCAGATAATCTGCTTCTCACAATTGAGTATTAGAACAGTCAAGAGACCACCTGAGCCCCCATAATATACCCTTTCCAGGCCCACAAACAGAGCCTTTCAGGGTATTGACCCAAGCCCAGAGGCATCATGGAGGCTCACAATTAAAAGGCTTTGACCCAACTTCTGACCTCAATGTCCACTTCCTGTGGAGAGTGTCTGAACTAGCCTAACAGAATTGCAGACTTAGGAATGCTGACCAAATTACTTTCATTCTACCTTCTAGCTCACAAAACCATTAGGATCCTATTCATTTAGACATATGCTGGTCCAATAGCTCAGAATAGTTCATATCAGTCTGTTTCACTGAGGTCTACATTGTTCTCAGCAATTATCCTTACAACTATCCAAAGTGACCATCTTTAACACATATATACATGTATCTGCAGCCTCTCTTTGTTTAATTGATGAATACAACAGATTTTATTGATGCAGATTTATCAGACGCTTCAGTAACATCATCAGGATAAACAGGTCTTTGAGAAATAAGACCTCCAATAAAAAAGTTACTGGTTATCTTAATATTATAATTACTGTTGCTGGTAAGACTAATGTATATTCAAAACTAGGATAGCTGATCTAAAATGAAACAAATATTTTGTCTCATGTAATTGGCTATGAAACTGCCAGAATAACTGAAGAGATCAGAAAAGTGAGAAATAGTCTTCTCCAAAGACAAAAACCCCAATCTTGATAACTGTCCACTTGGAAGAAAAACTTAAATCATCAATGTCAATATTAGCAATTAATTACTTTCTTCTAAATCAGTGTATTCCTCCTTATATTTTTATCCTCTCCAAAGAACATCGCATTAAGTACTCTTTCATTGAGTATTTCTAGATCATCCCACTATTGAGTATTATATCAGATATATTATTCCTAGCTGAGAGATTTAAAATTCTTGATAGCTTGAAGAATGGCCCCAAGTCTTGTCAAACTATGCAGTTCAGAGTTCATTCAGTGATTCATACTACACAAATATCTGCTTGACAAATAATTCTCTCTCTCTCTCTCTCTCTCTCTGTGTGTGTGTGTGTGTGTGTGTGCGTGTGTGTATGCAAGAATATGGGTAAGCAAGCAAGAGAGCTGAGCTTCTGTCTCTTAGAAAGCAGTCTGAGGAAAATCTAATACCCATTGGGAAGAAAACTATCCAAAAGATGTTTCAGATCCAAATATATAACAAGGAGTACTATGGGTCAAATACACTTTTGTTTAAAACCAGGTATATGTTAGTTTTAATCCCTCTGGATCAATCTACAACCCTATCAAAGGCAGAGAAACAAAATCACAATAATAATGAAGAAAAAAATCCCATAGTTTTGACAGTATGTGAATTTCCAGAAAAGGCACATAGGTTGCCTAAATTAACCATGCATTCACTAGTCAGGTAATAATGTGGTAATAGGCTTGTGATATTATATTAATTGTACTTGCAAAACATGGTTATGCAATTTCTGAAAAAGAGAGTTCTGCTCTATAAAAACTACTTGCCATCAATGTGCAAACCACTATATTTAGGTTATATGTTTTATTTTTGTCAAATCAGAGAGATCTTGCCAACATACCTTTTTAGTTTTAAAAGCGATTCAGTTCACTGCATATACTTATTTTATTTTCAATTCAAAAACTACTTTTTGATGACCTACTACATATGGGGCACTAAATTAGGTGTTGCTAAAGGCTACAAAGATGAATTGCATTGCAATTCAAAATGTAGGCGATCCATTGAGACTTTCTGAAATGAATTCATTTGATTCCTACTTATAATTGTTGTATCAGTACACAGAAATATACAAACTGGCACATTATATTATTGTAGGAATTTTTTTCTTTTCCTTTTCCTTTTTAACATGACTAACATTATAGAGGGAATAAAGTAATCTCTATACTTACAAAAACATATAATTAGTTGGTACGATGTTTATCTTGATTCCCAGAAGTTAAAAAAAATAGATAATTTAGATATAGATATACACCTAAGCATTTATTATAAATTTAAACAGTTCCAAAGTTTCTAGGGAGTGAAGAAATGCCGGCCATCATTTTACAGAATTTTAAAATTTATGCCTGATCCACTCATTTATAATTAGAATTTTATCAGAAGGGACAGATCCAGGTTTTGTGACCCCTAAAGCCCATACAATTTGGGGGGCTCTTGTTTAAGAAAGGAGTACAAAACTAGTGCCAGGGCCTCAGAAGGGGCCCATGCAAATGAGGGGCCCTAAAGCTTAAGCATCATTAGCTTCTGAGTAAATCTGACTCTGGTTTTCAGTCATCAATAACAAACTTTCATCAATAGAATGATGTAAAACAGAGCAACAAGTATCTGAAATTTAAGTTGGGGCGGAAATATAGTTCTCTGAAAGTTAATTAGAGGAGCTATGTGAACTTTTGTAAAACTGAACTGTTTAGGAACCCTCCCCTCACCCCCAGAAATCTACTCTAACATTGCCATGCACAGCATCAGGAGGAGGCTCAAGGTTAATCACTCATTTCCCCTTTCAATCCGTCTCAATTACTGTTATGGGATGCTTCAATTAGTCATTCTCATTCTCTCCAGGGATAGGGAGAGATTGCAGATAACTCATCCCAAATAGACTTCACAATTTGAATCCCTCCACCCAGCCAAAGAAAAATCTTCACTGGAGGCAAGGAAGATTTGCTCTCATCCACTCTGCACTCTGTCAATGCCACTCTTTCATCAGACAAAGAGAAGCCATCAGTCTTTAGGGAGGCAAGTTCTTCTTTTCCCTTCCCCCAAAGGAGCAAGTTCTGTTTCTACCACACACTCAGCCTAAGACTGCCCTAGGCAATTGTTCTTAAAACTACCCTTGGAAGGCCCTTTCCAGAAGCTAGCCCCTGAGACAGCCAGCCATATTATCAATCACCTAGACAGCATTTATACCTTTTTCTATGCCTGCTCTCTACTTGTCATAAGATTGCTTAGCCCTAAAGTCTAAAATCTACAAAAACAGACATTTCAGTGACTTAAAGAAGCATTTGCAGTATCAATAGTTTATAGAAGACTACACAGAAAATAATGATTTCTAAACCTAGAAAGAAAAATGTCTCCCAATCTTAGAGAAGGCATTCAAACTCTCTAAAGGCATGGGATAAGAGAAAAAAAAAAATCTAATCTGACAAAGGGCTTTGTTGCAAAGGTTTTGTATATTTTTACCTCTGTAAATATTCCAAGTACTCTGGGTTCTGTTATCATCATACGGAGATTATACATGCTGTGCAATTATAGCGATGTTACAAAATAACACTTATGAATGGATAAACATTTCTAGTTATGTTGACATTGTTTAATAATTGCTTATTCTCCTGTAGAAGGACTAAATTTGCTCAAGGACTGCATAAAGTGGCCTATTTCTGATCAGTCATTTCTTCCATTGTGCCATCACTGTATTTACACTGTCACAGCACTAACATCATGTTACAATTACTGTTTCACCCAATAGACTACAGACTCCCAGGGGCTGGGAGAAGGGAGGTTGTACTAGGGCTGTTTTCATTTTTGTATCTTTAATAACGAGTAGTGCTGACACATAGTTGGCACTCAATGAGTGAATTTACTGAAACAGACATGGAATTGATAATATTTAATATGAATGGCAAGACCCAATATTTTAGGGGTTACCAAGGCATGTTGAAAATCAAATATTGAAGTTACTTTATAAATAGCTGGCACAGAAGATGCTCATGATGGACTGAGCAGTTCTAAGCATGAAGGGCTTTTTAATATAAATAATGTCCTCTTCGAGAAATATATTTCAGAATCCAGAGATTAAAAGTACTCCAAATGTGTTTAAAATCACACCATTTTAAATTTCTTATAAAATTGTCACCTTGTGTCCTTTCCTCTTCATAATATCTAGTTTTGTATATGAGAAAAATCCAAAACTCAATCTTGACCCATGAAACTCTTTTCCATGATGGGCCCAGGGTATCTTGAGATAGAATTATATCAGTATTGGGGGTGGGGGGTGCAGAATATCATCAATATCGGTGAAACTTTCCTTGGTACCTCTAACCACCTCTAGGCACTGCCTCCTCATGCATGGCTCCCCGATTTTCTTCTGGAATGTAGGCCTCTGAAACCACTGAAAGCTCGATTTGTCTCCTTATCTATTGTGACCTGCAGCCTCATCACACAATAAAAGTAAGCATTTTTATTGTTACCTTGACTTCTTTAAATAGACCAGATTAGGTTGTTCAACTGATTCTAGGGCTCTGAAGTAATAATAGTAAATATTTACAAAATGATTATTTTGATTCAAGTAGTACTCTGTATATAAGAACTTAGTGAATTCTCTCAACTCCCTATGAGACAGTGAAGCAGGAGAATAGGGTCTAGGAGCAGGGAACCTAAGGACTTCCTAGAACTAAATCAAAGGGGGAAAACCGCGGCTTTCTAAGGCCAAGTCAGCTATGACAGGAAACATCCTCTTCATTTGTACAGGGTGTACACCGAGTAAATAACTTTGTAATCTCATTTCATCCTCTTCATTTGCATAGAGCATACACCAAGTAAGCAATGGGAAATCTCTAGACGATATTTAAGCCCCCAGAAAATTCTGTAACCAGGCCATTGAGCCGCTTTCTCAGGCCTGCTCCCACCCTGTGGAGTGTGCTTTTGTTTTCAATATATCTCTGCTTTTGTTGCTTCATTCTTTCCTTGCTTTGTGTGTTTTGTCCAATTCTTTGTTCAAACTTCCAACAGCCTGGACACCTTCCACTGGTAACAATAGGTTACCTTATTGTCCCATTTTATAGCTGAGAAACCTGAAGTTCAGAAAGGCTAACAACTATTAAAATCACTGAGATTCAATCTCAGCCTGGCTCCAGAATCTGTGCTCATTGATGATGAAGACAACAACAAGCTAATAATAGCCAATACTTAGGTAGCTACTAATTAGATGTCAGGTATGTTCTAAGCATGTTAAATGTATTTGTTCATGTATTTAATTAATGACACCAGATCAGAAGTCAAAGAAACCAGGATTCCAATTCAACTGCTGGCACTGATTAACTGTGTAATTTAGGGGAAGTCGTTTCAAACACTCTGGGTCTCAGTTTCCTCAGTTACACATCAAAGGTATTGTATCAAATAATCTCTGAGATCTAACACTATATTTATTGCTTTCCCACGTGAGCAGTGCCAGAATGAAATTATATTCCTGCTCTCAAAAAAACTGTACTAATCAAACAATGTCAATTATTAAAGTCCAGCAAACATCTTTTATTTCATGCTCAAAACTGCTATTTGGTGGATTAATACAGAATATAAAATGAAACTTGGTAACTCTTAAAAAGTAATAATGCCTAAAAGCCATAAAGAAAAAAACTGATAAATTTAATTACACAACTTCTTTTTAAGCCCCAGATGACAAAAACATCATATGGTCAAAAGATAAATGACTAGAAATAATATATGCAACACATGTAACAGACATAGGTTATTATTTTATGAGTAGCTTATAAAATCAATGTAAAAAGACTAATGGGAAATGGGTAAAAATACATATTTCTTTGTATTCTTTGTGCCTAGCCCAGTTCCTTGAAAGAACACATGGTCAAAAAGCCAATGATAAACTAAATACATGAACTATGTGATTTTATTATTAGTCTCTTTATCAGGTTTCATAAAAAAGCACACTATGTATATATAGGGATTTGGACAATATTAGAAGATTAATTTTACAGAATTACTACAGACTTTTATAGAAATATAAAATCAGAATATTATACTTGATATGATTTAGATGTTTTGTCCCCTCCAAATCTTATGTTAAAATATAATCCCCAATGTTGGAGGTGGGCCTACTGGGAGGTGCCTAGGTCATGAAGGAAAACATGACAAACTTAACAATGGCTATCCATAAGGAGAGATAAGAAAGGGATACTTGCATTTTTTTTACATTTATACACTGCTTTTTAATGTGCCCATATTATGTATTTAAGAATATATTTTTTAAAACAGAATAATTATATAAGAATAGTCTTTAAATTATGGGTCTATCTTCAATAATTTCTAAGAATCAACTACCCTTACTGAAAAGACTCCTTCAGAGTATTTAACAATCAATATGGCAAACAATTAAGCCACCTTTCTTCCTTTCTATAGCAATGTCTTCCTCTCCTTAGTATTTTTTCTCTTCCCCTCAAATACAATCAGTTGCCAAGTCTAGTTGATTTTTTTCCATTTCCTCTGCTAATACCCTAGGTTTAGGGTTTCAATAATATCTTTTGTTAGATAATATTGGTAGTAGAAGGAGATATTGTTACTAAATTCTTCTGTGTGGCAGGTGCTTCACATGTCTGTTCTCTAATCCCTATAGTAATTACAGAAGGTTGATATTATTAGGTTAGTGCAAAAGTAACTGCGGTTTTTGCCATTACTTTAAAAAATGCCTCACTTTTAAAACAGCATAATCAAATAGGTGAAAAGTAGAATCTCATTGCTTTAACTTAAATTTCTCTAACTCTTAAGAGGTTCAGCATATTTACTCATCTTTTTGATTCTCCTGTGTCATTTCATGTCATATGTTTCGCTTTATTTTTTCCAATTAGGTGACTGTCCTTTGCTTATTGATTACAGATGTTTCTCATACATTTTGATTTTTTCCCTCAACTTAAAAATAAATAAATTTTTTTAACTCGAAATAACTTTTATTTTAGATGCAAGGGGTACACATGCAGGTTTGTTACCTGGGTATACTGCATGATGCTGAAGTTTGGAGTACATTTGATCTCATCAGCCAGATAGTGAGCATATTATCCAATAGTTAGTCAACTCTTGCCCCCTTCCTCCCTCCCGACTCTAGTAGTCCCCAGTGTCTCTTGTTGCCATCTTCATGTCCGTAAGTACCCAGTGTTTAGCTCCCACTTACAAGTGAGAACATGCAGTATTTGGTTTTCTTTTCTTGCATTAACTCACTTAGGATAATGGCCACAAGCTAAATCCATGTTGCTGCAGAAGTCATGATTTCTTTCCTTCCATAGTGTATATGTACCACATTTTCTTTATCTAATCAACTGTTGATGGGGTACCTAAGTTGATTCCATGTTTTTGCTATTGTGAATAATTCAGTGATGAACATATGAGTCCATGTCTTTTTGGAAGACCAATTTATTTTCCTTTGGACATATAGCCAGTAATGGGAGTGTAGGGTCAAATAGTAGTTCTATCTTAAAGTCTATGAGAACTCTCCAAACTGCTTTCCACAGTGGCTAAACTGAATTAGATTCTTACCAACAGTGTTTAAGAATTCCTTTTTCTCTGCAGCATTGCCAGCATCTGTTGTTTTTTGACTGTTTAATAATAGCCATTTCAACTGGTGTGAGTTGGTATCTCATTGCGGTTTTGATTTGCACTTCTCTCATGATTAGTGATGCCCTCAACTTAAAAAAAAATGTTTTTAAACGTACAGAAAAGTTGCTAAGAATAGTATAATGAACACTCATATATCCTTTACCTGCACTCACCAATTACCAGTCATTAACATTTTGCTACCTCTCTCTCAACTGTCTGCCTCCCAAACTCTCTGTTACTTGCAAACTGTGTGTGTGACATTGTGGCAATGCTCACCTAATATCTTAGCATGTATTCACATATTCTCTGTTGTTAATGCCTACTGCTATTCTGGCCCTTCAAAGGTACCTTCTCTAACCTAATGAACTCTCAGCACTTTCTATATCATGCATTTACTCTTTCTTTTTTTTGGAATGTACTGTTATCGGCCATATGTCCAAATCTTATCCATCCTTCAAAGTCCACTCAAATGCCCTTTAACCCATAAAACGTACTCTTCTAAATATTCCTTCAGTTATATGTGCCTCTTTTTATACTACATACTGCTTTCTTCTTGGAAGGACAATTATTTGTATATATGTCTCTCTCCCTTAATAGTCCATGGGCACTTGAGGAAAGGAAGCATATCGAATAGCAAGTTCTATTTTTCATAGAGCTTAGTATAGTCTCTTACATATAGGAGATACTCAATAAACAACTACAAAATCAATCAGCAAAATCACTGAATAAATGTATGTTTGTGAGAGAATCGGAGGGAGAATTAGATTCTACTTCTGACCTTTTAGCAACTTTCTTTGTAATTTAATGCAAATTAAAATCCTAATCCTGATGTGAAAGTATTTGGAGGTGGGACTTTTGGAAGACAATTGGGTCACAAAGGTGGAGCCCTCATGATTTAGACTAGTGTCCTTATAAGAAGAGGCCAGAGAATAACCCTGATTAACATAGATGCAAGAATCCTCAACCAAATACTAGCAAACCAAATTTAGCAGCACATCGAAAAGATAATACACCACAGTCAAGTGGGTCTTATTCTAGAGATACAAGGATGGTTCAACATATGCAAATCAATAAATGTGATTCGCCACATAAACAGAATTAAAAACAAAAACCATATGATCATCTCAATAGACATAGAAAAAGCATCTGATAAATTTGGCATCCCTTCATGATAAAAACTCACAACAAATGAGGCATCAAACAAACAAACCCAGAGCCAACATCATATGCATCAGGGAAAAGTTGAAAGCATTCCCCCTAGGACTGGAACAAGACAAGGATGCCCACTTTTACCAGGGAACATAGCACTGGAAGTCCTAGCTAGAGCAATCAGGCAAGAGAAAGAAACAAAAGGCATATAAATTGGAAAAAAGGAAGTCAGATTATCTCTGTTCACTGATAATATGATCTTTTATGTAGAAAACCCTAAAGACTCCTACAAAGGACCCCTAGCTTTGATAAATGATTTCAACAAAGTTTCAGGATACAAAATCAAGTACAAAAATCAGTAACATTTCTATATATCAATGGCAATCCAGTTGAAAACCAAATAAATAACTCAGTCTCATTTATAATACATACCAAAAAAATACCTAGGGATACATTTATCTAAGGAGGCAAAAGATCTCTACAAGGACAACTACAAAATACTGATGAAAGAAACCAGAGATGACACCAACAAATGAAAAAACATTCCATGCTCACAGACTGGAAGTATCAATATTGATAAAATGACCATACTGCCCAAAGCAATCTACAGATTCAACGTAATCCCTATCAAATTACCAACATCATTTTTCACAGAATTAGAAAAACAATTCTAAAATTCACAGGGAACTAAAAAAGAGCCTGATTAGCCAAAGCAATCCTAAGCAAAAGAACAAAGCTGGAGGCATCAAATTATCTGATATCAATTTATATTACAAGGCTATATTAACCAAAACAGCATGGTATTGGTATAAAAACAGACAAATAGATCAGTGGAACAGAATAGAGAACCCAGAAATAAGGCCACATACCTACAACCAACTGACCTTTGACAAAGTTGACAAAGATATACACTGGGGAAAGGACACTCCATTCAATAAATGGTGCTGGGAAAACTGGAGAACCATATACAGAAAATGAAACTGGACCCATATCTCTCACCATTTACAAAAATTAACTCAAGATGGATTAAAGACTTAAATGTAAAACCTGAAACTATAAAAATCCTAGAAGAGGCTGCGCATGGTGGATCACGCCTGTAATCCCAGGACTTTGGGAGGCTGAGGCGGGTGGATCATGAGGTCAGCTGATCGAGACCATCCTGGCTAACACAGTGAAACCCCATCTCTAGTAAAAATACAAAAAAATTAGCTGGGCGTGGTGGTGCGCGCCTGTAGTCCCAGCTACTCAAGAGGCTGAGGCAGGAGAATGGCGTGAACCCAGGAGGTGGAGCTTGCAGTGAGCCGAGATGTTGCCACTGCACTCCAGCCTGGTTGACAGTGTGAGACTCTGTCAAAAAACAACAACAACAAAAAAAAAAACCCTAGAAGAAAACCTAGGAAAGAAAAACTCTTCTGGACATTGACATAGGCAAAGAATTCATGACTAAGTCCTCAAAAGAAAATGCAACAGAAACAAAAATAGACTAATGGGACTTAATTAAAAAGCTCCTGTACAGCAAAATAAATAATTAACAGAGCAAATAGATAATGTACAGAATGGGAGAAAATATTTGCAAGCTATGCAGCCAACAAACGGTTACTATTCAGAATCTACAAGGAACTCAAACAACTCAACTGGAGGCCATTATCCTAAGTGAAAGAACTCAGAAACAGAAAATCAAAGCTACGTGTTCTTACTCACAAGCGGGAGCTAAACAATGGACACAGAGTGGAACAATGGACATGGGAGACTCCAAAAGGTAGAAGAGTGGAAGGAGGGTGAGGGTTGAAAATTTACCCATTGGGTATAATATTCACTATTTGGGCAACAGGTACACTAAAACCCAGACCTCACCACTATGCAATATATCCATGTAACAAAACTCCATTTGTGTCCCCTAAGTCTACAAAAATAAAAAAAAAAAACATTAAAAGAGGCCAGAGAGCTAGCTAGCTTGGTCTCTGCCATGTGGAGACACAGGGAAAAGTCAGTTGTCTGCAACCTGGAAGAAAGCTTTCATCAGAATCCAACCATCTTTATATGCTGACAACCAGATCTTGGATTTGCAGCTCCAGACTGTCAAGAAATAAATGTTTTTGTTAAAGCCATGGAGTCTATGGTAATTCGTTACAGCAGCCTGAACCAACTAAAACAAACATACACTTAATGAGATCTATTAACTCTTTCAAAAGCTATAAGTAGTGCCAAGACAAGTAGTAGACCAACATTCCCAGAGAGAACTTCATTCTCCTTAGCACAACATAGTGTCTTTATGACCAGGGTTGGTTTATCAGCTTCTAATGTAACAGGGCAGGGAGGGGGAATGGCTGTTAGATAGATATGAATCTCAGACTTGGAATTAGAAGAACTTTCGGTTTGGCCTTCTGGCTATGAAACCTTGGGCAAATCACTTAACTAGCCCCTATGATTCTCAGAGTTCTTAGCTATAAAATGCAGATGACCATTCCTCCCTGGGGCTGTTGTTAGAATTTGTGAAATAATGGATGCCAAATCACTTAGCACAGTTGCCTAGCTTAATAGATGCTCAATAAATGTTAGCTGAATGCAACCTATGGAATCTCAAAAAACATATTTTTAGGAGTTACAATGACAATTATAATAGTACATAACATCACTAAGGTGTGAGGGTGTGATTTTAACCTTTTAATAGTAAAATTTGTTGAAGACATCTAGATTCTGCTATTTGAAAAACTATTTTCACTAATATTTTATATCTTACACAGAATAATCAGACAACGAGCTCTTTAGTTGTAAGTAAACCTGTTCACAAGAAACTATATTGAAATTGACAGAAGGCCATCATGTTTTATGGTTTCAGTGACAGATTGTAGTACTGTAAAGCTAATAGTTATTAAAGGCTTAACATTAGGCATGGGGCAGTTTTGAAGGAGGATACAGAATATGTAAAAGATAGCTATTTAGGCTGGGTACAGTGGCTCACACCTGTAATCCCAGCACTTTGGGAGGCCAAGGCGGTCAGACTGCTTGAGCTCAGGAGTTCAAGACCAAGCTAAGCAACATGGAGAAACCGTATCTCTACAAAAAATACAAAAAATTAGCCGGGTGTGGAGGTGCACACCTGTAGTCCCAGCTACCTGCAGGGCTGAGGCAGGAGGATCACTTGAGCCTTGGGCCAGCAGGTCAAGACTGCAGTGAACCATGTTTAAGCCACTGCACTCCAGTCTGGGTGACAAAGCAAGACCCTGTCTCAAAGAAAATGAAATAAAATAATAATAAAATATGGTTATTTCAATCAGAATCCTAGGACTGGGAAAATTCAGAGCAGGGGGAGCTAGGAAAACACGAGCAATTTTCCCCTCCTGCTTTACCAGTTATATTAATTGTGAATTATTTAAGTCTACTGGGTTTAAACTTGCCTGCATTGTAAGTACTTCTTGCTTTTAATTCTAAAATCAGATTTTCCAGACATACAGAAAAGTTAAAACAAAAAAAAAATGGTTGTAAAGGTGGGAAATACGGAAGCAAGAGGGGTTTTAGAAGAAACTAACGCTCAGAGCAACTTGAAAGGGAAAAACAAATTAACTTTGATCTGTTTTCATTAAGGAGAGAGCTAGATAGTGAAGCTGGAAAGGACACTATCATCTTGCTAGTTAAATGTGTGTGTGTTGTGTAATTAAAATGTCTAAATGTTCATAAAAAGATGACATGCACATAAAATGTCATCTTGACTTATTAAAAAAACTGCTTTGCTCAAAAAAGGACATGTAGACCATATAAACTCTTGCCCTTAATAAAACAATCAGCAATTTTCTTTAATTTGTTCATCTTTCTTACAGTTCTCATATACATATTATATAAAATATACCAGTTTTTAAATATTGGCCTTCCAAATGTGAACACTGCAAATGTGTTAAGAGGAAAACAATGTCAGGTCTCCATTTGTGATGGTGCAAATCAATGTCTCTAAAAAGAGCAGTCTGAACTATGGGTTATTGTTGTTACCAAACAGAAAAACAGTCTGTGTGACCATCACCAAGGAAGAAAAAGCGTAAAGTAAAAACACTGCTAAAAGCAAACAGAATTCTTGAACTGTCTGACATAATTTGAGTTGAGAAATAAAGTGTACCTCAGCCCCTCAGTTTTAAAATCTGCTCAAATATTTGGTGCAAGTCTGTAGAGCTGGATTTCATTGAGCCGCTGGTCAATTGTTAGGGACAGAGGTGTATAAAAGGCAGATGAAGTCTTGTCTTCTCAAGGTCAATACATCTTCTCTAAAGTCCCCATACATCCCTAACTCTAATCAGTAATTGTCATTAAAAGCTCTCATTATGTGAAGTAGGTGCAATTAGAGCATCTTGCCCTCACAAGGTATACTGCACTGAGAAGGCTGGAGGTTCATAAATTAGTGCCAATTCATTCTCCCTCTATCTTCCATACATTCTGCTGTGAGAGAGAAAAATTATATTCATACACATTAAGGCAAAAGCCCACTGGCCCCTACAAAATTACCCTAAACAGTAACTGTGGTTATTTGAGGAACTCCCTATTTCATTATGCGTCTCAGGAATAAAAGAGATAAAGTTTGCCATCAATAACACTGAACATATCTGCTGAAACCCGCAGATTCCAAGACATTAATAATTCAAAATCTTGTGGGAATTTTGTCATGGTGGAGATACGACTTGTCTGCAAACGGAGCTCAGGGGATGCTCAGTATGATCTATTCTTGTATATACATACAACTGCTGCATTCATCATGACATGCAAAAGAACACAGGACTCTGTTGTATCTCTATAATTTCTGAAATTCGTGAATCTATATTATAAAGTCATTATGCATAACATAATATGTTCCCATTCTCACATGAAGGGTAACCATGATAATATGTCATTATACCATACAGACTAAAAGGATTGGTAAATATATTCTATCTCCCTTATCTCTTAAACCTATGTGCCATAATTTAAAAAACATTGAGATTGAATGGTCAGAGGCAGAAAAGAGAGAAAAACACCTTGGCTGTCTCTCTAGTGGGAGATATATATGTATGTGTATATATGTGTGGGTCTATATATGTGCATGTATATATTTTTATGTTTATATATGTGTGCAAAGATGAATACACACACACACTCACTCATACTCACATACCTATGACCTTCAGATTTACTGAAAAACAAAAAATTGGCAATGCCAATTATGTCACTCATTGTTGTCCCAGGGCTCATCACCTATGAAGATGACAATAGCAAAAATATCCACCAATATTTTTCCCCAAAGGTCCCTTAAGAGATGAGCCAGACCCCTCAATGCCTGGTGAAAGATTTTGAACAATTCTTAATACTAAAGCCAGAATAATCTTTCTAAAACTCAAATTGAATAGCATCATTCTCTTGTGAAAATTCTTCCTATTGCCCTTAGAGTAAAGCCCTGATACCTCCTTAACAAAACCCACAAGACACTGCATGACCTTGCTACCACTGACTACCTCAGCCTCATCTCAAGCAATTCTCCTCTCCATTTTCTGAGCTCATGGCACAATGGCTTTCTTTTAGTTCCTTAAAAACAACATGGGCAATCCTGCCTCAAGGCCCTTGATCATGGTGTTCTCTCTTAATAAATGTTCTCCACTTAGGAAATTCCATTGTTCAGGTCTCAGCTTAAAAGTCAATTGTGTCCCAGCTATTGCAGGGTGGTGGGTGGCTGAGGTGGAATGGTCACCTGAGCACAGGAGGTAGCGGTTGCAGTGAGCTGTGATCATGCCACCACACTCCAGCCTGGATGACAGAGCAAGGCCCTGTCTCAAAAAAAAAAAAAAAAAAAAAAAAAAAAAGTCAATTGCTACTAAGTGTTTCTGTGTGTTAGGCATTATGCTCCATTCTTTACATGCATTTTTAAAATTTAGCTTTTATAACAACCCCATGAGCTTATTAGCATTATCTCCATTTACAGATGTGAAAATGAGTCCTAGAAAGATTAAGAAATATGTACAAGATCACAGAGCTTGTAAATGGTGGAGGTGGAATTCACTGAGGTAGTCCTTCTACTACATTATCTCTTTATACTTTACACTCTGGTTAACAACTTTGACATAATCAGTAGCTTAATGTTTTCTTTCCACACTAGAATGTAACCTCCATAAAGACAGAAAGTACCCTGTTCACTATGGAATAGACATTGTGCTGGCACTGGGAACAAATAAATGAACAAATGTTTCTTCTTGAATGAATGAGTGCATGGCATACTGAGTAATTTCTATAAAACACAGAGGAAAGAAAGGCTACCTTAAAAGAGTTCAAGATACATTGCTACCTATCCAACTCAAGCAGTGAATTTGGAAAGTTGAAATTGGGATAAATTATTACCAAATACTGTATGAAGTTCCATCAAAATCCATAGTAAATATAATCTGAATATAAAATGTATGAAACTAGTCTTTAGGGGAAGGGAATATACAGGCACCTACCAATAAGAGCAATTATTCTGGGAACCTTTTGAAAATTCAGTGCTCTATAGCATTCAGAGTAGGCCTGATAGCTCCTGACTTCAATTTCAAAGTACAAACACATTTAAAATCTCATTTAAAAATTATGTATAATTAAGGTAAAATTGTTTCAAAGACCCATAGAATATCCACTTCAATGAATATAGCTAAAATATGGGAATCTAAACAGAGTCAGTATTATTCTGTATTATTTCAGGAAATCTAATCAGCACAATTGGAAGTTTTCTTGAACTTGATATGTAAGGCCAATATCACCGACTCTGGGGACTGGTCAAGGTCAGCCCTAGATTTCGAATTCTCATAATCCATGGTTATAACATAAATAAAAACCTGATTTAAGTCTTTATTTCAACATCCTACCTCATTAAATCTTTTATCTACCAGTGCTGTGACTAAATAACAAAATCAATAGGTATTGTTTCTTATTTTTCCTTTCTACAACAAAGAAATGGCCAAGGTATGATGAGCTTGCCATGAAAAGATTTTCAAGGGAGTACAGCTCTGTTGCCCAGGCTGTAGTGCAGTGGCGCAATCTTGGCTCACTGCAACCTCAGCCTCCTGAGTTCAAGCAATTCTCATGCCTCAGCCTCCTGAGGAGCTGGGACTACTACAAGAGCACACCATTACACCCGGCTAATTTTTGTATTTTAGTAGAGATGGGGTTTTGCCATGTTGCCCAGGCTGTTCTCGAACTCCTGAGCTCAGGCAATTCATCCGCCTCGGCCTCCCAAAGTGCTAGGATTACAAACCTGAACCACCGTGCCCAGCCCCACACTTTTATCTTCAAGCAATACTGTATACTGATTTAGGGAGCAAACAGAGTCCAAACATGTACACACACAATAAACATGAACCACATAAACAAATGAAAATATGGAAGACATTGGAAAAGATTCAAGTATATCTTTCTTCTGAGTCCTTTTTCTCACCCATGGGATCACATTTCTCCATATTCTTATTCATATGGTATAAATTGAATAATTTCTATTCCTAAAAACTCATGCCTTTTTAGAAATACATGACCTTTGTTCAGCTACAAGAAACATTAAAAGGGAATATTGTTCTCCAAACAACATTTCTACTTCTTCCATAAAGCCTTCCTTGATATTCTCCGTTTTCTCCTCTGAACTCTCACTCCATGTTTCCATGTCACCTCTCCTGCTATTACATGCTTCTCTATTAAAATGCAGTTTTGGCTGGGCACAGTAGCTTATGCCTATAATCCCAGCACCTTTGGAGGTGGAGGCTGGAGGACTGCCTGAGAACAGGAGTTTGAGACCAGCCTCAGCAATATAGCAAGACCCCCAACTCTACAAAAAAAGAAAAAAAAAATTTAACTTAGCCAGGCAATGTGGCTAACATAGTGCCAGAACATAGTCCCAGCTGTTCAAAAAGCTGAGGCAGGAGGATTGCTTTGGGCCCAGAAGTTCGAGGCTGCAGTGTGCCGTGATCATGCCACTGCACTACATTCTAGGTAACAGAGCAAAACACTGTCTCAAAAGAAACAAACAAATAAAACCCCCACACAGTTGCTACTATCTTGTATTTCATAGATTTATGTGTACATGGCTTCCTTTTTAAAGCAGAAGTTCATTCAGGCAGATTTTACATCTGAATATTTTTTGTAACCATTCCTTCCCCAGCACTTTTCATATTGGTGCACCTAATAGATAGAACAATTTACTGCACAAATAAATGACATGGCTGCTTGTGAGTGAACTGGAGTCAGGTGCTGACACATATATTTGCTCCCAACATACACTAACATCGGACATGCTTTTTAGTATTAATATGTAATAACGTCAATGAAAACCAAAACGAGTATATATATATATATTACACAATTACACAGCATGAATGTCTTGCTAGAGGAGTGTTACTACTTTGTTTGTTCAATATTTCAATATATTTTCTATCCCCCAAGTCACCTCTGTACATAGTACTTGTATTCAACCATACATGTCATTTGTTTTTCTTTGTTCAGTTTGAACTCTATAGAACTTAGCATACATGAAAATCAATGAGATGTCCTCATAAAAGTAAGCCAAGTTAGCCTTTGAATTTGAGACACTGATCATTCTTCTTTCTTTAAATGTATGTATCATGGATTGCTCTCATTATACGACAATCTACGAGGTTTTTCTCCCACATCCTTCCAATATTAATTATTTCTTCTCTCTGGCTCAGACATATTATATAAAAGGTTGCTTAATCATGTCTATCTGAAGAGGATTGATAAGGTAACTAGATTCTGGTATCATTTGACATTTTGTTCCCTAACTGAATCACCCTGCTTGGTTCAAGTCTTTGACTACAAAATGGGACCATTATGTTAACTTTTAAATAAAGGAATAACTAATTAAACCAAAGTAATTCAAAGGGCTTGCAACATGGAAAGAAACACAGATACTCATAGAAAAGTCTATTTTAGTGGAAAGAGAATATCTAAATAAAAATTTTCCTTCAAGTGATGGATATTTTACCAAAAGCTTTAAATCAAATAAATTATTTTTTACATTATGGTATGAAAGTCAAAAGCTCATGAAAGTAGAAAAGGTTGATAGTTTTAGATTACATTACCCTAAATAAAGAAGGAATTGTTGCTGACATCACCTTAAATATACTGCATATTGACATGTTTTTGAAGGAATTACAGTTGTGTGGAACAAGTCAAAATCAAATTTAGTTCAATCAGTTGCAGCACATTTTTTAAAAATAAAAACATATTAGGATACAAATACATGAAAAGGCCTTACCAACCTTACTCTTTATGTACCAAATTTTTAAATCCATGCTTATTTGCAAGCAAAAAAATATGTACTTTGGTAAAATTGTGGGATTATATATATTCAGAAAAAGAGTAATTGCACATACACACAAATTCCGGACCACTACTTCCTTTAAAATCACTGAAAAAAAAAAGCATTGAGGGACCAGCCCCTTTAGAAATTCAGTACAATATGTTTAAACCCATACAAAGAAAAGTCACCAAGATTTAAACACAAATAACAAAAGGAAAAGGAGAAAAAGAAAGAAGAGAATTAAGTCAAACACTCTGTTAACTGAATTCAGACTTTCGGCTTTTACAGGCCATTAATCTAATATATGCCAAATTAGATTTTCAAATTCCATAACATTTGATTTCTTTTCTAAAACCAGTTTACCCTCAATCCCAGAAGTTTTTCTTTCAAAGATAAACTACAATTCTAAGTGGAATTTCTATTCAACTAGGAATTCTGTTGTTTTTTTAAAGTATTTATGAATCATATTTATGATATTTACGATTTTACTCTCCCCAAACATTACTTTTGACTTTAATAAAGTTAAGACCGATGTAAGAACTAAAAGATGGTTTACTGTGTATTAAATAACGCTCATTTTAAAGCAGGGCCACTTGCACACTATATGTCAACTAAAATAATGTCAGAAAAGTTTTCAGACATCTGGGTATTTCTTCCAACTTAACAACTCAAACAACACCAAAATTATCCAGGAATTTCAGGATAAAATAGTTCTGCTTTAGAAACACATCCCCAATAATGTATATAATTGATCACTGGTAACCTTTCTCATTTGTGCTGTGGAGACAAAATCCTTGAGCTTGAAGAAACCATAACTATGTTCTGGTCTGCACGAGGGATAGTTTGCATAGGATTTTTAGCAGTTGGGGAGCTTGAAGCTTTCCTTCATATCCTGTTTAATGGGACTTCTAATTAATGTCACTCGTGAACTTTAAATTGCAGAGTGAGATCATCCACACACAATTCCTTCATTATGGCTAGTCCACTCACACTGAAGCAGTGTTGAAACATTAAGTCTGCAAGTTGTTCAAGAGCCAATAAATAAAGAACTGCAACAGGATGCCCAAGTAGTCCTTGTACAGTCAGTAAATTTAACGTGGCTTCAAAACAGGAGAGCAGAGGAAACACCTTTAGGAATTCTCTGGGGTATGATTTAACAATACAAAACAAGAGTGGAAACTAAAGCTGAAAGAAAAACTGGATAAAGCAATAACAAACGAAGTTGTTCATTTTGGGCAGAGACTCTGAGGACCAGAAGTTTAAGACATGAAGTTGTAAAGCAAAGTTCGCTCTTCAGGCAGCCCAGGTATATATAATGTCACAAGTGTCCAAAGATTTATTGACGTAGCATTGGAATTTTCTGCAACATCATGTAATCAGAACACAATAACTCTTAGGAGCGTCTTGACATTTCTGAAAATATGTGGATATGCATGTGAATGACTGTATGAATAGGGAAAAATATTCTGTTGTGTACTAAAAAATAGATAAATCTTTTTACATGAGTCAGTATCCTACAATTTGACATTTATTTTGGCAATAAAGTATCAATTAGGATATAAGGAAGAGCCATGTAAAAAAGTTAATAATTACATACACTCGTATATACACACATTTATACATACACAGAAAATGAATGTGTGGCATCCATTATAGCTTAAATATTTAGTTAACTTTCTGGTTAAAGATATAGTTAGAGAAGTAGTATCAAAAAGATTCTTCATCACAAAAGAAGTCAGAGAAGAAAAATTAAGATCAAGAAAAGCAGAAACACCAAAGGAGAATCTATATTCCATCAACTTCTTACCAAACCGTGGAATATTTGTTATAAGAAAAGTAGACAAGCCTAGGACCAGTGATCAGGAAGTCCTCTAATTTGACATAATAAGAAACAGATTTATGGACCACAGCATGCTGGAATTACTATTCTTCAGAAAAGAATCTGTGGGTGATGTCAAAAGACAAGAATAAAATGTGGCTTTGTAAAGGCTTTGAGAGGCAGAAACAAACAACAAGTACATCCTGAAAAAGGAGAAAAGAATGGAGAGAAAAAATAGCCAAAGTGGGAAAAGAGAAACTCTGCATGTGACTAGGTATCACAGACCAGTGACTGGTAAGACTCCCAAAGTCCCAGGGTTTTTGCTCTAGCTGAATCCTAGAAAAATGGTTCATTTATTCTACAGATATTTAGCACATACTAGGTGCCAGGCACTGTGTAAGCAGCAGGAGAACGGGAGTGAAAAAGGCAGACAAGGACCCGACTCTCTAGTGGAGATTGACAGGCAATGGGGAAATTAACAAGATTAACTTTTAATAGTGGTAACCTAGCTGATAAGAGAATAAACAGGGTAATGTGATAGAAAGCACTAGGGCGGTATTCAGGGAAGGCCACTGTAGAGCTGTCATTTGAGCTGACACTGGAGTGACAAGAGGAGCAAATCTAGTGAAGATCGGAGGAAAGAGTGTTCTAGACACAGGGGGTGGCTAGTTCAAAGGTTCTGAGGAGAAAACAGGCTTGAAATGCTTGAGGGGAGAAAGTCTTTGCTGCTGTGGTGAGCTGACTGTGGAGGGTGTAGCATAAGGTGGAGCCACAGAGGAAGGGCGAGCTAGATAACAGGGCTTACTGGTTGGGATAAGGAGTGTAGATTTTAACCTAAGGGCAATAGGAAGTTAAGAAAGGTTTTTAACACCAAGAAAGAGTTGGGAGAGAGTATGGGAATACAATGTAAACGTTTATATTATTTAAAGATTACTACAGCCAATGTGTGGAGTCAAAATTTCAGGGGGATTAGAGTAGAAGGAGGTGGACCAATTAGGGAATAATTACAGCACAACAGGCATAATTACAGCACAAGAGGCAAAATGAGTTAATGGCATCTTGAATTTGAATAGTCATAGTGAAGATGAAGAGAAGTTGATAAACTCAAGATACAGTTTGAAAATAGATCCGATAGCATTTTCTGATAAATCAGATACGGGGAGGGGAAGACAATGGAAAGAGAGAAATCAAGGAACATTTTTAAGACCACGTAACGGGGAGAGGCATTCACTGAATTAAGAAATATAGAGAAAGAAGCAGTTTAAGGATGGTGAGATCAAGACTTCTACTTTGCGCACAGTAAGCTTGAAATACTTTTTAGATATCTAGGATGGAACATAACGTAGGCATTTTGATGTATGAGTCCAGCATTTAAGAAAAAAATCAGTGTTGAAGATATCAATTGGCACAGAACAAGCATTTTGATGTTACATCAAACCACAGGGTTGGATGATTGGATAAATTTTCCTGGGAAGATACTGTAGACAGAGTAAAGGCCAGGACCCACAGCCAGGCCTGAGACCCTCTAACATTTAGAGGTTACAGAACCTATGTAGGGAATTGAGAAGGGGAGCAGTCAGTGAAGTAGACAAAAACCCCAGGAGAAAGAGGTATCATGGAAATGAAAAGAGAAACATGTTACAAGCAGCAAGTGATCAATATTGTCTACTACTGCCAAGTGTTTTTGTAAGATGAGGACAGAAAAATCACCACTGGATTTGGAAGATGGAGGTCACTGGTGACCTTGACAAGGGTAGAGCCTAAAGGCTGAGTAGAATGCTAGGGAGGCTTAATTAAATTGGGTATGGGGTGGGATTGGCACTGTTAAAAGTAGAAATTGGAACACTTGTTTCAAATTTTGCTTGAAAGAAGAGCATAAAATAGGGCAGTGGCTAAAGGGGTACTCGGGCGGTGTTATAAGAGCACGATCCAGTAGAGGTTCACAGTCATCCTATTCTGGTTTCTAGGCTTTAGTACAAATACCTAGGATGAAAAGCAGGATCTCGAATTACTTACTGAGTGACTTATCGAAACGTTTTCTGAACATCTACTAGATGTGAGGCACTGTGGTAGTAATTAGAATAGAACTAAGGATATGGGCTCTGAATTTCAGCACTTGAGCTCTTGCTAGGGAGCAGAACCTTCATCTGAGACTTGTGGAATTTTTCCACAAGTTTTTTTGGTTCCAAGGAACCAAAAAAGTAGGCTAAGCTCCAGGTCCTTCTGAACATACTCACCATTTGATGACAGACGTGAATGAATAGTGTGTCGATAAGGGTTTCTACCTTCCCTACAGATACATTGTTTACTTAAAGAACAAATTTTCTGGTCTTGCAGACATGAAAAGAAGAATACAAAATAAACAGAAGTGAGTCTGCATGCACTAAAAATTGCATAAAATGTATGTTGACATTTAGGGAATGAATATCTACTTACATATAAAAGTGTAAAGAAAATTAGCAACAAGAAAAATACTCCCAAAGTAACAAAGTAAAAAATGAAGATATCAATGAAAGAAAAGAAACTGCAAACACTGGATGACCCCAAGATTCAGAACAGCTAAAATTTGCTAGCTGAGTAAGGAATCAGAGAGGAGCATCAGCTGAAGTCATTCAGCAATGATCAATCAGTATTTTTCTGAGAGATCATAAGCTACTCTGACGGCAGGCGATAAAATCTTCTGGTTGGAAAGACCTTCTCTATTCTAATCTCCTGATTTACACTGGCTGCTGATCCCTTAGTAACCCTTAGTGCTTCACAATCCTCCTATACCCACTGTCCTCCCCAAATTATGGTTACTATCTGACTTGGTTCATCTTCTGGATGATGATGGATGACTTAATTACAGAAATGAAGGCAAAAATGAAATACAAAAGGAGAGGCCAGATATGAACAAAGGGGCAAACACACAGCCCTCTTACTATGGTTCCTTATTACTAAGCTTTGTATTTCCCAATGCCCAGGAGACCTGCATAACCACACTGGTGAGAGACGGAATAAAGAAAGAACAAAATGAGGGAAAGCAACACTTATTGCATGCCTCTTACACGCCAGTAACTCTGCCTAGGTTTTTCATGTTTTTTTTCAGGTTGGTTGCTGAACAATCCTGAGTTGCCTGTGGATGAGGAAACAGTGAACAAAAAGAGATAAGAGTCTTGCCCAAATTCACAGAGCAGCACAGACTGTGTGATTCGAAATACCACTATCTTCCCATTATAAAACACTGTGGATTCCATATGCTTGAAATATATTAAATCGAGAAGAAATAACATGGAAAATAGTAAGTCAAATAATATAGAAGTGTAACTTGTACTTTGGGGTGCTTTGAATCAGTATTTTTTGTTCAGTTTTCATAGGTCATCTAAGCTAATAATTAGATCAAAATAAACTTTATATTTTTAAAACCCAGATTAAAGATGATAATTAGGTATTAAATCTGTTTCAAATGGAATAAAAATTTACATCTATACCACCACTACAAAAAATGTACACATATAGACACTCAATTATTATCTTCATACCTAATTGAGAGTGAGTTGCAGACATGATACCCCATTGGTGGAGAATAGCATCTAGAAACCAAGATCCAGCATGCTAGGTACACTTATTGCTACTGGAGTGAAACTGATTTTAGGCTCTTTCAGTGGACACTGGTAGGAAAGATACATATGTGTATACACACATACCAATATCTGTTATATCTATTTTATATCTATCTATCTACATGTATTTTTAAAACATCAGGCAATACTGATACCTCTAATTTCAGTCAGCACCACAGGATGTATGCTAGTCTTCTCCCTTTCCATATTCATAACTCCCTTCTTCAACAGAGAGAAGTCAGGCTCCCATTACCCTTATTTCCTCATACCTCCTGCATGTAACCAATCTACTGGCCCTATCAGCCCCAACTGCCTCCTTACTCTTACCCACCTCCTGAGACTTCATCCCAGTCACCTCTTCAGCCCTGACCGCCTCCTGGGCCCAACACACCCGCTTGGTCCTAACTGCTTCCTCAGCCCTGACCCCACAGGCCACTCCAACCCTGGCTGCCTCAAGGGGAGGGAAGGAAACCAAAAACATGTTTTAAAAAACAGAAGAGGAAAGGGGAAAAAAGGGGGCAGGGGGACAGGAATAAGTAGCAGAAGAGCTCACCCTCATTCTTGAATGATGGTCTACTTGGGAATAATATAGGCTAGCAATTGTTTTCTAACTCCATTTCGCCTTGAAGACATTCCATTTTGGGGGGCCTCTATTACTGCTTTAGAGAAGCCAGCTGTCACACTAATTGTTGTTTATGCTGTTGTTGTTTTTTAGAAAGTTGTCTTTTCTCTCTGTTTCACCTGAAGATTTTCTCTTTGAACAGTGTATGTAGTGGTTAAGAGCACAGCTTCAAGAGCCAGATTGTCTGAATTCAAATCCCAGCTTGACCACAGACTAGCAGTGTAGTCTTGCAAAAATTTTCTAACTTTTCTGTGCCTTTTCTCTTCAGGAAAATGAGAATAATAATGAGTTAATGTCTATAAATATATGAGTTGGTATATATAAAGTGCTTAGAAGAGTACCTGCCACAAAGAATCCACTATCTGTTTGTTATTACTGCTAGTAGTAGTTATTGTAGTAGTCTTTGTTATATTGAAGTTTTACTATGATATATACAGGTGCAGATTTAGTTAAACTTACCCTGCTTGGGACCTGCAAAATTCATGTTGTAGTAATTCTGAAAACGTCTCAGCCATTTTCTTTCTGGAACTCTTGTCTGGAACTAGTTTTAACATTAATTTCTGGACTTGAGTTTCTAATCTGATGAAAACAGTATAAATCCATACTCCATAACCACCTATAGCACAGTCATGGAGTTTCCATTTTTCCCCCAGGAAACTTATTTTCTCCCACTGAAAGTCCCAGACTAAGAAGACACTTTGCTTATCTTGGCCAATGATTAGAGTTTTTCTAGTAGTGCTTTCCGTGAGAGGACACCTTTCAGGTTCCCAGGTTTATTGAGTGGTCTCAGTTCCAGCTAACTACCCAAGGCTACATTTCATATACCTGCATGTATACTTCACACCTAACTATGACAGCCTATCACATGCTTATATGTGCAATTTGGGCGCTTGATAATTGTCTTTTTGACATAAATTCCTAAAAATGGAACTGATCCAAAAAGAGCAAGCTGAACAGCAAAGCAGTTATCATTGTGAAATCTGGAGTTATTAAGACGTTAAGTTTAAATCTTGACTTTGCCACTTAATAGCTGTTATTATAGCTATTAAGGGGGAAGAAAATCCAAACTCTTTGAGTCCTAGTTTTCACAATTCTAATATAGGAGTAAGAATAGCTATTGTGAGGAAAGAATACAGTACATGCAAAGTGTGCAGCAGAGTACCAAGTCCATGATGGCTTTGATAGATGTTACTATTATTGCTATTGTTATTCTAAATGTTTTCAATTTTTATCCATATTGCTAAATTACCAAATAGAAAGACTATCCCTATTCACACACCTACCAACAGTGTGCTTTTGTTTTTGTTTTTGTTTTAAGACATGATCTTGCTATGTCTCCCAGGCTAGAGTGCAGTGGCATGCCTCCACCACCCGGGCTCAAGTGATCCTCCCACCTCAGCCTCCTGACTAACTGGGGTGACGAGAGCACCACTATACCTGGCTAATTTTGTTTTTAATTTTTTTGTAAAGACGGGGTCTCCCTGGGTTTCCTAGGCTGGTCTCAAACTCCTGGACTCCAGCAATCCAATTGCCTCGGCCGCCCAAAGTGCTGAGATTACAGGCCTGAGCCACCATGCTTGACCAACAGTATGAATCTGTATGTCTTTCCATTCTTGCCAACAACAGGTCTTGTGACTCTTGTTGAACTTTGCTAATTTTATAGATGGAAAATATTTTTATTTGCACTGATATGATTACTGGTACAGTTGTACATCTTTTCATAGGTTTGCTGCTCATTTATGTGTGTGTGTGTGTGTGTGTGTGTGTGTGTGTGTGTGTGACTGGTTTAAGATCTTTGTTCATTTTTCTATGGGTATATATGTTTCTATTTGATCTGTAAAAGTTGTTTATATATTAAAGATAAAAACATCCTCACCTATATATTGCTTCTTTTTAAAAAAATTCTTTACTTTTGGTAGAGACAGGCCCTGCTATGTTACTCAGGCTGGTCTTGAACTCCTGGCCTCAAGCAATCCTCCTGCCTTGGCCTCCCAAAGTGCTGGGGTTACAGGTGTGAGCCACCGCACCTGGCTTATGTGTTGCGTCTTTGTTACGTGAACTTTGGATATAAAAGCACTTCCCTGATATTTCACTGTAAAAATAAACTAAAGATGAAGTCTTTACTGATATACATTGCAGTGGTTTTTGTTATTGACAGTTTTGTTTGTACATTTCATGTGAAAAGAGCATAGGAATTATCTTTCTAGGTCAGGTCCCATCTCGCCTAACCAGTGCAAAATTCTGTTACTAACGAGTGACCTGGAGAACATGATAAAAAACAAGAAATCATGTTTATCAGAATAATACTTAAAATCAATTAGGATCTGCTCAGTTTACAGGAAGATTTACTATAGTTTAGTCTTTCACTGGTTATGAAATAAATTCACCCAAAGCCTTTTAAAATCAGTTTTTTGCCTCTGTTTAGTGGCTTTACTTATATTTTAAGAAAGTTTCCAGAATGCCCCTTCAACTTTCTATTTTCCAGATCTACCATCTTGGTCCATATTCATCTTATCCATACCATTCATGATTTGATAGATTTTTACTTTCTAGGCCAAAGAGTCCTAATCTTTCACTTTGTCCTTATATGTCAATTCCTCCTCACTCCCTCCTACTTCTCTGATCATTTTATAATAAATTGGCACCACAATAATGAAATTTACTGAGAAAACCAGATTTTGAGATGCTGCCATAACTAATGAAGTCAGAGAAATGATGAAAAGGGCTTTAATGAGGTTTGAAATACAGTTAGAATATTACAGATAGAAAATCAATTTGGAAAATGCTGTCAGCTTCATCCATGAAGAAAAAATTATTTAAACACACACATCTAAAGGACAGGAGTAACTATGAAGGCAATGAAGAACTGAGAATTGTTTTATAATTGAGAAAAACTCATTCTTTTTTATCTATCTATCTGCCTGTCTACCATATATAAAATTTTGTTATGATTAAAAGTCTAACTGGGTAGATGTACAAATACCTTGGATATTCAAATTCTGGAAGGCCTAGCAAATAATTAAGCATTTAATTATTTTAACTAACTCTTAATGCTATATAATCTTGGAGGCAGAAGGAAGAGTTTTTTTTTTTTGGCTCCCTTGCAATACCACTTACAAGATGATGCCTAATTTTGCTCATCCCATAGAATGTATTTTATATTCTTCAAGAGAAAAACTGAATTTGTGGATCCAAGACTAGCAGGTATTTTGGAGAAAAAAGGATATCTTTTCCATAAAGCCATTTTTGACAAGTACTGTAAAGCATTTGCATAGCAAAGAGAGATTACTGTTTAAATAGATTATATCAGATCATAGAACAATTGGGAGCTGTACTTCTCTTAAAGTAACTTATAAGATCTGGAAAACTACTTCCAGTCTGGGTTAGTTAAGCATTCAGTAGATTCTCAGTTCTTAATCATTGAAAATTAAATAAAAGCTACAGCCTTTCTTTCTAAAACAAAACAAACAAAATTAAAAAACCAAGAAAATCCATATACAATTATAGAATTTTATAGAATTTTCAATGTAAGTTTCTATAAATTATTGGGATCTCAGGTCCCTAGGCTAAGGAACTCTTGGCTCTAGAGCAATTTTGGTTATATTTCTGTGTTTTTTAAAATTTTGCTTTTAAGCCTATCGCTGAATACCTAATATATAAACCAATCTCCTGCTTTAGCTTAGGCACTCCATCTATTTATTTTGGACCATATTAGACTGACAGTTCCATGTCCTCATCTATAAGCTCTTCATTGGTACTTTGCATGGGAAAGCCTTGCCATGTCCTGAAAGCTGATCTCCACACTCTGCTATGAACAACTCAAATGGAGCGTGCTGTTTAATTATATTGGAGACCTAAGGATTTGCCAGAACATTCTTGCCAATTTGACATATAAGAAGCCAACCACCAGCCATCTGCTCAATGCCTAGTTCCTAGGATCCTTCCTTAAGAGTTTATTGTGCGTGGCCAGGCGCAGTGGCTCACTTCTGTGATCCCAGCACTTTAGGAGGCAGAGGCGGGAGGATCACCTAAGGTCAGGAGTTTGAGACCGGGCTGGCCAACATGGTGAAACCCCATCTCTACTAAAAATACAAAAATTAGCTGGGCGTGGTGGTGGGTGCCTGTAATCCCAGCTACTTGGGAGGCTGAGGCAGGAGAATCACTTGAATCAGGGAGGTGGAGGTTGCAGTGAGCTGAGATCACACCACTGCACTCCAGCCTGGGCAACAGAGTGAGACTACATCTGAAAAAACAAAACAAACAACAACAACAACAAAAAAGTGTTTACTGTGTGATTCTGGTCTCTCATATATAAACCTGACTTATTTTAGTGATGGGATCTTTCCTACCCCTCACTTTATCTTTTCAGAGTCCCAGGATATCTCATTGTACATAGAAGTCAAGCTATGGCAAGTGAGGCTGAAAGTATACCTGAGAAAAGTCAACTTTCCAACTCTAATCCTCTTTCACAATATTTAAGCAGTTTTATTGAGGTATAATTGATATACAAATAACTGCATATATTTAATGTGTACAATTTTATGAGTTTGAACATTGAAAACACCCATGATACCATCACCACAATCAAGTTAACGGACACATGCAATATTTCTCAGTGTTTCCTTGTATCCCATTGTTGCTCTTTGTAATAAGAACATGTAACATGAGATCTACGCTCTTTACAAATTCTGAAGTACACAATACTGTATTATCAAGCATAGGCATTATGTTGTACAAAAGATTTCTAGAACTTTAGCAGATAATTAAAACTTTATATACACTGAACAACCATTTCCCCCACATTCCAGAAGTTTCATTATTAAAGGGGGAAAAGGTGACTTCTGAGAGTAACAAATACGTATTTATTCAAATCCAGATACAGCATATTCTAAAATTGAAGATAATCTTTAAACAAACAGCTACTGTGCCAGACTATTAACTGCCTACTTTATAGCCATTCCCACCCTCTTATATGTTAACAGAACCCTGTTTTCTTTGGGACAACAATATGCCCAATCTAGGATATGACTCACTGTTAGTCTAGTTAGTCTAAACCAGTCACATTTCCAAGTAATATGTGCCTCAAATACATGACAGATAGCCGAGATATTGATTCCCCTTAACTCTCAGGGCAGAAGGACTGGGCCTAGATTAGCAGAAGCATTCTGTTCACCCTCAGGATGTACAACAAATGTTATCATTTCCTACACGTGCCATAAAGGGAAAAACGTCAGTCAGGAAGCACGTTTCTAAGCCAAATTCTGTTCCCTTGGATAGATACTCAATTTCTCTCCTCTCCTTACAGCTAGCAGTAATCCAGTTCTGGCCAATGCAACATTAGGGAAAGTCAGCTGAGAGCCTCCTGGAAATGCTTGTTCTA
This sequence comes from Homo sapiens, assembly GCF_000001405.40. Classification (NCBI taxonomy): domain Eukaryota; kingdom Metazoa; phylum Chordata; class Mammalia; order Primates; family Hominidae; genus Homo; species Homo sapiens. Next base: position 146,408,117 of record NC_000004.12, read on the forward strand.
ACATATAAAAGGACAGAAATAACAGGATAGCATATCAGCGGTGCCTTTTCCCTTTCTTCCTACCTCGAACAAAAATACAATGCCTAAAACCTCAACAGCCATCTCACTACCATGAAGTAACAAAGCATGAGGATAAAAGACCAACAGCTAGCCAGGCACGGTGGCTCACAGCTATGATCTTAGCATTTTGGGAGGATGAGGCAGGCAGATTGCCTGAGCTCAGGAGTTTGAGACCACCCTGGGGGCAACATGGTGAAACTCTGTCTCTACTAAAATACAAAAAATTAGCTGGGCGTGGTGGTGCACACCTATAGTCCCGGCTACTTGGGAGGGTGAGACACAAGAACTGCTTGAACCCTGGAGTGACAGAGCAAGACTGTGTCTCAAAAAACAAAACAAAACAAAACAAAACAAAAAAAATACCAACAGCTAAGAATAATGGAGCAGAGAGATGGAAAGAGCTTGAGACTTTATATTGTTGAACATCAGACTCAAGGCCAACAACTGACTACTTCGAAAATGGGAAGTAGACAATTGTTGATCTTGGGCCTGATGTTCAACAATATAAAGTTGACTGGTGGACACTAATGGAGGGAATATTTTAAGTCAATTTTTTTTCTCTGAAGCATCCTTTAATTCTCAGCTTTGTAGGAATATCAACCCTCTTGTTCTCAGATTATCTAATGCTTTATTATCTATTAATATCTATACCACTTTAAGCCTTAGTGGGGTGACATCAGCTTTAATGTTAATCATTTCTATTGCATTCTTCATGGCTCAGAATTTCAGCCTCCTAGAAATTTCAACATATTATGGCAGTACTGGTTGTTAATCCAGCAGCTAAGTGGAAATTCCAAGAGGCATAGTAAATTCACACATTCAAGGGTTATAGTTATTAAAAAACAAAAACTCTGAACCGAAAATGGGGGAACAAATATATTTCAGATATTCTGAAAGGTAATTTAACTTTGTTTGCAATATATAGGAAACATAGAAGGAGAAATTTTTTAATGGGTATGTATAGGCAAAGGCTTGGGAATACTTAGGTACTCTCAAGCTATCTATAAACATAGAAGTCAAAAACATCAACCAGTGTTTCTCAGTAAATAAAAAGCACACTCCAAAAAAAATGCAACTTTGGAAATCTCTTCTAAAAAGTAAGTGCAATAACACTTTTGCTTCCAAATAGAAAAAAAATGCTATTGAATATGGCACATCAAAAAAAAAAAAAGCCACACTGTCAAACTCAAAAAAGTACATATTGTATGATTCAATGTATAGGGTGTTCTGGAAAAGGCAAAACTAAAGGGATAAAAAAACAGATCAGTGGTTGCCAAGGGCTGGGAGGGAGGGGGATAGAGGCATTGCCTACAAAAGGGCACAGGGAAACTTTGGGGGTGATGGAATGTTCTACATCTTGATTATAGTGGTCATTATATATTAAACAATTATCAAAACTTACAGAACTGTATACTAAAAAAGGATGAATTTTACTCTATGTAAATTATACCTTAATTTTAAAATCGGGGAATAGCACATCTGTGAACTGATAAGAACCAAGAGTTATTTTATGCTGGGTTAAGCCATGCTGTGGTAACTAATCAAGAACGTGAGAAATAGAGCCGTTGTCCTATATATTACATAAATTTTTAAGCTATAAATGTATATGGTAGAATTAATGCTGTGTTGGATAGTTATGTGTTTACTTTTAATGGGATCAATTTCATAACTGAGTTAGCAAATTATTTGGCTTAATTTACTAGTAAGTGATCACAAAAAGTGATATCCTTTGCTGTGGAAATAAGCAATTAATCTTAACATTTCATAGCATAATTGTACCTTCCAATGGGAAGGAGACACACATGATATATTCAATAATGATAAATTGCAGATGTTAATAGTTTACTTAGTTTTTAAGGACATTTAATAATCACAAAGTATCTCTCACACATTATATCATCTGATTCTCACAGTAATCCAACAAGGTTAGAAAGGTAAGGTAGTATTATTTTTCTCCACTATATAGATGAGAACATAGAGGCCTAATAAGTTAGATGATTTGTCTACAGTTCTAACATTAGTATTAATAGTCAGGAAATAAACTAAGATATTCTGATCCCAAATCTAATAATTTCCTCCCTATATCAGTCTGCCAATTAAAGACAATATATCTCAAAACTCTTCCCCAAATCTCAAACTACAAAGCCAACTAAAACTGACAAAAAGTCTATATCAACACTCAAATGCAGCTCTACAGCTTTTAAAATGGTCCTATTAAATTAAAATGAGAATATAGCACAGGCAGGATTTTAGGCAAGGAAAGCTACTGCTCTAATAAAAAGGAAAGTAGACACACATAGACTTCCTACAATGAGCCAGGCCGACTGTTTTAAATTTAATATCACAAAGATCCCTAAGAATAGGTATTATTATTATCCTCATTTTACATTTAGAGAAATTTGGATCAAGGCTAATAAGTTGTCCAAAGTTACCTAGTTTATCAAGGATGGATAAACTAGCATTCATCCAAGCATGGATTACAATCCAAGCCTGTTGGATTCTGAAGCCCTTTGTCCTAAGAGCCAAAAGAAAAATATTTTAAACCTACACACTTGTACATTGAGTCAAAATTTCAGTAGTTCCATAACCTTGAATCTTAATGAAGATTGTTTTAAAAGATCTTTTAAGGCATATCTTGTTCATAGTTTCTTCACCTTTATTTATGTATTTATTTTGAGACAGAGTCTTGCTCTGTCACCCAGGCTGGAGTGCAATGGCATGATCTCGGCTCACTGCAACCTCCGCCTCTCCAGTTCAAGCAATTCTCCTGCCTCAACCTCCCGAGTAATTGGAATTACATGAGCCACCACGCCTGGCTAATTTTTGTACTGTTTTTTTTAGTAAAGATGGGGTTTCACCATTTTGGCCAGGCTGGTTTCGAACTCCTGACTCAGATGATTCACCTGCTCTGGACTCCCAAAGTACTGGGATTACAGGTGTAAGCCACCTTGCCCGGCCTTCTTCACCTTTAAAATGAGGATTGCTTCTGTTTTCCTTTTAAATATGTGTCAAACTTCCTTAAGTGTCTTGAAGTCATCTGAGTTTCCCAAAAGCAGGTATTTTTATACTCATGTCAACCTCTACAGACCACCGTGGTGCCCTATAGCAAAGTCAGCCAGACTATGAGATGGAAAAACAAAATGAGCCAAATAAGACAAGAAATAATTCCAGGAATTGTGACATTTCCCTTAAAATAAGACTCTGCTTTAAAATTCCATATTAAATATTTTTAAATATCTGTTTTGTCTTTAAATAAAATACTCAGGACTTTTGAATTATAAGACAGAAGGAATGGCTTATTTTTTAAACTCTTCTAACCCATACAATTAATACTAATGTTTGAAGGAGGTGTATGCTAATTAATACTAATGTTTACAATTAGTATTAATGTAGTATTAGTGTTACTAATGTATACAATTAATACTAATGTTTGAAGGAGAGTAATGTACATATAGGCACTTGAAAAATAATTCATGGTGAGGGTGATAGCAATGATGATTAAATAGCTACTTTCACATTCGTCTTTAGTGTTTTCATTATATTAAAAGTGAAGAAGAAAAATAATTTTTAGTTTCTCTTGTTTTATACTGTCACTGAAGCCTATAGGTGATCTGTTTCTTGGTGTACTTTTTAAAATATAGAGATGTAAGTCATGCATTTGCTGGAATAAAACTTACATAATGAAGCTCGTTTTGCTTGTCAAGTGCAGATGAAAGGAAGAAGGGAAATAACAGTTTAAATGTAAAAGGCACCTTTTCCCTAACTCCTCAACTATTTCACACAATAAAATGAATAATTTAACTACCTGAAACTTCATATGTGCAGAACACTGCATGCAGACCAGTGGCATTTTCACTTCGAATTTGTATAGTCTTTAGTCAATACACTTCATCTGCATTTCTAACACCTGCTTCAGTCAGCTGTGAAGTACGCTGTTATCTCTACAGTTGTCTTTTATCTTCACTCTGTCCATCTAGCCAAAAAAAAATTACGTGATAGAATATAATTGCTTGGCCTAAAAGATATGGGGAGTAATTCACATGACTTTCTCAAAGGTATTTTCCTTTATCTTATCAATAGATAATTTTAAAACAAGTTACTAATTAATGTTGTCATTCTTTATAGCATACACCTCCCTCAAACATTAGTATTGATTGTATATAGCAGAAATAACAACATCTACTTGCTCTGCAATGAGTGCCTCTTTTGGGTGCAAAGAAAGAAAGCCATTAACTGTAATGACTGATAACATTTATAAAGCACACAAATATGCCTACTAAGCTTGTTATTGTTATAGTTTGTTATTAAAATGATGTTCTTCTAGCTTAGCCTGCCTACCATGACCTAAGTTAAAATTTTATGTATATCAACATAAACATCAGCCAATTTTTGACTTCAGCTAATCTGTCAATGACTCACATTTTTATATGGAGGATTTAAGCAAAGGATTAATACATTTTTAAGGATTTATACATTCTTTATCTGTGTTACACAATTTTATATGGATGATTTAAGCAAAACATTTAAAGGCTGAATTCTCTGATACAAAAATTATCTTAGAACAGGAGGAGAAATGGGGAGCAGTTGGGGGAGAAGAACTAGAACAAAATTGAACTATCTATTGTTCTTACTTACTCTGCTTATTTCCTGAATAGCACTTAATTATAATGTAATTATTATATCTGTTGTCTGTTTCCCTCTCTATTTGAATGTAAATTTCACCTGGAAAAGGATCATATCTGGCTGTTCACCACTCCATTTCCAATGTCTAGCTTAGTTCCAGGCACACAGTAAATACTCAATAAGTATTTCTTATACAAACAAATTTTTTAAAATTTCAACCAGATTGAATTAGAAGAGATTCCAAAGGACTTCCTAAACTTCTCTATTCCTTTAAAAACTTCATTTATCCTTTAAAAATTGATATTTATGGAAAAATATATGTGGGAAAACTTCATTTATCTAGGATCACTGTAGAATAATACATAAGCTGATTTTCTAAATAAGCTGATTTTCTCAGATAGCCAAAGATGATACCTTTAAGATTCTAAGACAGTTTAATTCCAATTATTTTAAGTGTGTCATTCAAACACACATCATTATTTACTTCTTTAGCTTGTTTTTTAAAAATAGGTTTCACGTAATTTATTAATGTCTTATAACCAAAATTGTGTATTAAAATGCTTTTACATTCTGTCATATAATATTGTAGTACCTTCAGATACTAGTGAGATAAGTAAGGCAATATGTCCCTAAACCAAAGGGACCTACCAACATAGACTCATATTTAATCATTTTGTTGTCTCCTTTCCTGCTTTCTATTTTCAGTATTTTACCTTCTAGCTGCTTCTTCACTACAGGTTCTTATTCCTAATAAGTTTTAATTTACTACTCAGGATGAATTAAAGATTCACTAAATAACTAACCTATAACAGAAATATTATGAAAATATTAAACAGTATCTTTTGCTTTTTTATTCAAATGTAAATACTATCGTTTGCAGACTTTCCATTCAAGCTAAGCCATTAAGCCTATCACCCAGAGTAGGGTAAATAAACATGGTCTACAGCATCAAAGTTGTTATTCAGATTTGAGAGTCATATAAGGTTTACCTGATGAGTTCCTAGAGGGAAAAGAGTCTTGAAAAAGATTCTCAGTATCCTTGAGAGAGAAAGAGATTTTTCTAAAGTCCTTAAATTCCTATTACAGATTAAGGGTCAAATCCAGTAGAGCTGAATATCAATCCTGACCATGAAGAAAGAGAAAGTTCAGGATATGATCCAAGGGAACTTTTAATGGCCCAGAGAACAAGCTCACTATACTTCTGAACTGCAGGAAGAGAAATTCAGAAAGACATGAAAGAGGAGGATGGGGAGGTCAGATACTAGGGTCCTTGCTTGAAAGGGATGGTGAAGTAGAAATGTCCAGAACCCAGAACACGGGCTAGTCAACAGCTTGCTCAGGTATAGCCTTGGGGAAGCTGCAAATTCCCAGAAAGCTCACATAGGGCCCTCCTCAACATGACTAGGAAACAACAGCATTGTGCTGACGAAAGGAGATGTCTAGATAAATAAGCGTTAAATAAAACTCCAATAAAGGTGATCCAAACACACCCATGTGCCCCCACGAAAAGACACCAAGTAGGCACTTGAAAAATACGACAACCCAGAACCAAACATAAGGCTTTTCCACAACCCTTCTAGCCTATTCTAAGATTCCACCAGGGGCTAACATGAAGTTCACTAGTGTTCAGAACTCACTTAGATGCCAGGCACGGTGGCTCACGCCTGTAATCCCAGCACTTTGGGAAGCTGAGGTGAGAGGATCACCTGAGGTCAGGAGTTCGAGACTAGCCTGGCCAACATGGTGAAACCCTGTCTCTACCAAAAATACAAAAATTAGCCAGGTGTGGTGGTCCATGTCTGTAATCCCAGCTACTCAGGAGGCTAAGCCAGAGAACCACTTGAACCCAGGAGACGGAGGTTGCAGTGGGCCGAGGTTATACCACTGCATACCAGCCTGGGAGAAAAAGCAAGACTCCATCTAAAAAAAAAAAAAACTCACTGAGAAAACTGCTTAAGAGCTTACACAGACATCTGTTCATGACTTTTATAAAAACCTATGCATTACTGAAAGTAAAATACTCAACAGTGGAAGCTGGGCAAAACAAAAGCAAAGGTCAGGTGGGGAATCAGAAACCTCCTTAAAAATCTTAATAGTCCCAGAATTAATATTCTCACTCCTAATGAAAATAGGACACAGTGAACTGTTGAGAAAACAACAGAAAAAAATTAAGCAATTTCCAAAGAGAAGGATAGCTTAATAATTCAATGGATATTCAAATTTTCGGACTACTTCCAGGAAATAAAAAGCTAAACTTTATGAAGAGAAAAACAGAAGAGGAAATCTCATTTATGTGGATTAGCATGAGAAAAAAAGAATGTGAGTCAGGATTCAGTACTGAAAAGTTCAAATTATGGAATTTTTTAAGAGAAAGAAACATTTACTACTTTCTGTAACTTGAACTAACCTCTGGTTTAAAGTGGAATTCCTTCAGCTACATGACATAATGGAAAGTAGATTGTCAAGAAATAGTGGGAACTGGATTCTGGCTGTGGTTCTTCTCATTACCAGCTGGATAAGCTTGGACAAACCCCTTGAACTTTCTGAATCTCAAGTTCATCATCTATTAAATGGCAAAAATAATAACTGCTAATATTTATGGAGTATTTACTACCATTTTACATGCTCTGTTAATATTTAACACCACATACTTCATTTAATCCCTACAAACATCCACAGGTTGACATAGTTGCTATTATATTCTTATCCAGGGAATGGAGGCACAATAAAGGGATACAAACACAGGCAGTCTGACTCCAGAACCAGTCTCATTGGAAATTCAGTCTCAGCAATACTGTACCTGCCTCACAGGACAACTGTGGTCCTTATTTGAGAACATATATGTAAAAGTGCTTTGAAAGCTATATGATGCTTTACATATAAGAAATCACTAGTATTTAATGAATAGATTAATTCATTCAAGATTAGCAGAGTTCATCTGTAATTAAATCAGTAAAGTATACTTTGAGTTCATTTCTCAAGTATATTAAAAATATCTACCACAAAATTATTTGCAGTATGACTATTTTTGATCAACTTTAATCCTATTCCAACCAGCTTGAAATATCATAGATTGCGAATTAGTTAGGTACACAGCCACAAAGAGCACTGTACAAATAGTGAGGAAAGCTCCCTAGCCTCTATCTTGCTCAGAAACTATTCCTTTTTCAATCCAATTCCAACAAACTGCTTTCCAAGTCTGGAGAAATTTTAAAAAATTGGCTGCTCTCCCAGACATACTCTATACCTATTCTCAGGTATGTTCAGAACCTAGTCTAGTGTCTGGCATGGAGCAGACACTTGGCTGAAAGACTGAGTGAGAATGATCAGCTTAGAGCAAGGGAGATGCCAGAAATTAAAGCAAAAACAATCTAACTCAAAAAGCACTGTGGCACAGCAGTCACTTAGTGTGGAGGCAAAAACTCAGTAGGGTTAGAAGTCAGCATGGTTAGCATGAGAGCCATGCCTAGTATGCTTGTCAATAGAGTAATGACCAAATAGGGTCACCAACAAAAGGTTAAACAACAGAGAATTTCAAAAGACTGGAGAGTATATGACGTACTTTAAAATATTTGTATTTAATATAATAAAAAAATGTTTAGAGAGTTGTTTAAAAGAATAAATCCTGAGCTAGCTAGAAAGCGTGAACACATTCGTTTCTTCACCTGACTCTATTTGAGAAACTCTGCTAGGATATCAATGAGCCTCAGCCCTTGCTCTCCAAGAACTTACATCCTGGTGATATCCTGGTGATGGAAGACAGGAATCAAAAAAAATTTCACAATAATTACTTAAAGTTCTGATAGGTGCTTTAAAGGAACTGCACTACTTACCAGGAGAGTATTCAGAAAGAGAATCTGGTCTTTCTGAATACTCTACTAGAAAAGAACTCAGAACTTACAAATGTCTTCCCATCTCATTTGGATTTAAAGCCAAAATCTTTTCAATGACCCACAAGGTCCTAACTTTATAATCTGGACCCTTATTACATATCTGAATTCATCTTCATTGCCTTTTCTGTTCTGGCTATTCTCCTACCTCAATACCTTTGTACTTTGAGTTATCTCTATATGAAACAAACACCATTTCCCCAAATATCCCCATGGCTTGCTCTCTCACCTCCTTCAAGTCTCTGCTCAAATGTTCTTTTATAAATGAGACTGTCACCCACCACCTTTCAATAAAATGCAACCCCTCTAGTTTTATCCCTTTCCTGCTTCATTTCTGTTCTCTCCATAAGATATATATATAAATATAAAACATAGTAAAAGTGTACATTTTAGTTGTTGTATTCCCTCACTAGAATGTAAGGTCCACAAGTGTTATCTGTTTTATACATTTTCATAGCCTCACTATAGAGTAGGGGCTCAGCAAAGTTATTTGTTGAATAAACGAACTGGAGAGACTATAAGCATGCCCTTATGGCAGATGCCTTGTTGGTGAAGAAGATGGCACAGGATGAAGCTTGAGAGGGAGGCAAGAAATAGACCATGGAGAATCTTTTAAGCCACATAACAGACGTTGGTTTTTATCTCAAGAAAGTCATTGAAGGATTTTAAGCAGAAAAATGACACGATCAATTTACATCTTTTAAGATAATTTTAACTACTATGTGGAGAATAGAATGAAATGGGCCAAAAAGAGATGAGAAAATCCAGAGCAACTCTCATCTCCAGGGTGAACACAAGTTTTGTTGTCTCTCTGTGTGAAGCTGTATACATCCTTAACACACGCTCATGTAAAAACAACTTATTGTTTGCCTATCACAGTAGTATTTACAAAATTCCCAATCCAAACTCTCAAAATTTAAATGCTTCTTTCCCAAATGTTTTCCTTCTGAATAAGCCCTGAAATAAACTGTACTTTTAGCAAATTCTATTTGCTTCGACAGCAATATATAATATAGTGAAGACTTTAAGCTTGCACAAAACATATCACTATGAACAAGGTCCATAAAGGTTAAGAGTAGCCTAATTTTCTTTGATTCTTTCAGCTACAGATTTGGCTAAGGGCTTGGATACTACGGGAAAGAAGATAAGTGAGAAAAACATTGGTGATTTAACCTCTAGTGTTCCCTTAAGGACAAACATTTGTCACCTTGACAGCAAGGTGAAAGGTTTGCAGCCAGCATGCTTATAACAGGACTCTCTCCTCTCTCTCCTCCCTGGGGACCTGTGAGTTCTGAACAGACAATATCTGAACAGATGATGATGATGATGATGATGATGATGATGATGATGATAATGATCCACAGAAAAGAATAGGGGAGGAAAAGAGATTGAGACCCCACATAACTCAGAGCCTCAAACTGAAATGATGCTCCAGGGACTGTCACAAAGATTTAGCATTTGCGCTCTTCTTCCTAAGCTTCCACTTAAGGCTGAAGTAATCAACCTTATAAATTATCACAAAACATTCAAACATTGTCCAATGTTAACAGCATGGATTCCATTGCTAATAATTATGAGTGTGTTTTAAAGCTGAATTCCTAGGCATATATAGCTCCACTTTTGATACAAATCTCTAGTTTTTAGGGTTTACAATTCTGGTGTGAAAGTCAGCTGCAGGCTTAAATCAGGCACTAAAACAAGCCTGATGTTTACTCTTCATGAATACATATAATCCAAATTAGCATTAAAATGATGATACCCATGCATCCAAAAGAATAATAGGATCTCTGTTTTAGCCTAAAAGCTACATTGCTTATAGTATTTTCAAAAGTGAAATAGGAAAAGATATTTTGAAAGCTAAAGATTTTTTTTAAAAAAGAATTAAAGTTTTTTATGATCGTTTTTAATTTAATTTACCTGTGACATGTGAAAAACCAAAGCAAAGTGCATTTCCTACTCTCTCTTACCACTCGATACAACACTTCTGACACCGGATGTGTAGGAGTGTTTCCCCACACACCAAGCAATTCTCCAACTGGATGTGCTCTAATTCAATTCAATTCTAACACTCTCCACCTGCAGAGAGTGTCAGATCCCAAAGGTGGGGGCTCAGTCCCACAAGGCTATCCCCCACTTCAGATGACAACTTCAAGCTCCAGGTTGTGGCTTGTGCTTCTACCTGACCAGCTATAAATCAGGGTTCCCACAACCCCTCCTCATGTTTGATTAATTTGCTAAAGCTCACAAAAATCAGGAAAAACACTTGTGTTTGCCAGATTATGATAAAGGATATTACAAAGAACACAGATGAAGAGCCAGATGGAAGATATGCATAAGGCAAGGCATGTGGGAAGGGGCACGGAGCTTCCATGCCCTCTCCAGGGCACAATGGGAACCTCCTTGCATTTGGCTATCAGCAAGCGCTCTGAACCCTGTCCTTTTGGATTTTTATGGAGGCTTCATTATGTAGGTATGATTGATTATGTCATTGGCCATTGGTGATCAACTCAACCTTCAGCCCAGGAGGTTGGGAAATGGGATTGAAAGTCCCTACCCTCTAATCAAGCCTTGGTCTTTCTGGTGACCAGCCCAGATCCTGCAACTATCTAGAGGCCAATAAGCCAAATTAGCACACAAAAGTCACTCTTATCATTCTGGAGATTCCAGGGATTTTAGGAGCTTTATACCAGAAAATACATATTTCACAATATCACATTTAACTTAATTTCACTAATTTAATTTTAGGAATCAGTGACATTGATCTATGTGTTCCTTTGATGAATGAAATTTTACCTAGATAACTATTTTACACTTTTATTTTGAAAAATATCTTACATTAAAATCACTATAAAATCACAATTAAAGGCCAGGCACAGTGGCTCATGCCTGTAATCCCAGCACCTTGGGAGGCTGAGGTTGGTGGATCACATAAGGTCAGGAGTTCAAGACCAGCCTGGACAACATGGTGAAATCCCATCTCTACTAACAATATAAAAATTAGCCAGGCATGGTGGCGGGTGCCTGCAATCCCAGCTACTCAGGAGGCTGAGGCACGAGAATCGCTTGAGCCCAGGAGGCAGAGGTTATAGTGAGCTGAGATCATGCCACTGCACTCTAGCCTGGGTAACAGAGCAAGACTCCGTCTAAAAAAAAAAAGAAATCACAAAGCTACCATCCATTTCGTTTCAATATCTACCCAATGTCTAATCATTACTGTCTCTAAGTACTGTCAGAGGACTAAAATTATTTTTAATAAGACAATGAGCTTTTTAACATAATGAATACTAACGAACATAATAAAAATGTAATGTTACAAAGTGTACCAAGAAATGTATGAGAATGAAGAGGACTGGCCGTATAGAATTGAAGGCTGGGACACAGGAAGGATGAGATTGGAAGTTAAGAAGAAAACAAAACAGAGAGGAGAATTAATGGTTGAACTAAAAGACTGTCTATTCACTTAACACCCATGTGTTCTTCATTCATGAAAAAAAAAGTAGTTATCTACTATATCTACCTCTGGACACCACATCACTAATACATATCAAATGAAATGTTTATTTATCTCACAATGGTTTTCTCACCTACATTTCCGGTTTTTGTTCATGATGCTTCGCAACAATTAATCTTAAGATCTTTGAGTCCCCAGTCTCTTTATGTTTCTTGAATTTCCTGGCCTTTTTACCATATAATATTCCAGAAGCTTTCATGAAAAACTTGGTCAGTATAAGTATCTAAGTAAAAACCACCATTATAGTGATGCTTAAAAAACGTACTTATTAGGGATTCATGTTGAAATTATATGATCACCAGAGTTTGCTTCAAAATAATACCTGAGAGGAAGAAAGTGGATGGAAATGTAGAGGAAAAAAGACTGGGCTGAGTTGACATCTGTAGAAGCTGAGAGATAGGTACATAAGGCTTATTAATATTATTTGGTCTACTCTGCATACATTTCAAAGTTTCTAATTTTAAAAATGTTGCTGTTGTTTTTTTTAGGGGTCAGAGATTTAGGAAAATATCATATTTGGGGGCTAGATAAGAAGTTTCAACAGCTGGGCACGGTGGCTCATTCCTGTAATCCCAGCACTTTGAGGGGCTCAGGCAGGAGGATTGCTTGAGGCTGAGAGTTGAAGACCAGCCTAGGCAACATAGCAAGATTCTGTCTCTACACAAAAATTTTTAAAATTAGCTGTGTGTGGCATTGCAGACCTGTAGTCCCAGCTACTAGGAAGGCTGAGGTGGGAGGATTGCTTGAGCCCTGGAGGTTGAGGCTGCAGTGACATATAATTGCACCACTGTACTCCAGCCTGGGGGACAGAGCAAGATCCTGTCTCCAAAAACAAAAAAGGTCTTGAGAAAGGCTTATACAGAGAATTTTGGGGTAAAATACTCTCGATAATAATAGTAGCACCTACCATTTATGAATGCTTGCTAATGGGCCACTCTGCTAAGCATTTGAGAGATTTAATCTTATTTAATCTCTATCAGTACTCCTAGTTAGGTATCCCTAACTCAAAACTTGGTAGAGACTCCTCCTCCAGTATCAGGTCCTTGCATACAGTAGTCACTAGGTTAATATTAACTGTCTAAATAATTGAATAAATGATTAAGAAAGTTTTTCCTTTTTCTTTTGTGTTTGTGGTCCTTTATTTGTAAGACAATTGAAAAGCTCTAGCCAAAGTATTCATT